>NC_000004.12:68921381-70171381 GCF_000001405.40 Homo sapiens
AGAGATTAAGAATGAGAGCAGGGGATGTTAGGTAATAAAACTACTCAAAGACTGATGTAAACAGAATGCTAACATTTCATTTTCTTAACTTTTATAATTAGTTAAGTATATAAGGAAATCAAGATTTTCCAAATAATAGCTTAGAAAAATGAGATTATCAATGAAAAGTTGAAGTATTTAAAAAATTGTTATGCTTTTCAAAAGAAGACCTACGTGTGGCCAACCATCACATGAAAAAAAGCTTACCATCACTGCTCATTAGAGAAAAGCAAATCAAAATCACAGTAGATACTATCTTGCACCAGTCATAATGGGTATTATTAACCCAAAAGATAATATATGCTAGTGAGATTGTGTAGAATAAGGAATGCTTATACTCTGTTAATGGGAGTGTAAGTTGGTTCAACCATTGTGGAAGACTGTGTGGCACTTCCTCAAAAACCTAGAGGCTAAAATACAATTCAACTCACCAATCCCATTAGTGGGTATATATCCAAAGGATGATGAATCATTTTCTTATAAAGTCACATACACGTTTATTAATAGCAGTAGTATTCACAATAGTAAAGACATGGTATCAACCTTAATGCCCATCAATGATTGACTGAATAAAGAAAACACAATGGGGTTCATATACACCGTGGAATATTATGCAGCCATAAACAAAAAACAAGATTTTGTATTTTACAGGGACATAGATGGAACTGGAGGCCGTTATCCTTAGCAAACTAGCATAGAAACAGAAATCCAAATACCACATGTTCTCACTATAAAGTGGAAACTAAAAGATGAGAACACATGTGTTGGGAACAGGCCTCCCAAAATCTGGCCATAAACTGGCCCCAAAACGGCCATAAACAAAATCTGTGCAGCACCGTGACATGTTCATGATGGCCATAATGCCCATGCTGGAAGATTGTGGGTTTACCAGAATGAGGGCAAGGAACACCTGTCCTGCCCAGGGTGGAAAACTGCTTAAAGGCATTCTTAAGCCACAAACAATAGCATGAGCAATCTGTGCCTTAAGGACATGCTCCTGCGGCAGTTAACTAACCCAACCTATTCCTTTATTTTGGCCCATCCCTTCATTTCCCATAAGGGATGCTTTTAGTTAATCCCATTTCCCATAAGGGATACTTTTAGTTAATTGAATATTTATAGATAGAATGCTAATGCCTGGCTCGCTGTTAATAAATACGTGGGTAAATCTCTGGGGCTCTCAGCTTTGAAGGCTGTGAGACCCCTGATTTCCCACTTTACACCTCTATATTTCTGTGTGTGTGTCTTTAATTCCTCTGGCACCACTGGATTAGGGTCTCCCCGACTTAGCTGGTCTCGGCACACATGGAAACAGAGCAGGGAACAACATACACTGGGGTGTATTGGAGGCTGCAGGGCAGGAGGAGAGAGAAGATCATGTAAAATAACTAATGGGTACTGGTCTTAATGCCAGGGTGAGAAAACAATCTGTAAAACAAACCCTCATGACACAAGTTTATCTATGTAACAAAGCTGCACCTGTACCCCTGAACTTAAATGTTAAAAAATAAAATTAATTTTAAACACATAATTCTAAAAAATTATATGTATAAAAAATTTAAATAGTCATTATAATTCTAGTGAGAAAAAGCAGTAACAATCTAGTATTGACCTGTGTTATTTTATGTATTTATACTAGTTTTCATCTTCCAAATTAAGTATTAATTTATTCATTTTTTAGTAACATGGGAAGTAGTTCATGTATTTCTGCTTGTCTGTAAGTTATTATATTAGAGTCTGGTGTCCTCTGATTGATAAAAATGCAAGTAGATAAAATAAGCTACTTATAAGAAATAAATTAATGCTACAAAGGTAGCATGTATAAGTTCTTTGGAATTATGAATTATCAAGCACTACTTCCAGGAGAAATTTCAAGGGAAAATTTTTGAGACAAATTCAGACTATTATCAGTATTGCTAATTTTGGTTGTTTTTTCAGCACTGAAATAAGGAATCTTATTCATAAATAAAGATATAGCTGTTGAATAAATTCAAAATTGTATTTTTCTGAATTTGGTCAAATGATTGTTAACACTTAGACAATGTGCTACAAAGCTTTGACAATAGTGATTAATATGTTCTATTATAGCCAAGACATTTTTATGTTTAAGTTACTAATTTTGGAACTCCCAAGCAATCCTCATCAACTGAAGAATAATTTACAGTGTTTAACTTTTACTTGTTATATCAGTATTAAAATAACTGAGTTTTCAGCAAAAATGTTAGTATAGGTCATTACAAGAAGACTATATCAGATAATACGGAACTAAAAAGTAATTGACAAATACACCTATGTCATCATTTTATTCTATATAAAAGAAAATATGTTTCTACTATGTTCTACGGAGGGGGCATCTGAACCTGTTCCCCTGCCTGGCTTCCTTCTGTTTGACCCTTTCCTATATTTCCTTCTGCTGCCTCCACTGGGTGGAGTTGTTAATCTCATAGTTAGGGCTGCGTCCTTGTGGGGCCACATTTTATACAGCATAGGATTCACCTTCAGGTCAGGATCTATCTCCATCCTTTCTCTTTAATCTTCCTGTTTCAGACACTGGCTGGGCCCAGTCCAGCAGGGGAGGCTGCTTTTTTTCTCTTTCTCTAAATCTACCTGGCTGGGTGGGAACTTGGACTAATCTGTCAACCTAGGCCATTCTTTCTCTGAATAGTACCCTGAACATCACTCAGATAGGCCTATTCCAAAATGTAGAGGAAGTATACGAGGCCGGATTACATGGCAAGCCTAAACTGCATGATGCATGTTAGACATTTTGAAATACCTGCTATTGTTATTGTGCTAGTGAAGTCACCCATTAAAATGTAACTTCTTCTGATAACATCTGTAGCATGTACAATGTCCTTAGGAATCCTTAAACATAAGGATCAAATAACAAGGAAAGAATTTGGTGATATCCTGACCCCAATATCATGGTAATACCAAAACTTTACCTACCCCTCTTAATATATTTATTCCTGATCACAATATTAGTGCCAAATGTATTTATCCATGAATATACCCTTTGTATTATTTTAGCATCTTCCATGTATATTTCTGATCTTGAACTAATATCTGATAATTAGTGCTTTCCCAACAGCTACATTTCTAGGCAGGAAATTTCTATAATTGGATTCTTTACAGAATTTAACAGCCTCTTTTAGTAGTTTTCCATACCAGTAAGGCACTTTATCTATCTTTCTGCGGCATCTTGGCAAGAGCTGATGCAATTATATTGGTCCTTTCTTCTTTCATGTTACTGACCATTAACCCCAGAGAAAACACTACAACACCATTTTCTCCAGAGCTCTGGAAAAACTCTTCCATTTCCTGTGAAAAAAGAATTTGTTCCATCACAAAAGAGTAACAGCACAGCAGGCACTACTGAAAAAATTGGTACAAATTACTAAAGAGAGAAAATCAAGTATTAACAGGAATTATTGGAGTAAATTATGTCTTTTAACTGACTCAGTCACTCAGTTTCTTATCAAGACAATGTATAATATGAAGATAGCTGGCCTCTACTAAGGGTATTCATGTAAATATGTGTATGCATGCAGCACACGATGGTTTTGAATACGGCCCAACACAAACTTGTAAACTTTCTTAAAACGTTGTGATTTCTCTTGCTATTTTTTTCTCAGCTCACCAGCTATGGCTAGTGTTAGTGTATTTTAAGTGTAGCCCAAGGCAATTCTTCTTTTCCCACTGTGGTCCAGGGAAGGCAAAAGATTGGACACTCTTGGCCGGGCGCTGTGGCTCACGCCTGTAATCCCAGCACTTTGGGAGGCCGAGGCGGGCGGATCACGAGGTCAGGAGATCGAGACCATCCTGGCTAACACGGTGAAACCCCGTCTCTACTAAAAATACAAAAAATTAGCCGGGCGTGGTAGCGGGCGCCTGTAGTCCCAGCTACTCGGGAGGCTGAGGCAGGAGAATGGCGTGAACCCGGGAAGTGGAGCTTGCAGTGAGCCGAGATCGCGCCACTGCACTCCAGCCTGGGCGACAGAGCGAGACTCCGTCTCAAAAAAAAAAAAAAAAGATTGAAAAGATTGGACACTCTTGTTCTATAGGTATATTTTGTGCTTACCATGAGGATTGTATAAAAAATTTTATAATAAACATTGTGTAATAAAAATATTTTAAAAAATAAATACATAAATAAAATAGAAATAAAATAAAAATATAGAATTAAATTATTTTACATAATTAATGAAAAATAATTATAAATTATAAAAAATAAAGCATAAATAAATAATAAATAACATTAAAATATTTTAAAATAACAGTCCATTTTAAACCAAAAAAACCTTTAATTATATATGAAAACTGTATTTCTTTACATCTCCCATTTCTACTTTATGTTAGTAATATCACTAGTTATATATTTTATCTTCTGTCCCAATTAATATAAATGTAATGTTACTTTTATGCTTTTCTCTTTTAAATTGCATATCAGAATTAAAATTAACTTGTGCATCAACATTAAAAACTTATGTGACTTTATATTTAATTATTTATTTATCTTTACCAGATAGATTTATACTTTTACATTCATTCATTTTGCTACCTAGCCTCCCTCATTTCAACTTGAATGACTCCTTTTTGCTTTTCTTGTAGAACGGGTGTGGTAATAATTACCTTCTTCAACCTTTTTTTTTAACCTGAGAAAATATTCCATTTTCCATTCTGAATGACAGGTTTGCCAAATGAATGTCTTGTGTGGTAGGGATTTTTTCTTATTTTTCTTTCAATACTTTGAATATATTATGTCGCTTACTTTTGGTTTAAAAAGATATCCTCTTGTATCTTGTTGATATCATGTGAATTCCCTTTTATGTCATGATCCATTTTTTCTTTTTCTGCTTCCAATATTCTTTGTCTGTGACTTTTGAAAGACTGATTATAATATTTATTGGTGTAAAATTTTTGAATTGATTTCAGTGTACAGTAGTTGTGTTTTAAAACAATTCTACATCCATATTTTTTCTCAAATTTGGGAAATTTTCTGCCTGCCATTAATTCTTTAAATAGACTTTTTGCCTCAATCTTTTCCTCTTGTCCCATGAGGGCTCTCGTAATGCATAACTGGTCTGGTTAACAATGTCCCATAAGTGTCAGGCTTTCTTCACTTTATTATCATATTCTTTTTGCTCCTCTCCCTTAATAGTTTCAAATGGCCAATATTTTCAAATTCATGAATTATTTTTTCTAGCTGATCAAGTCATCTATTGAATTTCTCTAGTAAATTTTTCAATTTAGTTTTTGTATTATTTAGCTCCAGAATTTCTATTTGGTTCCTTTCTATACTTTTTATGTCTTATTGATACTCTTATTTCATATATGTATTATTTTCCTGGTTTTCAAAAATGTGTCTGTGTTCTTTTAGCTAATAGAGCATCTTTAATTATTTTTGAAATTTTTGATAGGTATTTAATATATTTTGAATTTTTTGACAAGTAATTAATAGATCTTTGTTCATTCAGGCTTTAAAAAATGTTTATTTTGTTCCTTTAAATAGGTCATACTTTCTGGTGTCTGCATGTTTTGCATTTCTTTGTTTAAATTTTGAGATTTAAAGAAACACCCACATCTCCAAGTCTTTATGTACTGGCTTAGTGTAGGGAAATACCTTCATCTATCACCCCAGCTAGAGATTCTGGGAGCTTGGCAAACGTTTCCAAGAGCTGTATCCTCTCAGGGCTTTTGAATGTAATTACCAAGTTAAATAGGATTTTTTTGTTTGTTTGTTTTCAGGATTTTGTAATATTTTGCTTTCCCTCGTGCCATTCTGTAGTAATAATGCAGCTTTTTTGCTACTGCTTTAAACTGCCACACTGCCTTTATTCCCAGGCATTCAAAAGCTGTGGTTTCTATAAGTGATTTAAGTTCGGTGACAGAAATCAGACCCTTGGGATGTCCCCTAAGGAGCCGGAAAATTAGACCACATTTCACTCTCCTTTCACTCCTGTGGGAAATGTGATGACTAAGGATATTTTTTTCCTGATTGTGTAATGCTGTACTGGCTAGAGAAGGATCTATAGAGAGTATATGATACAACACTTCTTAAGATATTTCAATAAAATTCTTCTTGGTTTTGCTCTTTTCTGGGGTGCTGTAATCTTTTCACTGGTTTCTGGGATTATCACCATGGCAATTTGGTCTATATGATGTTGTTAAGTCTCTTTCTGCATGGGGAAACAGGGACAGGGCATTCTTACTCTGTCACCTTTAAAACAACAATTTTGCCACCACACCATGTGCAAATTTTAAAGACAATGTGATGAAAATATGGGAATTTGCTGTTATTTGCTAGGTCTAGAAGTGAGATTCTAGGTAATTATTAAAAATTCCTTTGAGATTTCCTTTGTTTGCAATAATTGATATAATTTAAAAAAACAAAAGGTGATATTACCAGAAAATTTCTGAAATAAGATGAGCTCAAATAGCATTGGTTTGGTGACTTTATATCATTTTTTTGACCTTTGTTGGATACTTAGAATGTGTTATTTAATTTATACACTTTAAAATTTATAACACACACCTATAGGATTGTAATTTAATTTGCATCTCATCACACTATGCTCAACCTAAAGTGAACATGGTCCAAAGGTTGGTTAATAGATTAGTAGTGTAAAATTTAGAATATTTATGCTGGGAGCTTCTTACAGGGAAGACAGAACAAACCTGGGCAGGCTCCTGGTTAGAAATTGCTGGTTAAGATAGAACATACTAAAACGGCAAGGCCAATTGGATTCTGATTGCAACTGATCTCAAAATTCAATGCCAGATTGATGAAGGAGAGTCTTATGAGCAACAGCTATCGAGAGGCAGAGAGTCCCACATACAATGAACGTCCAACCTAAAAAGCTCCAGAGTGTCAGCAGGCTCAACTCCAGAAATGGCTTCCCACCTGTCACAGCATGTTAATAAATTACTGTGTTTAATTACAGAGAAAAGATGAGGCTTAAAACAGATATAATCAGCTTTTCCTAGATTATAATAATATTGTAAAAGTCAAAAAACATATCAGTGTAAAAACTTAAGAAACTTTCAAAACAGTAAACAATTTTATTTATATTTATTGTATACATACACAAGAAAAATACTTATATTTATTTTTATATCATCATTTTAAAATTGAAATTAATTTGTAGATATACCTAATCAACATCTGTAAGAATTTCAAAATTTTCAAAAAGCCAGATGAGCCAATTTATTTATTTAAAACTATTAATAGGCATATCACTAAGATTATATGACAGTAAAAAAATGAGAAGATTAACATATTTGCTTATTAGTGTAAACATTATTACACTATATTTAGCTTTGTGTAGAGCTTTACATATCAAAATATTTAATATATAATACTATTTGTTATGCAGGTTTTCTAATACCTTAAATTTTTACTATGTAAGCAATTATTTGATGAATTTACAATTCTCAAAGATTGAGACTGAAAAGCAGTTCACTGATCTTACTTTCAGAACAAGCATCTCTTTATTTTTCTACAGTAAATTATACTTTTGATTATAGAGATAAGAATTATGAGTATTCATCATTTTTAAAGAATAAACATATAAATCTTCTTTAAGTGTACTATCAAATAAATTTTATAAACTCAGTAATTATCACCACATATTTCAAATAGTTACTAATCCCAAAAATAATCTGTTCACCTTGAATATCTTACTGACATGTTCTCTATGTGAGAAAAAAAATAGTTTCTTTTGTTATTTGATGGCAATCATGAGAAAGGTCTTTTTATCATCAAGAAAACAGAAAAAAGTATTGGTTGAGTGATGGCAGAAATGTAGGCCATGACATCTAGATGAGGTCTATGGAAATACAGCAAACTTTTCTAAGCATAATGCCATGTCATCATTATTAGCAATTTATTTTCTGAGATCACTGATGCTGGCTATGTAGAAGGGCTTATTTAAATTGAAAAAGAAACATCATTATGTTTCTCATAGCCAGCTAATCTCATAGAACACTTACCTGATTTGTGTGGTTTACTGAATTTTGTGAATTTTAAGTTTTTTACCTCTTTATATCCATGTGTTTGGGCGCACACCAGGAATAATCATATTGCATGTCACCCTATCACTTAAGGTTATAGAAGTAATGACATCATCAAAACAGTCATATCAGAAATAGGAAAATTTAGATGTATTCATGTCCTTGTGTCACAAAGTGAGAGAAGAGAGTAAAGACACCTAGGAAAATACAACGAAAGAATGAGATATACTCACAACCTCATGATCGTGGAATTCTAGGCTATATAGCTAAGATAAAATAACAGAATAGATAATATGAAAATAGCAAGGTTTTCACCAAATTCTATGTGGCTGGAATTAACAGGATTACCCCATCAGGTCTTTCTTGAATTTGGAAAGATCTATTCCCTCTTTTCTATCTTTCTAGTTTTATTAAATTTTTGACAGGAAAATAAAAAACATTTTGTGAACAAGAATATAGCAGTTGCCACACAGGCCAGCAGGAACCCAATCACATCTATAGAGTAGTGCTGGAACCAGGTGAGGTCATGGGCAGCTGATCGCAGGTGCTTGGCTCCTTTGTGGCGCATGACAAACTCGATCCAGAAGACTGCTCGATCTAGGGGCTTTACAGGTTGATCATGGTGAATTCTTGATAATCTCATAGCATTCTCTTTATAACTGGAAGGGAAAAACACACATAGAACTTAGAAAGTTGTAGTTTTGTTTTCATAAAAGACAGGTAGATAAACCGTAGTATATGTTATGCAAGCCAAGAACATGTTCAGTAAAAGATTGATTCTGGTTGTGACATGAATATTGTTGGTTACATAGTATTAAACAGATATAGTGGAGAGACTGAAAGAGTATATTCTTAACAAAATGGGGTAAAATTAAGATGTGAATAAAAGCTTAGTAAGCCAGTTGTTAACTTAAACCTAATATTTCCATGAAGAAAGTTTGACACTCTATGAACTACAATTTCCACAACTATTCCAGTAACAAGGTGATGAATGACTCAATATTGTGGAGTAAAATCCCTCAACATGTCTACCAGGATGATATTTAACATTTTCTGGTATAATGTATAACATAGTCAATGTTAGATCAGTCTGTACAAGCAGTAGTACTTACGAGGAATCGGTAATGACTGTTCTCAAAGCCCTCAGTAAATCTTCGCTTGTCATAGTTTTGAAGTTTATTTCTACAGCTGCTCCTTTGGCCTTCATGTGAGCTATGTTATCAAGCTGATCACCAAATATGGGAACTCCCACCATAGGGACCCCATGGTAAATAGCTTCATAGATCCCATTCATTCCACCATGAGTGATAAAAGCTTTGGTTTTGGGATGACCTAGTATGTAAATTGGATGAGAAATGGTGAGATATTTTATTCTAAACTTTTAAAATTATTTAAAGACTACAGATGGGAATTACGAGATAACTCACTGAAGCGTACAGCACTTTCTTTAGAAGGTGAGCACATGGAGCATTGCTACTAAAGATCATTTCTATCTCCAGAAAAATAGGCATTAATTCCTTCTGAATTTCCTGTCACTCTCACCTTAACAATAGAAAGTGTGAATCTATACAATTTTAGTCAATCCTTTAATTATATCTGCTTCAAAAGAGTAAGTAAAATAAAGTTTTATAATTTTAGATCTTTGCTGAATTTGCTTGCTGTTTAACATTTATTCATTTTTTCCTCGTCTAGTTCATATTTTTACTTTCTCATAGACCTACCAAGAAGATCATTCTGGGGTATCCAATCATACAGCCGAGTATTGGCTCCTAATGTGGATGGTTTTTTTCCTTTGTACCTCCATAACACCTACGGAAGAAACACATGTATTTCACAGAGTGAACCACAGGATATTAGCATTCTAAGGATGTAGATATAGTTATAAATTATAAACTCATTGTACTTCAGGTGATGGTTGAGACAGGGGTGTGTAGAGCTACCGCGTAAAGACTGAAAGATATAGTAGGACGTTTTACAAAGATCTTTTAAAATAATGTGTACCAGTTGCCTATTAGGTATGCTATTATTATTTTATTACCAATTAAAAATATTTGAGAATGAGAATACCAGTGAATATTTAAAAAAATAATTCAGCAGTGGCTAATCTATTTTTATATAAGAATTAAAAATTTTATAAGTACCTGATCTGTGTGTCATTTTAACTCATGGAGCCAATCTCATTCTACCATCAAATTTACAGTTCCCTGCAGATAAAAATTTGCTTTCAATTATGTGTGTCTTTTGGATAATCAGGTGTCTTTTCTTCTCTATTTCCTTCCTGGCCTCTTTCTTCTTATATTTAATTGTTTTATTGAAGAAGAATGAGCTAGAAAATTACTTATGTTCCACTGTTCAATGATAAATTTTCTTTGAGATTGTACCTTTTTTTTACACAATTTTTCTTTGTTGGACACCTATACAAATTTTATACATTTGAAAACAAAGAACGGCATAGATGTTTCAAACTACTTAACAGATAATTTCATAATTAAAATTACAATATTTCAAATTCCTAATTAGTATGCTTGCCTTTATTGAGTTTGAAGTATTTTAGCTAAATATAAAATGAAATATCTTTTGGATAGTTTATATATAGCACTATCTAAAGTGTGAAATTCTAGAATTACAGTAATAATAAAGTTAAAATTAGTGGAGTATCATAAATAATTACATTACTTAAATAATTGTTACTATACTATAATTGTAATTGACATTTTACTTTTGAAACTTCTAATTATTTAGAAAGACTACATTAATCTGAGCTTTTATTTCTAAGCAAAACTACCCTGAATACAGTTTTTATACACACAAATATGAGAAGATATTCTTGAGATTGATTCTTCTTTTTTTTTTTATATCAGTTTTCCTTTTTCTGGTCCTTTGAAATAATAGATGTCAGAATTTTTTTTTGGAATCATTGGCACACGCTTTTAGATTTCAAATCCTAAAATATAAGGTAGGGCTTTATTTATTATATCTATTTTATTATAAACAAATGACAATCAAGAAAGTTGTTTCCAGTAACAGCAAGACTCAGTAGGCAAATGATCAGTTATGCCCATGTACACTACTATAATGTTTTGCAAATTTTGGTACCTGTTATGCTAAGTGGAAAATGAGATTCAAGACCCAAATAAAACCATACTGTTTCATTATGTGAATAGCTGCTTATCAGGATTGGAGGTTTTACTGACCTTCTGTGGGATCTGGGCAAGGGCTGAAGCAATGATATTAGCCTTTTCTTCTGTAACATTTTGAAACAGTGACCCCAGAGAAAACACCACAATACCATCTTCCCCTGAACTCTGGACAAAATTTTCCATTTCCTGAAGATAAAAATTTATCTGCATTACAGAGGCATAATATAACAAAAATTAAAATAAAGGTTACTTACACTTCTAAAATAAATACTTGAGAAATTATTAATGTGTAGTTATATTCTGTCCCTATATGCTGACACACAGAACTATCTAGTCTCTTTAAAGGACAGTCTATGTATAAAACATGTGGCTTAAATATGTAATCATTCATACTAGAAAAGGCGCACAACCAAAACAGTATGCAAAAAGTTTCAGTAATGAGTACATCTCTTTTCATGTCTGTGTCACGTAGACACAAAATCCTAAAACCAAAATAATTTGCTAAAATATAAAATTATTATTTGAGGACTGACATCAGCGAGATGGTGGAATAGAAGACCTCCAGCATCAATCGCTTTTAAAAGTACAACTAGCAACTATTCGAATATAAAAATACCACTCTGAAAGCACCAGAGCTCAGAAGAAAAGTGAAAAATCTTATGGGTTCATGGAAATTAAAAAATCCATGACCAGAAAGAAGAAAGATCATTGTGCCACATCACCCCATTCTCCAAACCAAAATAGCATCAGTCACAGAAAACTTCCCTGTACCTGCAATTACACAGGTGGAAGAAAATAGTTGCAACTGGACATTCAATCTCCATATCAGTGTGTGAATCATTGTGAGAAGCCTTCTATGTTCCATCCCACAGGAGGTATTAGGAGTGTCAGAAGGGCTGAACCACCTGAGTTGAATTGGAAGCAAAGAGCAGAAGCACTAATCACAGCAAATGGCAAACAGATCTTGGCAGATGCTTTGTGGTCCTATCAGCAGGGAATTCACTGATGAGGACCTAGCCAGCACTACAGTAGTACAGGAGACACAATCCAAGGGAAGGCTAGAATCTTTGGTTAGATTTTACAAATATCCCAGGTGATCATGCAGAGCATTTCTCTGACTCAGAAACAACTATCAGGTTAGTAACTAAGTTCCAGTTATTTCTTAAGCCTTCCTCAACTCAGAAATTACTACAGGTTTGGGTTTAAGTTCTGGCACAGCATTATGTTTTCATGGTCATGATAAGTCTTCCCCAGACAGGAAAACAACAGCATGGAAGAGATTTAGCTCTACTGCACTATTTAGGTTCTGCTATTAACTACAAGCTCTCCTCAGAACAGAAAGAATCCTCAGGGCAGTGATTCAGCTCTGATATTAAGCAGTACACACTTAACACCACTGCATATCACCTTAAAAAGCTGAATCAGGTGGTTATCTTTTTAAATATGTAGACATCAATATAAAGAGCAAGTATTGTTAAAAAAAAACTGGGAAGTATGACATCTCTAAAATAAACCAATAAAATTTCAATAATGCACCAAAAGTTTTGAAAATGCTTAAATATCCGACATCAAATTCACAATAATCTCTTTGACAAGTTCAGGAATCACATAAACTATAAATAAAAAAACAAAAGAAACTTGGAAAATAATGCAATCATAATATTAGAGAATTGAGGAAGAAATCAGAATAATAAAGAGGAAAGTCTACAACAACGAACACACACATCAAAAAAGTAGAAAGATATCAAATAAACAATTTATGATAACATCTCAAGGAATTAGAAAACAAGAACAAGGAAACTCAAAATTATTAGGAAAACAAGATATTTAACAAAGATTAGAGCAGAAATAAATGAAATAGAAATAAAATACTATATGGAAAATCAGCAAAATATTGAGTTAGTTGTTTGAAGAGATAAAATCGACAAAGCTTTAGCAAGGTAACTGAAAACATAACAAAATGAAACAAACCAGAAAAGACACAAATAAAATGGGAGATTACAAAGAGACAAAGCAAATCAGGCATAGAGGCTCATATCTATAAACCCAGCATTTTCAGAGACAGAGGCTGAAGAATCACTTGAAGCCCAAAGATTGAGAATAGCTTAGTAAGAACCCATCTCTACAAAATTTGAAATAAATTAGCCAGTCTTGATGGTGTATGCCTGTCTCAGCTACTCAGGAATTTTGGAATTTTGAGGTAGAAGGATTGCTTAAACTCAGGAGTTTGGGTTTCAGTGAGCTATAATAATGTCACCGCACTCCAGTATGCGTAACAAAGTGACATTTCATCTCTAAAATCTTAAGGATTCTTAAAAAAAAGGAAAAAAATGACACTAGAAATGAAAAGGACTATAAAAGGCTTCTATGGACATGCATATGCCAATAAATGGAAAAATCTAGGAAAATAAACAATTTAGTGGACACATAAAATAGGACTGGATTATGAAGAAATAAAAACAAGGAGAAATAAATAATGAAGAAGAAGTTTAAATCAGTAATAAAGTCTCATTAAAAAAGCCAGTGAGCTAAGGTCTTCACTATGAAATTCAACAAAATTTAAAGAATAATTAATAACACTTTTTCTCACTCTTCCAAACCATCAAAAAGTCAAAAAGGCAAAAACACTTCAGTATCATCTTGTGAGGCTAGCATTACCCTGATCCCACACCAGACAAGGAGGTGTGTATGTATGTATGTATGTATATATATATATATATATATATATATATATATATATATATGCATAATATATTTGCTTCCAGAGGAAGAATCCAGCAGCAATATTTGCTGTTCTGCAGTATTTGCTGTTCTGCAGCCTCTTCTGGTGATACCAGGCAAACAGGGTCTGGAGTGGACCTCCAGCAAACTCCAACAGACCTGAAGCTGAGGGACCTGGGTGTTAGAAGGAAAACTAACAAACAGAAAGAAATAACATCAAAATCAATAAAAAGGACATCCACACCAAAACCCCATCTGTAGGTCACCAACATCAAAGACCAAAGGTAGATAAAACCACAAAGATGGAGAGAAACCAGAGCAGAAAAGCTGAATGTTCTAAAAAGCAGAGCGCCACTACTCCTCCAAAGGATTGCAGCTCCTCACCAGCAATGGATCAAAGCTGGATGGAGAATGACTTTGATGAGCTGACAGAAGTAGACTTCAGAAAGTCTGTAATAACAAACTTCTCTGAGCTAAAGGAGCATGTTCTAACCCATCGCAAGGAAGACAAAAGCCTTGAGAAAAGGTTAGACAAATGGCTAACTAGAATAAACAGTGTAGAGAAGACCTTAAATGACCTGATGGAGCTGAAAACCATAGCATGAGAACGTCATGACACATGCGCAAGCTTCAATAGCCGATTTGATCAGTTGGAAAAAAAGATATCAGTGATTGAAGATCAAATTAATGAAATAAAGCAAGAAGACAAGTTTAGGGAAAAAAGTGTAAAAAGAAAGGAACAAAGCCTCCAAGAAATATGGGACTATGTGAAAAGACCAAATATATGTTTGATTGGTGTACCTGAATGTGATGGAGAGAATGGAACCAAGTTAGAAAACACTCTTCAGTATATTATCCAGGAGAACTTTCCCAACCTAGCGAGGCAGGCCAACATTCAAATTCAGGAAATACAGAGAACACCACAAAGATATTCCTTGAGAAGACCAACTCCAAGACACATAATTGTCAGATTCACTAAGGTTGAAATGAAGGAAAAAATGCTAAAAGCAGCCAGAGAGAAAGGTCAGGTTACCGACAAAGGAAAGCCCATCAGACAAACAGTGGATCTCTCAGCAAACCCTACAAGCCAGAAGAGAGTGGGGGCCAATATTCAACATTCTTAAAGGAAAGAATTTTCAACCCAGAATCAGATATGCAGCCAAATTAAGTTTCATAAGTGAAGAAGAAATGAAATCCTTTACAGACAAGCAAATGCTGAGAGATTTTGTCACCACCAGGCCTGCCTTACAAGAGCTCCCGAAGGAAGCACTTAACATGGAAAAGAACAACTGGTACCAGCCACTGCAAAAACATGCCAAATTGTAAAGACCATCAATGCTATGAAGAAACTGCTTCAATTAATGAGCAAAATAATCAGCTAACATCACAATGACAGGATCAAATTCACACATAACAATATTAACCTAAAATGTAAATGAGCTAAATGGCCCAATTAAGAGACACAGACTGGCAAATTGTATAAAGAGTCAAGAACCATCAGTATGTTGTATTCAGGGGACCCATCTCACATACAGAGACACACATAGACACAAAATAAAGTGATAAAGGAAGATCTACAAAGTAAATGGAAAGCAAAAAAAAAAAAAAAAAAAAAGCAGAGGTTGCAATCCTAGTCACTGATAAAACAGGCTTTAAACCAACAAAGATCAAAAGAGACAAAGAAGGTCATTACATAATGGTAAAGGGATCAATTCAACAAGAAGAGCTAACTATCCTAAATATATATGCACCCAATACAGGAGCACCCAGATTCATAAAGCAAGTCCTGAGAGACCGACAAAGAGACATACAATAATAATGGGAGACTTTAACACCCCACTGTTGTTATTAGAAAGATCAAGGAGACAGAAGGTTAACACGGATATCCAGGACTTGAACTCAGCTCTGCTCCAAGCAGACCTAGTAGACATTTACTAAACTCTCCACCCCAAATCAACAGCATATACATTCTTCTCAGGACCACATCATACTTATTCTAAAATTGACCACATAATTGGAAGTAAAACACTCCTTAGCAAATGTAAAAGAACAGAAATCACAACAGTCTCTCAGACCACTGTGTAATCAAATTAGAACTCAGGATTAAGAAACTCACTCAAAACTGCACAACTACATAGAAACTGAGTAACCTGCACCTGAATGACTACCAGAGAAATAATAAAATGAAGGCAAAAATAAAGATGTTCTTTGAAACCAATGAGAACAAAGATACGAAGTACTAGAATCTCTGGGACACATTTAAATCAGTGTGTAAAGGGAAATTTATATCACTGAATGCCCAGAAGAGAAAGCAGGAAAAATCTAAAATCGACACCCTAACATCACAATTAATAGAACCAGAGAAGCAAGAGCAAATACATTCAAAAGCTGGTAGAAGACAAGAATTAACTAAGATCAGAGCAGAACTGAAGGAGATAGGGACACGAAAAACCCTTCAACAAATCAATGAATCCAGGAGCTGGTTGTTTGAAAAGATCAACAAAATAAATAGACCACTAGCAAGACAAATAAAGAATAAAATAGAGAAAAATCAAATAGACACAATAAAAATGATAAAGAGGATATCACCACTGTTCACACAGAAATACAAACTACCGTCAGAGAATATTATAAACACCTGTATGCAAATAAACTAGAGAATCTAAAGAAACGGATGAATTCCTGGACACATACACCATCCCAAGACTAAATCAAGAAAAATTTGAATCTCTGAATGGAACAATAACAGCCTCAGAAATTGAGGCAATAATATCCTACAAACCAAAAAAAGTCCTGGACCAGATGGATTCACAGCTGAATTATATCAGAGGTACAAATAGGAGCTGGTACCATTCCTTCTGAAACCATTCCAATCAATAGAAAAAGAGAGAATCCTCCCTAACTCATGTTATGAGGCCAGCATCGTCCTGATACCAAAGCCTGGCAGAGACACAACAAAAAAAGAGAATTTTAGACCAATATCTCTGAGGAATATCACTGCAAAAACCCTCAATAAAATACTGGCAAACCGAATCCAGCTGCATGTCAAAAACCTTTTCCACCATGATCAAGTTGGCTTCATCCCCGGAGGCAAGTCTGGTTCAACATCCACAAATCAATAAATGTAATCCTTCACACAAGCAGAAACAACGAGGAAAACCACGATTATATCAATAGATGCAGAAAACACCTTCAACAAAATTCAACACCCTTCATGCTAGTAACTCTCAATAAACTAGGAATTGATGGAACACATTTCAAAATAATAAGAGCTATTTATGACAAACCCATAGCCAATATCATACTGAGTGGGCAAAAACTGGAAGCATTCCCTTTGAAAACTTGCACAAGACAAAGATGCCTTCTCTCACCACTCCTATTCAACACAGCATTGGAAGCTCTGGACAGGGCAATCAGGCAAGAGAAAGAAGAAAGGATATTCAATTAGGAAAAGAGTAAGTCAAATTGTCCCCGTTTGCAGATGACATTATTGGATATTTAGAAAACCCCTTCATCTCGGCCCAAAATCTCCTTCAGCTGATAAGCAACTTCAGCAAAGTCTGAGGATACAAAATCAATGAGCAAAAATCACAAGCATTCCTATATAACAATAACAGACAAACAGCCAAATCATGATTGAACTGTCATTCACAATTGCTACAAACAGAATAAAATACCTAGGAATCCAACTTACAAGGGATGTGAAAGATCTCTTCAAGGAGTACTACAAACCACTGCTCAATGAAATAAAAGAGGACACAAACAAATGGAAGAACATTCCATGCTCATGGATAGGAAGAATTAATATCATGAAAATGGACATACTGTCCAAGGTAATTTATAGATTCAATGCCATGCCCATCAAGCTACCGATGGCTTTCTTCACAGAATTGGAAAAAACTACTTTAAAGTTCACATAGAAGCAAAAATGAGCCTGCATTGCCAAGACAATCCTAAGCAAAAAGAACAAAGCTGGAGGCATCATGGTACCTGATGTCAAACTACATTACAAGGCTGCAGTAACCAAAACAACATGGTACTGGTATCAAAACAGATATACAGACCAATGGAACAGAACAGAGGCCTCAGAAATAACACTACACATCTCTAACCATGTGATCTTTGACAAATCTGACAAAATCAAGAAATGGAGAAAGGATTCCCTATTTAATAAATGGTGTTGGGAAAACACGCTAGCCATATGTAGAAAGTTGAAACGGATCCCTTCTTACATCTTATACAAAAATTAATTTAAGATGGATTAAAGACTTAAATGTTAGACCTGAAACCATAAAAATCCTAGAAGAAAACCTAGGCTATACCACTGAGGACTTAGGCCTGGGCAAGGGTTTCATGACTAAAACACCAAAAGCAATGGCAACAAAAGCCGAAATTGACAAATGGGATCTAATTAAGCTAAAGAGCTTCTGCACAGCAAAAGAAACTACCATCAGGGTGAACAGGCAACCTACAGAATGGGAGAAAATTTTTGCAATCTACCCATCTGACAAAGGGCTAATATCCAGAATCTACAATGAACTTAAACAAATTTACAGGAAAAAAACAAACAACTCCATTGAAAAGTGGGCAAAGGATATGAACAGACACTTGTCAAAAGAAGACATTTATGCAGCCAAAAGACACATGAAAAAATGCTCATCATCACTGGTCATCAGAGAAATGCAAACAAAAACCACAATGAGATACCATCTCATGTGAGTTAGAATGGCCATCATTAAAAAGTCAGGAAACAACAGATACTGGAGAGGATGTGGGGAAATAGGAACGTTTTTACACTGTTGGTGGGAATGTAAATTAGTTCAACCATTGTGGAAGACAGTGTGGGGATTCCTCAAGGATCTAGAACTAGAAATACCATTTGACCCAGTTATCCCATTACTGGGTATGTACACAAAGGATAGTAAATCATGTTGCTATAAAGACACATGCACACATATGTTTATTGTAGCACTATTCACAATAGCAAAGACTTGGAACCAACCCAAATGTCCAACAGTGATAGACTGGATTAAGAAAACGTAGCACATATACACCATGGAATACTATGCAGCCATAAATAAGGATGAGTTCATGTCCTTTTGAGGGACATGGATGAAGCTGAAAACAGTCATTCTCAGCAAACTATCACAAGGATAGAAAATCAAACACTGCATGTTCTCACTTTTAGGTAGGAAGTGAACAATGAGAACACATGGACACAGGGCGGGGAACATCACACACCTGGCCTGTTGGGGGTTGGGTGGCTGGTGGAGGGATAGCATTAGGAGAAATACCTAATGTAATGATGAGTTGATGCATGCAGCAAACCAAAATGGCACATGTATACCTATGTAACTGACCTGCACATCCTGCACATGTACCCTTGAACTTAAAGTATTTTATATATATATAAAACTTAAAGTATTGTATATATATAATATACACATATATACATATATATAATATACACATATATACATATATATAATATATATATACACACACACATATATAGCATAGATATCACCAAAACAGTATGGCAGTGGCATGAAAACAGATACATACACCAATACTATATAGAATAGAGATCCACAAAATAAATTTATGCATTTACTGCTGCCATAGTATGGATATTTGAGCCCTCCACACTTCATGTTAAAATTTGATCCCCAATATTGGGGGTAGAATCTAACAGAATGTGCCTTTGTCATGGAAGCAGATCCCTCATGAATAGATTAATCCCCTGCCTGGGAGGCGAATTTTTACTCTATTAGTTCCCAGAAGAGCTAGTTGTTTTACAAAACCTGGCACTCCCTCACATCCCCTCTTTATGGTTTCCTCTCTTGTCATGAGACCTTTGCATATACCAGCTCATGTTTGCCTTCTACCACAAGTGGAAGCATCTTGAGAACCTTACCAGAGGCCAAGCAGAAGTCAGTGCTGTGCTTCTTGTACAGTATGCAGAACTATCATTCAAATAATTCTATTTGATATATAAATTTGCTAGTCTCATGTGTTCCTCTATAACAACACAAATGGAGGAATATAGCAGCTAACTGACTTTTGACAAAGGTGCCAAGAACACATAATAGAAAAAAGGCAACCTCTTCACTAAATGGTGCTAGGAAAACTGCATATCCACATGCAGAAAATGAAACTAGACCTCTATCCCTCACCATATACAAAGTAAGTAAAAATGAATTACAAAGTTAAATATAAGGCCAAACATTATACAACTACTAGAAGAAACTGTAGGAGGAATGATTTGTGACATTGGTCTAGGCAAGGATTTTTTTGGATAGGACTTCAGAAGCACAGCCAACAAAAGGAAAAGTAGATAAACGGGTTATATCAAAGCATTGAGCTTGTGCAGAGAAAATGAAGCAAACAACAGGGTGAAGAGACAATTCACAACATGAAAAATATTTGCAAACTATGAATCTGACAATAAGTTACCATCTCAAATATACATAGAAGTCACATCAGTCAATAAAAATAAATTACTAATTTGATTAAAAAATAAGCAAAAGACCTGAATAGACACTTCTCAAAAGAAGACTATCAGTGACTAAGAAGTATAATTACAAAATGCTCAAAATCACTAATCATCAGGGAAATGCAAATCAAAACTACAATGAGATATCACATCACCCCTGTTATGGCTATTATCAAAAGGCAAAAATAACAAGTGCTAGAAAGTATGCAGAGAAAGAAGATCTTTTATAAACTGTTGAGGGAAATGCAAATTAGTACAATTAGTAAGGAAAACGGTATGGTAGTTCCTCAAAAAATGAAAATAGAACTACCATATTATACAGCATTTCCATTACTGGGTGTATATTTAAATAAACTAAGAAGTCATAGAGATATCTGTCCTTCTATGTTTACATCAACATTATTCATATACCCAAGGGATGAATCAACCTAAACATCCATTAATGAAGAAATACATAAAGAAAATATGGAAAAAATATACATATATATATGTCCATTCCATTGGATATATATACACACATTTGAAAATATCTCTCTCTCTCTCTCTCTCTATATATATATATGCAATGAAATGGATATGTATATTGTGTGTGTTTATATGTATAGATATATATTTCTATTCCATTATATATATATATCCATTCCATTAGATATATATAAGCTTTATTTCTATTATATATTAACTTTTTTATAGCTCAATAGCATTCCACTGGAGATATATATATATATATATATATATATATATATATACATTTTCCAATGTTTATATATATCCATTTCATTAAATATATATTGGAAAAAAAAGAATGAAATCCTGTCATTTGTAGAAACATGAATGAACCTCCAGGGCATAATGTTAACTGAAATAATCCAGGCAGAGATAGCATGGTATCCCTTATACGTGGAATCAAAAAATGCATTCATAATATAATTAGAGAGTAGAATTGTGGTTACTAGAGGCTGAA
This sequence comes from Homo sapiens, assembly GCF_000001405.40. NCBI lineage: Eukaryota > Metazoa > Chordata > Mammalia > Primates > Hominidae > Homo > Homo sapiens. The sequence goes on from NC_000004.12 coordinate 68,942,755, forward strand.
GAGATAGTAGGGAGGGCAATGAGAAATGGTGGATCAATGGATACAACGTTTAAATTTGGAAGAATATGTTCTGTTATTATATTAAGTTGTTGGGTAACTATAGTTAATAGTAATGTATTACATATTTCAAGATAGCCAGAAAGGAGGTTTTTGAATGTTATCACCACAAAGAAATGATAAATATTTAGATGATGGGTTTATTATCTTGATGTAATTATTACACAACATTTAAATGTATTGTAATACCACAGCATTTCTCTTAAACATGTGCAATTATTACATGTCAAATTTAAAAAATAAAAATAAATATTTAGTGTAAGACAGCCCTAAAATATATCTCAATTAAACTTGTAAAATTATCAGCACAAAAGCTTTTACCTAATAAATTATTACTGTATGGATCTAACTTTTTTAAAAATATGACTTCTATGATTATTTCTATGAGTGTGTGTTTGTGTGTGTGTGTTTGTGTGTGTGTGTAAAACTGGGAGTGTGGGAATAAAGGGTAGAATGGCATGGGAGATTACCTAGAGAATGATGGAAATTGTCAGCTCTCCTTCTGTATTTCTATTTTAGATACAGATGCCATGGCTTAAGAGAGCTTGGTTTTCTGGTATAACTTTCCTGGTAAGTAAAGTGATATTAATAATTAATAAATAAAATTATATTCATCAATACACATCTTACTATAAAACCAATAATTTTTCTGGAAATCCTACTGGCTCTGAAACCTTCCTTATAGGATTTTGATTATATTTCCATAAAATGGGAAATGAGGGTTTTCTTTTCACTCTGTAGTAATAGGTAAACCCAGTATTGTTACCATAGCTATTGTGGTAAATTCTTATAATTTTATGTTGTCTGGCTATGCATTTAAAATATAAGTTGAATTTTCCATACCAGAAGCAGGTCTTAGTCAACACTGACACCGTTTAAAATCTTCCACCTCCTTCCATTTCCTCAATGTGTTCAGTCAGGATTTTTACTTACACACTGCCTCCTGGTAACCACCCTATAGGACAACTAGATACAGCCTACTTGGGCTTGAATCACTGATCAGATTCTGTGCAGATATGCCAAAGTGACTATCTTTCAGTCTCAGAATGCCTCCATGGACTTTGTGCCTGCTTGCATTAAACCTACCAATTACAGTTCCCCATTGGAAACCCACCTAGGTAACACCCTGGATCCCAGTTAACATTTTGGCACATAGATCCCTCACTCTCTTTCTTGGTCTCCATTCATTGGTTGAATGTGCTTTTCCCAGAGAATTTTCTTCTTCCTAGTGGCCTTACAAGGGATGCTGAACTCTTTTCTCTAGAAATGGTCAAAGAAGACTGTTTCTGTTATTTTATGTGTTTGGTTAAGTTTCTCCCATGTTTTCTCACTTGACCAACACAAATATAACATCTGGCCTTGTCAGGGTTTCCTATAATGTGGTTACCTTTGTAGGGATAAAGAAGACATAGGTCATACAAGAGACACAGTGGTGTCTTCCAGTGTAAACAAGTTCCCTATAAGAACAATCTTGGTATAGATTGCACACTTAGGCATTAGGCTGTTCATCAGAATAAAAAGTATCCCGTAAGAGGTAGATTATGAACATCCATGACTAAATATCCTAGAACCTTGTCAGGTCAAGGCTAGAGCTAATAGCCACTTTTGGGACAGTGAACTCAAGACATACTTACAAAACTATTAAAAAACTATAACAACTATTACTCACTTTTACTTCTCAATATTGTTTCTTTCAACATTCCTTGAACTATAAATTTTTTCCTCTGATGATTTAGGAATATAGTATACAATTTTATTTTCACTCCAAAAGAAACCTGCAGGCTGCAAAATTATTTCTATGAGCTCTACTTTGTCCTGATAACTATCGATATTTAGATTTCTGTCCACAGAGGTTGAAACCTTGTTTTTCTCAAATGGCTTTTATTAAACCTCACCTAACATTCTCACGAGCTCAAAGTGGATAGTCACAACACAGAATTCATCATATAAATCACAAACAAGATGACTTCTAAGCACTTATTTGAGTAAAAGTCATCACTATCATTAAACACTTAAACTTTCCATTTATTGAAATTTTCTTTTATTCTTTGTCTTCCTTCATCACTTATTTTCTCTCACTCACCAACTCCTGTGGAATATATCCAATATGTCTCATGAAAATATGCTTATTTCTGTACTATCATGACAAATATCCTTGTTCATAAGCCCAATTTGATTGTGAGAAAGGCTAGAGCATTCTTTTTAGTGATCTTCATGGCTCCAATTCCCTATTAATTCAATTTATTATCCAAACTATTGTAATACTAGTATTTTAAAATCTATTCTAATCATGACATTCTTCTGCCTACTTTCTCAATATAATACCGAAAAGACATATAATCACCTATAAGAGCCCCTGTGGCATGGAAAATAAATATGGAGCTGCAAACAGAAGACATTCAACATCATCCTTCTATAACTAAGGTTGTAATCTTTCAAGGGAAAACAAGTCATGTCATAAAGTACATAATATTCCTTAATACAATAGTCCTACCTTAGGCAAAGCTTTGGCAGGTTTACAGTGCAATCCTCCAACAAACTCAAAGTTAGGTTGGTATGGTTGAGGAAATTCAAAATCCCAATATGTTCGTATTAGCCATATCTCAGCTTTTCCCACAGTCTCACATAATGTAGTGGGCCTTCCTCAATAAAAGAAATAACAGAATGAATTAGCATACAATTCAAATAAAAAATTGTATCACTAATTTTTCAGTAAGCTATTAAGAAAAAAATAAGTTTAAGTCCTCTAGAACAACATGGCTTTTAGACGTCAAATGGAAGGGGGAATTAATGAAATAATAAAGAAGAAAAAAGAAAGAAAGGAAAAAAGAAGGAAGGACAGAGAAAGAAAGGAGGGAAGGAAGAAAGGAAGGAAGGAAGGATGGAGGGAGGGAAGGATGGAAAGAAGGAAGGAAGGAAGGAAAGAAGGAAGGAAGGAAGGAAGGAGCAAAGGACAGATGGTTATATTTAAGTGTATTTTCACAACTTAAAGACACAAATCCAAAATGCAAATGAATTTATTACTCATTTTTTCCTCTGCAAGTGAATTGCAGATGATAAATGAGTACCACAATATCTTCACTAAATAACATCTCTGTATTTTCTAATCTATAGTCAAGGGTATATCTTTCAATAATCCCACCAGGATCAGTTCCCTTTAACTTGCTGTATTGCATATCATTACTTTAATTAATAGGCTACTGTTTTATTAGGAGAAATTCCTTTACTGATTCTTACCCATGACAATATTCTTTTTGGGTTGTGAAGCACCTATGTACATGCTATGATAATCATACACTTACTTTAGTGTTTCTCTCAAATGATGTGTTTTGAAGGAAAACACATTTTCAAGATTTAATTTTAGGTTTTTAATCAGAAGAATGGCTAACTACAAATAACTAAGTAATTAGTATCTCTTTACAAAAACATATTTTGCAAGTGATAAAAAGATAAACTCCATAAGAGAATTTGTTTCTCTTTAAAATTCTAATCAAAGTTGGTGGTGTTATACACCATAGTGTGGAGAGCCTCTTTTTAAGGTCATCACATTTTAATGTTTGAAGTTTTTTCCTAGGTCATAAATCCAAACGCCTTGAATTTGATAGTGAATAAATTTTACTGAAGATACTCAGTTTGAAGTTATCAGAAATTAGAATAGAGCCTTCTCTCAGCTTCCAAGCAAATGCATTTATGTCTTATAAATTTGTTGTTTTCTGTGCCTCACATGCTGCCTGCATTACCAACTTGTAGGTGATTTTAATTACTATGATATTAGGACTCATTTAAGAAAGACTCAGTTTTAAACAATTGGAGTCATTCAATGTTTAAAGGATAAATACACAGTAACAAGGATAAAGATGATCAAAGGAAAGAAAATTAAATTTGCTTTTTATACTAATAAAATAATTTCACATCTTATTTGAAATGCCATACACACATATCTTGGAGATATTGCAAGATAAGTTGCAGTTCATCTCAATAAAAGGAATATGCCAATAAAGTGATTCACACAAATTTGGGTCCCAGGACATATAAAAGTTATGTTAACCATACCTTGTAGGCTATTAGCTGTGCAATATCATCACGTTTAAAAAGGAATGCACATACCTTAGTTAAAAGTATGGCTAAAAAGTGCTAATAATAAGCTGAGTCTTCAGCAAGTGAGGTTTTTTATTTTTATTTTTTCTGGTGTAGGGTCTTGCCTCAGTGCTGATTACTGTTGATTGATCAGGGCAGCTGGACAATTTTTAAAATTAGACAACAAAGATTGTTGCATGAATTGACTCATCTTTTCATGAAAGATTTCTCTGTAGCATATGATGATGTTTCACAGCAGTTTACCCATAGTAGAATTTCTTTCAAAATTTGAGTCCATTCTCTCAAACCTTGATGCTGCCTTATCTACTAATTTTGTGTAATATTCTAAGTCATTTGTAGCCATTTCAACAATGTTCATAGCATTTTCACTCGGAGAAGATTCCAACTCACAAAACCAATTTCTGTGTTCATCTATAAAAAGTAACTGTTTAAAAAGCACCTCCTCACCGGTTTTACAGGTTTTAGTTTTATCATGATATTATAGCAATTTAGACAAACCTTCAGGCCCACTTATAATTCTATTTCTTTTTTCATGACCACCCCATCCCCAGTTAATTCTTCACATGATGTCTTCAATCCCTCAAAATCATCCAGGAGAGTTAGAATCAAATTTTTTCCAAACTCTTGTTAATGTTAATATGTTGACTTCCTCTCATGAACCATGAATGTTCTTAATGGAATCTAGAATGAAAAATCCTTTTGAAAAGGTTTTCAATATACTTTCCCCATTAGTAAGAGCTATAGCCTTACAAAATATATTTCTTACATAAGACTTGAAAGTCAAGGCTATATGATCCATGGCATGTAAGATGGATGTAATAATAGCAAGCAGGCAAACATTAATATCTGTACATCTTAATCAGAGCCCTTTGTTGACCATGTGAATTGTCAATGAGCAGCAATATTTTGAAAGGAATCCTCTTTTTTGAGCAATAGGTCTCAACAGTGTGCTTAAAATATTCAATAAGCCATGTCATATACCAATGTGATATCATCCAGGCTTTGTTGTTCCATTGATATAACACAGGCAAAGTAGATTTAACATAATTATTAAGAGTCCTCTATAATTATTACAAAAAGTAAATGGGCATTGGCTTTACCTTTGTCATCAGCTGCATTAGCCACTACAAGAGATTCAGCCTGTTTTTTGTAGCTTCAAAGACAAGCATTGACTTCTCTTCTCTAGCTATGAAAGTTTTAAATGGCATCTTCTTCCAACAGAAGGCTGTTAGGTCTACATTGAAAATCATTTGTTTACTGTAGCCACATTTACTGAGTATATTAGCTAAGTCTTCTGCATGACTTCCTATTGCTTCACATTGAACTTTTGCATCATGTAGGCAGTTTATTCCTGTAAACCTCATTAGTCAACCTCTACTAGCTTCAGTCTTTTTTTCTGCATCTTCCTCTCCTCTCTGAGGCTTCATGCAATTGAATAGTTAACGCTTTACTATGTATTAGTTTTTAGCTAATGCCAAAACCTAAGGTGATGTTGTGGTTGGTTTAATTTTTTTTCTTTTCTTTTTTTTCTTTTTTTTTTTTTTTTTTTTGGTAGTGGTTTTGCTCTATCACCTAGGTTGGAGTGCAGTGGAGCAATCATAGCTCACTGCAGCCTTGGACTTCAAACTTCTGGGCTCAAGCCGTTCTCCCACCTGAGCCTCCCAAGTTACTGGGATTACAGATATGAATCACTGCAGCTAGCTAGCTAATTTGATTTTCTCTCCAGACAACTAAAATTTTCTCCATATCAGCACTGATAATGGTTATTTGTTCTTATCATTTGTATGTACACTGGAGTAGCACTTTTAATTTCCTCCAAAAACTTTTCCTTTGCACTCACATCTTGTTTAACTGTTTGGTGCAATGGTGTAGTTTTTGGCCTGTCCCAGGCTTTTTTTGTTGCTACAAAGGAACAACTGAGGCTGTCTAATTTGTAAAAGAAAAAGGTTTTTATTTGGCTCACAATTCTTCATGGTATACAAGAGGCATGGCACCAACATCTGTGTCTGGTGAAGACCTCTGGTTTCCTCCACTCATTGAAGAAGATGTTGGGAGCCAGCAAGTGCAGGGATCAGATAATGAGAGATATGCAAGAGAAAGAAGGTGGATGTTCCTGGCTCTTTTTAATAATTATCTCTCCTGGGACCTAATAGAGTGAGAACGAACTCACCCATTTCCCCAGGGAGAGCATTAATGTACTCATAAGGAATCTACCCTCATGACCCTAACACTTCCCATCAAGCCCCACCTCCAATATTGGTGATCAAATTTCAACACAGGATTTTGTAGGGTCAAGCAAACCATATCTAAACTATAGTACTCATTAAACTTATTCCTTTATATTTTTGGTTTAAATTGAGAGACCTGCTACTTTTCTTTTCACTGGAACATTTAGAAGTCATTGTATGTTATATTACTGTGTCTCAGGGAATAGGGAGGCCTAAGAAGAAGTGGGATGGGGAAACGAATCAGCGGAGCAGTTAGTACATGCACAACATTTATAATTAAGTTTGCTGTCTTATATTGTAACACATCAAGGTGCCCCCAAGCTAATAAACGTGTAACCATCAAGGAACACTGATCCCAGATCACCGTAACAGATATAACAATGAAAAATTTGAAAAAGCATGATAAATGCCAATATGTGATAGAGTCAAAAGTACACACTTGCTGTTGGAAATATTACGCCAAATTGATTAGCTTGACTCAAGGTTTTCAAAAACCTTTAATTTGTAAATTGCAATTTTTGTGAAGGACAATAAAGCAATGTATAATAAAATGAAATACACCTGTGCGTAAGCACTTATGGAAATAAATCCTTGAATTGAAATTGACTGATATCCCTTTTCCTATAGTTGTTTGAATATATACTCTTGATTTAGACTCACAATAGATAATTCTATAAAATATATAATAATCAATAATTTAGTAAGTTGGAGCTACATAATAAATATAGTTATTAAATGAATTTCTTATATATCAAGCTGCTCCATGATTTTTAAAGAATTGTTGGGGAATTTCTGAATGCATGGCCAGAACCCACTTTTGTTTATTGGAAAATGCTCTTTCACCCCTTTGATAACACTTTTGTTTTATTTTAAATTTCAATCTTGTCAGGGGGCTTTTACTATAATCCTATTTTACCAAAATTTGCCAGTGACCTCTATATAGCTGTACCCCTTTAAATTAATATCTGAATGTAGACTTGAGGCCAAGAGATTTGTATTGTTTACCTAGATCCATAAAGCCTGGTAGGCTATCTGCAGCTAGGCACAGCTTACTGAATGGAAAATTATTTAAAGCAAATCAATACATGTAAATTCAAATCATGTCTAAGGCTAAGGACATTTGAACTGGGATCCTCTGAATATTAGTTCTGTGAAACAGTCTATGCATAAGAATTCGTTGGAATACATTAAACAATATTTTAGTGTCGAATATAATTGTACCTTTTTTCATGTTTCTACATAATTCTCAAACATATTTGGATAAAAACATGTCTTGCATTGACCAGCTCTGATCACAACTATATGAAAATTGCAAAGCAAAACAACTTTTTATCAGTAAAGCAAGGAAATAAAAATAAGTCAAGTAGGTGTATATCAGTAAAGTAAAAATTCTACTATCTTATGCCCCACAAGACCGTAAGTCTTTTAACTTTTTATAATATTTTTTCAAGTTTTTGTGAAGTAATCACCTAAGAAATTAAAGAATTCTAGAAAATGTTCAATTTAATGACTCTTGAAAAATTAATTCAAAGAAGACCTTCTGAAGATTTTCTTAAATACATGATGAGAGAGAAAATAATGATTAGCATTTTATTTCAATAGAAATTCTATAAAATTCAGACTAACAATCAGTGATTCTCAAAAATATGTGATGTTGATTTGCGCTATTTGGAGGAAATACAAAATATAATCTCTTAGTTATTGATGATCATTTTTAAGTATATTACTGGTATTAAGAAAGTAGGTTATCTTACGCTTAGAACAAATACACTTTCTTTATGAAAAACAGCTACAACATTTTCTAAAAAAACTCATTGACCTGCATATATATGTCATAGACAATGTATGACAATTTTTAAAAATATTTCTTTTGATAACTAAATTAAAAATAAAACAAAAGTGTCTTACCTAATGCCTTACTATAAAACTCTTCCCAAAAATGATAGTCGTAATCCTGAATCCAGAAGTGGAACAAAACTGAAAGCATTGAATTTTTTACTCTTTCCAGAAAGGTCATTCTGTCTGTTAGTCCTGTCATAGGCACAGGTACATAGGAAAGTGGAGCTGGAAGTTTCCCACAGCTTCGCTCCATATTGCCTCCTACAGAAATTCTAAGTGTGAGCACAAAAGGGACTGCAAGCAACTCAGCCATCAGGTCTCCACAGGGAATCACAGGGTCTATAAGCATTACATCGTAGTTGGTTTCCTGTAGCTTCTTCATAAGCGTCTGATTGTAGATAAAGCTCTCACACATCATTTTTAAAGTTCCTCTTATTTCAACAAAAAAATCATTTAATTTTATAACTGATTGCCAGGTTGATAAGCCTGGCAAGACATTCAGAGCTAGGTCAACAAATATTTCATTTTCTTCTGTTCTGTCCTGTGGCATATGGACCACCTCAAATTTCAATGCAGAAGGCTTCCTGTAGTCAATTAACGAAGGCTTTGAGTGAGTCAATACTGTTACCTCATGGCCTCTCACTATGAGCTCTTCTAGAATGACCTTGACATTAAGCCAATGGCTCATGTCACAGGGCCACACCAGGACTTTCCCACAGAATCCACAGCCAACACAGAAGAGCTGCAGGAGCAGAAATACCAAAGCTGACTTGTCAGACCTCATGATGGCAGTTCCCTCACACACTGATCTGCAATGGTTTTGTAGTTACTAAGCAAGGAGTTGAAATGACAATATAAGCACAGAAGTTAAAAATTAATATTTTAAGAGTAAAGTTCACTGGTGGTTGCCAGTTTAACATGTACTGAAGGTATCAAAAAAATGCAATGTATCAGGGAAAAGTTGTTCCAACCCTCTAGAACTTAGAAATAAAATACATAAATATACTTTTATTACCTGGATTGATGATAAAGAAAAAAATTTTTCAAGTCTTTAGATTTAATAATTCATGTGCAGAAACATGCACACAATCACACTTACATTCATTCCACACTAAGTCCAAGGCATCAGATGGTTTAGGACAGCACATGTTTCACATCCCTTGCTCACAAGGACAATACAAAGGTTTACTGAGAATATACTTAGAGAGTTTGGGTAACTATTTTGACTAATTTTATATAATAAGTACAAAGTGTTCAGTATTTCAGAGGGGAAAATGCACAATTGCTTTAATATGAAATAATAAAAGCTTTAATAAGGCATTTGACTTAGGAGGTGAGATGAAAGCTTTGATAGGATTTACTGTTGCCAAAGGAAGCATTTCACAATCGATAGAAGCATACAAAAGTATAGGATATTTGAAAATCATTCCAGTGAGTAGTGGTCACAGAGAAAGTTCAGAGCAGGACGTTACAGAAGAAAGTTAGTTTGAAATTGGAGAACATAATTTTAAATAAAAAATTATGAGTTTGAATCATAATTTATAGGCAAATAATTATTTACTCAAGTTTTAAAGGATAGTCACAAGATCAACCTTTTCTTTAGCAAGAAACTCTTGCATCTCAACACAGAGTGGTATGTAAAGGTAAGAGTTTAAAACAGGGAAAACGATAAAAATTATATATTAGTTACTGAGACATGTCAACCTAATAGAATGAAACATAAATTGTTAATAGTTAAATGCAAGAAATTAATTTAAAATTTGAATTTACTGATAATATCTGAGATAGGAAAAAATGTGTAGGAGAAAAGACATGGTTGTGGTTTCTGTCTTAATAAGCAGAAGTTTGATAATGACATTAGGTAAAATATTATGCACAAAACTTAGAGCAGTTTTCAGAATCAATATCATCTAACTGGGTTATTTTTCCTGTAGTTACTGTTCAAATTTTCAACAACTGTATGTAGATGTGAACAAAAAATAAAATTTTAGGAATCCCCAACCATCTAAACGGACCCTTACTCTCAGCAAAGAGCATTTCAAAGTTAATCTCAAAAACTAGTTGAGGCAATGATGAGAAGTGGGGTGGTGGGATAGGATATGCCTCATTATACCCTCCCCCCTTTCTGAATTCAGGAAAAACTCACTAGCACTACCATCAACGCAGACTTTAAAACCAATAGAACAGACTCACTAATTTTGATAAGAAACATTTACAATCTATTCTCTCTGAAGCCTGTTGCTTGACAGCTTTATCTGCATGATAACACCTTGGTATTAACAGCCCTTTATCTTAACCCAGACATTCTTGTCTGTTAATTCTATAACTTAGACAACAATATAACTCAACCAATTGCCAATAGAAAATCCTTGAATTTGCCTATGACCTGGAAGCCCCACTCCCAGTTGTCCTGCCTATCCAGACCAAGTCAATATATAACCTACATGTATGGATTGATGTCTAATGTCACTCTAAATTGCATTAAAACTGTGTAGCCTGAGCACCATGATGACATGTTCTTAGGGTCTCTGGAGGGATAAATCACAGGCCATTACTGACTCATATTTGGCTCAGAATAAACCTCTTTAAATATTTTAAAGTGTTCGACTCTTTTCATCAATAACAACTTGACACTTGAACATGTGGGGCCTCAGACAAAACTCAGGACACCATAAAACTTGCCTGAACTTGAAGCTAAGGTAGCAACAGAGGCCCACTGAATGCCTCTCCAATTTTGAGCTTCTTCTCCAGTGGAACTGGTATGTCCTCTTGAGTCCTGGATCTCCTTTCGGTATATAGTCCTTGATTTATTCTGAACATTTTTTCTTTTTTTTCTCCTTGGAGGTTGTCTTTTAGAATCCTAATTATACTTCAGGAGTTCATTCTAAAGGGTCCTCTCCATTGCCTTTTTTCCCAAATATAAGCTCAAAAGGCTTCTCTGCACTTTTGTATGAGAAGCTGAACTATTATTTTCACAGATAAATGAGAGACCAGAGACTGAGCTCCTCAGCTCTGAAGAGAAAGGGCATTTTACTCCTCCCAGCCAAGGGGGCCCACTTGGAATGTCTGGGATGTTAAAACTTCATGATGTATAGTGGCCAAACAGAGAACCCCTGCCAACACAACGAGTTTAAAAAAGCTCATCTAGAAAATGCATGTAAGAGCTGATCACTCAGTGTTTTGAGCCCTCATGGAGGTGATAGCTGTCTGGAGAGAGAAACTAATGAGAGAAAAGAAAATAAGGAACCAGTTAGGCAAATAGTTTGGACAAGTTTCTTGGTAGAAGTCCTCCCCCAAAAAATAACAGTGTGGAAGAAATCAAGCTGCAAGCGCAGATAAGGAAGCAAAGTCCAAAGCCTTTGTCTTCTGTGCAACAAGTGAGCTCTGCCTGTACATGGTGGCCTTCAGTGATCACATACCTTTTATTTTCAGGCATACTCGTATAAAGGAACTTGCACAGAGTGCTTGTCTAAGACAGACCTGTAGCTGTATACATAAAGAAAGTTACACAGAACCAGACACATCCGCAGTGACACATACCAAATAAGCAAAATAAAACAACATGCACTAAGTCAGGCTAAGGACCTGCGTGCACACTAGAGGGAAGAAGTGGAGCTAACGATAATTTGTATATATGCAAAGAAGACATCCAATCCTAACCAGTTTTTCATGTCTTACACAAATGAAACACTCTGCCCCATTAGCTTTCTTTCTTCCTTTTTTTTTTTATAAGAGTCTTTGCATTCAACTGTGAAAGGACAACCCTTTCCAGAACTCCTGGTAATACCTCAAACAACAAAACTGCTCCAGTGACCCTAGTCTGCTTTACTGTAAAAAGTAAAGTAGAGGTGCCTCTTCAAAGACTTTCCTCCTCATCTAATTGAGAATAAATAGTAACTTGTCTTAGAAGCAAAATTTATTCAAAGACCTGTGCTAACATTCTTAAATATTCACTAGCCGTAATAAAGAAATCAATGTACTTTATGTTCTTAGCTCCCACAATTTAGCCTAAATATTTGCCCTGGCATGCTTGCACTGGTCCAAGAAAGCGTTAGGTCATAGACTTGTCCTATTGCTTATTTGAAGGTGTTTTTACCTTTCTCAGCATTCCACAAGTTACTTCCACCTTCCTTTGTTCTCCTCTGCCTTTGCCTCTTTTAAAAAGTTCTAAGTTGCTAGCCAATCAGGACAAACACAGAATATGAGGTCCTATTCCTTCCAGTAGAAACAGGACACAGCAGTAAGGTGGATGCATCAAGTTATAAATGACCCTGTATCCTCTGTTTGGTGTACTTTCATGACTAAACTGCTGGTGAGTGCACCCTTTTTGCAGAAAGGAAAAAAAAAAGAAAAAAAAATGGTCTTGCTGAAGAAATTAAATTTATGTTCGAGTGCTATTTCTTTTCTTTACGGCACTGAAGAACAAGCATTTCAAAGATTCACTAAGACATGTAAGAAGGCAGAAACAACTCAACGTTAAAACATGTGGAGTCTCACTTACAATCAGCACGCATTGATGCACCACACAAAAAACCCTAGGACACAGTTTGGTTCCTCCTTTTAAGAAAAAAAGTGGGAAAATATATAAGAATGAGGAAAGACAAGGACAAAACTCTTTTGGGGCAATTTTTTGGTTTCATGCGGCTCCCATTTGCAAGCATGTGTGTAAAACGGAGAAGTTTGGGGGCCTTCCCCATCTAATGATTTAGGACCACCCCCTTAGTGCTGTCTTATCATAGTGTTTTCAGAAGATCTGGTTGTTTAAAAGTGTGTAGCGCTCCCCCCAACTTCCTCCTGCTCCAGTCAGGCAGGACATGTTGGCTTCCCCTTCACCTTCTCATAATTATAAGTTTCCTGAGGTCTCCTCAGCCATAGTACCTATACAGCCTGGGGAACTGTGAGTAATTTAAACCCCTTTTTTTCATAAATTACCCAATCTTGAGTAGTTCTTTATAGCAATATGAGAACAAATGTGAGAACAAAGTAATACAGAAGATGTGAGAACAATGTGACAGCAAACTAATACAGAAAACTAGAGAGGTGTGGCATTGTTATAAAGATACCTGAAGATGTGGAAGCAACTTTGGAGCTTGGTAATGGGCAGAGGTTGAAACAGTTTGGAAGGCTCAGAAAAAGACAGGAAGATGAGGAAAAGACAGGCAGATCCACAGGGCCAGAGCTGCCCAAAGCCTTGAGAGCCCTCCCGTTGCACTGGTGTGCCATAGATGTGAGACATAGAGTCAAAGGAAATTATTTTGGAGCTTTAAGATTTAATGAGGGCCCTGCTGGGTTTAGGAGTTGCCTGGGGCCTGGAGCCCCTTGATTCTGGTCAACATTTTCCTTTTAAAATGGGAACATTCACTCAGTTGCTGTATCCCCACTGGATCTTGGAAGTAACTCTCTTGTTTTTTATTCTCCAAGCTCATAAGTGGAAGGGACTTGCCTTGTCTCAGATGAGACCTACTATTTGGACATTTTGGGTAATGCTGGAATGTGTTAAGACTTTGGGAGTCTGTGGAGAAGGCATGATTTTGTTTTAAAATGTGAGAAGGACATGAGATTTGGGAGGGTTCAGGGCTAGAATGATACAGTTTGGCTCTATGTTCCCACCCAAATCTCATGTTAAATTGTGATATGTTTCAGCTGTGTCACCATCCAAATGTCATCTTGAATTGTAGTTCCCATAATCCCCATGTGTTTTGGGAGGGACCCAGTGGGAGGTAATTTAATCATGAGGGTGGTTATTCCCATGCTACTGTTCTCATGATAGTGAGTGAGTTCTCATGAGATCTGATGGTTTTATAAGGGGCTTTTCCCCCTTTTGCTCAAAGGACATGTTTGCTTCCCCTTCTGCCATGATGGTAAGTTCCCTGAGGCCACGCCAGCCATGCTGAACTGTGAATCCACTGAACCTTTTTTCTGTATAATTTACCCAGTTTTGGGTATGTCTTTATTAGCCGTGTGAGAATTAACTATTACAAATTGTTATCTTCAGTGCTAGAGGTGGAGGCTGGTAGGAGGTGATTGAATCATGGGAGTGATTTCTAATGTTTTTGCACCATCTTCCTAGTGTTGTCTTGTGATACAGCTCTCATGAGATCTGGTTGTTTAAAAGGGTGTATTACCAAACCCCATCTTCATGCTGCTCCAGGAATGTAGGATATGTTGGCTTCCACTTTACCTTCTTGCATGATTATAAGTTTTTTTAGGCCTCTTCAGTCATGCTACCTATATACCCTGTGGAATGTGAGTCAATTAAACCTCTTTTCTTCATAAATTACCCAGTCTCAGGTAGTTTTTTATAACTATGTCATAATGGAATATCAGACTTTCTAGGGCTCTAGATAGTTACATATTATGTTCTGTTTTGCACATTTTAAACTGATGGCCCAATTACACTAAGTGAAAATTTAGACCCAAAGGCTTACATGTAACTATAAAGTTTTTATGTTCTCTATTTTTCTTTTTTCTACCTGCTTTATGTCTACTGCTAGTTTTCTACTGAGGAAAAAAAAAATCACTTTTTGGCTAGAACCATTATTTTGTTTTTTTTTTCTTCTTATTATTATTATTTGTAAACCAGTGAGTTTGTATCAATATCTCATGTCTGGAGTTCTAAAGTAAAAGCTGTAGAATCTTTGTATGAGGGTGTTTGTGTCTGTTTATCTGTACATACGTGTATTTTTTATGTGTTATAGCTACAAGGAACCAAATAAAATTAAAGTTAAGGAGATCTCAGAAATTAAGGAAATAATAAACCTAATGGCTTTTCAAGTCTATGTGAATTAAGTAAAATTTTTAAAGAAAAAACTAGCTTTGAAATTGTTGGTAAACTAATATTAGAGATGTCTTAAGAATTGTTAGCATTTTTCTTTCCACTTATTGATCAAGTGGTTTCATACTTAGTCTTGCCAAATATTTTTGTTTCCTGCCAAATATTGTAAGGTGCCAAAATTTGGCATAAGGTTTATAAAACTGTGAACCCAGCACCAAACTAAATGATCTTTGCTTGTGTAATTTTTAGTAAAGAAAACATTTAATATTATTGGCTTAATGAGAGCAACTAAATCCTGAGTTATTGGAAAAATACCCATATATTTAACCTTAAGTTTCTTAGGTAAATACCTGAAATTCATAGGGTATAAACATAGTTAAAAAATAACTAAGGGATGACTGTTACACTTTTTATAAATAATCTAGGCAAACTATTAAATAAATTTATTATATGACTATGATAAAATGAAAGTCATATAATTTGGAATCTAAAGCTATATTAAATAATAGATATTTGTTAAATGTATGGGTAATTTTTGATTTCAAAAATTATAAGGAAACTTTAAAAAATGTTTTCTTATTAAAAGACAATTATTTTTCTAGTTCAACAGTTATTTAAAGTGTATATATTATACAAGGCAAAAGAAACTAGGGAATAAGAGATATTTAAAGAAACATACATATAAAAAGGTACCTTTGGTAAGAAAGATTACATGAAGACAAATCTTGTATTGTATATTTTTGTTCTAAAATAAAATAACAGGTTGTTGAAGAAGATGGATGTTTAAGACAAACCCCAAAGCCAAGTATGTTATGAATAATCTGTGTAAGTCATAGTAAGTTTAGTAAAATGAAATTTATTTTAAATACATATATGAAATATATATGAGTAAGTTGGCTATAACTAAAAAGAGATTATAATAGTCTTTCTGGTAATTGGACTTTAATATTAAAATTAAACTAATACAAAACTAATGAATTGGTTATAAAAATTATATTAAAATATTGAGTTAATGCAAGAATATTTCATTTTTTAAACTGTGTAATCTGATTAGTAGAAGTTTAGTTTCTGCTATATCCTGCTGCTTCAGCTCTTCCTTCCTTTTGAGAAGGCCTGGGATGGTAACTCTCTCCTTAAACTTTTGTTGAATCCTGTAACATTTCTTTTTATTCATAGTCTGAAGTAAGGGAGACAGTTTTTGAAAACAGGCAAATGAAAAACATTTTTTGGATCTGCCTGCCCAGACCAGCTCAGTTGTGGAGACCCTTACCCAGTGGCACTAGAGGAATTAAAGACACAAACACACAGAAATATAGTGTGTGGAGTGGGAAATTAGGGGTCTCACAGGATTCAGAGCTGAGAACCTGGAACAGAGACTTACCCACATATTTATTGACAGCAAGCCAGTGATAAGATTTACTAAAAGTATTCCTTATGCGAAATAAAGTAATGGGCCAAAACAAAGGATGGGCTCTGGCTAGTTATCTGCAGCAGGAACATGTCCTTAAGGCACAGATCGCTCATGCTATTATGTGTGCTTTAAGAATGCCTTAAGCACTTTTCTGCCCTGGGTGGACCAGGTCTTCCTTGCCCTCATTCCAGTAAACTGATAACCTTCCAGTGTGGGTGTCATGGCCATCACAAGCATGTCACAGTGCTGCAGAGACTTTGTTTATGGCCAGTTTTGGGGTCAGTTTATGGCCAAATTGGGGGGCCTGTTCCCAACATCTGCCTTTGTCTGTATCTCTGTTATATTTATATATTACTTGCGTCATGTGGAAGTGATATTTCAATATCAAAATATATGAAAGAGCTCTAATCAATTGACTTAAAGAAAAGTTAAGCGCTTATCACACTAACAAAAGCTAGCTTGGATACCTTTGAGTTCACATGACTATAGTAGTATTTGGTAACATTAATTTGGAAAATTTAATCTCAAAATTCTCTCTAATAGTATAAAATCTGAGTCATGTTATGTTAAATTAAGTAACCCTCAGTATGGTCACTGAGAATTTATGTTACTGAGAGTTAAAATAGTTGTAGAATACAAAGGTTTTTTTGGGTGAGGTTTATAAAAACAGAAGGATGGGTCAGGTGTGGTGGCTCATGCCTGAAATCCCAGCACCTTGGGAGGCCAAGGCAGGTGGATCATGACATCAGAAGATTGAGACCATCATGTCTAACATAGTGAAACCCCATCTCTACCAAAAAAAGATACAAAAAATTAGCTGGGCATGGTGGCAGGCACCTGTAGTCCCAGCTACTCATGAGGTTGAGGCAGGAGAGTGGTGTGAACCTGGGAGGCAGAGCTTGCAGTGAGCTGAGATCTTGCCACTGCACTCTAGCCAGGGAGACAGAGAGATACTCCATCTCAAGAAAAAAAATGATGGGGTAGATAGATAGATAGATAGATAGATAGATAGATAGATAGATAGATAAGACCAAATGGATAAAGAGAAAAATGAAAACTCAGGGAATGAGAAACTTTTGACTCTTGGGTGGCTACACGGTCACCCACCTTCAGGAGCTGCAGCTGGGCTGCATTCAGTTACTAAAGGTCAAAGTTACCAGTGGAAATTTAGAGATGGATGATAGCCACACTCCCAGGGAGTTAGTTCAGTGAATGCATAACAAAATGTAAACTAATAAGAAAACTACAAAATGTTAATTCCCTCAGTTATTGCTATCTGTAATCGCTAAAATGAAAGTAAAAGAGTGCTGGGTTTTGCCTTAAGGCTGGACCAAATTTATGTGGGTCTTTCTCAGCTCAGGCCACTAGCCTCAAAGCTACACACACACACACACACACACACACAAACATACACATCTTAAGCCAGGGCAACAAAGCTACTTTTGAGACCTGTAGTTACCAAGAACCTCTAGTCAATGTGGGGAAAGGGAAAGCCAAGTTAACTATTAAACCCAGAGGGTGTAATGTAAAGAAATTGCTCCATTTTGTAGAGTAATATAATCAGTTTCTGAGAAACCTTTACTATAATGGATTGGAAAAATAACTACTTTAAGGACAATATTTTTTATTTTAAGTGCTACAGAATGAAAGAGCATGAGTTTATGCAGGTCCCACAGCTCAGGATTAAATAATCACTGAAGAGTATATGTGACCCAGCTTCACAAAAGTTTATTCCTGAGAAAACAACCAGCCTAGTGGACAGAATAATTGCCATTGTTAAGTTTGATTACCCTGAGAAAGAGACTGCCCAACTCACCCTGTAAAATTCCAGGTGGAGTTCCCCAGATGAAGCAACTGATATGCTTCGTATACAAGCCATATGGGACTGGCTTTATCAATACCAGAATATTATTCAACTAAATATACCTATTACCCTGGTCATAGTAAAGGCTATGGTTAAGTGGGCCCCTTCTACCTGGGCACAAAATGCTATCAAAGGTGGGGTGAACCAAAGGGAGCTCCTGCTGGTCCCCAAACATCAAAGGGACCTACACCAGTTTTTTTTGTATTTGCCTTAGATTGGATAAGTTTTTTTTTTAAAGCATAATTTGTAATCTAATGGGAAAGCTGACATTGCCTGTGGCAATGTTGAGGCAAGTTTAGATAGAGATTGACAAAAGGGCTTGAGAATCTTGGCTCAACCCTATTCTGGGAGATTTTATTTTTACCAGAAAGTTAAATTTGTTTGAAGATAAAGAAGAAAAGCTCCTGGGATCAGAACATAAAATTGTAAATGTTGAGAGGATTACAAAATTTGAGATGTTTAAGCAGATTGTATGTAAGGTTGTTGTGACTCATTTACCTGATAACAGTGGTGTTCTTTACATTAGAATAGAGGACAAAAATTCCCAGATTTTCGTAGAGAGATAATATTGAAAACAACATGAGTAAACTAACCAAACCTAACTAATGAAAGATAAAAATTTTTTTTGTGGATTTTTGTTTGAAACATAGCTAATTATTTTTCTTTTTAGAGATTAGAAAACTTTTTTTTTCTTTTGAGCCACATACAACGTTTAACAATTGGGTAAAGTACACTCCTTTAGGCAAAATTTAAAACGTATTTCTCTCTCTACCTGATTTCTCCAGAATTTGAAGACTCATTGTAAGCATACTTAATTTACGACAGTATAGTTATTTGTGTAAGTTAAATAAGAATCTTTTTTTTTCTTTTTAATAACAGGACACTATTAGGAAATATATACCAAAGCTCTAACTCGAATGGAATACTTTCAGATTGCTTTTAGGGATCAAAGTTGACTAATAGAGCCAATAAAACCCCTTGGTAAATCTGACCTCTTAACTGGTCTACACGATTCTTGTAAGAATTTCTTCCCTATGGCAAGTAAAGAATGTCACTTTCTGACAGTCTCAGGAGCCCCACATTATCTTGGGACCTCAAGGTGAGAAATTCATCCAACCCATACTGATATTTGCAGGCACAGATAAATCCGTGGCTGGGCTGAAGGGTTTGAAAAGTCTAAGCTAATATTTCTTATGGACTAAAGTTCCAGCAAAGCTAATTTTAAGAATTCTATAAGGCAAATAATTATTCTGACTAACTTTATACAAAAACCCAGGCCAAGTAAAATAGGAATTTTTTTTTTACTTTATGCAAATATATTTGTCCTACTATTTTTTTTCTTCAGTAAAAATGGGAATTGAAGAAAGAAAAACTGTGCTTCAGGAAAATAATATAGCACACCTGTTGTTAGATTTGTCCTGTCTATTATTTTTGAGTTTTTAATATTTTATACACTGTGCACTTAATCCTGAATTTTTTCTTGGTTACAAGTCCCAAAACTAATGCTTGCAAATTATATTTTAATTCTTTTTCTGACTTGGCCTCAATAAAATTGTTACTACATCTTTTCTGAGGCCTTGATTCTTTGTAATACAGGTGAGAAAAAAGCATGTGAAATTGATACTACCTTCCTCCTCTTTAAACAAAAATCCTTTAAGTCTAATGTATAGAGAAATTGTGCCAAACATTAACCTTTTGTTTTTCTGCTGTCTCTACATAAATGCCTTTATTAAATATCTGTTTTCTTTCATAGATACAGAAGCTTAGCTTATCTTCAATGCTGCCTCCTTAAACAGATATGAGAAACATTTGTTTAACTGAACTCATCTAGTCTCAGGCCTAGAACACTGACTAAATAGATATAGGATGATATATTTAAGTTTGCTCTTCTTATTTAACTGAATCTGTCTTTCTAAAAACCTATAGTCTATTGTTCACTTAAGTGCTGTACTAGAACTGTGGGTGAGAATATTAACATCTTTGTTATACAACCATGAGTACATGCAGATAGCTGCATAGCAGTGATTTCCCTCCTATTTCCCTGTGATTAAATCCTTAACTATGCTCCTATCAGCAGGAAGAAACTAGATTGATTTTCACGCTTTTTTATCTCTATGTCCACAAACTTAAGAATAAGATGTATGAAAGCCAAAAGAGATATTAAAATCACCTTTGCAAAAATTATATCAGTGTGTAACCAAGCAGCTTAGCTTCAAACCACATTTTAAAAACTTTTTTATTTCCTCTTTCTCTCCAGTCTCAAGACACAGCTTTCCAACAATCAACAGATGTGTATTCTTTCATCTTGAAATAGAGCATGAGAATGTGCTTTAAAACTCCACTCTCCTTTCCCACTTTAAGCTCCCATGCCTTCTGCACATTAATTTACCTAGATGCCTGTTAAGCACACACCATGATAACTTATCTGACTATATACCGGTTAGAAGCTTCAGGGATCAAATCCTAACATGCTGCAGGCATTTCTGGAATTCTCTTCCCAACAGGAGATTACTTCAAGGCTGGAGTTCACTCCCAGTTAGAGTAACTGCAAGATTCTCTGTGATTAATTTGTAACCAGGTTGAGCACATAATGTTCTCCCCTTCACTAGATGGAACAATAATTCAAGATAAACCACTGGAGTGTGTCACACAACCTGGCACATCCGAACCCACCTTGCCTCTTCTGCATTCCAAGCCCTTCTTCTTAAATCATTGCCCTATCTACAGAAATTGAGAAGTAGTAAATTTTGAAAGAAGTGGTAAATTTTGAAAGTGCTTCTGGCCACTTTCCCCTTTGCTGACAACAGTAATAAAATTTACTGTCTTTCTTATTATATCCTGCTTTTACTATTTTGGCTTCTTTCTACAAGTGGTGAGCAACCAGACCCTCTTTTGTTACAGTGGAAGGTGACTGGATTATGGGAGTGAAGCATTATTGAATGATTTAGCACAATCCCCTTGGTGATAAGTTAACTGTCACTCAGGTAATTCACACAATAATTGGTTGCTTCAAACAGTTGGGAACATCCCTTCTCTCTCTTGATCCCACCCTTGCCATGTGATGCAATGGCTCCTTCTATAAATTCCATCACGATTGTATGCTTTCTGTAGTCCTCACCAGAAGCAGATACTGGAGACAAACTTGCACAGCCTAAAGAACTGTGAACCAATTAAACCTCTTTTCTTTATAAATTATTCAGCATATTAGTCTATTTTCACACTGCTCTGAAGAACTATGTAAGACTGGGCAATTTATGAAAAAAATAGGTTTAACGACTGACAGTTCCATAGCTGTAACAGAAGGCATGACTGGGAGACCTCAGAAAACTAAAAATCTGGAGAAAGTAAAGGGGGAAGCAAACACATCTTCCATGGTGGCAGGACACCGAGAGAGAGACAGAGGGACAGAGAGAGAGAGAGAGAGAGAGAGAGAGAGAGAGAGAAAGCAAAGGCAGAAGTAACACAAAATTTTAAACTATCAGATCTCATGAAAATTCACTCACTATCAAGAGAACAGCAAGGAGGAAATCCACCTCCACGATCTAGTCACCTCCCACCAGGCCCCTTTTCCAATTCAATATGAGATTTGTACAGGAATACAAATTCAAACCATAGCACCCAGCCTAATTTATTACTTTATAGCAATGCTAAAAATAGCCTAACACAGAAAATTGATACCAAGTGTAGCATGTTGGCATAGAGATACCTGAAAATGTGGAAGTAGCTTTGGAAATGGGTAACGGTCTAAGGTTGGATGGGTTTTGAGGGCTTAGAAGAAGAAAGGAAGCTGAGAAAATGTTTGGAACTCATTTGAGACTGGTGGAATGTTTGTGACCAAAATGCTGACAGAAATATTGACAGTGAGGGCCACACTGAGAAGGTCCCTGGTGAAAATGAGGAAGATATGAGGAACCAGAATAAGGGTCACCCATGTTACACCCTACCAAAAATCTTGGCTGCATTATGATCATGTCCTAGGGCTTTCTGAATGTTTCAACTTAAGGGTGATGACTTAGAGTGTTGGGTGGAAGAGATTTCTAAGAAGCAAAGCATTCAAGAGGTGACCTGTCTGTTTCTAACAGCCTATGATAAGATATAGAAGCAAGGAAAGAACCTAAAGTTAGAATGTGTATTTAAAAGGAAAAAAAAGAGCATAAAAGTTTGGAAAATTCTCAGAATGGCCATGATGTTGAAATGAAAATAGCTTTCAGTAGAGTTATTCAAGTGGGCTTCAGAGCATTAACTTGCTAGAGAGGTTTGCTTGAGTAAAAGGGAGAGTGGAAGCAAGAGAGAGAAGGTAAGTTGAAGACTTTTTTTAAGAACTAGATTTTTCTATGATGTATTAGTCTGCTCTCATGTGCTATAAGGACATACCCAAGACTGGGTAACTTATAAAGAAGCGGTTTAATTTATCAAAATTCCAGAGGGCTGGGGAAGCCTCAGGAAACTTACAATCATGGCAGAAGGAAAAGTATACATATTCTTTTTCACATGGTGGCAACGAGGACAAGAATGAGAGCAGCAAAAAGAGGGAAGCCCCTAATATAACCATCAATTCTTGTGAGAACTTACTTTTATGAGAATGGCATGGGGGAAACCACTCCCATGATCCAATTACATCCCACTGGGTCCCTCCTATGACACATGAGAATTATGAGAACAACAACTCAAGATAAGATTTTGGTGGAGACACAGCCAAACCATATCATTTGCTCCTGGCCCCTCCAAATCTCATGTCTTAACATTTCAAAATACAATTATGTCCTTCCAACAGTTCCCCAAAGTCTTAACTTCACCTTCTTCCATGATTGTAAGCTTCAGGAAGCCATCACTAGAAGTGGATGCTGGGGTCATGCT
The DNA here is from genome assembly GCF_000001405.40 of Homo sapiens. Lineage (NCBI taxonomy): Eukaryota > Metazoa > Chordata > Mammalia > Primates > Hominidae > Homo > Homo sapiens. The sequence goes on from NC_000004.12 coordinate 68,965,884, forward strand.
ATACAGTATACTAAACTGTGAGCCAATTATAATTCCTTACTTCATAAGTTATGCAACCACATGTATTAATTCATAACAATGCAAGAATGGCCTAAGGCAATGAATTAAAGATTTAACTCTACAATCTCAAACTGTAAGAATCTTAAGGGAAAACCTAGAAGACACCATTCTGGACATTCGCCTTTGGAAACAATTTATGACTAAATCCTTATGTATTAGCCCATTCTCGAACTGCTAGAAAGAACTTCCCAAGACTGGATAATTTATAAAAGAAAGAGGATTAATTGACTCACAGTTCCACATGACTGAGGAGGCTTCATGAAACTTACAATCATGGTAGAAGGGGAAGCAGCCATATCTTACATAGTGGCAGGCAAGAGAATGAGTGTGTGAGGGAAAAAACTGTCAGACACTTATAAAACCATCAGATTTCATGATAACTTACAATCACAAGACTATCACGGGAGGCACATTGCCTCCATAATCCAATTTCCTCCCATGTGGTTTCTTCCTTGATGTATAAGGATTATGGGGTTTACAATTTATAATGAGATTTTAGTGAAGACATAAAGCCTAACCATAGCATTTCCCCCGGCCCCTTCCAAATCTCATTTCCTTACATTACAAAATCAATCATACCTATTCAACAGTCCCCCAAAGTCTTAACTCATTTCAGCATTAACTCAAAAGTTCATATCCAATACCTAATGTGAAATAAGGCAATTTCCTTCAACCTAGAAGCCTGTAAAATCAAAAGCAAATTAGTTTCTTCCAGTATACAATGAGGGTACAGGCACTGGATAAATGCTCTTATTTCAGATAGGAGAAATTGACCAAAATAAAGGGGCTATACTCCCCATGTACATGAGATATCTAGTGGAACAGTCATTAGATCTTAAAGCTCCTAAATGATCTCCTTTATACTTCATGTCTTACATCCAGTCATGCTGATGCAAGAGGTGAGCTCCCATGGTCTTGGGCAGCTATGCTGCTGTGGCTTTGCCCAGTGCAATCACCCTCCCAGTTGCTTTCACAGGCTGGTGTTGAGTGTCTGTGGCTTTTCCAGGTGTGTGGTGCAAGCTTTTGGTGAATCCACAATTCTGGGATCTGGAGAATGGTGACCCACTTCTCACACCTCCAGTAGACAGTGTCCCAGTGCAGACTCAATGTGGATACTCCAACCCCTTATTTCCCTTTAGCACTGCCCAAGCAGAGGTTGTCCATGAGGGCTTCATCCCTGCTGCAGATTTCTGCCTAGACATCCAGGCATTTCCGTACATCCTCTGAAAAGTAGGTGGAGGTTCCCACACCTCAGTTCATGACTTCTGTGGACTCCCAGGCCCAACAGCACGTGGAAGCCAACAAGGATTGCAACTTGCAGCCTCTGAAATAATGGGCTTAGCCACACCTTGGTACCTTTTAGCCATGGCTGGGAAACAGAGCACCAAGTCCCAAGGCTGCACAGAACAGCAGTGGACCACTTTTCTTTCCTAGGCTCCCAGATCTGTGATGGAGGGGTTGCTATTAAGAACTCTGACATGCTCTGAAGACATTTTCCCCATTGTCTTTGTGATTAACATTTGGCTCCTCATTACTCATGCAAATTTCTGAAGCTGGCTTGAACTCCTCCCTAGAAAATGAGTTTTTCTTTTCTACTACATGGTCAGCCTGCAAATCTTTCAAACTTTCAACCACAAATCTTTCTCTGCTCTCCTTTTTAACATAAGTTCCCATTTCAAGCCGTCTTTTCGTGAACACATAAGAATGAATGCTTTCAAAATCAAACAGGTCAATTCTTAAATTCTTTCCTGCTTAGATTTTTTTTTCTGCCAGATACCCTAAATCATCTCTCTCATCTTCATAGTTTCATAGATCTCTAGGGCAGGGGCAAAATGGTGCCAATGTCTTTGCTATAGCATTGCAAGAGTTACCTTTGCTCCAGTTTTCCAAAAGTTTCTCATCTCCATCTGAAACTGCCTCAGCCTAGAATTCATTGGCAACATCATTATCAGTATTTTGGTCAAAACTATTCAACCATTCTCTGGGAAGGTCCAAACTTTCCTACATATTTCTATCTTCTCCTGAGCATTTTAAACTATTCCAGTCTCTGCCTGTTATCCAGTTCCAAAGTCACTTCCACATTTTCAGGTATCTTTATAGCCATACCCCACTACCTCAGTACCAACTTACTGTAATAGTCCATTCTCACACTACTATAATGAACTTCCTAAGACTGGATGACATTGTTTGGCTGTGTCCCCACCTAAATCTTATCTTGAATTGTAACTCACAAAATTACCATGTGTCATGGGAGGAAGACAGTGGAAGGTCTTGAATTATATATCAGGTCTTTCCTGCACAGTTCTCGTGATAGTGAATGAATCTCATGAGATCTGATGGTTTCAAAAATGGGAGTTTTCCTACACAAGGTCTCTGTTTGCCTACGGCCATCCATGTAAGATGTGACTCCTTGCCTTCTGCCATGATCATGAAGCTTCCCCAGCCATGTGGAACTGTAAGTCCATTAAACCTCTTTTTCTTCCCAGTCTCGGGTATGACTTTATCACTAGCTAGAAAATGGACTAATACAATAATCAGGGCTATTGGAGGGCTCAGAAGGAAAATGTGGGAAAGTTTGGAACTTCCTGGAGACTTGTTGAATATCTTTGACAAAAATGCTGATAGTGATATGAACAATAAGGTCCAGGCTGAGGTGGGTTCAGATGGGGATGAAGAACTGGAGCAAAGGTGACTTGTTATGTTTTAGCAACAAGACTGGCGGCATTTTGATCTTGCCCTAGAGATTTATGGAACTTTGAACTTGAGAGAGATGATTTAGGGTAGCTACATAAAGAACTCTAGGCCAAAGGATCTACACAACTCCACAAAGGATCTACACAACTGGTTTTTTAGGCAAGTATTTTGATTCTAAGTCATGATTACACACCAGCAGAGAGGAACTTATCCCTGTATATACTATACACGTGCTCAGAGCTTCTCATGGAGTGATTAAAAGATCAAAGAGGTGGGATTGTACTGAGCTTGCTGGAATACATTTCATCACTTTATTAGGCCTTTTTACTAAGAAATATATACATGAATGGAGCAATACTGTCTGTGATTTGTTTCATTTTAACATACCACCTGGTAGTGTGGTGAAGTACTGTATTGAGAAGCAAAGGTGAAAGACACATGAAAACACAGAGAAAGAGAGAGAATGAGTAAGAGAAAGAGAGAAAAAAATTATTAGAGTTAAAATTTATTTTTGTAACATGAGGGGTTAGCCTATGACCCAGCATCATCAGTGCTCATAAAGTGTGTGTTGAAATAAATACAGGACCTGTAGCAGGGGTTAGATCATTCATACTCCAAATTTTACGTAAGTGATTCTTTTCAGTCTGAATATACACCTTAGTTTGACAGAATATTGAGACATTTTTGTTTTATACATATGATATAGATTTAATTTTGAGAAAGCATGCAATGATTACTAAAGAGAATTTCTTAAATATTTTAAAAATATATGTGTACATACATCAATATGAATTGACTGATGCTATTACTGATTCTCCGTTTTTTTCCGGTAAAATGCATTTATAGTTATTATATTGAAGTAAAACTGAAATAATGATACCTATTGGAAAAATAAAAGCTGTGATTGAAGTGTAATTTTATACAAATAATCTTGCTTATGTTGAGGTTTAAATTTAGTAATATTCCAAATTTTCAAACAAATATATAATGACTATTTCTTAGTAAAGATTTTGAATTCAATTGAATTTTAACTATACATTATAAATGTGAGGTGATATCAATGGAATATAAATTGATCAGAACCTGTTGATACTCAGCAACATTACGGTTCAGATAAAGTTTTAACTTTTAAATTATATTTTACTCATTATAGAGAGGGATTACAGAAGTAAAGTAAGCAGATAACTCTGAATCATGTACATCAGATAAACATAAAATTCATGTTATGATTGTTTATGTAATTAAAAATATTTTGCTTAATCCATAGTGTAAGAAAGTAAGGATATAAGGAGGGCTAAAATTATATACTACATAGACGTATAGAGGATTTTCAGTATAAACAGATACAAGCTGAATCTGAAGGTACTGTTGGTAAGAAAGCAAAGGAAGAATATGCTTGAAAAACATACAAAGAAAAAAATCGAAAAAGTCCAAAGCCTAAAATCATGATTCTTTATAGAAATATCCCTACGCTTTTCTGTGGAGTATCAAAAGAAGAACAAAAGTGATATTTATTCCTAGAACTACATTATTGCACCATAAACCTACACTGAATTCTGACTCTAAAAACAAAGTGCAACCATTAAGAATTGTAAACGGCATGCAAATGTGAAGAAATACAATGGAAACACAACCTGAGTGAAAGGTACAGAGATACTCCACAAAGTGAAACATAGCTGAAAGGGTTTCAGTTACAAAATAATAAATACTTTATTTCTAAAATGTTATGGCCACAATATTTTATGCCTTAACTACAAAGTATAGTCAATACTTTCAGTTACTAAAGGAATATAATCGTTTTATGCTCACTTTATCAATATCTTTTTAACTATTTCTACACCGTAATATTACTTTTATAATTTCAAAGATAATTACATTTTCAATATAAAATAATTAGGAAAATAAATTTTGCTATGACCTAACACCTAGTTATGCTACTCTCCCCATCCTATAAATGTATAATAATAGCAGATCACAAGTTACATAGGAGAAAAAATAATTAAGCTTTGCACATAAGTCATATTGTCTGTCAGTCTGATGTGCTGCCAGTAATACATGAAGGAGTGAGACGTCTGCCAATAGCTTTTCAAAATTCTGCTTTTCATTTGTTCTGGATAATTACCTAGTAGTGACATGGTTGTGTCACATGTAAATTCTATTTTAATTTTCTGGCATGTGTGCATATTTTTGTGTGTGTGTGTGTGTGTGTGTGTGTATATGTATAAAGTTCTATGGCAAAGGTAAATATACAGTCCAATATAGAGTCCTTTAACTTCATAATGTTTTTTATACATGTATATGTGTGTATATATTATATATGTATAGGTGTGCATATTTATGTTATATATATATTATGTATGTATACATGTTTATATAGGTATATAATGTGTGTTTGTATATATAAACACATATATACACCATCCTAATGTTTATGGTGATAGCTCATAACCTATTTAAGAGATGTTTTATATACACAGACACAGACACACATATACACCATGCTAATGGTTATGAAGTGATAGCTCATTATATTTTTGATTTACATTTCTCTAATGATTAGTGATGTTGAACATATTTTTATATGCTTTTTGACCATATAATATTTTTTGGATAAATGCATGTTCAAGTGCTTTTTTAAAAAAAATTGGGTTGTAGTTGCTAAGTTGTAGAGGTTTTATATATGATTTTGTTTATTCAACACTTCTCTCTGTTATCTTAAAATTAGTCTAGATAAAACAGTTTCAATTTTATTGACCATTTTAAAAACTGACTCTTAGTTTTGTTGATTTTTTTCTATTCAAAAAGTTTTCTATTTCTCTTCAAATCTGTAATATTTTCTTCCTTCTGCTGTCTTTGAGCTTAAAATTATTTTTTTCGCATTTCTTGAGATGTAAAGTTAGTTGCTTATGTCAGATTTTCTTTTTTATGTAGGTATTTATTAGAAACTTTTCTCACGCAACCGTGCATGTTAAATCATGAGGTTTTGTTTCTTATTTATTTTTTGTGTATCTTCTATAGGCATATTTTTTAGTTACTCTGAAGATTATATAATTATTTTACAGTTTAAAAATGTATTTTAAATTGTTCAAAACCATTTCAATCACATATGAAAAATCTACTACTATCTTCACTTTATGTTACTGGTGTCACTAATTATAGCTTTTTATGTTGTGTAACAGTTCTTTTCTTAGATGGACTTATTTAGATAGATTTATAGTTTTTTAATGTTTTTGTCTTTTAAATTGTATTCCAAAATTGAAATTAATTAATACACCAACATTATGAAGCTCTATATTGGACTGTATGATTACCCTTGCCACAGAGCTTTCTATTTGCATATGCCTTTGTTTTGATATCTAGCATCCTTTCATTTAAACTTGAAGGACAGCATCTCTTATAGTCAGGTCTTGTAATGACTATTTTCTTCAATTGTTGTTTTATTTTTTACCATAGATGATATTCAATATTCTATAAATATTGTAAGATATAACTTTGCCAAATAGTAGTCTTGTTTAGCAGGTTTCTTTTTCTTTTTCTTTCAGTGCTTTGAATATATCATCTCATTTACTTTTGATTTGGGAGGTTTCTGCTGAGATTCTTGTTGATACTCTTATTCTAGCTCACTTATATGTGATGAGCCATTTTTCACTGGCAGTTTTCAAGATTTTCTCTTTTCTGTGACTTTTTAAAATTTGAGTTTAGCCATGTTTTCCACATTCCACTATGCATTGGAATCACTGAGACACCTTTTAACAATACAAAATCTTGGCTTTTGACAGATATTATTTATTAAGAGAAATGGGCATTGGTGTTGTTATAATCAAAACTCCCCTTTTTTTCATGTTTAGCAAAAGTTGGAAACTCCTGTCTTAATCAATCTGATACGCACAAAATTTTTATATGTATAGTAGATACGTAAATTTTGCTTTCCTCTCTGATAACTCATGTAAACATTAGTCTCATTAAAAATCCTATTTTTCAATATTTCTTTCTTTGTTTTTCATGGGTTTTGGGACTCTAGGTTGGGAGTTCATAGAGAGAGAGGATAACAACCCTGAGCAGATTCTTGGGAAAGGACGAAATGGTTAGGGCAGAACATATTGCATACACAAGGCCAACTGGACTCTGATTGCTGCTGATCTCAAAACGCAACGCCAGACTGATGAAGAATGAAAGTCTTACAAGCAATAGCTCTTGAGTGGCAGGGAGTCTCATAAAGGAATTCAGAAAGCCCCAGAGTTTTAGAGTGGAAAATATGAAAATGAGGAGAAAGTAATGTGTTCTCTTTAAATTATCTGTGGATGAAATATTAACAAGCTTGCTCCATTCTTGCCTTTCCCAAATTCGGAAACATCTATTTCCTCTTTTTCTTCTTTCCTATTTTACCAAATGTTCGACAGGAAATCAAACAAAGTTTTGTGACCAAAAATATAGCCGTTGCCACACAGACCAGCAAAACCACAATCACACCCAAAGAGTGGCACTGGTACTAGGAGAGGTTGTGCGCAGCTAGCCGAGGGTGCTTGGCTCCTTTGTGGTGCATGACAAACTTGATCCAGAAAACTGCTCAACCCAGGGGCTTTACAGGTCGATCATGGTGAATTTTTGATAACCTTATAGCATTCTCTTTATAATTGGAAAGCAAGAGCACATATGGAAAACAGAGTTTTGTTTTGTTTTCATTAAAAAGAAGTAGGTAAACCGTAGCATATGTTATACAAGCCAAAAGCTTGTTGAATAAAAGAATTATTTTTGTTGTGATATGAACTTCATTGGTTGCATAGCATTGAACAGATACGGTGGGGAAATTGAAAAAGACACATATTCTTAGCAGAATGGGGTAAAATGAAGACGTAGAAAAATACTTAGTAAGCTGGTTGTTAATTTAAATCTACTGTTTCCAAGAAGGAGGATTGACACTCTATGAACTATCATTTCCAGGACTATTGCAATACTAAGATGATTATACCTGATGATATAATCATTGCAATACTAAGATAATGGCAATACTAAGATGATAATACCTGAGATTGAGAGGGAAGATCTTTTAAATAGTCTTCCAGTATGGCCCTAACATTTTCTAGTATGATATATAACATAATCAATGGTAGATAAGCCTTTTAAAGCAGTAATACTTACAAAAGATTATTGATACCTGTTCTCAAAGACCTAAGCAAATCTGTACCTGTAATTGTATTCATGTTCAGCTGCACAGCTGCTCCTTTGGCTTTCATGTGAGAGGTGTTGTCAAGATGATCACCAAACATAGGAAACTCCCACCATAGGGACTCCATGGTAAATAGCTTCATAGACCCCATTTATATCACCATGAGTGATAAAAGCTTTGGTTTGTGCATGACCTAGTTGGGAAACTGAATAAGAAGTATGGTTTTTATTATCACAATTCTTAAAAGAATTTCAGAGACATGTAGGGAAAAAATCTTTGAAATAACTCACTGAAGAGGGCAGAATTTTCTACAAAAGTGAACAAAAAGGGCATCATTGCAAAAGAAATTTGCTTTCTTAAGGAAAAGAGGCATTAATTTATTTCTGCATTGCTTGAAACTTACTTTAAAAATAAAAGTAAGAATCAAAAAATATAATGACCAACAATTACTCAATTATATATACTTTAAAATTAAAGGTAAAATAACAAACTATAAATTTTAAATTTTTGTTAAATTTATTAGGTGTTAAACAGTTATTCAATTTTTCCCTTATGAAATTCCTCATTTTTACTACGTCATAATCTTATCATGAAGATCGCTCTGGCATATCCAAACGTAGAGCTGAGTATTGGTTCCCAGTGTAGCTGGTTTCTTTCCTTTGAATCTCTATAAAACCTGAGGAAGTAAATGTATGCATTTCACAAGTTAAACCACAAGATAATAGCATTTTGAGTTTTCAGATCATTATAATTCATACAATCCACTTTATTTCAGATGATATTTGAGACAGGAGCATATAAGGGTCCTATGTAATCACTGAAAAAAATAGTAAGACTGTTGACAGTCACCTCTTAAAAGGGTAGGTACCATTAAACTCTTGGGGATACCATTTATTATTTTGTTTCCTGCAAACTCAAATCATCTAGGAGTGAGATTATAAAAATAACAAAAAAATAAAGCAGTGTTGGCTAATTTGTCAGCATATGGAAGTTCAATTTCTTACGGACACACAACTTCTGTGTAAATGTAAATCACTTGGCCATTCTAGCTCTATTATCAAATTTATAGTTTCCCAGAGACAAACATTGCTTTGGTTTTTGTCTGGTTTTGGGTAGTTGGTTGTCTTTTCTCTTCATGCCTCCTTCTCTCCTTTATTTCATTTATCTTTAATTAAAAAACAAAGAGAGAGGAGTTACCTATATTTCATTGTTGAAGGTTAAATTTTGTTTGTATTTGTATCTTAGTTCCATACTTTTTTCTTTCTAGAAACGTATATGAAAATCTCACACTTGAAAACAAAGGATTACATAGATACTCTGAACTCCCAAAACGAGAATCTCATGACTAAAACCAATTTCACATTCCTATTTACCATACTTGCTTTTATTGAGTGTTTTGAAATTTAACTAAACATAAAATTAAAAAAAAAACCTCTAGGCTGGTGTATAAATAGCACTAACTAAAGAGAGGAAAACTAGAATTACAGTAATAACAAAACTAATTGAATATCATAAAGAATTACATGCAGGTTGCTAGACTATAATATTAAAACCATAATTGCCTTTTAACTATAGAAAACTCTAGTTCATTAGAAAGACTACATAAATTTAAGCTTCTACTTTTATGTTCAAATACGTGGAATAGAGTTCCTATATAATCAAATATGTTGAGAATACTATTGAGCATGATTCTTCTCTTATATAATTCCCCAATTTTTATATTCCTTTGAGCTAGTATATTTAAAAAGTTTCCTTTGGAGTCATCAGAATATGTCTCAAGATTTCAAATCCTGCAATGTGGAATAGGGACTTAATGCACTATTTTTATTTTATTATTAACAAATGACAAGCAAGAGATGTGTTACTAAAGCAATAGAAAAGATCACTAGGCAAATAATCAGTTGTGTCCACATACACAACCATAATGTTTTCCAAATTGTTACGTAAATCTAACGCCTGTTACGCAAATTGAAAAATGAGATTCAAGTTCCAAATGGAAAGCCATACTTTCTCTATTGTGTGAATAGCTTCTTATAAGGATTGGAGGTTCTACTGACTTTTTGTGGAATCTGAGCCAGGGCGGAAGTGATAAGATAAACCTTTTCTTCTGTAAGGTTTTTCACAACTGACTCCAGAGAAAACACAACAACACCATCCTTATCAGAGCGCTGGAAAAATTCTTCTATTTCCTACAGAAAAAAAAATTTTCTTCATTATAAAGATGCAATGCCAAATAGAATAATACAGTTTATGCATACTTCTAAAATAAAATTTTGAAGTTGACATATATATAGTTGTATTGTCCCTGTATTCTGAGATGCATTTTAGCATAGAAATGAGAAAGTTTGTGTTAGAAACATATGTCTTCAGTACATAATAATTATTTACTAGAAAAAGCACACAACCACATAGTTATACAGAACATTTAAGTGAGAAATGTCCATCTTGTTTAATATTTGGTAGACATCAAATTCTAAAAACATAATGGTTAGTAAACTCATAAAACTATTTCAACAATATCAAGTGTCAATTTGTTGGCATTTTGTGATGTCAACAAAATAATAAAATTTTAAAAATCCAACATCAATTCCCCAACAAAAGTACAACTAGTAGCTATCCAAATACACAAATGCCACTCTGAATTCACCAGATCTCAATAGAGAAGGAGAAAACCCCAAGACTTACGGACATGACAAACTTATGATTGGTAAGATGAATAATTTTTGGGGGCTATACCAACCCCTTCCACACACAAAAATGACACCACTGTGAGATAACTTCTTTTTACCTGCAGTTATTGAAATGGGAGGAGGGAATTTCAAGTGGACATATAATTTCTTCATGGGTCTGTAAATTTGGAGGGAAAGCCCACATTTGTCCCACCCCACAAGAGGTATTGAGAGTGTTCACAGGGCTGAACCACCTGGGGTAAATTTGAGACCAAAAGTAAGAGTAGTAATCACAGTGATTGGCCCACAGATCTTGGCGTCTGCTTTGTGTACCTAGCTACAGGGATGCCACACTGAGGAGTCTGACCAGAACCATAGCACTGCAGGAGGCAAGATCTAAGAGAAGGTCTGAATCTTTGACAAGATTTTTTACAATTCCCAGGGAGTCATGTGGATGGAGATTTTCCATGACTGGGAAACAAGTATAAGGTTTGAAATTAAGTTCCAATGATTGTTTAAATCTCTCGCAGACCTAGAAATCACTGCAAGTCTGGGTTTAAGTTCCAGTGCAGCATTTATGTTCAGATGCTCACAATAAGTCTCCCAAGACTGGAAAACAACATTAGAGCAAATATTGAATTGAGTTTTGGTGCAGTATTAAATTCTGGTGGCAAATATTAAGTCCTTGCCCAAACAAAAAGCAACTGGTGGCAAGGAATTAGATTCCAATAATAAATAGTAAAGGTTGAACAACACAAGAATACACCTATAAGAGCTATACCATGTCAATATCTCTTTAAATATGGAAACAGCAATGTACAGATGAAAGGAAACACAACACCGCTAAAAAACAACAGAACTCACCTAATGCAGTAGAAGAAATAAACATATATAACATTTCTGACAGAGAATTCAGAGCACATCTTTTTATAAAAGAGCTCAGGAAACACCGAAAATATAAACAGAAAGTTAAAAAATCATTTGGAAAATATTTAAAGATCAAGAGGAGAAAAGTTGTCTTTTTTAATACATAAATTGAAAAAGCTTCAGCTAGAATAGCTACAAAAATAGATGACTCAAATAAATGAAATAAGAGATGAAAAGGATACATAACAACTGATACACAAAAATACAAAGGATTATAAGAGACTATCATAAACAAGTACCTGCCAGCAAATTAAAAAATCCAAAGGATATAGACAAACTTTTAGAAATGTACAACAAATCAGGATTGAATTATGAAGAAACAGAAACATGAGTAGAGAAATAACGAGTAACAAAATTGAAGCAGCAATAAAAACTCCATAAAAATGTACTAATTTTATTCAAATTATTGAAAAATAAACCATTTTTCTAAAAATGTTTCTTCCAAAACATTAAGGGGAATTGAATGCTTTAAAAAATAGGGTTTTATGGCTGGGATAAGGATCACCTTGATAGCAAAACCAGAAAGAAGGAGCCAAAAAAAATTTAAAAAAATAGAAAAATTCTGTAGGCCAATTTTTCTGATGAACATAGATGCAAAAATTCTCAGCAAATATTAGCCAATCAAATTCAACAGCACATCAAAAAGATTATACTCTATGATGAACTGGGATTTATCTCAGGGATGCAGGGAAGGTTAAACCTATGCAAACCCATAAACGTGATACATAACACCAAGAGAATTAAGAAAAAAATAATTTGTATGTCTTAAAAAAAAATCTTCTAATATACAACAGAATGATTTTAACACAAAATGCCATATAACCAACATAGGGTAAGCTTGAATGGAGAGTGATTGTCTAATGTGTATAAACATTCTTTTAGGTTGGTGACAGTTTTGGATCTAGATTGAAGTGACAGTTACACAATACTGTGAATGCCACTGAATTGTTCACTTTTAAATGGTTAAAATAGTACATGTTATTTTATGTAATTTTACCTCAAATATTAAAAAAAAAACATGTATACATGTAGCTGACCAAATTTTGCCCAGAGGACCCAATTGATTTGTCAACCCTTGGTTAATTAAATTATAAGAAATTTAATTCTGACATATTTAAAATAGCAAATGCTGTCATTTTTATCATTTACTTTTGAAAAATGATACTTTTAAAAATATATGAGGCAATTTAGGTAAGGACTCAAATCATTGTGGAAATTTATCTGTCTAGTTAATAATTATTATAATTAATGCAAATTTAGTTTGCTACATATAGCACCTGTAGTGCTTTACCAAGTTAATGCATCCGGCCTTTCATCAGCCACATGAGGTAGATAATGGCGTTACTTCATCTCCGTTTCACTGATGGAGAAGTTGAGGCATAGAGGTGAGGCAACTTGCCAAACCCCACATAATTCTGTAGTGGTTTTGCAGGGACTTGAATCCAGGCTAACTGGATGCAGAGTACAAAAGCTCTTAACCACCATGCTATGCTGACCTCCCTTTCTGAGTTTCAGTTATTTTCAAAATGCTACATTTGTAGTTTTCATTTTCTTGCCTCTATATTAATTATATATTATTATGAATGTATAATTACATTTTTAGAAATATTTTAGTTATCTATCACGTCACAACCAACTACCCTCAAAAGTGGGGACTTTGAAAAACAATAAGCATTTTATTAGAACTCTCATAGCATGAGTGTTGGGTGGGCTCAGCCAGGTGGTTCATACAGAGTATTTCTCAGGTCGTTACTTTCATATGATGGCTGGGGATGTAATCATCTGAAGGTCATTCATTCACATACTTAGTGATTGATGTCGAAAGACTGAAACTCCTTTTTGACTGAATAATCCTGACTTCCTAGTCTCCTCTGTGTGCCCCTCCCCAAACAGTCATTTATCATCAAGACTTTGGCTGTAATACAGGGCTCCACAGTGTACGGAGGGAGAAAAAGAGGCAGAAGGACAGAGAGAGAGGAAGAAAGAGATATAAGTAAAAACAAAGACAGACAGACAGACAGAGACAAGGAGACAGACAGAGATAATATACTGCCTTTTCTAACACAGTCTTCAAAATTACGCTGTCACTTCTACCATATTTTCTTTGCTGAGACAGCCACAAGCCTTGCTAAAGTGCAAGGGCAGGGACTATGGTTTGATTAGAATGTCAAAGTATTTGCAGTCATGTCTCTAAATCACCAAAATATAAGCTGTTGAGTTAGTCAACAGAAGTCACTGTGTAACTAGCAAATTCATTATATATTGAAAATAGAAACACAGTAAAATCATAAAAGTGTGTGAATTTAAAAGTTTACAACTATTGAAACCTTTATTATGCATTGTAAAATATTTATTCATAGATATTTTAAATATAAAATAGGTTTCCTATGAACAGGCGTCAAATTAATCATATGGCATAGAATACTGAGGTGATCCTAAGTGGCTCAATTCTTTCCCATTTATTCTACTGCAGACACATACACATCTACAAGAAAAAATGACATACAACAACATATATAGCCTAGTATAAAATGATGGAAGATCTAGGCATAGTGGTTCATGCCTGTAATCCCAACACTTTGGGAGGCCATGGTGGGCAGATCACCTGAGGTCAGAAGTTTGAGACCAGCCTGGCCAACATGATGAAACCCCATCTCTACTAAAAACACAAAAATTAGCCAGATGTCAGGGCAGGCGCCTGTAATCCCAGCTACTCGGGAGGCTGAGGCATGAGAATTCTTTGAATCGGGGAGGCAGAGTTTGTAATGAGGTGAGATTGTGTCCCTGCACTCCAGATTCCACATTAGAGTAAAAACAAACAAACAAACGAACGAAAAATGAAGGAAGGATGTTTACCGATTGTTAAAATCAGAGGGAATTCTGTGAATAGATGCTTGTAAGAGCTGTGACAAAGTGACTTTTGGGAGGAAAACTAATGAGACATAGTTTCTAGAAGCAGGGAACAAAATTTACTCTACAGGATGCAGTGACATCCTGTTAAAAAACAAGTAGAGAAAAAATGTGTGGAACTAGAGATCTCCCTAGACTGCAGCAGAGACAATTGAAAAAATTGTGAAGGGATGCTCTTACAATACAGAACATGAGGGATGTTGCAGAAAGCAAAACCTGTTGAAGATTTCCCCAAGAAAACTACATGAGAAACTAAGCAGTCATACACAATTGGAAGATTTGCACTCAAGGATTCTAGATAGAGGAAACGATCAGAATGAGATTTTGATTTTCGATTTTTATATTTATTTTTTAAGGCCTTGCTCAGTTGTCCAGGTTGGAGTGCAGTGGTGTGATCACGGCTCACTTCAGCCTCAACTTACTAAGCTGAAGTGTTTCTCTCACCTCAGCCCCCTCAGTAGCTGGGACCACAGGTGCATGTCACCACGCCCAACTAATTATTTTATTTTTTGTAGTGATAAGCTCTTGTTGTGTTGTCCATGCTGATTTCAAACTCCTGGGCTCAAACAGTGCTCTCATTTCAGCATCCCAAAGGGTTGAGATTACAGATGTGAACCACCGTAACTTTACAAAAATATTTTTAAATAAGCATGATTCAAATGTTCAGAGATGAAAGAGTCACTAACATAAAACAAGAATGGGATGAGGTGAGGATGAATACAAAAATAATTAGATATTCTTGAAATCAGAAATGTGCTCCCTAATTATATGAAATGTTGTTTGATTACATAAAATAAAGTGGAACTGAATGATTGACTGGTACAGCCCCCAAGAAGAATCACTTAATGATCTCGAAATTACCAGTAAACTGATTAAAATGTAAAAGTATTGCTTGTTAACACCTTCTGTTAAAGCTTTCCTGATTAGTTTTTCTTCCAAAGCTCTCTAGTTTCTAGTTGTTTTCTTGGTCTTAACTATCCATTACATGCTTTGTTAAAGTATTTATGCCCTGTTTCAATGTGATTGTCTCAATTTTTATTTCATTCTATCCTACCTCTTGCAATCTGCATGTCTTCATTATTATTGATCAATCCAACTGCAAAGTTCACCTTATCTAAGGATTATTCATTAATTTTTACTTGTTTATCTGATCTTTATTAATTTTGTCTCTTTGCCAGTCACTCTGAGCCATGGTCATGATGACTTAGGATTCTGGATCTCTTATGAATAATAAATTTATCCTTAATAAAGTCTCTATACTAAAGAAGAATCTAATGAAAAATATCACTTGAAAAAATGAGTGCAGTACGTGAACAAAGTTCTGACTAGATCATAAACACAAAAAGTGATTAATCAGTTTATTATTTAGGGACTAACAATGAAATCAATTATATATCTTCATATACTTTGAATTGGAAAAATTAATATTTATCATAGGTAAAGCACCAAATAACTGGCGACTCCAGTGCTGGTTTGTTGGGAGTATGAATAGAGTGGTGATAGGTGAAGGGCATCCACAGGCTCAGCACAACAAGAATCCCCTCTAACCAAGTCTGAGCCAGCAACTACTGAAATAAAAAATCCAACCTACTAGTATTGCAATTTTTAATATATATTTGGACATTAGGCAAGTGACCACCAGTGGAACTGCGGACTCAGTGGGCCAACTCTAAGCTCACCTTTGTCTGAACCTCTATATGGCCCCCCACTTTCAAAAAAGAAAGTCATGCCTCCTACTCATCCAAACTTTACCAAGATTCAGTGTCTTAGGGTACAACTTAAAAATAATAACAAATGAGAAATTTGAAATTTTATGCCTCACCAGTTTTCAATTTACTGTAGCTCGGATCCAAATATAGCTTTATGATACTGAATCAGGATCCTGTAAGCATTCCTCTTTTGCCAGCTGGTTGAAGGTTAAGCTTCATCAGTAGAGGACACTCGAGTGATGGTGAGGTGCTTGATGCAGGAAGGTGCATCCCTTCCAAGACTCACACTTTAGTTATTCAGTAATGTTTATCATTAATATTGAAGTTTAAGAATATGAATGTTAAAGAATATACTTAAGAATACTAAAGAATATACTTAAAGTAAGAGGAAAACTTCTAATAGCACATTTGTTTTATCTTTTAAGAAATATTGCATTCTGCAAAGAAATTAATTCAGAAAACTCCTACATAAACCATTTGTCCTTGACATAGATAGATTCAGCTTCATATGTTATTTTAAAGATTAAAATTATAATTATGTTATTTTTGTGTTTATCTTCTGTGGTGCTTGAATATCCCTGTCTTTATGCAGCATATTCAAAATTTAAAAAAAAGAATATCGCAAATTTGAAGAATGTTATTTCAATTATATCATTCTATGTGATTGCTTAGAGTTTCTGTGTTTAAATTTTTTTAACTGCGGAGATATTTAAAAGCTTGTACAATCAATCCCCAAAGAGCAGACACATCATATTATTGCAATTTTTGTAATCCAATTTAAAATGGAATTTTTATGACTCTCCATCAAGCATACCATCATGTTCACATATTTTCCTAAGTATATATGTACATATCACTTCATGTAAAAAGGCTTCTCAGAATTAAACTAGTGAAAGTATTATGTGTTCACTCATGGATAGACATAGATATGTGTATCTGGATATATGGTCTAAGAATTTCAAAGAAGATCTATTTTAAGAACATACTTTATTAGGAAAGTATATTCTGATATATTCCGATACATTTTCAGAAGATACTTCATTAAGGAAATATAAACAGACTAGAATTTAGCTTTTGTAGTACATGCTGAACATCATTATTGCCTCAGACTAATATTTATCCATAAGTTTCTCCCTGTTTTTTTTAAAAAAAGACATTACTATAATTGAAGTGCACAAATGCATTACTTTTTTCCTTTCTTGAACTTTGTTATTTTTTTCTTTCTAGTGACATGATTATATGTTCAAAGTTTAATAAAATAAAATATTCAGTGTATATTTCTTTTCTAGATATTAAAATAATTTGTTTTATAACCAATTGTTGCTAAAAATATTTTTTTCATAGAAAAGAGTAATATAAAAATCTTTTTCATGTGTTAGAATGATCATTATGCTTCTCTTCCATCTGATTGTTCAGGCACATCTCTTGTCAGACAGAAGAACTGCTCTAAGTTGGTTTTTTCCTTCTCTGTGATTTGCTTTGCAAACCTTTTTCTGAATCCAGATGCTGTAATGACCAATATTTAAAGGCAGAGTTTAGAGAGCTTTTGCCATTTATTATGCTTTCTTGAACATAGATTTTAAAAATTATTGTACAGGATATTTGGCTCTTTATTCCATCTACAATTTATTTTTCCATGTTATGAGGGGAGAATAAGTAAAATGATTGTATATATTTCTGGTTTGTGTATCCTCAGTATTCCAGGTATTAAAAAAGTTGGAAATGTCTGACTTGACAAGTTAAGGCCAAGAAATAGTGAGATATTATTGCAGGACAGAAATCATGTAACATTGTAATCTAGAGGGACTGGACTAAACTTTCTGAACCATATCTATAATTCCTATCTAAAGGGAACTAGCCTGGCATTTTATTTTGTGTATTATTATCCAATTACAAAGGGTTGTTACTAAAGTGAAAATAATAACTCAAGCATAGTCCAGGCCTCATGTGGAAAACATCTTTTGTCTTTCTAACTAAGGATTTTACCAGGTTGCATAGTTTTGGATAGGAAGTCAGTTATGACCATCAATAATTTTGAAACAAAGAACATTCTCATTAAGAAATATTTTGTATTTCATGAAGGACTTATTTTTACACTCCCATGTAACAGAAAAGACTTGTATAAACACCATGTTAGGAGACTTGGCCAAGTTTAGCTTAGCTTATATGTGCACTAGGTCATGAATTTGCCTTTAAAGGTCACCCTAGCTTCCATGGTAGGTCTTGACTCAAAAGAATGTGATGCTGCCAAACTGCAAAACATACATACACTGCCTAATCCACCTTGTCTAATAATTTTCAATTATTTCCCACTAAATTTTTATGTAATTTTCCATTTTCACATATCCCACTAGCTACTTTTTGTTTTCCTCAATTTATTCATATCACTTTTCTCTTTAAAAGCCTCAGTTACCTTTGTCTTAATTAGAGTTGAGCTCAGTTTATACTGTAGTCTCTATCTCCTACTTCATTAGTAAGAACAAAATATGTCTTGCCATTTTTAAGAAGGATCTTGCTCTGTTTTTCTTGACAGGGACACACATAATCCATATCATTGTATTTGTTTATACAGAAGAGTTTTCTTTACCTCTGTAACAAACCTACACCTCTTGCACATGTACCTCTGGAATTACAATAAATGTTGGAAGTAAAAAATAAAATAAAAAAGGGGTTTCTAAAAATGCACAGTAGAAATACATTATTCCCCACCTTCTTAAATAAACAACCTTGAGTTTTCAGTGAATCTCATTTTTTTCAGTTTAGAAATATACATAAGTAAGCATCAAAATTGAGTAATTTTAGGATTTCTGAAATTAAAATTGTATATTACTTAATGTTTAATGAAGAGTAAAATATTTGAATAAATCAGGAAGGCACAAGTCTTGTGAAATATGGAGGAGAATTTTGCCACACCTTGATGAATATTGGTGGCATTAAATGTCATGACCTTCCCTATCATGCCTGCCTGCCTTAGATCTCAAACAGTGCTACTCTCTTTTTTTTCTTGTCTTAACAAACTTTTGATAATCAAACCAGCAAAATATTATCACAAAGAGAGTAAAAATTGCCTTGCAGGCCAGCACAACCAGAGAGCAGTACTGGAGCCATGTGAGACTGTTGGCAGGTGGCAGCAAGTACTTGGCTCCTCTGTGGCGCATGACAAACTTGATCCAGAAGACTGTTTGGTCTGTGGGCTTCATAAGCTGATCATAATGAGTGACTGAAACCATATAACATTCTCTTTACAGTTAACGAAAATCAAATAGACATAAACTTATAGAATATAAAATAGAAATATGTGAAATTTTTGTGTAGATGTTAAAAGTTAGTGCCACATATAAGTGGGTGCAAAATAAAATATTTTATTTCCTGTTGGTTATAGAGATTTTGGTTTATGGATTAGAATTTGTTGGATGCATAAGATTTCACGATGTGAAAAGAGAATTTAAGAGAGAACAAATGTTTCTATGCTAGAAATTAAAATTAGTTAAGTCCAAAGGATAAAAATAAATCATTTGAGGGTACAGAGGTTGAATTAGCCATTAATGAAATTGTAATGAACCTGGTGTGCAAATTTCAAAATAATATCAAAGTCTAGAGATAGGAGACAAATCTATGACAAAGTTCAGGTCCATATCAGGGCAAAGCTGATAAGAAGTTGGCATTGATCAGAAATTAGTATTGACATCATATGAGTGAATTAGTGATTAAAAGTGTAAAAGTACATGGCCTTAGTTTGAATCATGACCTGATATCTACTGGTGCTTTTTTATTTATTTATTTTTTTGAAAAGTATCTGTTCCTAGTTTTTTTTTTAATTGTTAAATTGAATGAATAAGAATGGTATCTTTCTTATCTGTTTATTGTAAGTAGTAATGATTCTTAGGATACTTGGTAGAATTATTCTCATCATAATGAGACTCTATGTAAATGTTCACTATTGTTACTGTTTTTCTTGCATTGTGATTTTAAAATCTAAGTGGGGCTTAATATTTTACTTTGAGGCATTGTAGTCCCATTTATTAACAGTGCTGAAATAATTATGGACTAATAAATAAGGAATAAGGATGAATGTAAGCATAAGCCTTACCAAGTAGAAACCAAAGGGTGCTAAAGCATGGCACTGTAGCAATAGCAACGGAGGTAACTTCTCTTTTTGATATTTAAAAAACAGAGTGGGAAGACTATGTATTTCAGAGGAGGGAATTAAACCTGATATATATTTTCAATACAATTGGGAAAAATTATAACCAAGAAGTTGCATAATACAAATTATGAATATAATGCATGTCATTTCATATACAGTGAATAGGTATCAACTAATTAAAAATTATCTTTATTTTTCAACACAGCATTATATTTATTAAAATTTATAATATTGTCAATTTAATAGTAATAGCAAAACTGAAATTAACGTATGTACTGAAATAACTTAGAAATCCTATATTTCTGGTTTCGGACATTTTGGCTATTAAACAGGAATATTCCAAACTATCTCTTTCAAACCAATTATTTTTCAATTTTATAAATCTTCCAAATAAGCAAAAGCAAACACAACCATAAGAACAAAGAATATGGCTACATTTATATAGTATGTTCTTTTTCAAATAATTTGTAAAGGCAAATTTGAAAGCTCTAGTTGTTTACACGTTATCAGTGATGAGATAAAAATGTTAGCATAAAAATTTGGAAAGCATTAAATATAATAGGAATTAGAGATTGATTATGTCAATCTGATCAGTAAATCATGCTGATTTACTGAAAACAAATTACAAGAGTTTTAAAAACAAGGAAAAAAGGGTAACTAAAGTGAGATGATGGACATGTTTACTTGCTTCATTATGGTAGCCTTTTAACTAAGTATTTGTATCCCATACTATCACTTTCCATACCTTCAATAGACAAAATAAAATTTATTTGAAGACTAACGTTTGATGAGATCTCATCCTAAAAGACCCTTATAACTGTGCTGAAAATTAGTCAGTGCTGTAATAATATTCATGCTTCTTTTCTTCAACTTTGTTTTCAGTCTTCCTTATAATCCTTCTGTTACCATATTCAGCAATTCTTCTTATTTCACTTTTTGGCTATTTTAAAACTTATGCCCTATCCTAAAACCTCTGACAAATGTTTCCACTGAAACCACCAAAAAAACAGGTTGTGATACTCACAGTGGTTTATTAATGATTTCCTTTAAGCGTTACCAAAAAAAAAAAAAAAGTACTCAGCATTGTGTTCAAGTTTAGAGTCACTGCTGCTTCCTTGGCCTTCATGTGAGAACTTATCAATACATGCTATGTAGTTTAAAAAATTTCATTCATGAAGAGTCATTAATGACTGCTTTTAATGCGTTGAGCAAATCTGTAGTTGACATTGTTTTTGAGTTTACTCTAACAGCTTCCCCCTTAGCCTTCATGTGAACAAACTTATCGGGTTGATCTACAAACAAAGGAAGTCCCACCATAGGGATCCCATGGTTGATCCTCTCATAAGTGCCATTGGCTCCACCATGAGGTATAAAAACATTGGTTTTTAGATGACCCAGGATTAGATAAATGTTTGAATAATTATTCGTGATGAGTCTTAGAATTAAAATGAGCAATGCTCAATAGGAGGCAATGGAATGGACAGTGTTCTCTAGATAACAAATTACTGCAACAGTAAAACTGCATTAAAATTACTTTCAGATCTCAGAGAAAGAAGCACTAAGTCATCTGGGGTGAAAAGTGAAGGCTACACATTGAAGAAATGGTATATGACTTGAGACTTGAAGAATAAATACAAGATTGTCAAGTGGACATATAGAGCACACTGTGGATAAAGAAAACTGCATATCCCCTGCTGCAGCCCCCCAGAAGTAGGATGCATGGTAGAACATGTTCTCTTAGAGAAATAGTGGAGTCACTGAGTGTGATAGGGCACGGTGTCCAGGGCAGTAGGGAATAAGGTGGTGGTGATGCTTGAATAGAGGAAGGACAGGCCACGCTCCATCACAAAATGTGTTACCACTTCATAATGAAGACTGGGGATTTATTTCCATAAAAAATGCAGTTGCTGGTAATAAAAGAAGGGTTGTTATTTTTCAGTTGCATTTGAAATACGTAGCTGTTAGGAGAAAAGGGTAGGTGGAACATTTGAATTAGTAGACAGACATCCCAGAAAATTAATGAAAAATTATTCATGAGATGCAACTATACTAGAGATAAAGGTAGTTTTTTTCTGACCATAAAAAAATGACTGTGTATAACAAATGCCAACTGTTGTAGTTTATTATATATTTCCTCAAGACTGGAACATAAACGAAAAGAAGTTGGATTTTATTTTTGAGTTTTTAAATAATAAATGGTAAATCAGAAATTTTCTGTGGGACTATTATCATCCTGATTGGCTGTTACTCAAGTTTTCAAAATTTATTCTTCAGAGTCATACCAAGAAAGTTATTCTGGACTACCCACTTGTACAGCTGAGTTATTGTACTAAGGTATCTGATTTCCTGTCATCAAATTTCCATAGATCCATATAGATAAGTGAGCCTACCAATGAGAACACATGGACACATAGAGGGCAACGACACACACTGGGACCTTTCAGAGAGCAGAGGGTTTGAGGAGGAAGAGTCTTGCGGGAAGTCAGGAACCCCAAACAGAGGGACCGGCTGAAGCCATGGTGGAAGAATATAAATTGTGAAGATTTCATGGACATTTATTAGTTCCCCAAATTAATACTTTTATAATTTCTTACGCCTGTCTTTACTGCAATCTCTGAACATAATTTGTGAAGATTTCATGGACACTTATCACTTCCCCAATCAATACCCTTGTGATTTCCTTTGCCTGTCTTTACTCTAATCTCTTAATCCTGTCATCTTTGTAAACTGAGGAGGATGTATGTTGCCTCAGGACCCTTTGATGATTGCCTTAACTGCACAAATTATTTGTAGAGCATGTGTGTTTGAACAATGTGAAATCTGGCCACCTTGAAAAAAGAACAGGATAACAGCAATGTTCAGGGAACAAGATAGATAACCTTAAACTCTGACTGCTGGTGAGCCAGGCGGAACAGAGCCATATTTCTCTTCTTTCAAAAGCAAATGAGAGAAATATCACTGAATTCTTTTTCTCAGCATGGAACATCGCTGAGAAAGAGAATGCATTCCTGAGGGTAGGCCTCTGAAATGGCCACTTCTGGGGGGGCGGCCTTCTTTTATGTTCGAAGCTGTAGGGATGAAATAAGCCCATCTCCCATAGTGCTCCCAGGCTTATTAGGATGAGGAAATTCCCACCTAATAAATTTTGGTCAGACAGGTTGTCTGCTCTCAAAGCCTGTCTCCTGATAAGATGTTATCAATGACAATGTGTGCCTGAAACTTCATTAGCAATTTTAATTCCGCCCCAGTCCTGTGGTCCTGTGATCTCACCCTGCCTCTATTTGCCTTATGATATTCTATTACCTTGTGAAGCACGTGATCTCTGTGACCCACATTCTATTTGTACACTCCCTCCCCTTTTGAATATCACTAATAAAAACTTGCTGGTTTTATGGCTCAGGGGGCATCATGGAACCTGCTGACATGTGATGTCTCCCCTAGACACCCAGCTTTAAAGTTTCTCTCTTTTGTACTCCTTTATTTGTCAGACTGGCTGATGCTTAGTGAAATAGAAAAGCACCTAGATGAAATATTGGGGGTGAATTTCACCTGATATCGGGCTGAATTTCCCCTTATAGGAGAGAGTCAAGAAAAATAACTAATGGGTACTTGGCTTAATACCTGGGTGATTAAATAATGTGTACAACAAACCCCCATGACCCAAGCCGACCTATGTAACAAACCTGCGCTTGTACCCCTGAACGTAAAACTTCAAAAAAAAGAGAAAGTAAGTACCTTGTTTTATGAGTCAAATTCAAATTGGAGCATGTCTGTTGGAATTCTAAAAAGGGACCGGGTGCAGTGGCTCACGCCTGTAATCCCAGGACTTTGGGAGGCAAACGAGGGTGGATCACGAGGTCAGGAGTTACAGACCTGCCTGGCCAAGGGGGCAAAACTGTATCTTTATTAAAAATATAAAAAATTTAGCCAGGCATGGTGGCAGGCACCAGTAATCCCAGCTACTCAGGAGGATGAGGCAGAGAACTGCTTGAACCCAGGAAGCAGAGGTTGCAGTGAGCTGAGATCACACCACTGCACTCCAGCCCAGGCATCAGAGAGAGAATTCATCTCAAAAAAAAAAAAAAGAATTCTAAAAAGATGGAAGTCACCTACTTAAATGCTTTCCATATGGCTGACAAGGAAATGAGGACAAGGCAGGTTAAGTAATGAGAACTGCTAGAAGACTGAAGTGAACAGAACATCTATATTTCCTTGACTGGATTTTATATTGAACCAGATTAAATAAAATCATGATGTTTTATACATAGTGACTTAGATATTGAGATAATAAATGAAAAATTCAAATATTTAAGTAATCATTAGGCAGACATAATTCCAGTGAAAAGAAGAGTAAGAAATTACTAATGGTCCACACCTTTTATTATTATTATCATTATTATTATACTTTAAATTTTAGGGTACATGTGCACAATGTGCAGGTTTGTTACATATGTATACAAGTGCCATGTTGGTGTGCTGCACACATAAACTCATCATTTAGCATTAGGTATATCTCCTAATGCTATCCCTCCCCCTTTCCCCCAACCTACAGCAGTCCCCAATGTGTGATGTTCCCCTTCCTGTGTCCATGTGTTCTCATTGTTCAATTCCCACCTATGAGTGAGAACATACGGTGTTTGGATTTTTGTCCTTGTGATAGTTTGCTGAGAATGATGGTTTCCAGCTTCATCCATGTCCCTACAAAGGACATGAACTCATCATTTTTTATGGCTGCATAGTATTCCATGGTGTATATGTGCCACATTTTCTTAATCCAGTCTATCATCCTTGGACATTTGGCTTGGTTCCAAGTCTTTGCTATTGTAAATAGTGCCACAATAAACATACGTGTGCATGTGTCTTTATAGCAGAATGATTTATAGTCCTTTGGGTATATACCCAGTAATGGGATGGCTGGGTCAAATTGTATTTCTAGTTCTAGATCCCTGAGGAATCGCCACACTGACTTCCACAATGGTTGAACTAGTTTACAGTCCCATCAACAGTGTAAAAGTGTTCCTATTTCTCCACATCCTCTCCAGCACCTGTTGTTTCCTGACTTTTTAATGATCACCATTCTAAGTGGTGTGAGATGGTATCTCATTGTGGTTTTGATTTGCATTTCTCTGATGGCCAGTGATGAGGAGCTTTTTTTATGTGTGTTTTGGCTGCATAAATGTCTTCTTTTGAGAAGTGTCTGTTCATATCCTTTGCCCACTTTCTGATGGGATTGTTTTCCTTTTTTTTTTCTTGTAAATTTGTTTGAGTTCTTTGTAGATTCTGGATATTAGCCCTTTGTCAGATGAGTACGTTGCAAAAATTTTCTCCCATTCTGTAGGTTGCCTGTTTACTCTGATGGTAGTTTCTTTTGCTGTGCAGAAGCTCTTTAGTTTAATTAGATCCCATTTGTCAATTTTGGCTTTTGTTGTCATTGCTTTTGGTGTTTTAGACATGAAGTCCTTGCCCATGCCTATGTCCTGAATGGTATTGCCTAGGTTTTCTTCTAGGGTTTTTATGGTTTCAGGTCTAACATGTAAGTCTTTAATCCATCTTGAATTAATTTTTGTATAAGGTGTAATGAAGGGATCCAGTTTTAGCTTTCTACATATGGCTAGCCAGTTGTCCCAGCACCATTTATTAAATAGGGTATCCTTTCCCCATTGCTTGTTTTTGTCAGGTTTATAAAAGATCAGATAGTTGTAGATATATGGCATTATTTCTGAGGGCTCTGTTCTGTTCCATTGGTCTATAGCTCTGTTTTGGTACCAGTACCATGCTGTTTTGGTTACTGTAGCCTTGTAGTATAGTTTGAAGTCAGGTAGCATGATGCCTCTAGCTTTGTTCTTTTGGCTTAGGATTGACTTGGCAATGTGGGCTCTTTTATGGTTCCATATGAACTTTAAAGTAGTTTTTTCCAATTCTGTGAAGAAAGTCATTAGTAGCTTGATGGGGATGGCATTGAATCTATAAATTACCTTGGGCAGTATGGCCATTTTCATGATATTGATTCTTCCTATCCATGAGCATGGAATGTTCTTCCATTTGTTTGTATCCTCTTTTATTTCATTGAGCAGTGGTTCGTAGTTCTCCTTGAAGAGGTCCTTCACATCCCTTGTAAGTTGGATTCCTAGGTATTTTATTCTCTTTGAAGCAATTGTGAATGGGAGTTCACTCATGATTAGGCTCTCTGTTTGTCTGTTATTGGTGTATAAGAATGCTTGTGATTTTTGCACATTGATTTTGTATCCTGATACTTTGCTGAAATTACTTATCAGCTTAAGGACATTTTGGGCTGAGACGATGGGGTTTTCTAGATATACAATCATGTCATCTGCAAACAGGGACAATTTGACTTCCTCTTTTCCTAATTGAATGCCCTTTATTTCCTTCTCCTGCCTGATTGCCCTTGCCAGAACTTCCAACACTATGTTGAATAGGAGTGGTGAGAGAGGGCATCCCAGTCTTGTGCCAGTTTTCAAAGGGAATGCTTCCAGTTTTTGTCCATTCAGGGTGATATTGGCTGTGGGTTTGTCATAGATAGCTCTTATTATTTTGAGAGACATCCCATCAATACCTAATTCATTCAGAGTTTTTAGCATGAAGGATTATTGAATTTTGTCAAAGGCCTTTTCTGCATCTATTGAGACAATCATGTGGTTTTTGTCTTTGGTTATGTTTATATGCTGGATTACGTTTATTGATTTTCATATGTTGAACCAACCTTGCATCCCAGGGATGAAGCCCACTTGATCATGTACACCTTTTTTATTAATGTATTTACTACATTTACTTTCAACTTCCAAATATAATGTTAAGCTTTTCATTTCTAAAACAATGAATTGGCAATGAGTTTACTTATATTCACTTGTTTCATAACTTATATTCTCATATCTGATGATTTACAAAGAAAGCAAATCTATCAATCATCTATGTATGAGAAGTACATGAATTTGCTTAAAAAGCACATATATATTTTTTCCAGTTACAAATTATTAAGCACTGTTTCCAAGAAAAAAACTCAAGTGACTTTTTTCCCATATATCCAGAATAATATCTCATTTGCTACAATTGGAAATCATTTAAAGGTAGAAAAGACTGATTGGCAGTTCTTTAATAATAGGTCTGTTTAAAATATCCCAAAATTGTGGTGATGCTAAATTTCATTCTGCTGGCTCTTAGCTCTTCAATGGCACAATCCAAAGCATTGACAGCAGTGGTTTATATGGTCTGCTATAGCTAAGCCAGAGAGTACATGCCTAGTACCACAATGTGGCACTGATTTTGGAATTACCAAGCAATCTTCATAAACTAGAGTATAATCTACAAGTTTCTAACATCTACTTGCTATCTGAGTTTTAAAAGTAACTACACATTTGCATCAAAAAAATTAGTATGGGTGATTACAAGAATGTTATACAGGATATAAAACTAAAAGCTGCTTTATAAATATTCAAATATCAGAGTTGTGTTGTACATATTAGAAAGCTAGTTATTACTAAATTTTATGGTGGAAGAAGCATCTGTACCTCTCTCCCTGCCTGGCTTCCTTCTACACGGTATGTGATGCTCTTTCAGTTTAGCAGTCCATAGATGGCTTGTGTTAGTCAGCTCAATTAGACGCCTGCCTTATTACTGGAACAGAGGGTTTTCTGTGTCAGGGGTTCTTGCCTTGGTGTATCAGAAGAATGGGATCGTCGTGGGCTTGAAGAATGAGTGAAAGGTTTCATTGAGTAGAAGTAGTTCTCAGCAGATGAGGGAGCCAGAAAGGGGACGGTTTTCCCCTGGAGTCGGGCTGCTCTCCAACCACCCCAGTCAAACTCCGTGTTGTTCTGCCAGTTGGTGGCCTGCCTGCATGCTCCCCTGGACATCCTCTTGACGTCCAGACATTTGTTTCTTCTTCTGCTAATCCACTCCTCTTGATGTCCAGCCACTTGTGTGCTTGCCTGCTAGAGTCTCAGGGGTTTTTATAGGCACATGATGGGGGCGTGGCAGGGCAGTGTGGTCTTGGGAAATGCAACATTTGGGCATGAAAGCAGGAGTGCCTGTCTTCACCTAGGTCCCGGGGCACAAGTCAGGGGTGGAGCCCTTGCCAGGTTCCTAAGCTTCTCCTCCTTGCAGTTCCCTGCCCCTATTCCATATCGCTTTCTTTCCCATCCTCCTCCTCTTCCTCTTTCTCCTCCTCCTCTTCCTTTCCCTCATCCTCCTCCTCCTCTTCCTTCTCCTGCTTCGTCTTTTTTGAGATAGGGTCACATTGTGTATCTGAAGCTGAAATGCAGTTGTGCAATCATAGCTCACTTCAATCTCAAATTACTAGGCTCAATCAATCCTCTTGCCTCAGCCTCCTGAGTAACTGACACTACAGGCATTCACCTCCATGTCCTGCTATTTTATTATTATTATTATTTTTTTTTTTTATTTTTAGAAATGGGCTCTCTCTAAGTCATCTAGTTTGGTCTCAAACTCCTGGGCTCAATGGATTCTCCCACTTAGCCTCACAAAGTGCTGGTATTATAGGCATGAGCCACTGTTCCTGGCCTTGAGTCCTGCTTATATCCCCCTTCTTTCTCAGATGGGAGGTAGCATCAATATATGTGTTAGAAGCAAAGTCCTTTTGGGGCACATTTTATACTGCACGGGATCTACCTTAGATCCCCCTCTTTTCTGTTACTCCTTTCTTTCAGACATTGGCAAAGTCCAATCACCAAGGCAGTTTGGTTTTTCCATTTCTCAAAATCTACCTGGCTTAGTGGTACTTAGACTCAGGGAGGGGTGAGCCTTGGGTTTCCATTCTCTGAATAGCCCCCTGAGCAACATACTGAATTGGCCTATTTCAAAATTAGGGGAAGTAAAAAGGCCCAGATTACATGGGAAGCCTAAACTCCATGATATGTTTTAGATTTTTTTCAATACCTACTCCTTGTTATTGTGCTAATGAAGTTACCCATTAAAACATAACTCCTTCATAACTCCTTTCTGATAACATTTGTAGTGTGTACCCCTCAGTAATCCTGTAAACAAAAGTACTAAATGACAGGGCAGAATTTGTTGATATCTGTTACCTGCCTCCAATATCATGATAATACCAAAATGCCACACTGCACCTCCTCATTACCATTCTTTTTTGTTCTTATAAATTCAAGTTATCATTTGGTGTCATTCTCTTTTTTCCAAATTATAAATAGTTTATAACTGTTCATATTAAGCAGAATTTCCATATCATCCACAATGTTAGTACAGTAACTGAAACACAAAGAAGAAATAAGAGGTGGGTGGGGATGCTCATGGTGTATGACCTGATATACTGTAAGGTTTCTCTCTTTTTGTATGTGTCTCCCACAGGCAAGTATCAGTTCTCTCTCTCTCTTTTTTTTTTAGATAAAGTTTCATTCTTGTTACCCAGGCTAAAGAGCAATGGTGTGATCTTGGCTCACTGCAACCTCCGCCTCCCAGGTTCAAGCAAGCCTCTCACGTAGCTGGGATTACAGGCATCCACCACCAGGCCTGGTTAATTTTTTGTATTTTTCATAGAGACAGGGTTTCGCCATGTTGGCAAAGCTGGTCTCAAACTCCTGACCTCAGGTGATCCACCCACCTCAGCCTTCAGTTCAGGTTTTGAAGGAGAGTAGATTATCCAAGATTCATTAATTGTTAGGTATATTTTCCAAAGTGTGAAAAAACAGGAGTAAATTCGATAATGAATCTCTGCAATCCAAAACTATTTAATACAATCAAGAATATCTTTCTTATCTATTATCACAAACATCCTAGTTGCCTCCTTCTAAAAATTTCTTTAAAATATTAAGACACAATTAATTCTACCTTATTAACTCTCTCAAAAGCAAAAATAAATATGTACCATTCAGCATACAAAAGTTACACAGTAAAAGTGAAAGTGTATATGTGTGTGTGTGTATATTTTACATATATATGTGTATATATATATGTGTGTGTGTATATATATGTATATATATATGTGTGTGTGTGTGTATATATATATATATGTGTATATATATATATATATCTTGGTTAATTGGTCCACTCATTAAATTTACGTTTGGTCATCCTTACTCTTAACATATATATATAAATGTAGGTCACTATAAATTTGAAAAATTACCTCCACACAATACATGCTTTCTTCATGATGTCTTAACCTCATTCAGTTCTCAATCATTGCAAATGTAGATAAGCCCACAGTTTGTGGGACAGTTAACATACAGGACAAACACTTGTTTTGTGGTAACTTACTGGGAAGGTAAGTGTGTTCTCTGGTATTTATAGAACTTAGATTGAAGACATTACTGGTATTCTCCAATACGATTGCTTTTAAACAGAATTTAATCTTAAACCTTGAGATAGCATAGGACAAACCCTATAAAATACATTTTTCCTCTACAAAACACAAGATCTTTTTGAAACTTAGTATCTTCAGTTATCATTATTACTGCATTATAAAGCTGATTTATATAATTTTGCATAGCATTGGTCAAAATGACAAGGCAAAATAAAAGAAAATAAAGCATTATTATACAAACAAGAAAAGTCATTGAAAATAATTTAAGGCCTTGAAGTGAATTAATCAGTCTAACTTAAACCTGAAGAATAAACCATTAATTATCCACCTAAAATGCAAGCAATATGTTTTTTTCAGCTTCTGTTCTGTGGACCAAGTAACAGAAACAAATCTTCCTTATGGTTTATGTATTAGAATCCTTCTGGACTTGAATGACTAAAAGTCAATTCCATTTTTCAACTGTTCACGGAAGATTTAGGACTGTTTTAGCCGTGTGTGTGGAATGCCAAACTGTGGACACTGTGCAGATGCTAGTGCTCAGAAGGCTTCTGCTGCTAAGTAAGAGTGAGACTGAATCATGGACTTCCACCTTGATGTTTCCATTATGTCGGTTGCTTGGTTGCTGTTCCAGTTTTTCTTATGTTTACACCCAAGTTGTCGAAGTACACTGCACCTACTAATAATGTCTATGGCTTTTGCTTTCAACTGTTCTGCAATGTGCAAATCTGCAAGGACAAGTGTATCAACAACATTTTCTACTGAGGGATTACTACACAAAGCTTCCTCACACATGACTTTCAGCTGTTCCCAGTGCATGTTTGTCTGCAGCTGCCAACAAGTTGTCAGCCATTTTGTCAAGGTTTAGTTATTTCCCTGTGTTAATGAATCTCATCATTTCTTTAAAAACATCAGGGCCTAAATAATTTATTTCCACTCGATTCTTTATGTTTTCTTCCATTTCATGTTCAAACATGGCATTAAAAACTGGGGATGGAGGTACCAGCAGATTTATGAGCTTTAAATTCTTGTCCTCTCACAAAAAACTACAGTCTGTACATCTTGTGTTTTCACAGAGATTACATAAATCTTCTCCTAGTCGACACTCAGCCACCTTCAAAGTATTTGTATTAGTATGTCCTGATATGTTTACTGAATCTAGTACCACACTCATCTCACAAAATAATGTAAGCTCGTCATCTGGTAAAAGACCTTCAGCTTCGTCAAGCAAATGGTCCCTTCTAATGAATTTTTGTTAACATCGTTCTTGAGCAGTTGTTGGCTGAAGATTAATTTGATGAATGCAATTTTTCTAAAATGGATGATTTGGATGTTAGCTGTTTAGAAATAGCTCCAAAAAAAGTTTTTGTAATACATGTTCACACTGAAAATGAAACAGATTTGCTTCAGCCTCCAAGAGTGTATTTATGTGAAATTAAATGAGTGCTGGCTGTGAGCTGTACCCTTTTCTTCCTAAACTGGAAAATGGTAAAGAGGTGTGATTTCAAAAAGTTGCCCAGGCTGGCCTTGAAATTCTGGCTTCCGGTAGTCCACCCTCTTCAGCCTCCTGAGTAGCTGGAACTATAGGTGCATGCCACTGCAGTCAACTTCTCCTAATATGTTTAAATAGTTGCCTCTAAAAACAATTTTCACTATTTATTCTTGTCACATTTTGGAGCTGATACCTGGTACTTTTTATGCTACCAATCTGGAAGTGGCTGGGTCATGTTTTCTTCTAAAATGTCTGTCTGCCTTCTTGTCATAAATTTGTTCTGCCTCAGCATTGATTTTTAGGCTTAACATGAGTTGTTTAAGATCTAGTCATAGCTTGTCACTTTTGGCTTTGTTAAAACTTCCCTTCCTCAAGTAGTTGATTGAGGTAGAGTCTACTTGGTTCTCATCCTAATGACCCAGAAATGCAACACATCACGGAAGTGATGACCATGATATAACCTAATGATCAATACCAGAGTCGTATAATAATTTTCCCCTTCATGTGTTTTCCCTTAAGCTAGCCATTCCTCAACTCCTGCAGAGAAGCCTAGGAAATAATACCCATGGTCCTTAATAAAAGTCCTCCCACAGAGGTTCCCCCTCACACTTCTATGCAGGTGGTTGAGCTCTCTGCCACTTCTGGACTTTCTTTCAGTTTTCTATCATCATCCCTAACATCACTTAGGAACTGTGAGTAATAAATTTCTTCTATTTTATGTATTTTGTTCTTCCTTTCTCATTTCATTATATTTTACCTCACTCATATATCTGAAACTCACTTCCCCACCTCCATCAGAACTTTCCAGGGTCTTGGTTTAAGGCCATTCTCAAGAAAGAGACTTCAATATAAAATTGGAAAGAACTCATAACAATGTAAATCACAGCACCTCTGAATATATTTAATAGAGCAATTAAAACATAAAAGTTTAATTTTATACATCATAGAATTGCTATTTAGAAATAGGAGATGTTAGAAGAAAAAATAAAACACTTTGTCGAAGTTATATACATATTTGCAATTTTTTAAGTAATATTACCCAATAGGTTATACAATCATGCCAACTCATAATTCCAGGTTGCAAGGCATGAAGGAGGGGAGAATGCGAGATGACTCTCTAATGGGTATAAAGCTTCCTTTTGTAGTGAAAAAATAATAATTTGGATCTGGATAGTGGTGATAGTGGCACAACATTTCAAATATGTTAAATGCCAATGAATCATACAGATTAAATGCGTAAAGTGTAAAATTTTGTGGTGTGAGATTCCTATATCAATTATTTTTTTTTTTAAAAAGTGGCTGACCAGATTTGAGAAACCAAGAGGCCATAGTTTGTCAGCCCTTGGTTTATGCTACAAATTTATTTCCCACATGCTTGAAATAGTAAATGCTGTCATTTTTATCATTTGCATTAGAAACATAACATGTTTTGAAACTATAATATATTATGCAATTATATAAACACTAAAGTTATTTTTATGGAAATTTTTTGACTTGTTTAATGATAATAGTGCAAATTTTATTTTGCTGTACACACAGTTGTTAGTGCTTTGCAATATTAATGAATTCATTCTTTTGGTAACCCCATGATAGTGATAATGCTATGACAATCATTGCAATTTCATTGGTGAGGAAGCTGAGGCAAATAAAGTCCAAGTAACCTGTCCAATCCCACATCATTATATGGTGGTTTCTAAGACTTGAATCAAGGCCTTCTGGATCCAGAGTGCCAGCTCTTAACCACCGTGTTATGCTGACACTCCTCTTTGGGGTACATATATTTTCAAAGTGTAGTATCACAGTTTCCCACTTATGTAGATATATATTAATTGTAATTTTATTACAAATGTATAATTTAAGATATGTAGAATTATTATTCCAGGTGTGTATCACTGCATAACAAATAGTTTTCAAATGTAGGGCCTTAAAACAACTGTAATCATTTCATTATCATCTCTCAGAGTCTGTGTGTTAGGTGGGCTCAGTTGTGTGTTCCTTCCAATGAGTTTCTTAGGTAGCTACTTTTCTATGGTGCCTGGGTCTATAATTATTTGAAGATCATTCACTTACATACTTAGTGATTCGTGTTGAAAGGTTCCAAGTCCTAGTGAGCTACCAGGATTCCTTAGGCATATATTTGTGTCTCTCTACCAAATTGTCATTTGTTATGGGGACTACTGACTGAGTTGTTGAGGTGTTGGGTAATAGTGACAGAAAAAAAGACATGAAAAGAAGAGACAGAAAGAGAGAAGGAGAAACAGAGCGAGAACATGCTCTGTTTCCAGCAGAGCTTTGAAAACTTAGCTGCATTATTTTCACTACCTTCTTTTAGTTGAGACAGTTACAAAGTTTGCCAAACTTCAAAGGGAGGGGATACTACTTGATAGGAAAATTGTCAATGTATTTATAGTCATATCTCAAAATAACAACACATATAACCTTTCAAAGAAGGCAGCAGAAGTTATTAAACTATCATATGATTCATAAAATATTAAAAATAGTACAAGAAAAAAATTACATGAATTTAGATTTCTACAATTACTGCAATTTTTAAACATTGTATTTTATTTATTCAAACATATTTTCAAAAACAGAACAAATGTTCTAAAAACAAGCTGCAAGTGGATAAAATAGATAACATACAAGAAACATTATCAAGTTTTTTGAATGACACTAATAAATTAATTTGTGATGTTACATTTTGGAACTTCCTGTCTTGAATTGCTGTGTTCATTTCACAAATTAAACTTTAAATCTCATAATTAATACATGAAAACGTTTGTGAAAAGTTAAACATTGCAGAATTATATAGAATAAAAATTTAAATTCTCATCCTTGTAATTACATGTATTTTTCAAGATTCTTTCTTCTTTGTAACAGTTTACATATACTTTATTTCATTGAAAAAATACGTTTTTTTGTTTTTCTGGAAACTACTTTTTCTGTTTAGCAATGTGATAATGAACCTGTTCTCTGCAATGGCTACCCTCATACATTTGTTGGAGGTACATGTGTTCATTGACTGAAAGCCATTTAAGTGCTGGAGAAATCATTCTGTTCATACATGTGCTTATATGCACGGATTTCTGCATGACAGATTCCTAGATGTAGAACTTCAGTTTCAAACGGCATATTCACATTTTATTTAAAAGTGTTATTTCAAATTTACTTCCTCAAAAATAGATTTCTCAGGTTTTTATAGGGTGAAAATCTTCTCTATGACATCAATTTGTTGGCATTATTTCTATTTTACTAAGCATCAGTAACTTTTTAATCTTTTATATCTTATGGGCCATTTTTACTTCGAATTGCTTCTTCATATTTTAATCAATTTTTTATTAGATTGTTTGTCGGTTTTGGTTAGTGATTTCTAGTACTCACTGAACAATGGATACCAATCTTTTGTTATGCGTGTTATAGGATAGGTTTTATGTGAATTAATACAGGTTTATAAGCATGATAAAACAACATTATTAATCTTTGGCACTATATAAGTTCTGCTTTTCTTTATATCTTTATTAATTCCTAGAAGATTTGCATAAAATTTTCTATAATTCCTCCATCTTATCAATGTTTTAGAGTGTGTGTGTGTGTGTGTATATATATATATATATATATATATATATATATAAACGTGATTTATCTATGTCTATGTAATTATAAATATATATATATATATAAATATATTTGTTTTTAATCACACCTTGTGCCGGAGAATATTTTTTGTGAAAATTGGTAAATGGTAAGACTTTTTAGTGACAAAGACAACTAGGTTTCTGTCAATCTGGACTAGTTTGATCATAAAATGCTTCGCTGATATGTAGATTAAAGGAGATTGATGGCTTAATTTAAGTATTTTCCACAAAATTTATAAACTTCTTGTATTCTTTGTAAATATTTTTGACTTACTAAAAAATTTATGTTTCCATATTACATTTGTAGGAGGGATGAATCAAAAATCTCTGTGGAAAATAAAAAAATAGATATGATCATTTAAAATATAGTTATGTAGAATAATAATAATTATTTCAAGCTGTCTTCAAAACACACTTTGAATTTTAAATTCAATAACATACCTATTAGCTAGTTAATTGATGCTGTGTCTTGTTTTAAAAGAAATGGACATGTATATGTACATGTATGTTTAACAAGATTGAAAATTCACTAAGTCCCTTTAGAGTGCAATTTCTATATGATCACAACCTAAAATTAAGGACTTACATTTTTTATTAAAGGCCAAAAATGATAATAAAACCCATATGAAATTTAGGATTTTTTTTTCTAGTTCTCTTAAGCATGATGATTGTATTTTGATGAGAATTGAATTGCATTTATAGATTTATTTTGGCAATATGCTCATTTTCACAAAATTGATTCTACCCATCCATGAGCATGGGATGTATTTCCATTTGTTCGTGTCATCTATGACGTTTTTCAGCAGTGTTTTGTAGTTTTCTTTGTAGAGGTCTTTAACCTTCTTTGTTAGGTATATTCCTCATATATTCCTCAGTAATTTGTTTTGTTTTCCTTTCTTTCTTTTTTTTTTTTTTTGCAGCTATTTTCAAAATGGATGAGTTCTTTATTTGATTCTCGGCTTTGAAACCTGCATAGTCAAAGAAAGACTACAAAAAAGAACAAACCTAGAGGCATTACATTACCCAATGTATTATAAGGCACATTAAAAGTTACCAAAACAACATGGTATCAGTATGAAAACAGGCATGTACAGAATAGAGATTCCAGAAATAAAGACAAATACTTATAGCCAACTGAACTTTGACAAAGCAAACAAAAACATAAAGGGGAAATGACACTCTATTCAACAAATGGGGCTGGAATAATTGGCAATCCACATGTAGATGAATGAAACTTCACCTTTGTCTCCCACCTTATAAAAAATCAACTCAAGATGGATCAAATAGTGAAAACTAAGATCAGAAACAATAAAAAATTCTAGAAGGTAACACTGGAAAAACTCTTCTAGACATTGGGTTAGGCAAAAACCTCATGACCAAAAATCCAAAAGCAAATGCAACTAAAACAAAGATAAATAGTTGTGATTTAATTAAACTAAAAAGCTTCTGCCAGCAAAAGAAATAATCAGCTGTGTAAACAGACAACTCACAGAGTAGTGGAAAATATTCATGAACTATGCATCTCACACCAAAAGGCTAATGTCCAGAATCCACAAATGGCTAAAAAAAAAAAAAAAAGAAAAAAACCCATCAAAAAGTAGCCTAAGGTAATAAATAGACAATTCTTAAAAGAAGATATATAAATGGCCAACATATATGAAAAAATGCTCAACTTCACTAATTATCAGGAAAATGCAAATCAAAACCACAATGCAATACCACTATACTCCTGAAAGAATGAATATAATTTAAAAATCCAAAAATAATAAAATGTTGGCATAGATGTGGTAAAAAGGGGACAGTTTTATGCTGCTATGGGAATGTAAACTAGTACAACTACTATGGAAAACCATATGAAGATTCCTGTAAGAAATAACAGTAGAAGTACCATTTAATCCAGCAATCCCACTACTGTGTATCTTTACAGAGGAAAGGAAGTCTTTATATGAAAAAGACCCACACACATATATGTTTCCAACAGCACTGTTTGCAATTAAAAAAAAAAGAATGGAAGTAGCCTAAATGCCCATCAACCAACCAATAGGTGGATAAAGAAAATGTATACACACACACACGCGTGCGCGCACACACACACACACATATACACACACATATACATACTATATATATATACACCATGGAATACTACTAAGCCATAAAAATAAACAAACTAATGGCATTAACAGCAACTTGTACAAAGTGGGAGGGCATTATTCTTAGTGAAGTAATTCAGGAATAGAAAACTGAACATTCTAAATTGTCACTTATAAATGGGATCTAAGCTATGGGGATGCAAAGGCATAAGAATGATATAGTGGGTTCTAAGGATTCAGAGGAGAGGGTGGGAGGGGGTGAGGGATACAAGACTACACATTGAGTGCAGGGTACACTTCTCATGTGATGTGTGCACTAAAACCTCAGAAATTACCACTAAAGAACTTATCCATCTAATCAAACACCACCTGTTCCCAAATAGCTATTGAAATAATTAAAAATATGAGAATAAAATCAAACAGATGAATATTTTTAAATATCTGGAAAAAATAGAATTGGCTTGTGAAACCAAAGATGTTGCAGAATAGTTCAAATTTACAGTAGGAAGCAGGAAAGAGTGGCTATATTTCTAATTCCACATAATTTCCACTGAGAAATGACTTATGTGCTTAAAACAGTAAACATTTGGCCATAAATTTTAGCAAAAAATGTGACAATAAAGCTGCATGCATCATAAAAGCCAAGCAATACTACTCATCTCAAAATATCAAAACGAAGAGAGAGACTTTCTAAACAATTTAACTATGTAATAGTTTCTTCAGCAACAGTTAAAACAACAGAATCCTGTTCAAAATGAAGCTAAATTATTCTGAGTATGTTCAAAACAGTACTGATACTGTCAGTAGACTTCTTAATGTTCTTGTGTTTATGTAAAATGTGTGAAATATAGTTAAGCTGAGTAAATTTTTTTCATGTAACTTGTGAATTAGAACAACAAATTTCAATATAAGTGCAACAAATTTCAATATGAGCTTGTACGGCTTTATGTTATTTTTTATTTTCCCTAGTGTTTTCTTCATTGCCACAAAATATTTCTAACCATTAACTGGGTGGTAAATCTCTGAAAAACAAATTTTTACTTGACAAGGTAGATTTCGAAAAGATTTTTTTTTTTTTGTCACAGGAAGAAAGAAATCTTGCATCACAATATTTATTGCTGGAATCAACTGAAGTATCCCTATCTATCAGGTTTTCCAGCTTCAAATCTCAGATTTAACTAATCCCTTTTTCCTTTCTTTCCTTTTCTAGCGAACTTCCAGAAACAAAACAGACAACACTTTGTGATGATAAATAGCACAGTTGCCACACAGGCCAGCAGGAACCCAATCACATCCAAAGAGTGGTACTGGAACCAGGTGAGGTCATGGGCTGCAACTCGAAGGTGTTTGGCTCCTTTGTGGCGCATGACAAATTCAATCCAGAAGACTGCTCGATCCAAGGGCTTCACTGGTTGATCATGATGAATTCTTGATGATTTCATAATATTCTCTTTATATCTGAAGGATAAAAATAAAGATACCAACACTGAAAGTAAGTTAATTTGCCTGTACATATCAAGTCTATGAAAGGCATTTAAAGTGTCAAATAATTCAAAGTAAATGTCAAAGAATTGACATAGAATTTATGTATTTTAATTTGAGTCATCATAGAAAGTTTGGCTTTTAAATTGGACTTTTCTCATTAACAAATATTTTTAAAGTAGAAAAGGAAGGTCAGGTGAGAAAGTTATTTTTTCAAGCAGAGAAAGTATGAGGCATTTTTAATTTGTTTTTAATTTTTTAATTTTAAGTTTTTGTGGGTCCATATTAAGTGTACATATTTATGGGGTATATGAGATGTTTTGATACAATGTGAAATAATCACATCATGGAAAATAAGATACTCATTCCTTAAGCATTTATCCTTTGTATTATGAACACATTCCACATTACACTATTAGTTCTAAAACAGGCATATTAGAATGTGCTCAACATCATGAGCCATTTTAAGTGCTATAAGAAAGATGTGAAAATGCAATCTGAGAATTATCATCTCTCAGGTCCTAAAAAGGAATTTTATCATGGTGGGTGACATGCCTCATAGCTAGTCACTTTGCTTCTAGATTACTCTTTTTTCTCCTACTGTTTCCTACCCTGTAGCCAGAATGATGTTTTGCAATTAAAGTGAGATTATGGCACTCTCCTGATTAAGATTTTTGCCTGGCTTCTCATTATTTTCAGAAAAAAATCCAACTCTATTATTTGGTCTACAGAACCCTACATTGTTAGACACTGGCAAGATCTTTTTCTAACACTTTTTCCCTGCACACTGTCTTCTAGATTGGCCTACTATTTTCCTTTAAGCTTCCAAAGGTGTTCTCATCTTAGCACTTTACACATTTTATCCCTTCTCTCCCGCTCTTGGAGTATTCTTTCTTGCTACACCCAAGGCATGCTTCTCTCTCTTGTTGTAGCTTCCCTCTAAGTGTTACCTCTAAGAGAGGCTTTTACTGGCCACACTCTGATGGAACCTCTAGGATTTTCTCTGTTTACTGTGCTTATTTTCTATCTGATTCCTAGAATTTTTAAAATGATTTATATATCTCATAAAATATACATTTAAATATAAAATACAAAAGATAAATATACTTGCACTAAGTGAATAGTTCAAAAATGGAAGATCCTCTTGAACATTATCTTGAGGCGAAGATACCAATTTACTTATTGTTCAGTTCATGGTATAGGATATCACAACCTGCCTAGAATAGCTCTCTTTTTCTGAACCATTTAGTCACCACTTTTGTCCACCAACTAAAGATTAGCCTGACTTTGAATAGCAGCACTAGTTTTGCTTGTTTATGTAATTGAATTATATAATATGTACTCCTTAGTGTCTGTTTTTTTTAATATAGCAGTTCTTGGGTAATTCCATTGCTGTGTAATATTTTGTTGATTGATAAAGCACAAACTATGTCTTCATTTTATGTTGAATATATATTTCTGTTGCTAACGATTTTTGGACACTGTTGATAATTCTGTCATGAACACTCTTCCATATACCATTAGATTTATATATTTATACATATCTGTTGTGTATATAATTGAGAGTAGAATTGCTGAGATAAAAGTGCATGCATAATTATGATTTACTTCTTGACTTTAAATTTTTTTGAAGTGTATTTTGTTAATTTCCAAAATTTAAAGATATTTTAGTAATAGTATTTATAACATCCCTTACTTCCACTATGGCTGGATCATATAGTCTTTATGATATTGAATCTTTTTATATTTCCTAAGTCTTGATTTATTTCCCACCACATGCCACTTCAAACGACTATTAACTATTCGACATGCTCTAGGAAAATGTGTCTTCCAGTTGATATATACGATACCTATACGTGTATTGTATATGTACATATGTGTGTGTTTATCATTTTACATTATAAGATTCCATTTGTTAATTGTGTTCTTCAAATGTTTTATGTTCTTACTCATTATTTGCTCTTTTTTTAAAAGTCTGTTTAGATTGAGTGAAAGTATTTGTATAATCACATTTAAATCTACCACTTTGTTTTATATTTCTTTTCTATTTGTCCAAGCTGGTTTTTGTTTCTTTTCAATTATTTCCCATCTTCTTTAAAGGTATTTTGATCATTCATTATCCTTCTATTTTCTTTGTGATACAATATTTTTAAAGTATTCCTTTAGATGATACCCTCCTTACACAAAAACTTTATTGAGAGTAGTTATAAATGCGGAATTGATGGTAGCTGGACTCCACAAGGAATTTTGCACATTGTTATCTTTGGGGTGTGAATAAAATCAATTATTAAAATTTAACTTAAAATTATATTTTTTGTGCTTCAAAGACCATCATCAAAAAGTAAAAAGTTTGGTCACCCAGAATGGGACAAAATATTTAAAAATTATATATCTGACTTGACCCATAATATATAAATAGTTCTTAAAACTTAATAGTAAGACTAATAGCAAAGTTAAAAATGTTCCAAGGATTGGAGTAGACATATTTTCTAAGAAGATATATGAATGATCAATAAGCACATATAAAGATTCTCAACATCTTTAGCAGTAATGAAAATGCTATCCAAGACGAAGATGAGAGATCATTTTATATGCACTAAGAAGTATGTAAGAAAAAGACAGATAATAAGAGGTTTGGCAACAGTGTGGAGGAATTGGAACCATGTTGTACTGCTGGTGGTAGTGATGAATGGAACAAGTACTTTGGAAAACAGTTTAGCAGTTCTTCATAAACATACAGTTCTCACATGAGCCAGCAATTCCACTTATAGTATCAACCCAAGAGAAAGGAAAACATATTTATGCAAAAACATGTGTAGCAATATTCATAGTAGCCTCAATTGGAAACAATCAAAAGGCCAATGAACTGATAAATGAACAACTAAATTATGACGTATCCATACTACAAAATATTATACAAGTGTAAAAGGAAATTAAATATTAAAACACACAACAACATGAATTAAACTAAAAACCATAAAAAAAAACAACAAAAAATTCGGCTAGGTGAAATGTCATTTACACAGTACCCTAGACTGTATGATTCCATTTATATGAAATATCTAGAGAGAATAATCTATAGAGAAAGAAAACAAATTGGTGTTAGACTATGACTAGGCAGTCATGGGAGGTGATTTTGGTGTCATTGCAGTTTCTTTTGTGTTGATAAAAATGTTCCAAACTTATATACTGGTGATGACTTAATGACTCTGTAACATAGTAAAAATATTTGGAATTTTTGCCATAAATAGATGGGTTTTATGCTATCAAAATTAAATCTCATTTTCAAGTCTGTTACAATAATGATAATAAAAATTAATTTTTCAGCAAGAAAATAGTTATATTCTGAGACATTTTAGATATTTAATTAAAACATTTTATTATATTATTTCAAGTTTATTCTTCCTTTCTACTATGGATTCATTATGTCAAATTTTTAAGAAATTTTTTTATATTATCTATATCATTTTAAAATTATTTTTGTTTAGAAAATTGTTTCACTAACTGGTTACTCACTAGATGTATGGGGTTCAAATACAATTTTTAAATAACATAAAAAATAAAAGCAGATTTTGGATTGGTTAAATCATTTAAATGCTTTCAAAATTACTCTCATAAAAAGGATGAAACTTATGCTAACTACTGACAAAAAAACTATCTATTAATACCACCTAGTGAAAAATATTGTTCTACTCACGAAGGATCATTAATTACTGTCTTCAGTGCATTCAGCAGGTCTGTACTCGACATTGTGTTGAAGTCCACTCTAACAGCTGTTCCCTTGGCCTTCATGTGAGCAATGTTATCAGATTGATCAAAAAACAATGGAATGCCCACCATAGGGATCCCATGGTAGATTGTCTCGTAGATGCCATTGGCTCCACCATGAGTTATAAAAGCTCTGGTTTTTGGATGACCTAGGATTGGATGAATGTTAGCAAAATTATTCATAGGAATAAAATGAGATGCACAATGAAAGGCTCTGAAAGTGACAGTGTTTTCTAGATTACACATTGAACTAATTTGCTATTACTTTTCAGACTTCAGAGGAAAAAACAGGTACTTGTGTTGGAGATGTAACTGAAGGCTATATGGTGTGTGTGACTTCAGACTGCAAAACTTAATACAAGATTTCCAGTTGGACTAATGAAAAAGGGCATTCTAGATTTTAAAAATGTGCACAAAAGAGGACAGCAAAGAGATGGGCATGAAATGAAGTGTTATTCTAAGTACAGTCACAGAGTGTGATATGTGGGGTGTGCAAGGCAGCAGGCAGTGGCTTGGTGGTGGTGCTAGGATTGAGGAGAGACAGGTCACACTTCATCATGAAATGTGTCATTACTTTAAGATTAAGATTAGGAATTTAGTCCTCCAGAAAATACAGAGTCACTGGTGATAGAAGAGCTATTATATTTAGTGGCATTTGAAATAACCCTGCAGGAGAGGAAAAA
The DNA here is from genome assembly GCF_000001405.40 of Homo sapiens. Classification (NCBI taxonomy): domain Eukaryota; kingdom Metazoa; phylum Chordata; class Mammalia; order Primates; family Hominidae; genus Homo; species Homo sapiens. The sequence continues at coordinate 69,009,611 of NC_000004.12, forward strand.
ACAGGTGTAAAGCTGTAGAAATAGGAGACAGAGGGACAGCCCGGGAAGATATTGTAAAATTCTGTGAGATATAATAACACCTGAAATAAAGATTCTCTCTGATTCTGACCGTGAAGAATGTGAGTGTATATCATAAAATGCTAACAATTATAGCTAATTTTTCCCCCTAGGACTGGAAAATAAATATAAAGAAGTTACATTTTGTTTTCCTTAACAAATATTCAATAAGCTTGTTTCATGATGAACTATTAACACTCTAATACGCTGTTACTAATATATCCAGTATTTGTTCACCAGAGTTTTACCTAGAAGGTCATTCTGGGGTATCCACCTGTACAGCCGAGTATTGAGACCTAAGGCATCTGGTTTATTCCCATCAAATCTCCAAAGAACCTGTTACAGTAAAGAGAATATCTTATTCCACGAGTGGAACTCAAAAGTTATAAAATGTTAGAACTGTAAAAAGAGTAGAAATGAGATCAAGGGATGATAGTAAATAAATCTATTCAAAGACCGCTGTAAAAAGAATACCCACAGTTTATTTTCTGAACTTTAATGATTTAGGTATATAAGAAACCATTATTTTCCAAAATAATACCTTAGAAAAATAAGATTATCAATGAAAAGTTCAAGTATTTAGAAAATTGTTATGTTTTTTAAAAGAAGAACTACCTGCGGCTAACCATCATATGAAGAAAAAAAGTTGAACATCACACATCATTAGAGAAATTCAAATCAAAACCACAATGAGATAACATCGCACACCGGTCAGAATGGCCATTATTAAAAACTCAAAAAATATCATGATGTTGGCAAGGTTGTATGGAAAAGGAATTCTTATACTCTGTTGGTTGGAATGTAAGTTAGTTCAATCATTGTGGAAGACAGTGTGATGATTACTCAAAAACCTAGAGACAAAAATACCATGAAACCCAGCAATCCCATTACTGGGTATATAACCAAAGGACTATAACTTGTTCTTTCATAAAGATCCATGAAAGTGCATGTTAGTTGCACTACTATTCACAATAGCAAGGACATGAAATCAACCTAAATGACCATCAATTATGGACTGAATAAAGAAAATATGGTATATATGCACTACAGAATATTATGCAGCCATAAAAAGAACAAAAATATGTATTTTGCAGGGATAAGGATTGAGCTGGTGGCCATTAGCCTTAGCAAACTAACATAGGAATTGAAATCCAAGTGTAACATGTCCTCACTTATGAGTGGAAGCTAAAAGATGAGAACACATGTACACATAGACGGCAACAACATACACTGAGATGTGTTGGAGGGTGGAGGATGGGAGGAAAGAGAGGATCAGGAAAAATAATAAACGAATATTAGTCTTAATACCTGGGTGATGAAACAATCTGTACAACAAACCCCCATGACACAAGTTTACCTATGTAAAAAACCTGCACATGTACTCCTGAACTTAAAATAGAAGTTAAAAATAAAGGTTAAATTAATTTAATTTAAAAAATAAAAATATTCTAAAAAAAGTATAAAAAATTATAGGGAGTCATTGCAATTCTGGTGTAAAAAAACAGTAACAATTTAGTAATGACCTATATGTTTATTTTGTTTTATGTATTTTATATTAGTTTTCATCTCCAAATTTAATTGTAATGTATTCGTTTCTTTTTGAGTAATATGAGTAGTTCCAATATATCTACTTGTCTGTAGGTTATTATATTAGAGCCTGTTGTCCTTTGATTGACAAAATAGCAAGTCTATAAAATAAGCTACTTACAAGAAATAAATAAATGCTGCAAGGGTTTTATGTATAACTTCGTTGGAATTACAAATTATCAAGCACTACTTCCAAGAAAAATTTCAAGTGACAATTTTTGACACAAATTCAGAGTATTACCAACCAGTATTGCTAATTTTGGATTTTTTTGGCATAGAAATGAGGAACATGTTGGTATCATGAATAAAAATAAAGCTTTTCAATAACCTCAAAATTGTATTTTGCTGAATTTGGTCAACAGATTATTAACACTTAGACAAGGTGCTACAAAGCTTTGACAACAGTGATTAATATGTTCTTCTATAGCCAAGACATTTTTATGTTTAAGTTACTAATTTTGAAACTCCAAAGCAATCCTCATAAACTGAACAATAATTTTCAGTGTTTAATTTTATTTGCTACATGAGTGTTAATGTAACTCAGGTTTAAGCAAAATTTAGAGGCCATTACAAGAAAGCTTTATCAGATAAGAAATTAAAAAGTAATTGACAGATACACAAAGGTCACTGGTTTATTCTATATAGAAGAAAATATATTCCTACTATGTTCTATGGAGGGGGCATCTGAACCTGTTCCCCTGCCTGGCTTCCTTCTGTTTGTCTCCTTCCTATATTTCCTTCTGCTGCGTCCATTGGGAGGGGTTGTTAATCTGGTAATTAGTGCTGAGTCCTTGTGGGGCCACATTTTATACTGGACAGGATCCACCTTCAGGTCAGGATCCATCTCCATCCTTTCCCTTTCATCTTCCTGCTTCAGATATTGGCTGGGCCCAGTCCAGCAGGGCAAGCTGCTTTTCCTCTTTCTCTAAATCTACCTGGTTGTGTGGGTACTTGGACTAGTTGTCTGTTGGCCTAGGCCACTCTTTCTCTGAATAGTAGCCTGAAATATCATTCAGATAGGCCTATTCCAAAATGTAGAGGAAGTACCTGAGGCTGGATAACATGGCAAGCCTCAACTGCATGATGCATGTCAGACTTTTTGAAATACCTGCTATTGTTATTTTGCTAGTGAAGTCACCCATTAAAACATAACTTTTTCTGATAACATCTGTAGTGTGTACAGTGCAGTGCCATCAGGAATTCTTAAACAAAAGGGTCAAATGACAGGGGCAGAATTTGGTGATAACTCTTACCTGATCCCAATAACATGATAATATCGATACTTCACCTACATTTCTTAAATAAATTTATTCCTGGTCATATTATTAATGCCAAATTTATTATAAATGAAAAACAGCCTCTATTATTATAGCATCGTCCATGTATATTTTTGATTTTGAACTAATATCTGAGATAATTAGTTCTTTCCCAAAAGCTAAATTTTTAGGCCTGAACTTTCTTATTTGTCATATTCATAAAGTTTATTTTAAAAAATTGTTTAAAACTTACCATACAGGAATATTTATTAATATACTTAAAAAGTTTGTTCCCTATGCTGAAGTAAAATACATTAGTGACATCTTCCAGGCACCATGTTTATAAAAGTAAAACTTCTAAGTCCTGAAATATACTACAGTAGAGTCTATAGTTTACTAGTTTACTTTTTTTGAGGCAGAGTCTGGCCCTGTAGCCCAGGCTGGAGTGCAGTGGTGCGATCTTGCCTCATTGCAACCTCCACCTCCTCGGTTCAAGCGATTCTCCTGCCTCAGTCTCCTGAATAGCTGGGGTTACAGGCACACACCACCACTCCTGCCTAATTTTTTGTATCTTTAGTAGAGATGGGGTTTCACCATATCGTTCAGGGTGATCTCGACCTCCTGACCTCGTGATCCGCCTGCCTTGGCCTCCCAAAGTGCTGGGATTACAGGTGCAAACCACCGTGCCCAGCCTATAGTTGACACTTTTAATCACAGGATTAGAATTCATTCTTTTTACTCCCCTACTCTCCACACGTGCCAGTTATTATTCCTATATTAATGACATTCGATCATGTATACTACCACAGATCCTTAAATAGAGTATATACTGCATAATGACCACCAGAGCCAGTCTTCTCTATTTGTTGCCACGTATTTCATATAAGCATTTGACTTAAAGTACAAACAAAAATACTACATTCCTTAATTGTAAACATTCACCAAGGGCTTCCAGAGTACAAGTAATAGAGGTGGCCCAAGTGTTAGTCAAGTGTTCTTCACCCATTGGATACTGCTGAGATTAGGAAAACTCTTTTGAAGAAAATTATCATAAATCTTACTTGTATTTCTACAAGGATGCAGTTGTGGATATATATTTTTAGTTGAAAATACCTGAAAGTCATTCTAAAGACTACATTAAGCACCATTTTCACTTAACTGAAATATATTGAGTTAAATTCAGCAGTAGGTATGACTGTTAATATCAGAAATTAAAAATAACTGTGGGTCTCAAGCTCCCTTTTGTGGATACATATGGAGTACTGAGTTCCCACTGATGCTAATAGGAATCACTCATGCATACCAAGGGTAGTAACTACCCCAGGGCCACATGTAATCACTAAGTCTGAGGCACAACTATTACTTCTGTCAGTGGATGCTATACAAGCATATTTAAGGCTGTATTCGCCTATAAAGAGTTCAATCTACTCTTTAATATTCTTTCTATGTAGATCACAAACTTTAACAGCCTCTTTCAGTAGTTTTCCACACCAGTAAGGCACTTTATCTTACCTTTTGTGGGATCTTGGCAAGGGCTGTTGCAATTACATTGGCCCTTTCTGCTGTCATGTTACTGACCATTGACCCCAGAGAAAACACCACAGCACCATATTCTCCAGAGCTCTGTACAAACTCCTCCATTTGCTGTGGAAAAAAAAATGTTTCATCACAAAAGAGTATCACCACAGCAGGCACTACTGAAAGAATTGGTACAAAATATCAAAGAGAGAAAATCCAGTATTTTGAGGAATTATTGGAGTAAATAATATTTTTTAACTGACTCAATCACTGTTTCTTTGCAAGAAGATGTATGAGATAGTTGGCCTCTGTTAAGGATATTTGTGTAAATATGTGTGTGTATGTAGGTATGTGTCTGTATGTGTGTAATGGAGAAAATAAATGGAACTATTACATTGTAGTCAGGGAGATAATGTTAAAAAATATACCCAGACCCTTCACTTATAATACTATAATTACTAATATAAGTTCTTGGAAAAGTGGCACCACTAGGGTTTAATTCTATATTTTTGTTCTACTAAATCACTTGTGTTTATTTCAGGCAGGTTTTCTGTAGAATTCTTTTAGTTTGAAGCCATTAGTGGTTTACTTCCCTAACTATGAGCACTGAGGAAAAGCTACTTACAGTTGGGATAATTTTATATCTACATTTACATTACTCTGCAATGCTTTATGCTTCACTTAAAATTTGTCAGTTTTCCGGTAGTTTTTCAAAAAATGAAATAAAAAATAAAAGTTGGTGGTTAAGAATCACTGACATTCTGGAGTCTAGTATTGTGATCTGGAATTTTTATGAATCAGTCCTTAGAGTCTCATTTATAATACAGAATTGTACAGTTTGTAGTTAGTAGTTGAATAACTGTATTTTTCAGGTTATTGTTCAGGTGGAACACCTATTGCCCTGAAATCACACTGTTAAATTGATGTGCTATTTCTAACTGCATGTGAGGAACTCTCATCATCACTTTGTTGTGTCTCAGAGGCAGCACTGGCACCAGAATAGAAGAGGCCACCAGGCCTTTCTGCAGGGGGATCTTGTCTCTCTTTTGAGTAGCTCACGCACACCACATTACACTCCTGGTGAAGATGTGCTTGGCTGCAACTGATTGAGAATTACTCTGACTTGAGTTCCCCAATGTATACCAATATATAAATTTAAATACTTTCAGATTTAATCATTGGGGTAAAACTTTTCCAAATGGTTTTTAACAAAACAAAGAAAAAAGTGTCTAAATATTAACTGTGCACCACATATTATAGAGCTTTTTCTAAAATATGATTTTTAATCTTAAGTTAACATGATAGTCCCTGTACTATTCCACATAATACTTGGGGCATCTAGGTATTGTGTGTGATTGCAGTTACCTGTAGCCACATTTAATGTAACTCGTGTTCAGTGTTTCACCTCACTAGCTTGATGCCAGAGCCTTATTTTTCTGTGCAGTGTTGAAGGAATCTAACCTCTGTGTAGAGATTCCTCACTGATATTGACTGGTTGTTTCTCCTTTTGTGATAATATTATAAAAATAATACAAAATTAATGTAATAAATTTTATAAAAGTATGAAAAGATTTTTTAAAATAGTTTTTTCTAAAATTTCTATCTAGAGATATTATTTATAGAAAATATGTATTATTTTATTATGGATTTTGTCCTATTTATATAGGTCAATGTACAGATGTGACACTTATTTAGAAAATTTTAATCTTATTGTATATACATTTTCTCCTGCAAAAACTTACCATCTTGTTATATTTATCATTTTCTAATTCACTGTATTTGTATTATGGCTGACAGCGTAATTGAACATTTCATTGATAAAATTATTTTAGTGCTATCATAGGCACATAAGTTTTTAATCATTATTTCATATAAGATGTTGGATTACTTCCAATGTTAATTTTGTGAATATTTTCCATAATGTTTCATAGGTACATCTTGATTAATTTTTTAATTTCACATGACTATATTATAAAATTAATAACAATATGTATTTTTAAAACACCTGATACATTTCATCAAGGGTCTTATTCTCTTAAAATATATAGAAATTATCTGAGAATTTAATATATAATTGAAAAGAAAGCAACCTGGGTTAGCAAATATTTTACATAATAAACAATTAAAGAACTGGTTTCACAACCATTGACTTGCATTCAAAGCTTTCTGCAAGTTAATAACAAGAGCTAGTATTAGTAATTACCACTAATGTACTACCAGTCAACCTTTTTTTCTTGTCCTTCTACACATGCTACTCTCTTCCTCCTTCTACTGGCACTATCAGTTTCCCTTAGTGTGAGTGGGGAAATCTTTCAAGAGTAGGGTAGAGTGGTATATATTTTTCATTAGTCTTACCTCATCGTTTGACTCTTGAGAAACTGACTATATAAAGCCCATACAATTTGCATTAAACATAGATACTGAGTTTTAACAATGGAATAAAATCTCAGTTTTATGCAAGCAAAAATGATCTTTTAAGAGATTGCATAATAATGCATTGAAGAAGCCTTCTTTGTACATATGTCTTAAAATGTGATGTTAATTTAAAATATATGAGGTTCTTCTATTCCTTCAAAAAGAATATAATCTTATACGCTGACGGAATTTTTTTTTCATATTGAAACTAAGGGCACTATTCAGACACAAGTGGTAGAAATTATTTGGTCTTTATTATACATGCATTGTTCATTATCTCTGTGCATCTCTGTCAGTCACCTATGATGTCAAGACGAGTTCCCCCAGGAAGCCTTACTGAGTTGCCTGTCATAAGGCAGAAATCATCTGCTCTAATAGGGTATGTTTATGCTCTAAAATGTGAAATTCTGGGATCTCAATGCAGAATGATTTAAATGCTTTATTAAAATCACGTGAACCCTGTGTTTGCACATATTTGAGGCATACATTTATATTGTTGAGGAAGTGTTTTAAGCTGGAATGCTGGTGAAGATCCTATTACTTATGGAAGAATTTTAGAATTTCAACTAGCTTATCTTACTGTCACAACTGGTATGTCTACTATTAATCAAGTCCACAGGGTATCTGTCATCTATGACTTTGCAAGAGAATATAACCTTGATGTGCTGAATAATCTGGTTCTCTTAAATGAGGAATGATATCTCAAGTGACTTTCACATGTTTAGTAGTTAGTAGTATTAGTAATAATCACAAAATAATCATAATTGCAAAATTAACAACATTTCTGAGTCACTGACTATGTGCCAGAGACATTTTAAGTGTTTTGTCTGTGTTAATATTTTTTCCACACAACACAATATGAAGTTGGCACTATTTGTGTAAATGTGGGCATAATTATTTCTATCAACAATCTAGTCCGCTTTTCCATCATCTGCTACCTGAATTCATGGAAAATTTCCTGAATGTTTGGGTCTTTACAGTGTGGCCCTTCTGCAATTTAATCCATTGAATATCTTGGAGCCTTTTCTTAAAAAGAGAATCATTTCATATATCCTTATTTCTTAACTCTTTTTTTGGACTTTTTCAATGTTCTTAATAAATATTTCAACTCCTAATACGTATCTGGCTCTAATTTACCTCTTAGCATTGTCTGATTCTTAATCATTCCCTGCAAACTAAACCTGAGGACTTGAGAACTGTCCTGACCACTTTATCTGCTTTCCCTTTTTGTCTGCCTCTCCCCGTCATTCTTTTCCCTATTCCTGCTTATTGTTCAGCTCTCATCGTACTCATCAGTGACTCCAGGATACTTTCTATTATCTCCACTGATGCTTTCTTAGCATTGGGTTTTTCCTTGAGAAAATAATTTTTATATACTTTTCATTACTTACTTATATTCTATATTTCAAAGTAGAATGTAAGGTATGTAGGGACAGAAAACTGTGTCTATTTTTTTTCTCTGAAAATTCTGCACTTACCTGTGTTTTGTGCTAATCTCTTTATAAATATTCTTTGAATGAATGACCAATGCCTTCTTAGATGTTGCATAATCAAGACTTTAATTTAACCAACCCTATTTTCAAAGTTTCCTTAGTATTCCTATTTGTAATATGCATAAAACTCACATGCTTATGATGGTATCAACATGTACATGAGTTTCTAATTGGTATCTGCTTTACCCCACCTACTTCCCATCTTTTTTCAATGTAAACCAAACACTCTGAATGAAGGCTATAGAGTCATTTCTACTGAAACTTTGAAGCCAACAAAATAAAACCAACGAAAGTATGTTTACCTTAGGTAGGGGTTTGGCAGGTTTGCAGTGGAGTCCTCCAACAAAATCAACGTTTGGTAAGAATGGATGAGGAAATTTAAAATTCCAGGAGTTTCGCATAAGCCATATGTCAGCTTTTCCCATTGTCTCAGATAAGGTAGTGGGTCTTCCTGATATGAATAAAGAAAAGAAAAAGTGGATGACATAAGATAATTACTTTATGTAATTTTCTGAAAGGAGTTAGAATAATGTAGGCAAAAATGTAGGTAAAGTTTGTATGCTTTGAAAAATATATACATATAGGAATAATTTATTTTTTATGTATTCTATATTTTGCCCATGTTTATTTATAAGAAAGGCAAAGTGGTGGGAGAATTGTGAGGTTAAGCTACATCTCTAATGTCATGTCAGTATACTCACAATTATTAAAATAAGTCATAGAGAATTAAACATCAATTTATTTTCTCTTTAAAACTTTAATAGTAGCCTCTAGATATTTAAAAAAATCTTTGAGCTCCATAATCAATTAATTCTACTGTAACCATAAAAAAATTTTCTAACTAATAGTCTAGTTTACACAAATCATTAAGCTAATCCTTTTATCTTTGGTTCTTCAAGTTAACCGTGGACTATTTTGAGTATGGCTGAAATCATTGTACCAACTACTCATTTGGATTCAAGCTAACTTCTTAATAATATTAAGTAAAGATATTTATAAATTATAGCTAGAAATTTTTGAGAAATTATTGAAACAAATCTGTACTCAACCTTAATCTGTCTCATATTTTTAAATAAAGAGACACAGTTTCAAATAAACTATATAGATAAGACAACTTTCACACTTCAACGAGATGATTGGACTTTAAATAAATGATTTCCAATTCTTTAGTGAAGGAGTATAGAAACATTTGAAACTTCAAATTACCCTCATTGATTTTTGCATCTGAGATATAGACATTATCTCTCTCTACTGTGAAGACAACCTCCTGATAACATGGGAACATCTTTTAATTTCTAAATAAGACAACTGAGGTTTACAAGGAAAATTTTTTGCAGTTATATAGATAGTTGTAGAAAGATGTGTAATTACTCATTCTAAATCTATGCATTTGGTTAGATGTTACTTGATGGATCTTGCTGTTTTTAAGGTCTGAAACATTCTATGATAAAACAGATGTGTAATTGCTTAAAGTCTTAGGTGTACTAATATATAGGTATATGATTTCCTGGGGTGTTGTGTATGAGTGATGGTCACAGCATTTTCACTGACCCTATAATTTAAGCTTTTCTATAATATTTGTGAGATTGATAGACCATCTTGTATTTTCATTTCATAAATTCACTTACCAAAAACTCCACTTCCTTGACTTTATGGCTTTGTACAAGTTCTGCTTCAAAGACACAAAGAAGTTAGAGCTTCATGTTACTGATTGAAAAAATTCTTACCTAAAACTTCACTGTAAAAGTGATCCCACTTCTTCATATCAAATATTTGGTACCAAAAGTCAAAATAAAGCACATAGAGCACATTTTTTACCCTCTCCATGAAAGTCATTTGATCACTTAATTTTGACATAACAACAGGTACGTAGGAAGGAGGGAAAATAAATCCTCCACTGTGCCTTTCAAATGAGTAGCCAGGAGTGAAGCTGTGACTGTACACAAAGGGTATGTTAAATAGCGCAGCCAGCAGCTCACCACAGGGTAAATAAGCATCTGCAAAAACGATGTCAAATCTTGACTCTTGTAGTTTTTTCATAAGTTTCTTATTTGAAACTACATCTTTACAGAAGTTTCTAATTATGTTATTATATGCCCACATGATTTCTTGTTCTTGTGAAAAATATAACCAAAATGTATCTTTTGGAATGTTGCATCGTGATATTCTCCAACTCAGTTTTAGTTAAAGATGTAGGATAAACTTCGAGTTTAAGAGTGGATGAGTCATTGGGATCAAAAAGAATGGAAGCTGAAGATGCCAGTACAGTCACCTCATGACCTCTCTGAACAAGTTCTTTCAGGATTGTCTTCATATTCATCCAAGGGCTGTACTCTGCGGCCCACACCAGCACCTTTCCACAACTCCCAGAGCTAAAGTAACAACTGAGTTGTATCAGCAGAAGAACTGAAGTTTGAGTTCCTTTCAGAGCCATCCTGGTGCAATGTGATAATTCTTTTCCAGTCACTGTTTCTTTCTCATACTTATATACAGAGAAAAATCAATCAAGTTAAAACATAACTCCTTCAATTCAAAGTAAATACATTATATGAGCATCCTGAGTACATGGATGGCAAGGAGACAAAGTTCGATTACTTCATATTTACTCAAGAATGTTTGATGTTTCTTTTATGTTTATATTTGCTGTCATCCACCTAAGTTTAATGACCTTGCAAGTATCCTGTTTTATATAATGTATTTTGTAATAGTGTCAAGAACAGTGGCAAGTGAGAGAGTCCTGCAGGCCCCTTGACACAGAATAAGAGATGAAGTAATTATACAATGCAAATAGAATTTTTGAATATCGTGGTTCAAGGAATATCTTGTAAAACTTTGTTGAAGTATAATTCACTTACCATATGATTCATCAATTATTATATAAAATTAAATATTTCCAAGTAAGTTCACAGACTTGTGCATCCAACATAACAATCAGTTTTATCTAAAAAAAGTCCTGTATATTAAATATCATCTCCCCACCTGAATTTCTGCATCCACCCTGCACTGGGCAACCAATAATCTAATTTCTGCCTCTACAAATATGCTTATTCAGGATCTTTTTAAAAATAAATGAAACTATATAATATGTGGTCTTTTGTGGCTGGCTTCTTCTATTTAGTTTAATGTTTTTAAAGGACCATCCATAGAATAGTGTATATAAGGATTTCATTTTTATTTCCAAATAGTATCAGATGCTACTTATAACCACAAATTATTTATTCATTCATCAGTGGATGGACATTGATTTTCTTGCACTTTTGGCCATTATGCATAGCGTTGATATTTTTATTGCCAAATAGTATCAGATGCTACTTATAAACACAATTTATTTATTCATTTATCAGTGGATGGACATTGATTTTCTTCCACTTTTGGCCGTTATGAATAGCATTGATTAACATTGATGTACATGCTTTCTTTGGGCATGTTTTTATTTTTCTTGGGTATATGTCTAGAAAGGCAATTATTGAATTGTGTGGTAAATATATGTGTAACCTTTTGAGGAATTGCTGGACTTTTTCACAGTGGGTGAATAATTTTCTATTCTCAACCAACAATGTTTGAGGGTTTCAGTGTCTCCACCAACTTGCCAAACCTTGTCTTTCAAATAACAAAAAAGGTTATTTTTTATTTTAATTCATAAACACACTCTAACAGACACAAAGAAAGGAAAGTTTCCTTCCACATATTGGAGGAAAAGTGAATAAATTAAACACTAACTTACCTAATACTTCACTGTAAAACTGATTCCACTTCTTTTTGTTAAAAGTCTCAAATGCAAAGTCAAAATGAAGAAAATGGAAAAGATTTTTCACCTTTCTATAAATGTATTTTGGTACTAAGTTCTGATATGACAACAGTTACATCAGAAGGAGGTAATGAAAGTCTTCCACAGAGTTCTTGGTACATACTGCCAGTTGTAAATGGATGATAGTAGACCAAATGTATAAGAAATGTTTAACAGATTAAGCTGTTCAGATAGCAGCTCACTAATGAGAAATGACATCTGCAAGAATGACATAAATTCTGGAATCTTGTTGTTCCTTGTAAGTTTCTTGTTCAAAACAGCATACTCACAGAGCTTTTGAACAGTATCAGAACATTCATAATATGTGTTTTTTGCATCTTTGAATCATATGCCAACAATGTACTCTTTGGGAACTTGTATGTCCACATCTTGATCAATTTCATAAAAATGAAATCAAGTTCATTCTCAGTAAAAGATGTGGGATAAACCTCAAATTTAACAGCAAATTGTTGGAATCAATGAGGATGGAAGCTGAAGGTGACAAGCACAGTTACCTCATGGTGTTTCTGAGCAAGTTCATCAAGTATCATTATTAAATTGATATAAAGACTGTATTTCACTGGCCACACCAGCACATTCTCATGGGACTCAGAGCTGGAATACAACGGTCAGCATAAGAAACAAAAAAGCCCATTTCTTAGACAACTGTTAAAATGCTATCTTTCTTTATAACTTTCCCTAACTTGGTACATATCAATGTCAATCAATGTCATAATGATTTAAGTGTTGACAATAGAGGTTTTGGAAAGCAAGAGAATAAAGAAAAGGATGAATGATTTTGTGTTTGTATGTGTGAATAATAAATTTCAGTCTTATTGTAAATGTGGCTGTCTCCAGAACAAGAGATAATTTAGTTGTATATAAAGAGTTTCTAGTATAAGAAAGCATCATTCTGTCAACAATGAGGCAGTGATGTGATCTATTCTTATTTATCTAAACATTCTCAAATAGACCATCTTCATTTTCTCTATATAGTTTCACACTTATTATATTAGCTTCATTTCATGTTCCTTGACATTGTTTTTCTGACAGTAGAAATTCCTTTTATTTTTATCCAAACAGATATGTTTTAAGTACAATTACAGTTACTTTGCTTCATTTGAAAATATTTTGTCTAAATCACAATATTTTCCTTTTCTGAATATTTGCAACATTGCTTAGTTTCTCAGTCTTAGAAAGTATTTATCTTCTAAACGCCTACTACTGAACTTGTTTCACAGATTGCCTTGTAATTCAGGTAAGTTCTACTTTAAAAAGTCTCACCAGAAATTTACATCAAAGTAGAATTAGGAAGGAAAAGATGCATGTCACAAAATAGAGAAATTTGTTTTTATTCTATTAATAATCTGTTAACCTGAAATGAAGTAAATCTTTCTTAAAAGGATTTTTGAACACAGTTTGTGAGCAAATATTGCCAGCAGAGTGGCAATATTGCTCAATATTTTTAATGTCCTTGAGTGCATGCATTATGTGTCACCCAGATTTCCCTTTTGGTAATATAGAAATTACTTTCCAGCTGATGAAGTGATTAAACACTGACATACCTCACCTATAAGCTCTCTCTCAGTACATCTCTGCTGAAAGCTATCTAGCATGTAGTGACTTTTCCAACACAGCCCATATCCAATGCCTGGTCACGTGTAGGACTCTAAAGGCCCATTCTCCTCATTTCAATTTGGACCAACTCTGAAGGGCTAACCACAAGCCTCCTCACCTAGAAAGCAAGCAGACTCAGTTTTTCAGCATCTCAGGGAGCCTGCAGTGGTGATCCAGTTCCTTCAGAGAGTCTGTGAATTTTCTCAGCTTTCCTGGTGTGTTCCTGCTGTAATCCTTGGAGAAACAGTTCATGACATGAGTCCCAACACACTGCTCTATCCATTCGAGTAGAAGCTGCAAACTAGTTCTGCCTCCTTTTCATCATCTTAATCGTATACATCTGTAGCAACCTTCTATGTCATTTTTCTATCTTTGTTGGTTTAAAGTCTGTCTAGTAAGAAGTTAGAATTGCAACTGCTGCTTTTTTTTTTTTTTCATTTTCTTGTTAGATTATTTTCCATTGGTTTATTTTGAGCCTATATATGTCACTGCAGGTGAGATGGGTTTCTTGAACACAGCATATCAATGGTTCTTGGTTCTATAATCAGCTTGCCCTTCAGTGTCTTTTGATAGGGGCATTAAGCCCATGTGTATTTAAGGTTAATATTGATATGTGTGGACTTGATCCTGTCATAATGATGTTATCAAGCAATTTTGCAGACTTGTTTATGTGCTTGCTTCACAGTGTCACTAGTATGTGTACTTCAGTATGCTTTTGTAAAGGCTGGTAACGCTCTTTCCCCACCCCCCACCCCCCCGATATTCAGTGCTTCCTTCAGAAATTTTTGCAAGGCAGGTCTGGTGGTAACCAATTTCTTCAGCTGTTGCTTGTCTGAAAAGGTTCTTATTTTGCTTATGAAGTTTTATTAGGCTGGATATGAAATTCTAGATTGCAATTTCTTTTCTATAAGAATGTTGAATATTGGCCACCAATCTCTCCTGGCTTCCGGGATTTCAGTTGAGAAGTCCATTGTTAGTCTGATGAGCTTCCCATTGTAGGTAATTTGGCCTTTCTCTCTAGCTGTCTTTTACATGTTTTTTTTTTATTTTGACTTTGGAGAATCTGATAATTATTTGTCTTGAGGATGAGCTTCTCATTGATTATCTCACTGGGGTTTTCTGCATTTCTAAATTTGGCCTCTCTAGCTAGATTGGAAAAGTTCTCATGAATGATATCCTGAAATATACTTTCCAGGTTGATTTCATTGTCTCCATCTGTTTCAGATACACCAAATACTCATAGACTCATTCTTTTCACATAATCTCATATTTCCTGGAGGTTTTGTTCATTCATTTTTATTCTTTTTTCTATATTATTGCCTGCCTGTCTTATTTCATGAAGCCTGTCTTAAAGCTCTCATAATTTTTTTTTCAGTTGGTTTATTTTGCTATTATTTTTCAATTTTTATTTGTGATTGCATTATAAAAGTCTTGTGGTGTTCTTTTCAACTCTATGAGGTCAGTTACATTTTCTCTTTACAGGCTACTTTGTTAGCTTCTGCAATGTTTTATTATTATTTTTAGCTTTCTTGCATTAGGTTACAATATACTCATTTAGCACAGTAAACTTTGTTTATATCCCTGTTTTGAATTTTACTTCTGTCATTTCAGCCATCTTAGCCTCAGCCCAGTTCTAAACCCTTGCTGGAGAGATGATGCTGTAATTTGGATGAAAAAATGCACTCTGTCTTTTTGAGTTTTCACTGTTCTTGCACTGATTCTCTCTTATTTTTGTGGGCTTATCTGCCTTCAATTTTTGAGGTTGCTGGCCTTTGGATTTTTTTTTCTTTTATTCTATTTGATTGCCTTGAAGGTTTGTTTGTGATATAAGGTGGATTCAGCCAACTGACATTGTTTGTAGAGGGGGCAGAGTTCAGTTCCCAACTCCTGGACCGTATGCTTTAACTCTGATGGACTTGCATTGAGCCCCAGCTTTGTTCTCTGGCTTTTCAAGGCTTTAAGTCTACTGCACTAAGGTGATGAAGGTGCAACAAGTGCAGCAGAGTGCTAGTGAGTGCAGGAGTGTCTGCCTCTTTCTGAGTGTTCACAACAGTGGCAGAAGCAAAGCAGTTGGAAGGGGAATGGAAGACCCCTGCTGGAGACTGTGTGACGTTACATGGGAGGTGGTGTTTGTTTAGGGTGGGGTGATTGCCAGCACAAGTCTGGGTGCCTTCTCTGTGCCCTGCAAGCAGAAGTGATCACTCAGGGTATGGAAGGATCCCCTGTCCTCTATGCAGCATCAGAAAAAGGTGGGCACTGGCTTGACAGGGATTTCTGGTTCTGTGCCCATCAAAGCTCTCTTTGCAATGCTGCAAAGGCTATCAGTGTGATTTGAGTGAATGTGATGGGGGGTCATGGAGGGATGCACTGCACTCCTGTGTGCTGGTGGGTCAAGTACAGCAAAATCCACCCATGCAGACATGCACTCAGCAAAGTGGTGTGAGGAGTTTCTCAGGGGAGAGGCTCAGTCGAAGCTGCAGTATGGGAAGGAACATGCAGACTGGTACACAGTTGTAGGGACTGCGTCACTGGAACTCTCTGTCAGTCAGGCCTGGTCCTCTGTTGCAGAAACTATGGTGTGTTTCTGGCTGCCCTGTAAGTAGGCATGGCAAGGCTGGGGCCCCAGTTGAGGGTAGAAGATCAAGGAGTCTCAAATCAGACCAGCCTCATCTGATGTGCAGGATCACCATGCAGGGATCAGGTCTGACTGTTACCCAAGGGCTAGGGTCTCTTATTCATGAAAGTTGAACTTACAGAGATGGCCACACTGCTACAGATTCTCCTGCACCCACTGCTCTGGGATCCACATCAGTTGGCTTGCTGCTTTGCTACTTTGTTTGTTCCTGTGGCTTCATCTCAGAGAGATGCAAGCCAGCAATGGCTCAGTGTCTTTGCTCCTTTGTTTGTCCAAGGGAGTCAAGGAAAGTTTCACTGCAGATGCAGTGGCTGAGAGGCTTTCTGTTGCCCCAGTGGCTCTCTCCAAGGAGTTGCCAATTTGCTACTAGCTGGATAGATTGGGCAGGTGTTGGCTAGAGACCCAGGCCTGGAAGATCTGCATGATGAGGACATACAGGAGCAGGCAACCACATTACACTCTGATCATTTTTCTGTAGGGCTGCTGTGTTATGCTAGGGGCCACTCCAGTCACTATTCACCTCAGATTTTTTAGTACCTGGAGGTATCACCAGTGAAGGCTGAGAAACAGGAAAGACGGCAGCCTGCCCTTTTCTCTGGTAGCTCCATCCCAGGGAGATATGGACCTGTTTCTGCCACAAACATACCTCTAAGAGGTGGCTGGAGACCCCACTTGGGAGATCTGACCCCTAGTCAGAAGGAATGGTATCAGGGACCTGCTTAAGGTAGTCTAGCCACATTTTCATAAAGCAGCTGTGCTTTGCTGGGGGTACACTTCAGCCCTCGGTTGCCTCAGACACTCCAAAGCTAGAAGGCTGGAATGGCTAAGTTGCCCAAACAGCAAAGATGTCAGCCTGCCCTGCCCCCTTGGGTCTCTTTACCAGGGATGCCTGGAACCTCTGTCAGCTTGTGAATACCAGTGATGGTAGCCAAAAATCCCCGTTGGGAGTCTCCACCCAGTAATGAGGACGAGGGTCAGGAACTCAATTAAAAAAGCAGTCTGGCCCCATTTTTATATGGCTGCTGTGCTGTTCTGGTGTATCATTTTCACCCCAGTCAGAATGGGTTCTTCAAAGCTTACAGACTGGAATTGATAAGTCACTCAAACAGCAAAGATGCCGGCCCATAACTCTCTCTGGGAGCTCTGTCACAGGGAGTTTTCAAATCTCTGTAGACACAAGAACACTGGTGGGAGTGGTTGGAGTCCCCTGTTGGGAAGTCCCACCCAGTGAGGAGGAACAGGATCTGGTACCTGCTTAAAGAAGCAGTCTGGCCATGTTTTTATAGAGCAGATGTGCAGCAACTGGGGAATTCCTTCCACTAAATGTACATTTGGACTCTCCAAAGCTCGAAGGGCAGGACAGCTAACTTGCACAAACAGCAAAAATGGCAGCCTGCACTGCACACCATGCCTCAGTTGAAGGTGCTGTGTGGTATATAAATTATATGTAAACAAAATATACAAAAAATTATTTGAACCATGTTTTGTTATTTTATCTTTAGTTCTGTGTCAAACAAAATGCACAAACATGGACCTCTCATGACTATGTTTCTGGAAACTTTTCTAAAATAAATTACATAAGACAAGTGATGTGTCCATACAAGAACATTGATATTAGCTCAAAGATAGCACTTATAAACATAAAGGGACATTAAACACACTTGTGTAAATAGATCATCTACCTTCATTTATCTCCTTGCCATCTACATGCTCAGACTGTTAATCTAATGATAATATATTTCCTTTGAAGTGTAAAAGTTACATTTGAACTTCGTGATTGATTTATCCATGGATATAACCATAATAAATGACAGAAAGAAACAGCAAATGGAAAAAAGCATTGCATTGCACCAGGATGTGTATGAAATGGACTTCAATTTTGCTGCTGATACAGCTGAGCTGTTACATTAGCTCTGGAAGTTGTGGAAAGGTGCTGGTGTGGCCCACAGCATTCAGCCATTGGATGAATGTAAAGACAATCCTGGATGAGCTTGTCCAGAGGGCGCATGAAGTGCCTGTACTGGCATTTTCAGCTTCCATTTGTTTGATCCCAACAGCCTACCTACTCTTAAACTTAAGTTTATCCTGCATCTTTAACTAAAACTGAGTTGGAGGACATCATCATGCAACTAGTCAAGAGATGGGCAGCCCTTCCAAAAGGCACGTTTTGGTCATATTTTTCACAAGTACAAGAAATCATGTGGACATTTAATGACATACTTAGAAAGTTCTGTAAGGATGTAGTTTAAAATAATAAACTTATGAAAAAACTACAAAAGTTAAAATTTGATGTTGTTCTTGCAGATGCTATTATTCCCTGTGGTGAGCTGCTGGCTGAGCTATTTAACATACCCTTCCTGTACAGTCTCCACTTCTCTGCTGGCTACACACTTGAAAAGCACAATGTAGGATTTCTGTTTCTGCCTTCCTACATACCTGTTGTTATGTCAGAATTAAGTGACCAAATGACTTTCATAGAGAGGGTAAAAATATATGATCTATCTGGTTTATTTTCAATTTTGGTTCCAACCAAATATTTAATATGAAGAAGTGGGATCAGTTTTCCAGTGAAGTTTTACCTAAGTAATTTTTTCAGTTGGTAATATGGAGATCTAACTTTCCTGTGCCTTTGAAGCTGAGCTTCTATAAAGCAATAAAGTCAGGGTCCTTTTTTTTTTTTTTTTTTTTTGGTGGAGACTTTCTTTGTCTTCCAGGCTGGAGTGCAGTGGTGCAATCTAAACTCACTGCTGGGATTACAGGCATGTGTCAGCACACTTGGTTAATTTTTTGTATTTTTAGTAGAGATGGGGCTTCACCATGTTGGCCAGGCTGGTCTCAAACTCCTGACCTCAAGTGATACACCTGCCTCAGCCTCTCAAAGTGCTGGGATTACAGGCATGAGCCACCACGCCCAGCTGGTAGTGGAGTATTTCGTAAGTGAATTTATGAAATGAAAACACAAGATGATCTATCAATTGCACAAATATTATAGAAAAGCTTAAATTATAAGTTCAGTTAAAACCCTGTGGCCATTGCTAATACAGAACATTCTAGGAAGTCATAAACCTGTAAATTAGTGCACCTAATATTTCTTTAAACAATCACACATCTGTTTTACTATACATATTTTTATCTTAAAAAAGTCGGACCCGTCCACAAACATCTTACTGAATGCATACATGTATATTGAGTAGTTACACAATTTTCTACCACAACTATCTATGTAACATTGCAGAAATTGTTTTTCCTTGTACACCGCAGTTTCTTTATTCTGAAATTAAAATATGTCCCCATGTTACCAGAAGGTTTCCTTCACAGTTGAGAGAAATAGTGCTTCTGTCTCAAATGCAAAAACCAATAAGGGCAATTTGTAGTTTCTAATGTCTCCACATTCCTTCACTAAAAGATTGGAAATTATTCATTTTAAGACTAATCATCTTATTGAAGTCTGAACATTTTTCTATCTATATAGTTTTTTTAAAAAAATACTATGTTTATTACAAAATATAAGCCAAATTAAGGTTGGATACAAATCTCTATTTGAATAATTTCTCAAAATTTTCTAGCTGTAATTTTCAAATATATTTACTTAAAAGCTAATATGGTTAATACCTTAGCATAAATCAAAAGCAGTAGTTGGTACAAGGATTTCAGCCACACTCTCAAAATAGCCCACAGTTCACTTGAATAACCAAAGATAAAAAGATTAGCTTAATGAACTGCGGAAACTAGACTATTTCTCAGAAAATTATTTTTATGGGTTAGGCAGAATTAGTTGATCATGGAGCTCAAAGAGTTTTTTAAATGTTTATATGCTACTATTGAAGTTTTAAAGGGTAAAGAAATGGATGTTTACTTCTCTATAGATTATTTTAATAATTGTTTGTGATTATGAGTATTCCGATGTGACATTAGCGATGTAGTTTACCCTCAAACTTCTCTTATCAGTTTGCTTTTCTTATAAATACACAAGGGCAAAATATATAATACATAAAAAATAAATTATGTTTATATTTGAATATATGTTCATGTATTTCAAAGTACAGACACTTGGTCTACATTTTTGCCTACATTATTCTAATCCCTTTCAGAAAATTACCTAATGTAATTATCTTGTGTAATCCACTTTTTCTTTCATTTTTCCTCTCAGGAAGACCCACTACCTTATCTGAGACAATGGAGAAAGCTGACATACATATGGCTTATTCAAAACTCCTGGAATTTTCAATTTCCTCATCCACTCTTACCAAATGTTGAATTTGTTGGAGGACTCCACTGCAAATCTACCAAACCCCTACCTAAGGTAAAGATAATTTTGTTGATTCGGTTTTGTTAGCTTTGAATTTTTAGTAGGAATGACTCTACCGTCTTCCTGCAGAGTGTCTGACTTAGAAAGAAAGATGGGAAGTGGGTGGGGTAAAGCAGATAGCAATTAGGAACTCTTGTACTTGTTGATTTATCGATACCATCACAAGTACGTGAGTTTCATCATTATTATAGATACAGAGGGATACTAAGGAGACTTTGAAAATAGGGTTGGTTAAATTAAAGCCTTGATTATGCAACACGTAAGAAGGTATTGGTCATTCATTAAGAGAATGTTTATAAAAGTTTAACAAAAACCACAGGCAAGAGGAAAAAAAATAGACACAGTTTCTGTCCCCACACACATTACATTCTATTTCAAAAGATAGAATATGTATAAGTAATAAAAATTGTGCAAAAGCTATTATCTCATGCCAAGATAGCATCAGTGGAGATAATAGAAAGTATCCTGGACGCACTGATAATGAAGCTGACAGCTGAACAATGTGCAGAAATTGGTGAAATAATGAGGAGGGCAGAAAACACAAAAAGAAAAAAAGGTAAAGTGTTCAGGAAAGTTCTCAAGACTCCAAGTTTAGTTTGCAGGGACAGGCTGAGTGAGAATCAGATGATGCTGAGAGACAAGTTAGAGCCTGATACTTATTAGGAGTTAAAATATTTATTAAGCACCTTTGGGGACTACTAAAAAGAGTTAGGAAATGAAGATATATGATAAGGTTATTTAAAAAAAAAGAAACAAAGAAAGAGCAGACCATTTGGGAAATTTTGCATGGAATCTGGTAGCAGATGATGGAAAAGTGGATTAGAATGTTGGACTAGAAGTAATTATGCCTACATTTGCAGTAATAGTACCCACTTCATATTGTGTTTTGTGGAAAAAATGTTAATACACACAAAACACTTAAAATCTCTCTGTTATATAGTCAGTGATTCAGAAATATTAATTTTGCAATTATGGTTATTTTGTTATGATTACTAACACTATTAATTACTTAACATGTGCAAGTCACTTGAGATACCATTCTTCATTTAATAGAACCAGATTGTTCAGCACATCAAGATTATGTTCTCTTGAAAAGTCGTGGAGGACAGATATATTGTGGACTTGAATAAAAGTAGGCATACTAGTTTTGCTAGTAAGATGCGTAAGTTGACATTCTAAAATTCTACTGTAAGTTATGAGGATTTTAAGTATTCTATCTTAAAAAGAAAATAGTTACTCAACAATATAAATGTGTATCCTTAATAATATTTGCAGCCAAACCCAGTGTTCACTTGATTTCACTCAAGGATGTAACTCATTCTACACTGAGATATCTGACGTTTACATCTTAGAACAGAAACATGCCCTATTAGAGCAGGTGTTTTCAGCCTTATGACAAGCAACTTAGTACAGCATCCTGGTTGAACTTGTGTCTAGACGCCAAAGCTCCCTACAGAGAAGCATGGAGAAAATGAATGATGCACGTATTATAAAGGCCAAATAATTTCTATCACTTGTATCTGAATAGTAGTAAACTTAGTTTACCATAATTAAAGAATTCTGTCTACTTAGAAGATGATGTTCTTTGTAAAGGAACACAAGAACCTCATGCATTTTAAATTAGTATCATACTTTTAAGACATAGGTAGAAAGTAAGCATTCTTTAATACATTATTAAGTAATCTCTTAAGATTTTTGTCTACATAAAACTGAGAATTTATTCCATGGGTAAAATACAATATCTATGTTGAATGCGAATTGTATGTGCTTTATGACTTTCTAAAGAGACAAAAGCTGAGGTAAGACTAATAAAAATTCTATGGCACCCTACCCTACTATTGAAAGATTTCCCTATTCATATTAAGGGAAAGTGATAGTGCCACTAGGAGGGGGAAGAGAATAGGAGGTGTAGAAGGATAAGAAAAAGGATGACTAGTAGTATAATAGTGATAATTACTAATAGTAGCTGTTGTTATTAACTTGCAGAAAGATTTGAATGCAAGTCAATGGTTGTAAAATTGGTTCTCTAATTGTTTATTATGTAGAATAATTGTTAACCCAAGTTGTTTTCTTTTAAATTAAATATTAGATTCTCATAATATATGTCTATATTTTAAGAGAAAAAGACATTTGGCAAAATATTTCTAGTGATTTAAAAATGCACATAATCATTGGTTTAATAATATAGTTTCATGTAATCATACTGAGAAAAAAATGAATTAAGATGTGCACATTTAATATTTATGGAAAATATTCATAAAATTCACATTGGAAATAATCCAACATCTTAAATGAAGGAATGACTAAAAACTTATACTATATGCATACTATAGCCTTACAATAATTTTATCAATCAAATATTCAATTACACTGTGAGCCATAATGCGAGTAAAGTGTAGTAGAAAATGATAAATATAACAAGATGACAAATTTTTTGTAAGAGGAAAATGTATATACAATAAGGTTAAAACTTTCTAAATAAATGTCATGAGTGTACATGTGTAAATAGAATAAAAGCCATGATGAGAATATACATATTTTACATTGGTAATATCTCTAGATAGAAATTTTAGAAATATTTCCTTTTCTTTATGAAACTTTTCATACTTTTGTTAAATTACTTACAGTGATTTTGTATTATTTTTATGAAGTTGTCACAGAGTCTGAAACAACCAGTCCACATCAGTGATGAATCAGTAAACAGAAGTTAGATTACTTCAACACTGGGTGGATGAAGAAGGCTCTGGGCATCAAGCCAGTGAGAGTAAACCCTGAACACGAGTTACAGTAAATGTGGCAACAGGTAACTGCAATCACACAAAATGTCTAGATGCCCCATGTATTATCTGGAATAGTAGTACAATGACTCTCACATTAACATTGATGTCTTAAGATTAAAAATCATATTTGAAAAAAAATACAGCAATATATGGTCTTCACAGTCAATATTTGGATTTTTTTCTTTGTTTTATAAACAGCAGTTCAAAAAAGTTTTACCCTAATGATTAAAACTGAAAGTTTTTAAATTTAAATATTGGCATAGATTGGAGAAAGCAAATCAGAGTAAATATCAATCAATTTTAGCCAAGTACATCTTCACCAAGAAGTGTAGTGTGAGTGAGCTACTCATGAGGGTGACCAGATCTCCCCTGTGGAAAGCGCTGGTGGCCTCTCCCATTATGGTGCAAGTGCTGCTGCCTCTGAGACACAACAAAGTGACAATGAGAGTTCCTCACAGGCAGTTATAAATAGAACATCAATTTAACAGTGTGATTTCAGGGAAAAGTTATTCCACCTAAAGAATCACCTGAAAAATATGATCATTCAACTATCTAACTATATACTGTACAATTCAGTATTATAAATGAGACTCTCAGTACTAATTCATAGAAATTCCAAACCACAACCAGACTCCAGAATGTCAGTGATTCTTAACCACCACTTTTTACTGTTACTTTTTTTCTTTTTTGAAAAAAAACTGGGAAACTCTGACAAAATTTTAGTGAAGTGTAAAGGATTACAGAGGA
The DNA here is from genome assembly GCF_000001405.40 of Homo sapiens. NCBI lineage: Eukaryota > Metazoa > Chordata > Mammalia > Primates > Hominidae > Homo > Homo sapiens. Next base: position 69,033,812 of record NC_000004.12, read on the forward strand.
AGATAAATGTAGACAAAAAATCACCCCAACTGTGAGTAACGTTTCCTCAGTGTTTATAGTTAGGGAAGAAAACCATTGATAGCTTCAAACTAAAACAATTCTATAGAAAATGTTGCAGGAAGTGAGGGACCCCGAACAGAGGGTCCAGCTGAAGCCATGGCAGAAGAACATAAATTGTGAAGATTTCATGCACATTTATCACTTCCCCAATCAATACTCTTATAATTTCCTATACCTGGCTTTAATCTCTTAATACCAGTATCTTCATAAGCTGAGGATGTATGTCGCCTCAGGACCCTGTGATGATTGCATTAACTGCACAAATTGTTTGTAAAGCATGTGTGTTAGAAAAATATGAAATCTGGGCACCTTGAAAAAAGAACAGGATAACAGCAATGTTCAGGGAACAAGGGAGATAAACATTAGGTCTGACTGCCTGGGAGCCAGGCAGGACAGAGCATGTTTCCCTTATTACCAAAAACGGGTAAGAGAAATATCACTGAATTCTTTCCCTAGTAAGGAATATAATTAACAGCACTGGGAAAAGAATGCATTGGGGGGGGCGGGGCTAAAATGTCTGCTCTGGGAGTGTCTGTCTTATATGGTTGTAGATAAGGGATGAAATAAGCCCTGGTCTCCTGTAGTGCCCCCAGGCTTATTAGGATTAGGAAATTCCTGCCTAGTAAATTTTAGTCAGACTGGTTGTCTGCTCTCAAACCCTGTCTCCTGATAATGTGTCATCAATGACAATGTGTGCCCAGTGGGACATGAAACTTCATCAGGAATTCTATTTTCACCCTGGCCTTGTGACCTTGCCCTGCCCATTTGTCTTGTGATATTTTATTGCCTTTGAAGCGTGTGATCTCTGTGACCCACACCCTATTCGTACACTCCTTCCCCTTTGAAAATCACTAATAAAAACTTGCTGGTTTTGTGGCTCAGGGAGCATCACGGAACCTGCCAACATATGATGTCTCCCCCGGACACCCAGCTTTAAAATTTCTCTCTTTTGTACTCTTTCCCTTTATTTCTCAGACTGGCTGATACTTAGGGAAAATAGAAAAGAATCTACATTGAAATATTGGGGGCTGTTTCCCCCAATAAGAAAACCTGCCTGAAATAAAGATATGTGATTTAGTAGAATGACAATATAGAATTAAAGCCAAGTAGTGCCACTTTCCAAGAACCTATATTAGTAACTGTAAAATTATAAGTGAAGAGTCTGGGTATAGTGTTTTCTAACATTATCTCCCTGACTACTATGTAATAGCTCCATTTCATTTCTCTCTTACACACACACACAAACATGCACACACACATATTTACATAAACACACTTAGTAGAGGCTACCTATCTCATATTATACATCTTCTTGATAAGAAACTGAATGATTGGGTCAGTTAAAAGACATAATTTCCTCCAATAATTCCTGATAATACTTGATTTTCTCTCTTTAGTAATTTGTACCAATTCTTTCAGTAGTGCCTGCTGTGCTGTTACTCTTTTGTGATGGAACAAATTCTTTTTTCACAGGAAATGGAAGAATTTATCCAGAGCTCTGGAGAAAATGGTGTTGTGGTGTTTTCTCTGGGGTCAATGATCAGCAACATGTCTGAAGAAAGGGCCAATGTAATTGCATCAGCCCTTGCCAAGATCCACAGAAGGATAGATAAAGTTCCTTACGGTATGGAAAACTACCAAAAGAGGCTGTTAAAGTCTATAAATAATCCAATTATAGAAATTTCCTTCCTGGAAATGTAGCTCTTGGGAAAGCACTAATTATCAGATATTAGTTCAAAATGAGAAATGTACATGAAAGATGCTAAAGTAATACAAAGGGTATAATCATGGATAATAAATTTGGTACTAATATTGTGAACAGGAAGAAATATATTAAGAGGCGTAGGTAAAGTTTTGATATTATCATGATATTGAGGTCACATAAGAGATATCACCAAATTATTTCCCTGTCATCTGATCCTTATGTTTAAGGATTCCTGAGGAAATTATACACACTATAGATGTTATCAGAAGAAGTTACATTTTAATGGGTGACTTCACTAGCACAATAACAATAACAGGTATTTCAAAATGTCTAACATGCATCATGCAGTTTAGGCTTGCCATGTAATCTGGCCTCATGTAGTTCCTCCACATTTTGGAATAGGCCCATCTGAGTGATGTTCAGGGTACTATTCAGAGAAAGAATGGCCTAGGCTGACAGACTTAGTCCAAGTTCTCACCTAGCCAGGTAGATTTAGAAAAAGAGAAAAAGCAGCCTCCCTTGCTGGACTGGGCCCAGCCAATGTCTAAAACAGGAAGATGAAAGAAAAAGGATGGAAATGGATCCTGACCTGAAGGTGGATCCTGTGCTGTATAAAATGTGGCCCCACAAGGACTCAGCACTAACTATCAGATTAACAATTCTTCCCAATGGAGGCAGCAGAAAAAAATATAGGAAGGAGTCAAACAGAAGGAAGCCAGGTGGGGAATAGGTTCAGATGCTCCCTCTATAATACATAGTAGGAACATATTTTCTTCTGTATAGAATAAAACGGTGACTTTTGTGTATTTGTCAATTACTTTTTAGCTCCCTATCTGATATAGTCTTCTTGCAATGACCTCCACTAAAGTTTTTTGCTGAAAAACCAGTTATTTTAATACTGATATAACAAGTAAAACACTGTAAATTATTTATCAGTTTATGAGGATTGCTTGGGAGTTCCAAAATTAGTAACTTAAACATAAGAATGTCTTGGCTATAGTAGAACATATTAATCACTGTTGTCAAAGCTTTGTAGCACATTGTCTAAGTGTTAACAATCTGTTGACCAAATTCAGAAAAATATGATTTTGAATTTGTTCAACAGCTATATCTTTATTTATGATACCAGCAGGTTCCTCATTTCAATGCTGAAAAAAAACAACAAAAATTAGCAATACTGATAATACTCTGAATTTGTCTCAGAAATTGTCCCTTGAAATTTCTCCTGGAAGTAGTGCTTGATAATTCATAATTTCAAAGAAGTTATACATGCTACCTTTGTAGCATTATTTCTTACAATTAGCTTATTTTATCAACTTGCTTTTTTGTCAATCAAAGAACACCAAACCCTAACATAATAACTTATAGACAAGCAGAAATACATGAATTACTTCCTATATTACCAAAAATGAATAAATTAATATTTAATTTGGAAGATGAAAACTAGTATAAAATACATAAAATAAAATAAGCATATAGGTCATTACTAAATTGTTACTGCTTATTCTCACTAGAATTATAATGACTATTTAAATATTTTTCATACATACAATTTTTTAGAATTTTTGTGTGCTTAAAATTAAATTTATTTTATTTTTTAAATTTTATTTTAAGTTCAGGGGTACAGGTGCAGGTTTGTTACATAGATAAATTTGTATTATGGGAGTTTGTTTTACACATTGTTTAATCGCCCAGTCATTAAGACCAGTACCCATTAGTTATTTTACCTGATCTTCTCTCTTCTCCTGCCCTCCACCCTCCAATACACCCCAGTATGTTGTTCCATGCTATGTTTCCATGTGTTCTCATCTTTTAGCTTCCACTTAACAGTGAGAACATGTGGTTCTGTTTCTATGCTAGTTTGCTAAGGATAACAGCCTCCAGCTCCATCTATGTCCTGTAAAATACATATCTTGCTTTTTTATGGCTGCATAATATTCCATGGTGTATATATATCCCATTCCATTTTCTTTATTCAGTCAATCATTGATGGGCATTAAGGTTGATTCCATATCTTTACTATTGTGAATACTACTGCTATTAATAAACGTGTATGTGCCTTTATAAGAGAATCATTCATCATCCTTTGCGTATATACCCACTAATGAGATTGGTGAGTTGAATTGTATTTTAGCCTCTAGGTTTTTGAGGAAGTGCCACACTGTCTTCCACAATGGTTGAACCAACATAAACTCCCACTAACAGAGTATAAGCATTCCTTTTTCTACACAATCTTGCTAGCATCTATTACTTTTTAAGTTTATAATAGCCATTATGACCGGTGCAAGATAGTATCTATTGTGATTTTGATTTGCATTTCTCTAATGAGCAGTGATGGTAAGCTTTTTGCATATGATGGTTGGCCACACATAGGTCTTCTTTTGTAAAGCATACCAATTTTTTAAATACTTGAACTTTTCATTTATAATCTCATTTTTCTAAGCTATTATTTGGAAAATCCTGACTTCCTTATATGCTTAACTAATTATAGAAGTTAAGAAAATGAAATGTTGGCATTCTATTTACATCAGTCTTTGAGTAGTTTTATTACCTAACATCCCTGATCTCATTCTTAATCTCTTTAGAGTCCTAACATTCTCTAACTTTGGAGTTCTACTAACGGAATAAGATATTTTTTTTACTGTAGCAGGTTCTGTGGAGATTTGATGGGAATAGACCACATGGCTTGGGACTCAATACTCGAGTGTACAAGTGGATACCCCAGAATGACCTTCTTGGTATGACTCTGGAGTAGAAATACTGAATATATTAGTACCAGCCCATTAGAGTGTGAATAATTAATCATGAAATAAGCTTATTCAAAATGTGTTATGGAAAAACTTATAAATAAAATGAAACTTCTTTGTATTTATTTTCCAGTCCTTCGGGGAACATAATAAGCTATAATTGCTGGCATTTTATGATATACATTCACAGTCTTTATGGTCAGAATCAGGGTATTTTTATTTCAAGTGTTATTATTTCTTGCAGAATTTTTTATTAACGTCATAGATTGTCTCTTTGTCTCCTATTTCTATAACTTTACACTTGTTCTTTCTTTTTATGCAGGGTTATTTCAAATGTCACTAATAAAACAGCTCTTCTGCTATCACCAGGAAGTCTGAATTTTCTGTAGGATTAAATTCCTAATCTTAATCATAAAGTGATGACTCATTTCGTGACGAAGTGTGACCTGTCCTTCCTCAATCATAGCACCACCACCACCCCACTGCCTGCTGCCTTGCACATCTCACATATCACATTCCGTGACTGCACTTAGGAGAACACATTCTTACATGTCCTTCTCTTTTCTTTGATTCTTTTTCTTTTTTTTTCGCATTTAATTTAGATCACATTGTTTCTTTAGTCCAACTGGTAATCTTGTTTAATTTTTTTTCAGTCTGAAGTCACACAAAACATATAGCTTTCACTTATATCTCCAGCAGAAGTATGTGCTCCTTCCTCTGAAGTCTGAAACACAATTTTAATTTAGTTCAATGTTTTAGCTAGAAAACACTGTCACTTGCGTGTTTTGTTGTGCATTTCTCATTTTATTCCTATGAGTAATATTGCTAAAATTTATCCAATCCTAGTTCATCCAAAAACCAGGGCTTTTATAACTCATGGTGGATCCAATGGCATCTACAAGGCAATCTACCATGGGATCCATATGGTGCACATTCCATTGCTTGCAGATCAACCTCATAACATTGCACACATGAAGGCCAAGGGCACAGCTATTAGATTGGACTTCCGCACAATGTCTAGTACAGACTTGCTCAATGCTTGAAGCCAATAATTAATGACCCTTTGTGAGTATAACAATATCTTTTCACTAGGTGGTATTTATAGATACCTTATCTTCTCAATAGTATGAGTTTCATCCTTTTTTCAAGAGACTAATTTTGAAAGAATTTAAATGATGTAACCAATCTGAAATCTTCTTTTATTTTTGAGCAGTTGTTTAAAAACTGTTTTTAGAACTCCGTACATTTAATGGGTATCCAATAGTGAAACAATTTTTTACACAAAAATAATTTTCAAGTAATATAGATAATATAAAAAAGACTGTTTTAAAAAAATTTCATGATCAGTCCACAGTAGAAAAGAAGGATAAACTTAAAGAAATATGATAAAATGTTTTAATTAAACATCCAAAATATCTAAAAGTATAACTATTTTCCTGCTGAAAAATTCATTTTTATTCTTTTCATTATTGTAACAGGCTTGATAATTAGATATAATTTCCACGACTTAAAATCCACCTATTTAAGGTTTAAAATCCCAATATATTTAGAATGCTTACGAGTCACGAAGCCATCATCTGCAATCACATAATTTAGGGTGTTGTGTAAACGACTTATTTCACTGAGCATAATTTTTTGGGTTTTTTAAAATAGTTTTTAGATTCGTTCATGTTGTAGTGTGTATTAATACTTCATTTCTTTTTACAGCAGTATAATATTTTATAGTATGGATATGCCATATTTTATATGTTCACTTATCAGTTCATTGGCCTTTTGATTGTTTCCAATTATGGCTACTAGGAACATTGCTACACGTGTTTTTGCATAAACATGTTTTTCTTTATTTGGGATTGATACTATAAGTGGAATTGCTGGCTCATGTGGGAACTGTATGTTTATGAAGAACTGCTGAACTGTTTCCCAAAGTCCTTGTTCCATTTGTCATTCCCACCAACAGTGCAAGAGGGTTCCAATTCCTCCACACTGTTGCCAACACATGTTATTATCTTTTTGTTATAGCCTTCTTAGTGGGTGTGAAATGATCTTTCATTGTGGTTTTGGATTGGATTTTCATTACAGCTAAAAATGTTGACCATTGTTATATGTGCTTACTGACCATATATGGCTTTGGAAAAACACGTATTCCAATCCTTGGAACATTTTTAAACTTTGCTACTTGTCTTATTATTGAGTTTTAAGAACTATTTATGTTTCATGGATATAATCTTAGATACATAATTTGCAAATATTTTGTTTCATTCTGGGTGTGCTAACATTTTACACTTTTGATGATGGTTTTTGAAGCACAAAATTTTTAATTTTAATAAGTTAAATTTTTAATAATTGATTTATTTATACTCCAAAGGATACAACATGCAAAATGTCTACCCACTCCAGCTACCATCAGTTCAGCATTTATAACTACTATCAATAATGTTTTCATGTAAGACAGCCATCACCTAAAGGAATACTTTTAAAACAGGTTGTACAATAAAACAGGTTGGACCAATATAAAAGAAATATAAAATAAGGTGGTTTATTTAAATGTAAATACACAGATACTTCCATTAAATCTAAACAAACTTTAAAAAGAGGAGCAAATAATGAGTAATGCCATAGAACATTAGAAGAACACAGTTAACGAATGGAAACTTGTAACAAGATACACACACACGCATGCATATATATATATGTATCATATATATCAACTAAAAGACATTTTCTTAGAGCATATTGAATTGTTAATAATTATTTGAAGTGACATGTGGTGGGACATAAATCAAGACTCAGTAAATTTGAAAAGATTCAATATCATAAAGAATATATGATCCAGCCTTAGTAGAAGTAAGGGAAATTTTAAAAAATGTAACTAAAATATCTTTAATTTTGGAAATTAAGAAAATACACTTCAAAAAAATTTAAAGTCCTGCCTCAGCCTCCCCAGTAGCTGGGATTACAAGCATGCACCACCATGTCCAGCCAATTTTGTATTTTTAGTAGAGACAGGGATTCACCATGTTGGTCAGGCTGGTCTTGAACTCCTGACCTCAGAACATCCACCCGCCTTGGCCTCCCAAAGTGCTGGGATTACAGGCGTGAGCCATCGCTTGAACCTGGGAGTTGGATGATGCAGTGAGCCAAGATCATGCCATTGCACTCCTGCCTGGCCAACAAGGGCAAAATTCTGTTTCCAAAAAAAATAAAATAAATATAATAAATAAATAAAACTTAAAAAAATTAAAAATTAAGAAAAAAAAAGTCAAGAAGTTAATCATAATTAAGCATGCATTTTTATCTCAGCAATTCTACTTTCAATTATATACCCAACAGATATGTATAAATATGTAAATCTAGTGCTACATATGACATGGACAGGAAACAGGAAAATACTGGGTAGAAGAGGTCGGTTCCCCAGCAAAGTTCCCACCCTCAAGCCTGAAAACTAAATGAGAACAGACATTCTGTTTTTGAGGCCCGAAGTTCCCTTTTGGCCCACCATGCCCTCCTATTCTGTACCCATATGAACCCCAAACCCCCGGCATGAAAAGAAGAGCCGAAGAATGGCAGAATGGTGCATCAGAGAGAAGAGAATGAATTTCTGAATGCAGAGAGTAGTTCAGCTGGGGACAGTTGGAGAGGAGAGGAAATTGGATGCTGGATGGCCAAACTCCAGAGGAAGATCATCTTCCCACTCCATCACCATCCCAGCTCTCCATTCATCCAAGAGCCACCTCCACCACTCAATAAAAACCCCTGCATTCATCCTTCGAGTCCATGTGCGACCTGATTCTTTCTGGATCCTGGACAAGGACTTAAGTACTAACAGGGCACTGAACTGGTTAACACTTAAGCCATCAATACATTGCAAGGTTAAAAGAGTACACCAACACATACCTACTTGGGCTTTGGGAGTTGTAGACACCCACCCCTGGATGCTGCCATGGGGCCAGAGCCCAGGGGCGCTCGCCCAGGCTCCTGCACTTGCCTGTCTGCATGCTCCCCCTCCCATAAGGGGCTTGAATGTGCATGGGGGCTGAAGAGATGAGCCACACAGCTGTCGCACATCTTGTGGGGGGGGGCCCAGAACTCTTGCATTTCATATACAAGAATGTTTATGACAGAATTATCAATATTATCCAAAAATTGTTAGCAACCCAAATGTCTATTGGTCATAAAATGATGACATAATCTGTGTTTTAGCAATCAACAAAATACTAAACAGCAATGGAATTAACCAACAACAGCTACACAAAAATTTTAAAAAAAATAGGCTCTAATGAATATATGTTATATAATTCAATTACATAAACAAAGGAAACTAATGTATGATATTTGAAGTCAGGCTAATATTTAATTGGAAGACAAAAGTAGTGAATAAATGGTTCAGAAAAGGAGAGTTATTCTAGGCAGGTTGTGATATCGTACACCATGATCTGAGCAGAAGGTAAATTGGTATCTTCTCTTCAAGATAATGTTCAAGATGATCTCACACTTTTGACCTATTCACTTAGTGTATGTATTTTTATCTTTTCATTTCAATATTTAAAGGTTTATTTTATATGATATATAATGTATTTAAAATTCTAGGAATCAAATATCAAAATAAGCATAAAACAATAGAGAAAATCCTAGAGGTTCCATCATAGAGTGTCCAGGAAAAGCCTAACTTAGAGGTAACACTTAGAGGGAAACCTCAAAAGGAGATAGAAGCATGCCTTGGGTTGTTGAAAGAAAGAATGTTCCAAGAGTGCGAGAGAGGGGGCAAAATGTGTAAAGATGCTATGATGAGAACACTTTTGGTACTTTAAAGAAAAATAGACCAACGTCTCTAGAAGACATAGTGTGTATGGAAAAAGTGTTAGGAGAAGAGCTTGCCAGTGTTTGACATTGCAGGGTCCTGTAGACCAAATAACAGAGTTGGATTTTATTCTTAATATGATAGGTCAGGCAAAAATCTTAATCAGGGGAGTTGCAAAATCTGACCTTTAATTTCAAAAATTTCATTCTGGCTACTGGGTAGGAAACAGTAGGAGAAAAATGGTAGGGTAGAAGCAGAGTGACTAGCTATGAGGCATTTCACTGACCATGGCACAATTCCTTTTAGGAACTTAAAAATGGTAATTCTCAAATTGTATTTTCACTATCTTTCCTAAAGAACTTAAAATTGCTCATGATGTTGAGCACGTTCTCATATGCCTGTTAGAGAACTAAAAGGGTGTAATTGTATTGTTCATAACAGAAAGGATAAATGTTTAAGGAAGGATACTTTATTCTCCATGATGTGATTATTTCACATTGCAACCTGTATCAAAACATCTCATGCAACCCATAAATATATACACCTAGTAAGTACCCACAAAAACTAAAAATTAACAAATTAAAAAATAATAATAAAATGGCTCATATTTGCTTTGCCTGAAAGAAATTAGTTTTCCTGACTTTCCATTTTACTTTAAAAAAATTGTCAACGATAAAATTCCAATTTAATAGTTGAAGTTTCTATGATGACTCAAACTAAATTGTACAAATTCTATGTCAATTATATGTCATTTACTCTGAATCATTTGGCACTGTAAAAACCTTTCATGGGCCAGGTGCAGTGGCTAACGCCTGTAATCCCAGCACTTTGGGAGGCCGAGGCGGGTAGATCACCTGAGGTCAGGAGTTTGAGACCAGCCTGGCCAACATAGAAAAACCCTGTCTCTCTCTACTAAAAATCCAAAAAGTAGCCAGGCATGGTGGTGTGCGCCTGTAATCCCACCTACTCGGGAGGCTGAGGCGGGAAAAATCTCTTGACACCACGGGAAGGGGAGGTTGCAGTGAGCCGAGACTGCACCACTGCACTCCAGCCTGGGCAACAGAGTAAGACTCTGTTTCAATAAATCAATAAAATAAAATAAAATAAAAAATAAAAGCCTTATATGGACTTGATATGCTCAAGAAAATAAACTTACTTTCAATTTTGGTATCTCTATGTTTATCCTTCAGATATAAAGAGAACACTATGAAGTTATCAAGAATTTGACATGATCAACCAGTAAAGGTCGAGCAGTCTTCTGGATTGAATTTGTCATGTGCTGTAAAGGAGCCAAGCAACCTCGGGTTGCAGCCCAGGACCTCACAGGCTTCCAGTAACACTCCTTCAACGTGATTGGGTTCCTGCTGTCCTGTGTGGCAACTGTGATATTTACCATCATGAAATGTTGTATGTTTTGTGTCTGGAAATTTGCTAGAACTGGAAAGAAGGGAAACAGATTTGTTGTATTTGAAGCTTGAAGTTGGGAAACCTGATAGATGGGACTTCTTCAGTTTATTCCAACAAGAAAGATTATGATGCAAGTTTCCTTTCTTTCTGTGACAGAATATCTCTTCAAAAATTACTTACCTTGGCAACTAAAAAATTTGTTTTTCAGAGATTTAATACCTGTTTAATGGTTAGAAATACTTTTTGTCAAGAAGGAAAATACTGGCAAAAATATTAAATAGTATAAAGCCATACGAGCTGATGTTAAAATTTGTCAAGCTTATATTGAAATTCATTGCCCTCATTCACAAGTTACATGAAAAAATTTTTACTGAGCTTAACTACATTTCACATATTGTACTTAAACACAAGAATATTGAGAAGTCCACTGACAGTATCGGTTCTATTTTGCAAATACTCAGATTACTTTGGCTTCATTTTGAGCAGGATTTTCATATTTTAACTGTTGTTAAAGGAACTATTAAACAATTGAATTGTATAAAAAATCTCTCTCTTCCTTTTGATATTTTGAGATGAGTAGTGCTGCTTGGCCTTTATGGTGCATACTGCTTCAGCGTCAGTTTTTTCCTAAAATTTATGGCAAAAATGTTTATTGTTTTAGAGCTTTAGTCATTTCCCAGTGGAACGTATGTGGCATTAGAAATATAGCAACTGCTACCTGCTTCCTACAGTAATATTGAACTATTTTACAAAGCCTTTGGTTCTATGAGCCAATTCAGGCTTTCCATGTGATATCAACAAAATCAATACATCTTTGTCCAAAAAAAAAATTAAAAATGGAGAAATGAGTAAGTGAGTGGTGGAGAGAACACCGGACTAAAAGTCAGGAGAGCTGGGGTCAAGTCCCACCCTTCTGCTGAGCCAGTCTTTCATCCTGAGTCTCAGTTTACCCATTTTTTCTGGTCATTTAAAAATATTCATCTGTTTGATTTTATTCTCATATTTTAAATTATTTCAATAGATTTTAGGGAACAGGTGGTGTTTGATTTGATGGATAATTTATTTAGTTGTGATTTCTGAAATTTTGGCACACCCATCATCCGAGCAGTGTACACAGCACCCAATGTATAGTCTTTTATCCCTCTTCCCACTCCAACCTTCCCTGAGTCCTGAGAGTCCATTATATTATTCTTATGGCTTTGAATTTTCATAGCTTAGCTCCCACTTATAAGTGAGAACATCCAATGTTTAGTTACCTAATCCTGAATTACTTCACTTAGAATACTGGTCTCCAATTCCATCCAGGTTGCTGTTAATGGCATTATTTTCTTCCTCTTTATGACTGAGTAGTATTCCAAGGTGTGTGTCTGTGTGTATGGGGGGTGTATATTATATATATGTGTGTGTGTGTATATATATATATATACACACACATACATACATATCATATTTTCTTTATCCACCCATTGGTTGATGGGCATTTAGGTTTGTTCCATATTTTTACAGTTGGGAATTGTACTGCTGTAAAGATTTGCATAAGTCTTTGCAAATAATGACTTCTTTTTTTCTGTGTAGATATCCAGTAGTAGGATAGCTGGGTAAAAATGTAGATCTACTTTTAGTTCTTAAGGAATGTCCATACTGTTTTCTATAGTGGTTGTACTAGTTTACATTCCCACCAGTAGTGTAAAAGTGTTCCTTTTTACTACATCCATGCCAATATTGTATTATTTTCTGTTTTTTTTTAATGATGTCCATTCTTACAGGAGGACAGTAGTATTGCATTGTGGTTTTGATTTGCATTTCCATGATAATTAGTGATGTTGAGCATTTTTTTTATGTTTGTTGTCCATTTGTATATTTTCTTTTGAGAATTGTCAATTCATGATCTTAGCCTAATTTTTGATGATATTATTTGTTTTTCTCTCGTCTGTTTGAATTTTCGTAGATTCTGAATATTAGTCCTTTGTCAGGTACATAGTTTGTGAATATTTTCTCCCATTCTGTGAGTTGTCTGTTTATTCAGCTGATTATTTCTTTTGCTGTGCAGAAGCTTTTTAGTTTAATTAAGTCACATCTATTTATCTTTGTTTTTGTTGCACTTCCTTTTGGGTTCTTGCTCATGAAGTCCTTGTTAAGCCAATGTCTAGAAGAGACTTTCTGATGTTCTGTCCTAGAATTTTTATTGTTTCAGGTCTTAGGTTTAATTTTTTCATCCATCTTAAGTAGATTCTTTTTTATAAGTCGAGAGATGTGGATTCAGTACCATTGTACTACAAGTGACTTGTCAATTATCCCAGCACCACTGGTTGAATAGGGTGTCCTTTCTCCACTTTATGTTTTTGTTTGCTTTGTCAAAGATCAGTTGGCAATAAGTATTTGGCTTTATTTCTGGAATCTGGATTCTGTTCCATTGGTCCACATGTCTGTTTTTATGCCTTTGCCATCCTGTTTCAGTAGCTACAGCCTTGTAGTAGTTTGAAGTTGGGTAATGTGATACCTCCAGATTTGTTCTTTTTGCTTAGTCTTGCTTTGGCTATGCAGACTTCAAGCCAAGAATCAAATCAAGAATTCAACCCATTTCACAACAGCTGAATCAAAAAGAAAAAAAATAAAATAAAATACTTAGAAATATATCCAACCAAGAAGGTGAAAGACCTCTACTAAGAAAACTATGAAACCTACAAAATACTGTCAAAAAAAATCATAGATGACACAAACAAATGGAAACATCTCTCATGCTCATGGATGGGTAAAATCAATTTTATGAAAATGACAATACAGCCAAAAGCAATCTATGAGTTCAATGCCATTCTCCTAAACATACCATAATCATTCTTAACAGAACTAGAAAAAACAATCCTAAATTTCATATCGGTTTTATTCTCATTTTGACCTTTAATAGCAAATACAAGTTCTTAATTTTAGTTTGTGATAATATAGGAAATGCATTCTAAAGGGACTTAGTGAATTTTCAATCTTGATGAACATACAGGCACATATACATGTCCATTTCTTTTGAAACAAGACACAGCATCACTTTACAATCTAATAGCTATGTTGGGAAATTCAATGTGTTTATTGAAGACAGTTTGAATTTATAATTATTATTCTACATAACTATACTTTAAATGATCAAGTCTAATTTTTTTTTCTCTTTTCCACAGTCTTTTGATCTTTCCCTCCGATAAATATAATTTGGCAACACTACATTTTTTAGCATAACAAAAATACATCTACAAAGAATACAAAAAGTTTATAAATTTTGTGGAAAATAGCTAAGTCAAGCCATAAACCTCCTTTAATCTGCACATCAGGGAAGCACTTTATGATCAAAGTGGTCCAGATTGACAGAAACCCAGTTGTCTTTGTTAATCAGAAGTCTTATCACTAAACAAGTCTCCCAACAAATATTATTCGGCCTAAGGCATGATTTAAATATATGTCACTATATAAACATGTGTGTATATATACACACATATATATCACTATATATACACACACACATATATGTTATATATATCACTATATATATCACTAAATATGTAGATTTGTATTTGTATACATATATATAAATCATGTCATACACACACACACATGCACTAAAACAATGATGTTAAAGAAATTATAGGAAGTGTGTATAACAGAATATTTTACACAAATCATCCTGGTATTGATACATTTATAAAGGAAAACAGGAATAACAAGGTGGCAAAGGCTAAAAATGTTGTTTTATCATTCTTATAAGCCTGAAATAATTCACAGTAAACCTATTCTACAACACACTTAAAAGGTGGGTATCTATTGTTTAGTGAGTACTACAATCACCAACTAAAAAGGAGAAACATTCCAATATAAAACTTAATGAAAATATGAACAGGCACTTCAAAGTAGAAATTCCCAAAAACATATAAAAGATTATAAAGTAACTGATGCTCAGGAAAATAGAAACAATGCCAATAAATTAATGCTCTAGAGATTTGCAACCTATAAAAACCTGAAAAATCTATTTTTGAGGGAGTATAATGCAAAATAACCTTCTAAAATAAAATGTCAATATACAGTTTGAAACTGAAGTTCTACATCTATAAATCTATCATGCAGAAATCCTTCCATATAAGCACATGTATGAACAGAATATTTCCTCCAGCACTTACTTGGCTCCAGTCAATGAACACACATAGCTCCAACAAATGTGAGTGTAGTCATTGCAGAGAACAGTTTATTCCATTGCTAAATAGAAAAAGTAGTTTCCAGAAAAAAAGGCTTACTTGTACTTGTAATGAAATAAAATAAAATATATGTAAACTTGTACAATGAAAAAAAATCTAGAAGAATACACATAAATATAAGGATGGGAATTTTAGATTTTATTCTACAGAATCCTGCAGTATTTAACTTTTTACAATATTTTCATGTGTTATTTATGAGGTTTAAAAATGAATTTGTGAAATAAACATAAAATCAGTACACGACGTTTGAAAAATTAACATCTCGTTATTAATTCATTAGTGTTATTCAAAAAACTTGAATTGATCATGTTTCTCACATGCTATTTTATTCATTTGCAGCTTTTTTTAGAACCCTTATTCCATGTTTAAAATACCTATGGATACATATAATACAATGTTTAAAAAATTGCAAGAACTGTAGATATCTAAATTCACATAATTTTCATATTTTGTTTTTTTATTATTTTTAATATTTTATGAATCTTACAATAACTTAACAACTTCTACTGTCTTCTTCAAAAGGTTATATTGGTTGTGATTTTTGTGACATGACTATAAATACTTTGACAATTTTCCTGTCAAGTAATATCCCCTCCCTTTGAAGTTTGGCAAACCTTGTAGCTGTCTCAACAGAAACGATATAGTGGAAATAATGCAGCTTATCTTACAAAGTTCTGTTGGAAACACAAAGTGTTCTCTCTCTCTTTCTCCCTCTCTCTTTGGATCTTTTGTTTGTATGTTTCTTTTTCTCTCTACACCTCCTCAACTCCATCTGTAGTCCCCGTAATAAATGACAATTTGGTAGAGAGACACAGATATATGCCCAAGAAATCCTGGTAGCCCACTAGCACTTTGAGCCCTTCAACTTGAATCATTAAGTATGTAAGTGAATGATCTTCAGATAATTATAGACCGAGGCACCGTAGGAAAGTAGCTACCTAAGAAACTCTGTGGAAGGAACACATAATTGAGCTCAACCAACACCCAAACTCTGAGCGATGATAATAAAATGATTACAGTTGTTTTAAGGCCTGACATTTGGAAACAATTTGTCATGCAGTGATATATAACTGGAATAATAAATCTACATATTTTAAATTATACATTTGTAATAAAATTACAATTAATATATAGCTACATGAGTGGAAAATAGGGAATATTATATTTTGAAAATATCTGTACCTCAAATAGAAGACTCAGCATAACATGGTGGTTAAGAGCTGGCACTCTGGATCCAGATGCCCTTCATTCAAGTCTCTGAGAAACCACTACATAATGATGTGGGGTTGGACAAGTTACTTGGACTTTATTTGCTTCAACTTCCTCACCAATGAAATGGCATTGGTGGTCATAGTATTATCAACCTCATGGGGTTGCTGAAAGGATGAATTCATTAATATTTCAAGCACAAAAAACAATTGTATATACAGCAAAGTAAAATTTTTTTGTAACATTGAATGTGGCAAAGTTTTTAGATATGACACCAGGAGCAGGAGCAACCAAAATAAAATTGATAAATTAGGTTTCATCAAATTAAAATTTTTCACACATCAAAGAACACCTTCAATAAAGTCAAAAGAGAAACCAGAGTTTGAAGTATCTATTTGCAAGTTACATACCTGATAAGTGACTTACTTATATAAAAAAAAATAAAGAAAGCTTACAGCTCAATGTTAAAAAGACAAATAACATAATCAAAAAATGTTTAAAAATCTAAACAGGAATTTTACCAGGGAATATGCAAATGTCCAATAAGATCATGAAAAAAATGTTTTATGTTGGATTACATAGTTAAGAGAAATATATAACATCTTCCCAATCACAAGTAACTTTTCCTTTGTGCTCATAGTCAGGGAAATAAATTCTCATGGCTAAACAGAAAAGCTGCCTGGAATAAATACAAGTGATTTAGCAGAGCTGTAACAATATAAAATTAAAGATAAGTAAACAAATAACACTAGTCTTCCTAAGAATCCATACTAGGGATTAAAATATTATAAATGAAGAGTCTGGTTTCCATATTTTTTAACAGTATCTTTCCCACTACTCTGTAAAGATGCTATTTTAATTCTTATTATATATACTAAGTCAAACACACATGAAGGAAGAGAAAGACCCTCTCATATTATTTTATATTGTTTTATCCTCAGTACCTGTTTTAAGAAAAAAACAAATAAGTGAAATCAAAGATAGGCAGCCCGGCGCCAGGCCCAAAACCAGCCCTGGGCCTGCCTGGCCTAAACCTAGTAGTTAAAAATCAACTCATAACTTAGAAACCGATGTTACTCATAGATTCCAGACATTATATAGAAGAACATTGTGAAACTCCCTGCCCTGTTCTGTTTCTCTCTGACCACCGGTGCATGCAGCCCCTGTCAAGTACCGCCTGCTTGCTCAAATCAATCACGACCCTTTCATGTGAAATCTTTAGTGTTGTGAGCCCTTAAAAGGGACAGAAATTGTGCATTTGGGGAGCTTGGATTTTAAGGCAGTAGCTTGCTGATGCTCCCAGCTGAATAAGTCCCTTCTTTCTACAACTCGGTGTCTTGAGTTTTGTCTGCGGCTCCTCCTGTTACATTTCTTGGCTCCCTGACCGGGAAGCAACGTGACTGACAGACAGCTGAGGCAGCCCCTTAGGCAACTTAAGCCTGCCTTGTGGAGTGCCCCTGTGGGGGACTCCAGCCAGCCTGAGTGACATGATCCAAAGAGCCCTCCTGGGTAGGAAATTGCCCCGGTGGAATCCCTCACCAGAGAAGCAGGTAGCAGGCCCTCGCAGAGGATTAACACAGTGGCTGAACACCAGGAAGGAACTGGCACTTGGAGTCCAGACATCTAAAATTTGGTAAGACTAGTCTTTGGAACTTGCCCCACTCCACCTGAGTGGAAGTGTGGCCTGATCACCCACGGTGTGCCTGTATTGGCACCTTTGTTCTGGTTTTGACTCGGCTTGACTTGGTAGGACTAGTCTTTTGAACTTGCCCCACTCCACCTAAGTGGAAGCGTGGCCTGATCAACCCAAGGTGTGCCCTTATTGGCACCTTTGTTCTGGTTTTGACTTGACTTGAATTGCTGGATACTTTGGTTTCGGTTTTTGGCCTGGCTTGAATTTCTGGGTATGCTGATTTTGGTTTTGATTTTGGTTTGGTATAAACTGCAAAAGTGTGTGTGTGCCCTTTTACCTGTTCTTTGTTTTGTGGTGTGTGTGTGGTGTGAGCGTGGTGTTTTGCCTCGAAAAAACATGGATCAGGTGCAAAGTAAGCCCACCCCACTGAGAACTATGTTAAAGAATTTCAAGAAAGGATTTAATGGAGACTATGGAGTCACTATGACTCCAGGAAAACTTAGAGCTTTGTGTGAAATAGACTGGCCAGCATTAGAGGTAGGTTGGACATCAGAAGGAAGCCTGGACAGGTCCCTTGTTTCAAAGGTATGACACAAAGTAACCTGTAAACCAAGGCACCAAGACCAGTTTCCATACATAGACAGTTACAGCTGTCTTTAGACCCCTTCCCCCCCAACAGTAGTTAAGAGAACAGCAGCATAAGCAGCTGGCAGAGGCAAGGAAAGACCAGCAGAGAGAAAAAAAAGGCCATCTATACCAATTCTAAGTTAATTTAGACTAAACAAGGTCTTATTAATAGCAAAGGATAATTGAAATCCCAAACTTACAAGGTTTTCAACAAAAGTGAAGTTTGCTAAAAGTTAACAGTGTAACACATATTATGGTAAATTCTAATCTTGTGGCCTTAGACAGTCTAGTCCAAAGACATCAAAAAAGTTTGCTTAAAAAAAAAGAAATGGTTATCTTCAAAAAAAAAAAAAAAAAAAAAAAGAAGGGGAGGCAAAATTTACGTAAAAAGAGTGTTATATGGTAAATTCTTGTTCTGAAATAAATTGGTTGTTTCAAGAAAAAAATGTTTGTAATAAGTCAAAAAGTTGAGACATGTTGAAGAATTGTCAGTGGAAGTCGTGAAAAAAAGTTATAAAAATTTATGCAAAAAGGTTTTATAATTTAAAAGTAATTTGGCCTCTTGAGTACTATTGAAGAAACAGTTTATGTGCAAAGTGTATAAAAAAGTAAAACATACCTTTGGTAAAAAGATTATAAGGAGGCATAAAAATGTGGATTTTTACCTACATTAAAAGGTTAAAAAAATTATTGTTTTAAAAGTTTAAGCAAGTTTTAAAACATTAATTGTAAAGAAAAGTCTGTGTGTAAACATATTAGCTAAAGTTAAAAAGATATCATCCAGTTTTTCTGCGAACTAGACATAAAAGTAAAAATGCAACAGGTTTTTTTTCTTAAAGCATCAACCTGCTCTTTAACAAAAATTATAAAAGGTTAAAAAGAGTCTATAAAATCTTACCTTATGGTCAAACATGAAAAATTAGATAAATATGTCTTCAAGGTTTTATTAAAATTAAGTTTAATATTAATAGCATACTAATATAAAGGTAAAATTTAGCTTATCTGGTATAAAAATCATACAAGAAGCATTATTAAATATGAAATGGTGTTTAGCTTTCTTTGGTCTAAAAACTAATACAAATTGGTGCTAAAGGAAACATTCATTTTACTAGAAGATCACAGAAGTTAAAGACTTAAAAAAAACTTTGGCAATTAAGACAGCATACCAAGATGCAAATGCCTGGTTGAAATAGATCAAATATTCCATCTGCACGTTAAACAAAAGCAATTGTTATGCTTGTGCACATGGCAGGCCAGAGGCCCTAATTGTCCCCTTTCCACTACAGTGGTCCTCCAGTTGACCAGGCGTAGGCTGCATGGTAACTCTTTTCCAGGATTCTACAGCCTGGAGTAATAAGTCATGCCAAGCTCTCTCTGCTATATCCTGAAGTCCCTGTGGGTCAGCCTCCGAGGGCCATCCAGCTTCCATCTCCCAACACTAAGTTCACTTCGTGTCTCTCACAGCAGGGAGGAGACAGCATTCCTTAGAGACCTGAAAGGATGCAGTGAGCTTAAGAATTTTCGAAAGGTTATCAATCAGTCAGCCGTTGTTCATCCCCGAGCAGATGTGTGGTGGTATTGTGGTGGACCTTTACTAGGTACTCTGCTGAATAAGTAGAGTGGCACTTGTGCTTTAGTCCATTTGGCTATCCCTTTCATCCTGGCATTTCATCAACCAGAGGAAGAAAAGAAAATAATAAGATATCATAAAGCGAGAGAAGCCCCTTATAGGTCTTCCAACTCTCATATCTATTTAGATGCAATTAGAGCCCCGCAAGGAATACCAGATCAATTTAAAGCTTGAAATCAAATAGCTACAGGATTTAAGTCAATATTTTGGTAGATGACAGTGAATAAAAATGTAGATTAGATAAACTACATCTATTACAACCAACAGCAAAGAGCTTTTCATGAGTTAAAAAAAAAAAAACTCATGTCGGCCCCAGCCCTGAGGTTACCTGACCTGACTCTGTGAAGTCTGTGTGTCAGAAAAGAAAAAAATGGCAGTTGGAGTTTTAACTCAGACTGTGGGGCACTGGCCAAGGCCAGTGGCCTATCTCTCAAAACAAAAAGACAGGGTTTCCAAAGGCTGGCCCCCATGTCCAAGGGCCCTGGCAGCAATGGCCCTGTTACCACAAGAAGCAGATAAGCTAACTCTTAGACAAAACCTAAACATAAAGTCTCCCCATGCTGTGGTGATTTTAATAAATACTAAAGGACACCATTAGCTAATAAATGTTACACTAAGTAGATACCAAAGCTTGCTCTGTGAAAATCCCCACATAACCATTGAAGTTTGCAACACCCTAACCCTGCCACCTTACTCCTGGTATCAGAGAGCCTAGTTAAACATAACTGTTTAGAGGTGCTGGACTCAGTTTATTCTAGTAGGCCCAACCTCCGAGACAATCCTTAACCATCAGTAGACTAGGAGTTGTATGTAGATAGGAGCAGCGTCACCAACCCCTGCAAAGTGACTCTGAAGAAGACTACAAGCCCTGCTCCAGTCACACCCAGAAGCTGACTGGTCCACGCACGGCTGAAGCATGAGGAAACTCATCGCAGGACTCATTTTCCTTAAAATTTGGACTTGTACATTAAGGACTTCAGCTGAACTTCCTCAGACTGAGGGCTGTTCCCAGTATATACATCAAGTCACTGAGGTAGGAAAAAAGATTGCTACAGTCCTATTATTTTATAGTTATTATGAATGCCTAGGAACTCCAAAAGGAACTTGTTTGTACAATAACACTCAGTACAAAGTATGTAATCCAGGAAGTGACCAGCCTGATGCGTGTTATGACTCACTGTAAGCCTCCCATGATTAAGGACTGATCCTTTTCTAAGTGACAGAAGTAAAGTAATAGCTAAAAAAAAAAAAAAAAAAAAAAAAAAAAGAAAGGTCCCCAAAAACGTAATCTTAAAATTTGGCACTTGTGCTGCTATTAATAGTAAGCAGCATGAGATAAGATGTGGTTCTCTAAATTGAAAAACTAGTTACACAGTAAAAAAATAAGTATATCTGTCAAGAATCATATTTTTGTGAGATGTGTTAATACTGGTCTTGTGTCATTTAGACTACTTAAAAAAAGATAAAAAGGATCCTGTTTGACTCCAAAAAAAAAAAAAGGTCAGCCCCTCCCCTCCTGCATGAGTAGGAGCTGCAACCTTTTAAAATTGATAATCACAAACCCCTCAGACCCAAAGTAAAATAAAGAAAAATATGTAACATTAGACATTAACAGAAAAAGACTAGATCCTAGTGTAAGCATCCTAATAAAAGAAGAAGTTCAAGAACACTATCCAGAACCAGTATTTCAGACTTTCTATGATGAACTAAATGTGCCAGTACCCGAGATTCCAGGAAAAACTAAAAATTTGTTTTTGCAATTAGCCGAACACATAGCCCAGTCTCTACAAGTCACTTCACGTTATGTTTGTGGAAAAACCGTAACAGGAGATCAATGGCCATGGGAAGCCCCAGAATTAGTTCCTAAAGACCCAGTTCCTGATGAATTCCCAGACCAAAAGAATCACCCTGATCATCTCTAGGTTCTAAAAGTCTCAATTATTAGACAGTATTGCATATCTAAAGAAAGAAAAGGATTCGCTCATCCTGTAAGGCAGCTTAGCTGTCTTAGACAAAAGCTCTATAATAGTACCACAAAAACAGTTACATGGTGGAGTTCCAATTACACAGAAAGAAATCCATTCAGTAAATTTCCAAAGTTGCATACTGTTTAGGCCCACCCAGAATTCTACCAGGACTGGATGGTCCCCACCAGGTTATACTAGATATGTAGACACAGAGCTTATGCTAAGCTGCCTGATCAGTGGAGAGGTAGCTGTGCAATTGGCACCATTAAGCCTTCTTTCTTCTTACTGCCCATAAAAACAGGTAAACTTCTAGGCTTCCCAGTCTATGCTTCCCACAAAAAAGGAAGCACAGCCATAGGTGATTAAAAAGATAATAAATGGCCCCCTGAAAAAATCATACAATACTATGGACCTGCCACTTGGGCACAAGATGGCTCATGAAGATACTAGACCCCCATCTAAATGCTCAACCGAATCATACGGTTACAAGCTGTTTTAGAAATTATTACTAATAAAACCGATCAAGCCTTGACTGTTCTTGCCCGTCAAGAGACTCTGATGAGAAATGCGATCTATCAAAATAGACTAGTTCTCGACTACTTGCTAGCAGCTGAAAGAAAAGTTTGTAGAAAATTTAACCTTACTAATTGTTGTCTACACATAGATGATCAAGGACAAGTAGTTGAGGATATAGTTAAAGACATAACAAAACTGGCACATGTACCCATGCAAGTGTGGCACGGACACAATCTGGAAGCCATGTTTAAAAATTAGTTCCCAGCAATAGGAAGATTTAAAACTCTTATAATAAGAGTAATAATAGTAATTAAGAACCTACTTACCGCTCCTTTGTTTCCTACCTGTACTTCTTCAAATGATAAAAAGCTTCATCGCTACCTTAGTTCACCAAAGTGCTTCAGCACAAGTGTACTATATAAATCACTATCAATCTGTTGCACAAAAAGACATAAGTAACAAAAATAAGAGTGAGAACTCCCGCTAATAAAAAGTGAGAGTCTCAAAAGGGGGGAATGAAGGAAGAGAAAGACCCTCTCATATTATTTTATATTGTTTTATCCTCAGTACCTGTTTTAAGAAAAAAACAAATAAGTGAAATCAAAGACAGGCAGCCCAGCACCATGCCCAAAACCAGCCCTGGGCCTGCCTGGCTTAAACCTAGTAGTTAAAAATCAACTCATGACTTAGAAACTGATGTTATTCATAAATTCCAGACATTGTATAGAAGAACATGGTGAAACTCCCTGCCCTGTTCTGTTTCTCTCTGACCACCAGTGCGTGCAGCCCCTGTCATGCACCACCTGCTTGCTCAAATCAATCATGAACTTTTCATGTGAAATCTTCAGTGTTGTGAGCCCTTAAAAGGGACAGAAATTGTGTATTTGGGGAGCTCAGATTTTAAGGCAGTAGCTTGCTGATGCTCCCAGCTGAATAAAGCCCTTCCTTCTACAACTCGGTGTCTGAGAAGTTTTGCCTGTGGCTTGTCCTGCTACACACACACACACGCACACTTGCATGACTGTGCATTAATAATAGAGGAAATGTATCTTGTGGCACATACCTCCTTCCAAAGGAACTGAGTGATGAGGTTTGTTTAAAAAATTGACACTACTGAAAACAGTATGGAGGTTTCTCAAAATATTTAACGTAAGATTACCATATGATGCAGCAATCCCTCTTCTGGATATTTATCCATAAGAATTAAAATCAGGATCTCAAAGGGATATTTGCACATCCATATTCATAACAGCACTATTACAAAAGCTCAGACCTTGAAACAATCCCAGCATCTATCTGAGCAAAGTGTAGGAACAACCGGGTCCGACTGGTCTAAAATGAAAGGAAAGGTGAATGTGCTGTGTTGTAACTGGCAGGAAATGGGAGGAAAATCCTCAAAACCCACCCCATTGGAATTCATGTTAAAGAACTTTAAGAAAGGCTTTGTGGTGGAGGGGGTGGTGGTTAGGGAGTCAAGTTAACCCACTGAATGCTGAGAGCTCTCTGTGAATTAGAATAGCCCTCTTTTGGTGTTGGCTGGCTGGCCAAATGTACTTATAGATAGGGACACAATTGGCCCTGTGTTTAAGGTGGTGACCGGAGTCAGAGGACAGTCAGGGCATTCAGACCAAATTTCCTTATATTAACTCATGGCTGAATGCAGCCCTGTTTAGCAGCTTATTGCAGAATGCTCGCAGTTCAAGCCGAGAGTAATCAGCTGTGCTGGCAGCTACAAAGACAAAGTGAAAACAGAGTTAAAGGGAAAGTCACAGGAGCTTGTAGCCTGAGCTGAGCTGAAAGTGAAATCTTCTCTGGCAAACACAGAGACAAAAAGAAAGCCACAGGAAAACCCAGTTTTGCAAGAACCACTGGAGGGAAGAGACCCTTCCTCCATATGCTCCAATCTACCCACCTTTACCCAGAGTTACTGCCTCTGAGGAGTCAAGCTCAAAGGGATACATGCCCCAGTCTCACCTGAGATGGAAAAATCTGAGCCCTCACTCCAGGAAGTTAAGGTGAAATGCTAGGAAAATAAAGCAAACTTGTCTCCAGTCAGGTCATGTTTGGGCTATGCAAATGCCTTTCTGGGAAACAAGAGGACCCCGACTAGGACCCAAATGAGGCAGCCCAACTACAGCAGCTGCCCAGATACCAAAAGGCACTCCTGCAAAGTTTAAGGGAAGGCGGGAGAAAGGCAATCAATATAGGGAAAAATCTCATAGGTGCTTCAGGGTGCATATGAAAGCCCCAGCCAGTTTTATAAAAGACTTAGTGAGGCCAGCACATGCTGAACACGGCATTTGTAGAGCAGGCCCAGGGGGATATCAGGCAAAAATTGCAGAAAATGGAAGGTTTTGCAGGCATGAATGCTATTCAGTTTATTGAAGTGGCCACAAGTTGTACATTAACGGAGATCAGGAGGCAAAGACAGAGGCTAATCAAAGGCTTAAGAAAAAGGCTGATTGGCTGGCAGCAGCTCTCACAGGGAGGGAAGCTGGCTTTGCAAGGTGGCGTGATGTGGGCATGGAAGTGGGCATGGAAGAAGCCAGTATGGACAGGGATTTGAGAGCAGGCCCAGGTTGGAAAGAGATCAGTGTGCACAGTGCAAAAGACAAGGACACTGGAAGGATGAGTGTCCAGAGAATAATAATAAGGAGAAGGGTCAGGGCCATCGTACAGGAAGGCCACCAGCCAGGGGCTGCCACACCCAGGAGAAACCAGGCACTGATCTGATCAGACTGGCAGGGGCTGAAGGATATGAGGACTAGGACAGACCAGGCTGCTTCTCTTTGGGCCCTGAGAAGCCCATGGCCAGATTGGAAGTTAGAGGCCAGCTAATGGACTTTATGGTAGACACCAGAGCTAAACACTCAGTAGTGACCCAACCTATAGGGCCACTATCCAAGAACTGTGCAACTATTGTGGGAGCCACTGGAGTCTCTGAAAAGAGGCCCATCGGTTGGTCAAAGAGGTGTGTTATAGGAGGATGAGAAGTCCAACCTGAATTCTCATCCCAAATGGTTCTGTTCCTTTGCTGGGAAGAGACCTACTTCAAAAACTGCAGGTACAGATTACATTTGGGCCACAAGGGAATGTAACTTTAAATCTACCTCACCCGGAGGCTATGATGTTAACCCGTACTGTACCATAGGCTGAAGAATAGAGGCTATATGCAAAAAAGACTCTGGAACCAAGAGTAAATGAAATGCCTGGGTTGCTTACTAAAATTCCCAGAGTTTGGGCTGATAGTAACCCACCTGGACTGGCTGTAAGTCAGGCACCAGTGGTGGTAGAGTTAAAATCCAGTTCAGGTCCAACAGTACCTGCTACTCCCTGAGGCCATACTGGGTGTCCGCAAATATTTAGAGTCTTCATAAACATGGAATCATAGTCAAATGCCAGTCACCATGGAACACCCCTCTCTTGCCAGTGCGGAAGCCGTCTGGTGAATATAGACCAGTACAGAATTTGTGTGTGGAAAACTAGGCCACGGTGACCATCCACCCAGTGGTGCCAAACCCATATACTTTAATGGGACATATTCCAGCAAGTGCCACTTGATTTACAGTCCTAGATTTAAAGGATACATTTTTCCGTCTCTGGCTTGCACCAATTAATGAGCCTATTTTTGCTTTTCAATGGGGTAAATCACAGTACACTTGGACAAGACTCCCACAAGGATTTAAAAACTCTCCTACAATCTTTGAAGAGGCACAGGCCTCAGACCTTAAAGCATACACCCCACCAAACAGTGACTGTGTCTTGCTCCAGTACATTGATGATCTTCTTCTAGCAGCCCCGACCTGAGAGGACTGCTTCGAGGGGACCCAAGACCTCCTGCACTTGCTATGGAAGGCAGGATATAAAGTGTCAGGGAACAAGTCTCAAATCTGCTCTGAAAGTGACCAGTATTTAGGCTTCTATATAAGCCAAAGGAAAAGATGGCTTGGTAGTGAACAGAAGCAGACCATTTGTACACTTCCTACTCCAACCACCCGGTGACAAGAGAGTTCCTAGGGCCAGCAGGGTCCTGCTGCATCTGGATCCCAAATTTCTCGCTCATGGCTAAGCCATTATATGAAGCCACAAAGAGGGGAAAAAGGAGCTCCTCCTCTGGGAGGCTGACCAGGAGAAGGCCTTTAAGGAAATCAAAGAAGCCTTGACTCAGGCCCCAACTTTAGGACTGCCAGATCTAACTAAGCCTTTCTTTTTATATGTCCATGAGCAAAAGGGAATGGCCGTAAGAGTTCTAACTCAAGCCATAGGATTGTGGCATCACCCGGTGGCATACCTATCCAGGCAA
Source organism: Homo sapiens (assembly GCF_000001405.40). Taxonomy (NCBI): domain Eukaryota; kingdom Metazoa; phylum Chordata; class Mammalia; order Primates; family Hominidae; genus Homo; species Homo sapiens. Next base: position 69,060,646 of record NC_000004.12, read on the forward strand.
TTGAATTCTGTGGCACCTGGATGGAGTCTTTGTTTTAAGACACTAGCTATCACTGCTCGGCTGGCACAGGAAGCTAATAAGCTGACTTTAGGACAGCAAGTGACAATCCAGCTACTGCACTCAGTTATAACTTTGATGGACCAAAGGGGGCACCATTGGTTTTCGAATCCGAGAATAACTCAATACCAAGGGCTCCTATGTGATAATCCCTGTGTAACTTTAGAGACTGTGAGTACCCTAAACCCAGCTACCTTGCTCCCCATTGAATCAGTGCCAGGAAGCCCCCTTCATTGCTGAGTGGATGTGGTAGATGAAGTGTTCTCAAGCCAGAGAGATCTGACAGATCGGCCCCTCGGAGACCTGGACATTGAATATTTTACTGATGGGAGCAGCTTCATACTAGAGGGAGTCCACCAAACTGGGTATGCAGTGGTGACTTTGGACTCAGCAGTAGAGGCACAGTCTTTGTCTACAGGAACTGCCTCTCAGAAAGCAAAGCTGATAGGTCTTATAAGAGCTCTCTGGCTAGCAAAAGACCAGAAGGCAAATATTTACACAGACTCTAAATATGCTTTTGCCACTTTGCATGTTCATGGGGCTATTTACAAAGAAAAAAGACTCTTAACTCCTGGAGGTAAAGAAATAAAGTGTAATGAAGAAATTCTACGGCTCCTGGATGTGGTATGGGCCCCCAAACAGGTAGCAGTAATGCACTGTAGGCAAAAGGCAGGAACATTAGAGGCTAAAGGAAACAGAAAGGCAGACAAAGAGGCAAAGCAAGCTGCAATGGCAACTCCACCTTCTATTCTAAAGAAGAAGCCTTAGCTATGCCTCTCCTCCTGGAGATTCCCCTTCCAGGGACCCCAAGCTACACTCCAAATAAAAGGGCTTGATTTGCCCAGGAAAATGGGAATTACGTTGAAGGAAGATGGTGGAAATTCTCCAATGGGAGGCTAGCCATACCTGAAATCTTGGCCCCCAGATTTGCAAAACAGTTCCAAGGAACTCACATGAGAAAAACGGTGCTAGAGACATGATTAGGGTGTCATTTCTATGTGCAATGGCTCACCGCTATTACTTGAGCCATTTGTAAACAGCGTTTAACTTGTGCCCAAAACAACCCCTGAAAAGGGCCCACTCAGCCCCCGGGAATTCAGGAAAAAGGAGCTATGCCCTGTGAAAACCTGCTTATGGACTTCTCCGAATTGCCCCAAGCAGGGGTCTATAGGTACATTTTGGTGCTTGTCTGTACCTTTTCAGGATGGGTCATGGCCTTCTCCGTCAGGACAGAGAAGGCATGAGAGTTGATGAAGGTATTGTTAAGAGACATTATTCCCAGATTTGGACTGCCCCTAACTTTGGGTTCAGATAATGGACTGGCATTTGTGGCTGAAATCGTTCAGGACTTAACTCGACTGTTAAAAATAAAATGGAAGTTGCATCCAGTCTACCAGCCTCAGTGCTCAGTAAAGATGGAGCACATGAACCAGATACTCAAGCAGCTGCTGAAGAAATTTTGTCAGGAAACTCATCTGAGGTGGGACCAGGTCTTGCCCATGGTCTTTCTCCAAGTCAGGTGCACCCCCACAAAACAAACCACACTGGGTATTTGCCCAATGAGATTTTGTTCAGCCAGCCACCCCCAATCATAAGTCAGATTAAAGGTAATCTCCGTGAGCTACAAAAACTAACTTTAAGAAGGCAAATGCAGGCTTTAGATATGGCCATGCAAAAAGTATATGGCTAAGCGCAGGAAAGAATGCCTATAAGTCTGGCAGACCCAGTACACCCTTTCAAACCTGAAGACTTTGTTTAGGTTAAGAAATAGACTCCAACTATTCTGAGCCCCATATGGGACGGGCCCCATATTGTGATCTTGTCCACTCCCACTGTTGTTAAAATTGCAGGTATCGTGCCTTGGATCCACCACAGTCAGCTGAAATTATCAGCCCAGGACCAGTGGACCAACCAGCAGGACATAGACCATCTGACCCGAATGATCCTGCAATGAGACCACATTGCCAGTGGAGATGACAACAGCACTGCTCTGGTCACTCTGGAAGATGACCAGTCTATGCATGGTGGAAGCTTGAGAAAATAGCAAGCCCTGCTCTAGTCACACCAAGAACTGACTAGTCTATGCACGGCCGAAGCTTGAAGAATCGTCATCAGATGAATAAATGTGGCCAGAAATCTTAGGCCCAGTAATCTTCTTTGTATTATTCATTATATTGCTCTTGTGCTATTGTTTAACCAACCCCCTAAATGCCTTTACTGTTCATGCTGGCTGTAAGAATGCTACTGTTTGCTTTGTTTGTGCTGATCCCCATATCTATGCTAGAAGGAGGACCCGTATTAGGATGCCGTCACTGCATGCACACTACATGGATAAGAAACACAGTAATTGCTCACGCCTGTAATCCCAGCACTTTGGGAGGCCGAGGCGGGCGGATCACGAGGTCAGGAGATCGAGACCATCCCGGCTAAAACGGTGAAACCCCGTCTCTACTAAAAATACAAAAAATTAGCCGGGCGTAGTGGCGGGCGCCTGTAGTCCCAGCTACTTGGGAGGCTGAGGCAGGAGAATGGCGTGAACCCGGAAGGCGGAGCTTGCAGTGAGCCGAGATCGTGCCACTGTACTCCAGCCTGGGCGACAGAGCGAGACTCCGTCTCAAAAAAAAAAAAAAAAAAAAAGAAACACAGTAATTAAGACTTTATTATACCATACATACTATAGGTACCTGGGCACAAGATAGGTCAGGGGGTACTGTACCCCTATTTACATGCTTAATCACATCATAAGGTTGCAGGTGGTACTTGAAATCATCACTAATGAGACAGCAAATATGTTAGACTTGCTGGCCCAGCAAGCCACAGAAATAAGGATCACCATCTATTAGAATAGACTGGCTTCAGACTGCCTCCTAGCCCAAAAAGAAGGATTATGTGGAAAGTTGAGCCTGATGAATTGCTGCCTAGAAATTAATGATAACAGGAAAGCCATCATAGAAATAGCTGCCAGGATGTGGAAGATAGCTCATGTCCCAGTTCAGACCTGGAACCCAGATGGTCTCCAGATTCCCTCTTAGGAGGTTGGTTTTCATCCTTTGGTGGTTTTAAAACAGTAGGGGTAGTGTTGGCTATATTAAAAGGTTGCTTAATGTTCCCTTGCCTCTTAGGCCTCCTCATCAGAAACATCCAATCAATCACAGAATCCATCGTTAACAGAACCACCTCCACTCCACTGATGGCTCTAAACAAGTATCAACCCGTACCAAACAGAGAAGAACTGACTTGTAATGAGGAATTAAATGATAGTGATGCCTTCTATTGAATTCCATTTACAGGAGGCATCAAAGGGGAAGATGAGATGGGAAAGAAAGAAAGAAAGAAAGAAAGAAAGAAAGAAAGAAAGAAAGAAAGAAAGAAAGAAAGAAAGAAAGAAAGAAAGAGAAAGAAAGAAAGAAAAAGAAAGAAAGAAAGAAAGAAAGAAAAACAAAATTAAAAAGAGAAATAAGCTTTCCTGTATTAGGCTAACTTGTCCCAGACGCAGCAACGGGTGCAGCCCAGACCCAGGGAAAGTCCTGATACTACTGTCTAAAAAGCCAGGAGATGCACCAAAAAAATGTGGTCTGTAGACCCTCCCAAAACTCCTTCAACATAGGGAGAAGAAAAACAAATTTTCCTTTGTTTTATGGTATGACTTTATAGATTCTTGTTCTCTGTAACTAGTAACTTCAAGTATTCTGTTTTGTCTAAAAGGTACTGCGAAGGTCATGAGACGCCTGAGAAGGCCTGAACTACAGCTGTCTGGGCACCTAGTGAAGGTTATAAGGCAAACCAGTGCAAGGCTCTTTTGAGCAAAACCTAGATAACAGACATCTAGGTTGCAAAGCAACAGTCATGTGTAATCCCGAGTTATGAACTATCACAATTTGATTAATTGTTCTCCCTCTGTATCTCTGCTTTCATGCCACTGTAAGCCTACATCAAGTTAGCCCACCCCTTTTGGAAAGTGTGTATGAAAGTCAAGTGCTGTCTTTGTTGGGGCCCAATCTCTGGATGTTAAGTCAGCTGAGTCTGAGTGCACTCAATAAAGATATCCTCCTGTATACACCCCAAGGTCTCTCTCTGGTACTCCTGATTCCTGCAAAAAGATGTCAATTTATAAACAATATACAGGACAGATGATAAAACAGCACAAAGAGTGTTGCTGATTGGTAATATTTTGCCGTTAACGTTGTGATTAGAAAAAAATACATAATTAGGAGGTGCAATATGGCATTTTGGTATTATTATGATAGTGGTGGCAGGTAACAGATATCACCAAATTCTGCCCTGCCATTCAATTCTATTATTTACAGGATTCCTAAGTGCACTGTACACACTACAAATGTTATCAGAAAGGAGTTATACTTTATGAGTTACTTCACTAGCACAATAAGTAGGTATCGAAAAAAAAATTGAAATGTATCATGGAGTTTAGGCTTTCCATGTAATCTGGGGCTCTTTACTTACCCTAATTTTGAAATAGGTCTATTCAGTGTATTTTTCAGAGGGCTATTTAGAAAAAAGGAAGCCCAAACTCACCCACCCTCAGTCTAGGTACCCACTTAGCCATGTAGATTTAGAGAAATAGAAAAACCAAACTGCCTTGGTGGACTGGATTTGGCCAATATCTGATAGGAAGATGTAATATAAAGAAGGGGGATCAAATCCTGCCCTTAAGGTAGACAGAATCTGTCAAGGCTTTAGAGTGTACCATCAAAGAGTTAACAGCCAACAGAACAAAATTTAGCATCATCACAATTTTGGAAGTTTTTCAACAGCCCTATGATTTATAAACTGTCAATCACTATTTTTACATATAAATCATTTCCAGTGGTAGTAAATGTGCTAATATTCTCGATATATGTGAAAAATATCACTTAAAATTTTTTCTTGGAAGAAGCACTTAATAATTTGTAAATCAGAAACAAATTATATGTACTTTCTAAGTAGATTAGTGTATTTCTCATACATAGATGATGGCATAGATTTGCTTTTTTAGTAAATTGTCAGATATCAGACTCTAACTTATGGAACAAATGAATATAAGTAAACTCACTCCCATTTGATTGTTTTGTAAATGAAAAATGTAATATTAAATTTGTGAGATGAATGTGTATGTAGTAAATACATTAATAAAAATGTGTAGATCATTAGTAATTTTTTAATCTTCTTTATACTAGAATTATGTCTGCCTAACAATTACTTAAATATTTGAACTTTTAATTTATTATCACAATTTTCTAAGTCACTATGTATGAAACATCATGATTGTATTTAACTTGACAATATAAAAATTAGTCAAGAAAATATAGTTGTTCCATTTACTTCAGTCTTCTAATAGTTCTCATTACTTAACTTGTCCTCATTTCCTTATTAGCCATAGGGAAGGCATTTGACTAGGTGATCTCAATGTTTTTAGAATTCTAACAGATATGCTATCATTTCAATTTCACTCATAGAACAAGGTACATACTTTTTTAAAACTTTTAAGTTCAGGCGTACATGTTCCGGTTTGTTGCATATGTAAACTTGTGTCATGGGGGTTTGTTTTACAGATTATTTCATCACACAGGTGTTAAGCCTAATACCCATTAGTGATTTTTTCTTCTCCTCCCTCCACCCTCTAAAAAGCCTCAGTGTGTGTTGTTGCCCTCTATGTGTCCACGTGTTCTCATCATTAGGCTCCCTTGTCTATATAGTTCTATGGAAATTTGATGACAGGAAATCAGATACCTTAGTACCAATATTCACCTATATAGTGGGTAGTCCAGAATGACCTTCTCGGTAAGACTCTGAGGATCAAATATTGAAAACTTTGGTAACAGCATATGAGGATGAAAATGGTTCAACAGAAAACACACTGTTGAAATAATAAGTGATTCACCATTTATTATTTAAAAAGTCAAAAATAAAATCTAACTTCTTTACATTTATCTTCCAGTCCTAGGGAAAATATAATAAACTAAAAGAGGTTGACATTTTATTATACATAGTCACATTCTTTATGGCCAGAAACAAACTATCTTTATTTCAAGTGTAGTTACCTTTCACAAAATTTTTTTTCAATAATTTTCTGGGTTGTCTGTCTCCTAATTCAATCATTACACCTACCCTTCCTCCTAATGTATAGATGTTGCAAATGCAACTGAAAAATGACAGCTCATTTTCATGATGATCTCCTGCATTTTCTATGGGAGTAAATCCTCGGTCTTTATCATGGAGTGTTGGTAACACATTTCATGATGGAGTGTGGCCTGTCCTTCCTCTATTCAAGCACCATCACCACCCCACTCCCTGCTGCCTTGGATACTATGCCTTATCATACTCAGTGACTTCACCATTTCTCTAAGAGAACAAGTTCTGGCATGCATCCTGCTTCTTTTGTGGGGGAGGGTGGTAATGGGAAATGGGTGACACACAACTATCTTTATCCACAGTGTTCTCTATTTGTCCACATGACAATATTGTATTAATTCTTCAAGTCTCAAGACACATACCACATCTTAATGTGTAGCCTTCACTTATTGCCCCAGAGGACTTGGTGCATCTTCCTCTGTGATCTGAAACCAATTTTAATGCAGTTTTACTGTTGCAATAATTTGTTATCTAGAGAACACTGCCTGTTTCATTGCCTCATATTGTGCATTGCTCATTTTATTTCTAAGACTTACAATGCATAATTTTTCAAAAAATCATCTATTCTTAGGTCATCCACAAACCAAAGCTTTTATAACTCATGATGGATCCAATGGAATGTATGAGAGAATCTATCATGGAATCCCTAGGGTGGGGCTTCCTTTATTGCAGATCAACGTGACAACTTTGCTCACATGAAGGCTAAGGGGGAAGCTGTTAGATTGGACTCAAAAACAACATAAATTACAGATTTGCTCAATGCATTAAAGGCAGTCATTAATGGCCCTACACAAATGTAAATTTTTTAACCTCATAGCATGTGTTCATACTTTCTCACATGAAGGCCAAGGGAGCAGCAGTGACTCTGAATATGAACACAGTGCTGAGTACATATATTTTTTGTAACACTTAAAGGCCATGATCAATACACCATTGTGTTGCAATGTGTTTTTTTCGTTTGTTTTAATGGAAACATTTGTCAGAGGTTTTAGGATAGTGCATAAGTTCTAAAATAGCCAAAAAGTAAAATAAGAGGAATTACTAAAGATGGTAACAGAAGGATTATAAGAAAGATTGAGGCCAAAGTTGAAGCAGAAAACCATAAATATTATTACAGTACTGACTAATTTTCAGCACACTTATGTTGTCTTTCAGAATGAGAACTCATCAAATGTTCATTTTTAAACATTTTTTGTCTATATTGAAGGTATACAAAGTGATATTATGGAATACAAATACATATTTAAAAGGTTACCATAATAAAACAAATAAACATATTCATGATCTCATATTAGTTATTCATTTCTTTTGTTTTTAAAGCTTTCCTAAGATGATTTATTTTCAGTAATCAGCATGACAATCAATCTCTAATTCCCATTATATTTAATGTTCTCCAGATTTTTACACTACATTTTGATCCCATCACTGATAATTTGTAAACAGCTAGAGCTTTCAAATTTGCCTTCAAAAATTATTGAAAAGAGGAGATATTAGTATAAATGTAGCCATTTATTTGTTCTTACAGTGGTGGTTGATTTGCTTATTTTGAAGAATTATAAAATCAAAAAATAATTGACTTGAAAGATATAAGTTGGAATATTTCTGTTTAATAACCAAAATGTATTAAACCAGAAATATGTAGTTTAAAAATTATTTTAGTGCATACATTAATTTCAGTTATGCTATTACTATTATATTAGTAATAGCAATAATTTTTAATAAGCATAATGCTGGTATTGAAAAATGAAGATAACTTTTAATTAGTTGATACATATTGAATGTGTATGACACACATTGTCTTGGTTATTTGTGTTATGTAACCCAATTGTATGAAAAAATATATCAGAATTAGTGCCCTCTTCTGAAAAACACAGTTCTCCAACTGTGTTTTTTTAAATAACAAGGGGAGAAGTTACCTCCATTGCTATTGCTACAGTGCCATACTTTAGCACTTTTTGGTTTTGACTTGGTAAGCGAGATACTTATATGCATCCTTATTCTTTGTCTATTAGTCCATAATTATTTCAAAACTAGAAACAAATGGAACTACAATGCCTCAAAGTAAAATACTGAAAGCCACTTAGATTCTAAAATCACAATACAAGAAAAATAGTAATAACAGTGAACATTTACTGACAATCACTTTATGACAAGAATAATTCTACCAAGTATTCTAAGAATCATTACATTACTACTCACAAAAATCAGGCAAGAAAGATACGATTCTTAGTCATTCAATTTAACAATAAAAAAACTTGGAACAGATACTTTAAAAAAAAAAAAAAAGGACCGGTAGATATCAGGTTAGGATTCAAACTAAGGCCATCCACTTTCATACTTTTAACCATGAATCCATTGATGTAATGTTAATACCAACTCTTGGTCAGCGCCAACTTCTTATGAGCTTTGCCCTGACATGTACCTGACCTTGTCAGATTTGTCTGCTATCTCTAGACTTTGATATTATTTTGAAACTTGTATGCCAGGTCCATTAAATTTTTTTTTCCCTGGATAATTCAATCTCTGTACTCTCAATTGATTTTTTTTAACCCTTTGGACTTATCTGATTTCAATTTCTAGGCTACAAACACTTGTTCTCTCTTAAATTATCTCTTCACATCTTGAAATCTTATGCATGAAACAAATTCTAGCCCATAAAACAAAATCTCTATAACCACTATGAAATAAAATATTTTATTTTTCATCCACTTTTATGTGGCACTCATTTTTAACATCTACACAAAAATTTCACATATTTATCTTTTCTGGTTCATTATATAAGTTGATGTCTATTTGATTTTCCTTTAGCTGTAAAAAAAAAATGTAATGTAGTTATCAATCATTTATTATGATCAGTCTCTGAAGCCATTGGACCAAAAACTCTCCTGGATTGAGTTTGTCATGCACCACAATGGAGCCACCTACCAACAGTCTCACCTGGTTCCAGTACTGCTCTATGGATGTGCTGGACTGCATGGCAATTGTTACTCTCTTTGTCATAATATGTTGCTTGATTATCAAAAGTTGTTAAGGCGAGAAAGAAAGAAAAGAGAGTACATCTTTTTGAGATCTAAGGCAGGCAGGCATGATACAGAAAATCATGCCATTTAATGTCACCACTATGTATCAAGGTATGGAGTAAATTCTTTACTACATTTTTCAAGACCTGTGCCTTCTTGATTTGTTTGAAATTTTTAATCTTTGTTAAACATTATGTAAGGTACAATTTTAATTTCAGAAAACCTGTAATAATTCAATTTTAATGCTTATCTACGTATATTTTTTAAACTGAAAATAAAATGAGATTCACTAGAAACTCAGTCTGTTTACTTGAGAAAGGCAGAAAGATTAGCTATACTGTGCATTTCAAAAAAACCTCTTCTTTTATATATATATTTATATAATATATCATAAATTTATATATTTTATATATTATACTTTTATATATAATAAATATACTTATATATTGTATTTTTATTGTTTTATTTCAACTTTTATTTCAAGTTCGGAAGCACATGTGCAAAATGTGCACGTTTGTTACCTAGATAAAGAACCCTCTTCCATATAAACAAATACAATTATATGGAATATATGTGTCCCTGTCAGAAAAAAAAAAAAGAAAAACAGAGCAAGATCCTTGTTAAAAATTGCAAGACAAATTTTATTTTGACTACTGAAGTAGGGGACAGACACTACAGTATGAACTGAGCTCAACTCCAACTAAGACAAAGGTAACTGAGACTTTTAAAGAAAATCCATTTATGAATAAAAAGGAAATATGAGGAAATAAAAATAAGGAAACCAAAAACAGAGTAGTGGGCTACATGGAAATAGAAAATTACATAAAAATTAAGTGTAAAATGATTATTAGACAAGGTGAGTTAGACAGGGTAATTTTGCAATTTGGCAGGATCACATTTTATTGAGCAAAGCCTCAGCATGAAGGCTAGGGTCACCTTCTAGGACAAATCCATGACATAGTGCACATATAAGCTGGACTAAACTTGGCCAACTCTCTTAGCGTGGCGTTTAGGCAAGTTCTTCATGTTAAATAGATGTTTCCAATTCATATCCTTCATGAAATACAAAATATTTTCTCTTGAAAATTTTCTTTGTTTCAAAAGTCTAGATGGTCATAACTGGCTTCCTGTGTAAAACTATGCAAACTAGTAAAATCTTTGGTTAGAAAGACTAAAGATGTTTTCCACATGAGGCCTTGAATACACTTGAGTTACTATTTTTGCTTTAGTAATGACCATTTGTAATTGGATGGTAATACACAAAAGAAAAGAAGAGGCTAGTTCCCTCTAGTTAGGAATTATAGATATGGTCCAGCAAGTTTAGTCCAGTCCCTCTAGATTATAATGTTACATGATTTCTCTCTTGAAATATGATCTCACCTTTCTTGCCCTCACCTTGTCAAGTATGATATTTCCAACCACTTTAATATCTGGAATACTGAGGATATACAAACTAGAAATGTATACTATTATTTTGATTATTCTCTCCTCGTAACATATTGAAAACTAAATTGTAGGTGGAATAAAGAGCCAAATACCATGTGCAACAGTTTTTAAAATCTATGCTGGAGAAAACATAGTAAATGGCAAAAGCTCTCCAATACCTACATTCAAATATTGTTCATTACAGCCTTTGGACTCAGAACAAGGTTTGAAAAGCAAATAACAGAGAAGAAGGGAACAAACTTAAGAGCTGTTCTTCCATCTGACAAGAGATGTGTCTAAAACAGTTGAATGAAAGAGAGGCATAATGATTATTTCTCACACATGAAATAGATTTTTATAGTACTCTTCTCTATGAGAAAATATTGTAGCAATAATTGATAATAAAATGAATTATTATAATGTCTAGAAAAGAGATATACACTAAATATTTTACTTTACTAAACTTTGAACACATAGTCTTGCCACTAGAAAGAAACAAATAGCCAAGTACAAGAAAAAAAGTGTAACGTATTAGTACTTTTTATAGTAATGTCTTCTTTATAAAAGGGGAAAACTTATAGACAAATATTAGTCTGGGGAAATTATGTAGCTCAACATGTACTACACAAACTAAATTTTAGTCTATTTATATTTTTTTATGAAACAACTTCTGAAAATGCATCAAGGACCTTGCCAAAATAGATCTTCTTTGCAATTCATAGACCATATAGCTAGATAAAATAATCTTTGTCTATTCATGAGCTATCAAAGAATACTTTCATTTGTTTTAATATTGAGAAATCTTTTCACATAAAGTACCATGTACACATATAGTTAGGAAAGTATGTGAATATGAAGGTTTACTTGATAGAGACTCATAAAATCACATAGTATATTAAATTCCAAAAATTTCAATATTGTGCATGTGTCTGTTTCTTTGAGATTGATTCTAAAAGCTTTTAAATATCTCAGCAGTTAACAAAATTTAAACACAGAAACTCTAAGTAGTCACATGGAATCACTGAATTGAAATAACATTCTTCATCCTCATGAAAATCTTTTTCTATAAAATTTTGAATATGCTGCTTAAAGACTGGAATATGAAGCACTACAGAAGTTGGAGACGAAAATGAAATAATTGTGAATTTAATGATGAAAATAACATATGAAGCTGAGTCTATCGATGTCAAGGACAAATGCTTTATGTATAAGTTTTCTGAATTAATATCTATGCAGAATGCAATGTTTCTTAAAAGATAAAACAAATATGCTAATTAAAAGTTTCCTTCTTATATTCTTGAAGTATATTCTTTAATAGTCTTAAATATATTCTTTAACATACAAATTCTTAAAACCCAATAATAATTGTAAAAATTACTGAATAACAGTAAAGAGCAGGGTCTTGGGGGGGTTGTGTCTTCTGGCATCTACCACCTCACAACCACTCCAGTGTTCTTTATTGATGAAGCTTAACATTCAACTAGCTGGCAAAGGAGGAATATTTACAGGATCCTGATTCAGTATCATAAAGTTATATTTGCACCCAGGGGACAATAAATTGAAAACTTGTAAAGCATAAAATTTCAATTTTTTCATTTGTTATCATTATAAAAGTTGTGTTCCTTCAGACACTGAATCTTGGCAAAATTTGGATGAGTAGGAGACATGGCTTTCTTTTGAAAATAACATTTTTGAAAGTGGGGGAATGTAGAGGTTCTGAGAAAGATGAGCTTAGAGTTGGCCCACTGGGTTCTCCACCTCCCTGGTGGTCACTTCCCTAATGTCCAAATATATAATAAGAATTGACATACTAGCGGGTTGGATTTTTGATTTCAGTAGTAGCTAGCTCAGACTTGGTTAGAGGGAGTTTTGTGATGCTGAGCCCATGAATACCCTTAGCCTATCACCACTCTATTCATACTCCCAACAAATCAACACTGGAGTAGCCAGGTACTTGATGCTTTACCCAAAAATGGATATTAACTTTCACCAATTCAAAGCATATCAAGATGTCTCATTGAGTTCATTGCAAGTTCCTAATTATTAGTCTGATTAATCACTTTTTGGATTTATGATCCAGTGAGAATTTTGTTCATGTCCTGCAGTGATTTTTTCAAGTTACATTTTTCTATAGATTCTTCTTGGTATAGAGACTTTATTTAAGGATGAATTTGTTTTTCATAAAAGATCTAGAATCCTGATTCATCATGACAGTGGCTCAGAGTGATTGGCAAAAAACAAGGTTGATAAAGGTCAGATAAACAAGTAAAAATTAATGAATAATCCTCGGTCAAATAAGGTGAACTTTGCAGTTGGATTAATCCACCATAATGAGGACATGCAGGTTGCAAGAGTTAAGTCAGAATGAAATACACTTGAGACAAACACATTGAATAGGTCATAAATGCTTGGACAAATCATATAATGAGTAGCTAAGATCAAGAAAACAACTAGAAACAAGAGAGCTTTGGAAAAAAAACAGGTAATCAGGAAATTTCTAATGTAAGGTGTTAACAAGCAATGCTTTTAGGTTTTAATCTGTTTACTGACAATTTCTAGAGCATTAGATAATTCCTCTTTTGGGCTCTATCAGTCAAGCATTTGGTTTCATTTTATTTCATGTAATCAACCTTCATTTCATATATAATTAGGGAGCCCATTTCTGATTTCAGAAATATCTGATTATTTTTGTATTCATCCTTCTCACCTCATCCCATTCTTGTTTTATATTAGTGACTCTTCCATCTCTGAACATTTGAATCATACTTATTTAAAAATCTCATTTTGTCTAGGCATGGTGGTTCACATCTGTAGTCCCAACACTTTGGGATGTTGAAATGGGAGGATTGACTCCAGGAGTTTGAGATAAGCCTGGATAACATAATGAGAGCTCATCACTACCAAAAATTAAAATACTAGTTGGGTGTGGTGTCATGCACCTGTGGTCCCAGCCACTTGGGGGACTGAGGTGAGAGAATCACTTGAGCTTCAGAGGTTGAGGCTCAAGTGAGTTGTGATCATACCACTGCACTCCAGCCTGGACAGCAGAGTGAGAGAGTCACTTGACCTTGGTAGGTTGAGGCTGCAGTGAGCCCTGAACACACCACTGCATTTCGTTCAGCCTGGACGATGGAATAACACCTTATCTTAAATATATATATATATATATAAATTAAAAATCAAAGTCTCATTCTGATTGTTTCCCCTATTTATGATCCTTGGGTGAAAATCTTCCAACTGCGTGTCACTGGTTATTTCCTCATATGGTTTTCTTGAGGAAATCTTCAACATGTGTTGATTTCTGCAACATCCCTCATATTCTCTAATGTAAGAGAATCCCTTCACAATATTTAAAATTGCCTCTGCTGTAGTCTAGGGAGATCTCCAGTTACACACACATTTTATTATTATTATTTTTTAACAAAAGTCACTGCACTCTGTAAATTTTTGTTCCTTGCTTCAAGGTACTATGTCTCATTTGGTTTCCTCCCAAAAGTCACTTTTTCATAGTTTTCACAAGCATCTATTCATAGAATTCGTTCCAATTTTAACAACTGGTGGACATTCTTCCTTCATTTTATACTAGGCTGTATATGTCTTTTGACATCATTTTTTAATGCATGTATATGTGTCTGGAGCAGAAGTGGGAAAAAGTTGAGTCGCTTATGATCACCTCACTATACTATGTTGTTTAATTTATTTGAGGCTAGTTTTTAGGACACCTATTTCATATATGAAAATCTTTGAGTAAATATTTTAAAATGCTTAATGAATGTTTCAGTAGTTGTAAAAATATAAATTCACACAATTTTTAGGATTTTATTGTGTTTTTAATGTCCATATGTAATGAATTTCATAGTTGCTTAGAGGCTTCTGTTGACCAACTCAATAGCTTAAATTTGTGGAATTTTCAGACATCACTGCAAATACTTTGACATTCTTATTAAACCGTGGTCCCTCCCCTTGAAATGTGGCAAGGCTTGTGGCTTGCTTAGCAAATAAATTATACTGAAAGTGACAGCATAATTTGGAAGACTGTGTTAGAAAAGGCAGTACATTATCTCTGTCTCTGTTCGTCTGTCTGTCTGTCTCTGTCTTCTACTTATACCTTTTCCTCTCTTTCTCTCTCCTTCTCCCTCTTTCCCTTTTTCTCCCTCTACACACTTTGGAGCCCAGTGTCACACACAAAGTCCTGACGATAAAGGACAATTTCAAGGAGAGATGCAAAGAGGAGACTAAAGTCATGATTATTCAGTCTCACAGGAATTTGAGTCTTTTGACATCAATCACCAAGTATGTAAATAAATGACCTTCAGATGATTACATCCCCAGCCACCATATGAAAGTATCAGCCTGAGAAATACTGTGTATGAACCACCTGACTGAGGCTACCCAACACTCAGGCTATGGGAGTTGTAATAAAACGCTTGCTGTTTTTCAAAATCCCCACAATTGAGGGTAGTTTGTTATAAAGTGATAAATAACTACAAGGATATTTCTTTATTGTATTATGTTTATTATACTTTAAGTTCTGGGCTACATGTGCAAAATGTGCAGGATTGCTACATAGGTATACATGTACCATTGTGGTTTGCTGCACCCATCAACCTGTCACCTATATTAGGTATTTCTCCTAATGCTATTCCACCCCTAGCCCCCCTCCCCATAACAGGCCCCACTGTGTGATGTTCCCCTCCCTGTGTCCATGTGTTCTCACTGTTCAGCTCCCACTTATGTGTGAGAACATGCGGTGTTAGATTTTCTGTTCTTGTGATAGTTTGCTGAGAATGATGGTTTCCAGCTTCATCCATGTCCCTGCAAAGGACATGTACTCATCCTTTTTTATGTGTGCATAGTATTCTATGATATATATGTGCCACATTTTCTTTATCCAATCTATCACTGATGGACATTTGGGTTGGTTCCAAGTCTTTGCTATTGTGAACAGTGCCACAATAAACATATATGTGCATGTGTCTTTATAATAGAATGATGTATTTTAATCATTTGGGTATATGCCCAGCAATGGGAATGCTGAGTCAAATGGTATTTCTAGTTCTAGATCCTTGAAGAATCACTACACTGTCTTCCACAATGGTTGAACTAATTTACACTCTCACCAACAGTGTAAAAGCATTCCTATTTCTCCACATCCTCTCCAACATCAGTTGTTTTGTGACTTTTTAATGATCACCATTCTAACTGGCGTGAGATGGTATTTCATTGTGGTTTTAATTTGCATTGCTCTAATGATGAGTGATAATGAGCTTTTTTTCATATGTTTGTTGGCTATGTACATGTCTTCTTTTGAGAAGTGTCTGTTCATATCCTTCACCCACTTTTTGATAGGGTTGTTTGATTTTTTCTGGTAAATTTGTTTAAGTCCTTTGTAGATTCTGGATATTAGCCCTTTGTCAGATGGACAGATTAAAAAAATTTTTCCCATTCTGTAGGTTGCCTCTTCACTCTGATGATAGTTTATTTTGCTGTGCAGAAGCTCTTTAGTTTAATTAGATCCCATTTGTGTATTTTGGCTTTTGTTGCCATTGCTTTTGGTGTTTTAGTCATGAAGTCTTTGCCCATGCCTATGTCCTAAATAGTATTGCCTAGGTTTTCTTCTAGGATTTTTATGATTTTAGGTCTTATGTGTAAGTCTTTAGTCCATCTTGAGTTAATTTTGTATAAGGTGTAAGGAAGGGTTCCAGTTCAGTTTTCTGCATATGGCTAGCCAGTTTTCCCAGCACCATTTATTAAATAGGGAATGCTTTCCTCATTGCTTGTTTTTGTCAGTTTTGTCAAAGATCAGGTGGTTGTATATGTGTGGTGTTATTTCTGAGGTCTCTGTTCTGTTCCATTGGTCTATATATCTGTTTTGGTACCAGTACCATGCTGTTTTGGTTACTGTACCCTTGTAGTATGGTTTGAAGTCAGGCAGCATGATACCTCCAGCTTTGGTCTTTTTGCTTAGGTTTGTCTTGGCTCTGCAGGCTCTTTTTTGGTTCCATATGAAGTTTAAAGTATTTTTTTTTTCCAATTTTGGGAAGAAAGTCAATGATAGCTTGATGGCAATAGCATTGAATTTATAAATTACTTTTGTCAGTATGGCCATTTTCACGATATTGATTCTTCCTATCCATGAGCATGGGATGTTTTTCCATTTATTTGTGTCCTGTCTTATTTTCTTAAGCCGTGGTTTGTAGATCTCCTTGAAGAGGTCATTCACATCCCTTGTAAGTTGTATTCATAGGTATTTTATTCTCTTTGTGTCAATTGGGAATGGGAGTTCACTCATGATTTGGCTCTCTTTTTTTTTATTGGTGTATAGGAATGCTTGTGATTTTTGCACATTGACTTCGTATCCTGAGACTTTGCAGAAGTTGCTTATCAGCTTAAGGAGATTTGGGGCTGAGACAGTGGGGTTTTTCTTAACATATAATCATGTCATCTGCAGAGACAATTTGACTTCCTCTTTTCCTATTTGAATACTTTTTATTTCTTTATCTTGCCAGATTTCCCTAGCCAGAACCTCCAATACTATGTTGAATAGAAGTGGTGAGAGAGGGCATCCTTGCCTTGTGCCAATTTTCAAAGGGAATGCTTCCAGCTTTTGCCCATTCAGTATGATATGGGCTGTGGGTTTGTCATAAGAAGCTCTTATTATTTTGAGATATGTTCCATCAATACCTAGCTTATTGAGAGTTTTTAGCATGAAGTGATGTTGAATTTTGTCAATGGCCCTTTCTGGATCTATTGAGACAATCATGTTTTTTTTGGTTTGTTTTTTGTTTTTTTTCATTGGTTCTTTTTATGTCATGGATTCCTTTTTTTGATTTTTGCATGTTGAACCAGTCTTGCATCACAAATATGAAGCTGACTTGATCATGGTGGATAAGCTTTTTGATGTGCTGCTGGATTTGTTTTGCCAGCATTTTATTTAGGATTTTCAAATCCATCTTCATCAGGCATATTCGCCTGAAATTTTCTTTTCTTGTTGTGGTTCTGCCAGGTTTTGGTATCAGGATGATGCTAGCCTCATAAAATGAGTTAGGGAGGACTCCCTCTTTTTCTATGTTTGGAATAGTTTCAGAAGGAATGGTACCATCTCCTCTTTGTACCTCTGGTAGAATTCAGCTGTGAATCCATCTGGTCCTGGACTTTTTTTGGTTGGTAGGCTATTAATTACTGCCTCAATTTCAGAACTTGTTTTTTCTTTCTCCTTTCTTGATGCTTTTAGGGGTTTAATTATGGAATAAGATGAATTCAGTTGACTATCTTTGATTCTAGTCCACTCCTGGGTTTAGAGGAGCCCCTTCTGATTACTTTCTCCATGACTGTGTGTATTTTGTTAAATGTTCTGGCCATGGGTCTTCCTCAGGTAGGAGCCATAGTTGGCACACAAAACCATACCTTTGACCTATCAGCCCTAATCTGCTGTTTTTGTGCTTCCTGAAGTTCAGATGAAAGTGAGAACGCTAGGTGGGTTGGAAGCTCTTGCAGATGTGATCCATCTGGCTATGGAAGGTGGGGACAAGTGAAGTTATTTGCCATGCTGTTGGTGTGTTACTGGGGCAATAGGAGTCTGCACCGCCTGGTGACAAGTGGCAGTGGTGGGTGGAATGTCACACATCCTGCCATACTTGGGTTTCCTGGGATAACAGGAGGCTGCACACTCTACCTGAACTCACACAAAGCAAGACTACTGGGCTGGAAGCTCTAGGAGGTATTACCTGCCTGGTTACCAGTGACAGGTTCAGGTGGAGCATGCTCTGCTGTTCAGGTGTTTCCTGGGACAATAGGAAGCTGAGCCCTCCAGCTGAGTTCACACAAAAAGGAGGCCACTTGGCTGTAAGCTCTAGCAAGCGTTGCCCATCTGGCTAACAGCAGCAGAATGGGTGAGGTTTTGTGCCATGCCATCAGGGTGTTTCCTGGGACAACAGGAAGCTGCACCCTTCTGCTGCATTCAGACAGAAGTGAGACTGCTGGGCCGGAAGCTCTAGCAAGGATGATAGCAATACAAGTTGATTCTTAATTAATTAAAGCACATTGAGAAGCTGATCCAAAAAGACAAACACTATTAAATCTCTCAGACTTTAAAAATACAGTCATATTCCAGGAGTTAAAGGGTCCAGCTCACCAACATGGCACATGTATACATACGTAACAAACCTGTACGTTGTGCACATGTACCCTAGAACTTAAAGTATAATAAAAAATATATATATACATAGTCATATTCATTTTTCACAACATAGCATATTGTGACAGGTCTTTCTTGATTTACTAAGTTTACTTATTATCCTGTGAAGTATATTTTCATACCTGAATTTTACCTAGCTTCAGCCTTCCATTAACGTTGCATTCATTCTTAACATTTGTAAACCACCATATTTTCTAGAAATTGGTGACTATATTCTAAAATCATTGTAGTCACGAAATCATATGAATACCTGCTTGGCCTCTCCGGATAGGGTCAAGTTTCTCACATAAGCAAAATTTACTTATTTGGCATATACAATGTGAACATAATCTTAAAACCTGACTTTGGCTTTTGGTGTTATTAATAAGGTTCTTAATCCAATTTTTGTTTTTTTTTTACAGAAGTGATACAGCTATACTGTAATCCTAGCATTCCTGAGTTTTGTATATAGCTTGGAAATAATATTTATTGTCAAATATTTTTAAATACTTCACTTTCTTCTAATATATTTATTAACCTTAGCATCTTTTTTTGCATTTTTTCCCTGTGAAGTGTCATTCACTCTATCAATTACTATCAGAAAATCTGTTATCATCTTGCCTATTTATGCAAAGCAAATGATTCTCCAACTGTTGACTCTAATCCTTCCTCTCAAATAGGTTCTGCTAAATAAATGACCCTGAGTCTCTGAGACATTTGTTGTATCAAAGCACAACAACATTAACAGTAAAACAAAAAATATTGTGAAATATGAAATATCTGATCCTTTCTCCCTCTCTCAAAAATTCTGTCTGCCAGGTGTGGTGGCTCACACCTGTAATCCCAGCACTTTGGGATGACAAGATGTTTGGATCACCTGAGGTCAGGAGTTTGAGACCAGACTGGACAATGCGGTAAAACTCCGTCCCTGCTAAAAATACAAAAATTAGCCAGGCATGGTAGCACATGCCTGCAATCTCAGCTACTCAGGAGACTAAGGCACAAGAATTGCATGAACCAAGAAGGCAGAAGTTGCAGTGAGCTGAGATCGCAGCACTACACTCTGGCCTGGGCAACAGAGCAAGACTCCGTCTCAAAAAAAAAAAAAAGAAAATCTATCAATGACTATACTTCCAAATTTGCTTGTGGTTCTCTTCTTAGCAAAATGAGACGATTAAAATTGATCAGGGTTTTAAATAGTATTCCTTTGACTCGCTAAGCACCTATTGAAAAGTCTCAGCTGAAGCATAGCTTCATCTGAAAAAAATTAAATGCAATTGACTTTCTGTACTAAACATTCTTCTTTACACACTCCTCACCATGGAATATCTCTAATGGAGCCCTTTCTTTAATATAGAAATAAATGCGATTCAACTTATTTAAATATAAACGTGAGCTACTTGAGCATAGGAACTACATCACATTCTCTTTTATTCTCTACATACCATTAATGAGTGGATTAGGTAAGTGCTGTAAATTGTGCATTAAATGTGTAACATAAAAAAAACACAGAAGCATAGATAGCTGAGTAGATAGATAAATTATTATCTAATTCATATCTTGAAACTCTATCACTTTACCCAACAATGAGTCTCCAAGGAAGTTATAATTATTTACATAGAGAAATATTATTACTAAATTAATCACTGAAGAAAAACAAATTGCAGAAAGATTGTAATTTTCCCAAATGTAACATTCATTTTTTGTATCATATTTTACCTAATGGCATTATCAATGTTTTGACCATTCAGGTAGAAACCATATCAGTGTCTTTGTTGATACAACACTTTCAGCATCAGATGTAGTCAGTAATCACAAATTCAAATTATATTCCTCACATTTACTATTATCAATGCAAGCCACAGCCCTATAATCTCATACTTGGTTTCCTAATATACACTTGTAATTATTTTTCCTACATTTACACTCTTCTGTTTACTTGCCAATCTTTGTTTAGCTGTCAGAGTGGCTTGCTAAAGAAACAAAACAAAAATGACCTTTTGACTGGCTTTCCTTAAAACTAGATTAAATTATTTTGCCTGTAAATTAAAATAGAAACCTGTATACATCACACAAAGCTACACAAGACCTCCAATTTCAACCAAAATTTTTCTTTTATAATCTCTGGTATACAATTTACTCAAAAATTCATACTTGTGGGAATAATTTCCAAACATCAGGACTTCTCTCCTTCTGTGATTTGTTTCCTTTAGCCACTCTGTCTAGATTCTACCAAAGCTTTCATCTCACCGTATTATGTGATCTGTCACACCAGCTTTTTCTGATTGCTCCATAGATGGATAATGGTTTTCTCTGGGCTTCTGATCATATTGCACCATTTACATCACACATCATAATATTCTTCAGAGAACAAGCATACCTTATTTTATTGCACTTTGTTTTATTATGGTTTACACATATTTAGGTTTTTTTGTTTCTTTTTTACACAAATTGTATGCTTGTGGCAATTGCACATCATGCAAGTCTACTGACATAATTTTTAAAATGGCAAGTAACAAATTTATATCTCTGTGACCCATTTTGCTAATTTTCACAAAATTTCAAGGTTTTTCGCTACTATTATATCTGTCCTGGTGATCTGTGATTGGTGATTTTTCATATTACTGTTGTAATTGGTTTGCGGCATCACAAATTATGCCCATATAAGATGTCCAACTTAATAAATGGGTGTCTCCTGAGTGCCCTACATACCAGTTGTTTCCTAGTCTCTCTCCCACACCTCAGGCCTATTTCCTGAGACACAACAACATTGAAATTAAGCCAGTTAATAAACTTACGAAGGTCCCTAAGTAGAAGGGAGAGTACCACATCTTTCACTTTAAATCAAAAGCTAGAAATAATTAAGGAACATGAGGAAGGCATGTTAAAAGCTCAGAAAGACTTAAAGTTAAGCCTCTTGCATCAAATAGCCAAGTTGTGAATTAAAAAAAAAACAAAAAAGATAAAACAAAGTTCACGAAGGAAATTAGAAGTGTTACTCCAGTGAATGCCCAAATGGTAAAAAAGTAAAACCGCATTATCATTCATGTGAAGAAGTTTTAATCTGGATATATCAAACCAGCCACAATCACGCCTTAACCCTAACCCTAATCCAGAGCAAGACCCTACCTCTTTTTAATCTATGAAGGCTGAAATACATGAGGGAGCCAAAGAGAAAAATGTGGAAAGCTAGCAGACATTGGCTCATGAGGCTGAGAAAAAAATAAATCTATCTCTATAACAAAGAAGTACAAAGTAAAGTAGCAAGTGCCAATGTAGAAGCTGCAGGAAATTATCTAGACAACCTAGCTAAGATCATTGATGATGGTGATTACACTAAACAACAGAATTTGAATGTTGACAAAACGGTCCTTTATTGAAAAAATATGTCATCTGAGACTTTGATAGCTAAAGAGGGGAAGTCAATGCCTGGCTTTAGAGCATTAAAAGACAGGCTGACTCTTTCGTTAGTGGCTAATTCAGCTGGTGAGTTTAGTTGAAGCCAATGTTCATTTATTATTTTGAAAGTTCTAGAGTCCTTGAGAATTATGAGTTGAGAGCCCTTGAGAATCTGCTTTGCCTGTGTACTATAAATAGAAAAACAATGCCTAGATGACAGCACATATTTTAAAAGCATGACTCACTGAATATTTTAAGCTGACTGTTGAGATCTACTCCTCAGAAAATAAAATTTATTTCAAAATATTACTGCTTAATGAAAATGCACATGGACACCCAAAAGTTCTGATAGGAATGTACAAAGAGATTAATGTTGTTTTCATGCCCACCAACATTGCATCTATTCTGCAGCCCACTAATAAAGGTGTAAATTTACTTTCAAGTTTTATCATTTAAGAAATACATTTTATAATGCTATTGTTGTCTTAGATTGTGATTTCTGTGATTAATATGGGCAGAGTAAATTGTAAACCTTCTGTAAGTAATTTAGTGTATTAGAAACATTTCTATTTGAAATATTTCTGATTCATAGGAGCAGGTCAACGTATAAATATTAACAGGAGTTTGGAAGAACTTGATTCCAATCCTCATGGATGACTTTGAGGAGTTCAAGACTTTATAACTACAGATGTGTTTTATTCCATTTCTTTCATCAATGTTTTATCATTTTTATTGTAAAGATCTTATATTTTCATGGCTAAACCTATTCCTACACAATTTCATTTTTGTAACTTTGTAAATGTGATTTATTTTCTTTGCCTTTTTTAAACATTTAGATATTGGAATACGGAAACACAACTGATTTTTGGGTGATGATTTAGTATCTTCTGCCTTTACTGGATTTGTTGATCAATTTTAAGAGCTTTTGATGGAGTCTTTAGGATTTTCTGTGTATAAAATCATGTCATATGCAGAGAGGGATAATTTGATTTTCTCCCTTCCAGTGGATGACCTTTCTTTTTTCTCTTGGCTACTTGCTCTGGCTAGAAATTCTAATGATATATTGAATAAGAGTGGTCAACGTGGACATCTTTGTCTTGTTCCAGATCTTAGAGACAAAGCTTTCCAACTTTCCTTTTTTACTCTGATGTTACCTGTGCATTTGTCATATATGGCCTTTATAAGTTTGAAGTGTTTTTAGTATACTTGTTGAAAGTTGAAAGTTTTCATCATGAAGAAATGTAAATTTTATCAAATGCTTTTTGTGCATCTACTGATAAAATTATATGTTTTTTCTTAATTCTCTTGATATAATATATCACATTTATTGTTTTGCATATGCTTAACCTTCTCTGTATCCCTGGGATAAATCCCAGTTCCTCATCATGTATAATCTTTTTGATGTGTTGTTGGATTTGGTTGGCTAGAAGTTGAGTATTTTTGCGTCTATGTTCATCAGGATTATTGGTCTATAAATTTTCTCTCTCTCTAGCTCCTTCTTTCTGGTTTTACTATCAAGGTAATCATACTCTTGACAAATCATTTTTAAAGCATTTACTTCTCTTTAATGTTTTGGAAAAAATATTTGGGAAAAAATGGATTAATTTTTTAATTATACTTTAAGTTCTTGGATACATGTGCAGAACATGCAGGTTTGATACATAGGTATACATGTTCCATGGTGGTTTGCTGCACCCATCAACCAGTCTCCTAGGTTTTAAGCCACACACGAATTAGGTATTTGTCCTAATGCTCTCCCTCCTCTTTCCCCCCAACGCACGACAGGCCCCAGTGTGTGATGTATCCCTCCATGTGTCCATGTGTTCTCATTGTTCATCTTGCACTTAGCAGTGAAAACATGAAGTGTTTGGTTTTCTGTTCCTGTGTTAGTTTGCTGAGAATGATGGTTTCCAGCTTGGTCTGTGTCCCTACAAAGGGCATGAACTCATTCTTTCTTATAAATGCATAGTATTTCATGGTATATATTGCCACATTTTCTTTGTCCAGTCTATCATTGATGGGCATTGGTTGGGTTGGTTCTAAATCCTTGCTATTGTGAATAATGCTGCAATAAAAATACTTGTGCATGTGTCTTTAAAATAGTATGACTTGTAATCCTTTGGGTAGATGCCCAGTAATGGGATTGCTGGATCAAATGGTATTTATAGTTCTAGATCCTTGAAGAATCGCCACACTGTCTTCCACAACAGTTGAACTAATTTACACTCCCAGCAACAGTGTAAAAGCATTCCTATTTCTCCACATCCTCTCCAGCATCAGTTGTTTCCTCACTTTTTAATGACTGCAATTCTAACTGGTGGGAGATGGTATCTCATTTTGGTTTTGATTTGCATTTCTCTAATGATAATGATGACGAGCTTTTTTTCATGTTTGTTGGCTGCATAAATGTCTTTTGAGAAGTGTCTGTTCATATCCTTTACCCACTTTTTGATGGGGTTGTTTGTTTTTGTCTTGTAAATTTGTTTAACTGTTTTGTAGATTCTGGATATTAGCCCTTTGTCAGAGGGATAGATTGCAAAAATTTTCTCCCTTTCTGTAGGTTTCCTGTTCAGTCTGATGATAGTTTATTTTACTCAGCAGAAGCTCTTTAGTTTAATTAGATCCCATTTGTCAATTTTGACTTTGTTGCAATTGCTTTTGGTGCTTTAGTCATGAAGTATTTGTCTATGCCTATGTCCTGAATGGCATTGCCTAGGTTTTCTCCTAGGGTTTTTATGGTTTTAGGTTTCACATATAAGTCTTTAATCCATCTTGAGTTAGTACTGAAACTATCAGTTCATGGTTTTTTGTTTTTGTTTTTGTTTTGTGAGTTCTTATTACTGCTTCAGTCTTGTTACTCATTATTTCCCTGTTCATGTTTCTATTTATTTTTAATTCAATCCTGGTTGGTGGTATGTGTCCAAAAACTTTCCTTATCCTTTAGATTTTTTAATTTGTTGGCATGAACTTGTTTATAATAATATCTTATAATCCATTGTATTTCTGTGTATCAGTTGTTATGTATCCTTTTCATCTCTCATTTTATTTGAGTCATCTCTTTTTGTAGTTAACTTAGCTGAAGCTTTTTAAATTTTACGTATTCAATAAACCGTTTTGTCTTGTTGATTTTTAAATATTTTAAAAATCTCTATTTTTTCTCTATAATCTTTATTATATCCCTTTTCTACTATTTTTTAGTTTAGTTTCTGTTTTCAGATTTCTTGAGGTACTATAGGTTGTTTATTTAAGATATTTCTGCATTTTTAATGAAGACATTTATTGGCATATATTTGTTGTTTTAGAACTTATTTTTTCTATATCTTCTAGGTTTTGTTATATTGTCTTTCCATTTTTATTTTTGTCATATATTTTAAAATAATTTATCTATGGACTCAATGGTTGTTTATGAGCACATTTAATTTATGTATAGTTGTACATGTTCCCATATTCTTTCTTTTATTGATTTCTAGTTTTATTCCATTGTGGAAAAAAATTGACACCATTTTGATTTTAAAAAAATTTAAGACTTATTTTGACCTAAAATATGGTCTATTCTAGAAGATGTTTCATGTGCTATTGAGAAGATTACATACTCTGCAGCTGTTGGATGGAATGTTCTGTAAATGTCCGTGTTAGGTTTATCTTACCTAGAGTGCAGTTTAACTCTGAGGTTTTTTCATTGATTTTCTGTCTGAATTATATTTTTATTATTGTAAGTAAAGTGCTGCACTCTTCTACTATTATCATATCACAGTCAATCTCTCTCTTCAGCTCTATAAATTTTGCTTTATATATTTGGATGTTCCAGTGTTATGACCATATATATTTACAATTTTATTCTGTTGCTCTATGGAGCTCTTGATTATTATACAATGGCCAACTTCTTATCAATCCTGACTTAAAATATATTTTAACTAAGTATAGCTACTACTGTATTTTTTTTATTGTTTACAATGACATGAAACAAATTTTTCTATTTCTTTTCTTTTAGTCTGTGTACACCTTCATAGGTGAAGTGAGTTTCCTGTGGCAACAATACAGTTGAGTTTTAATTATTTATCCATTCAGTCACTCTATGTCTTTTACTTGGATCATTCAATCAATTTCATTTGTAATATTACTAATAGATAAAGATTTACTACCTCCATTTTGTTAATTGTTTTCTAGGTTAGTTTCTGTATATCCTTTCTCTCTCGCTCTGTCTCTCTTTCTCTCTCTCTCTCTCTGTCTCTCTCTCTCTGTGTCTTCCTTTCTCTCTCACTCTGTCTCTCTCTCTCTGTCTCTCTCTCTCTGTGTCTTCCTTTATGGTTAAGTAATTTTCTCTAGTAATATGTTTTGATTCCATGCCATTTGTGTTTGTTGTGTCTAAGTTTGGCTTCTTAGTTAATGAAAGATTTACAAAAATATTTTATTGTTAGATATTTAAAACTGGTGACAACTTTGAGCACAAAGAAAAATAAACAGAACTCTGTATTTTGACATAATTTTGTCTTCCACATATTGACTTTTTCATGTCTCAATTTATATCTTTTCATATTTCCATCTCTTAATTGTAGTTATGATTTTCTTTAATAACTTTGTCTTTTTATCTTCATGATAAAGATATAAATGGCTTATATACCACAATTATAGTATTAGAGTATTCTGAGTTTGTCTTTATAATTGGTTTTACTACTGCTTTTTATGCCTTCAGATGTATTCTTATTACATGTGAGTGTCCTTTTCTTTCCAATAAAACAATTCTCCTTTGTATTATTTCTTGTAAGATTGGTCTGATGTTTATGAATGCCTTATCTTTTGTTTCGGAAAATGTTATCACTCTTTCAGGTTTGAAGAATTGCTTCGGTAGGCTCAGTATTTTTGCATGGCAGATTTTTTTCAGCACTTTAAATGTATATCTTATTGTCTTCTTGCTCACAAGTTGATTTATTTATTTTATTTTTTTTTGAGAAATTTGATGAAACTTGAATTGGGACATTGTTTAATATGGTATAAACCTTTTCTTATACTGCTATCAATATTCTTTCTTTGTATTTGCCTTTTAACAATTTAAATAGGATGTGCCTTTGGGAAATACTCTTCGGATTAAATTTGATTAGGGTACATGGATACTGTCATCTTTCTCTAGATTTACAAAATGTTCCATCATTATTTTATTATATATGCTTTCTAGACTTTTTATTTCTTATCTCCTTTAAGAACTCCTATTATATGGAGGTAGTTTTCTTAATAATGTTTGATACTTTCCATATGCCTACTTCACTAATTTTAATTATTTCTCTTTTTTTGCTCTTCTGATTGGGTAATTACATATGTTTTATCTTTAGGATTGCTGATTCCTTACTCTGTTTGACCAAGTCTGCTGTTGAAGTTTTCTACTGAGTTTTTCAATTCACTTCACATATTTTTTATTAATTGGATTTCTTTTTATTTTTAAAACATTTCCACTTCTTTGCAAAATTTATCATCATTTTCCTGGATTATTCTCTAAAGTGTGTTTTTTTCAACTCTCTATTCATATGTGCTGTGATTTCTGAACTTTTAAAATAGGTGTGCACTGAATTTCTTGTCAAAAATTTTACGGAGCATCTGAACCTTAATTCTGCACTGTAACTTAAAACTAGACTTGCAGTGATTTCTAGGTCTGTGAGATACTTAAGCAATAACTGGAGCTTAATCTCAAATGTTATACTTGTTTGCAGGTCATAGAAAAGCTCCGTATGAGTATCTGGGAATTATAAAAATACCTGCCAAAGATTCAGGCCTTCCTTTGGATTTTGGCCCCTGCAGTGTTATGGAACTGGTCAGACTCCTCAGCGTGGCATTCCTGCTAATAGGAACACCAAGCAGTTGCTGAGATGTGTGTGCCTGTCACTGTGATTAGTACTTCCACTCTTGTTTCCAATTCACCCCAGGTCATTCAACTCTATAGCCACTCCTAATGCCTCTCCTGAGGTAGGACAAAAGTGGGCTTCCCAAACCAAAAAGATTCACAGATCCATGAAGAAACTGAACATTCACTTCAAATTTCCTCCTCTGATCTTGGCAACTGCAGGTAAAATAAAGTTCTGTCACAGTGGTGTCTTCTTGGTGTGTGGAAGGGGTGCCATAATCCAAAAAATTATTCATTTTACAGATCATGAGTTTTCCCATGTCTATGAGTCTTGGGATTTTCTTCTTCTCTTTTTAGCTCTGGTGAATTCAGTGTGGCTTTTTGTATTTACATAGTTACTAGCTCTATTTTTGTGTGGGAATTAATGTTGGGAGGTGTTATTTCATCATTTTACTGACATCACTCCTCAAGGAATACTTTTATGAGTTTGCAAACCATTATGATTTTAGAATTAGCTATCTACCAAATATTAAAAGAGCTGTATATTTATCATTTAAGTGTTCTGTATAATTATTTGTGTACCGTTTCTAGTACATAATTACTATGTATTGAAGCTATGTGTTTCCAACACAAACTTTCTTGTAGAGACTGGCAGTACATGGCAGAATATAGGGACAATATAACTATACATATCACAACTTCTTCAGATTTTTATTAAAGCATAAGTAAACTATATTATTCTACATGATATTGCATCTTTATGATGCAGAAATTATTTTCTTTGTAGGAAATGAAAGCATTTGTCCAGATCTCTGGCAAAGATGGCACTGTGGTGTTTTCTCTGGGGCCAGTTGTGCAAAACCTTATAGAAGAGAAGGCTGATCTCATTGCTTCAGACTTGGCCCAGATTCCACAGAAGGTGAGTACAACGTCCAATCCTTATAAGCAGCCATTTACACAGTGAAGAAAATGTGGCTTTCCATTTGGAACTTGAATCTCATTTTCTGCTTTGCATTAACAGGCACTACTTCTACATAGAATAATTTAAAGCATTATAGTAGTGTATGTGGGCTCAACTAATCATTTGCCTATGAATGCTTGAAGTTACTTTGGAAATACTTCTCTTTGTTGTCATTTGTTTGTGACAAAATGAAAATAAAATATTAAGTTCCTATCTCACATTTTGAGATTTTAAATCTTAAGTCCTGTGCTGACTACTCAAAAACAACAAATAAAAAAACCCTGAAGTGTACTAACTCCAAGGAACATAAAAAGGGAGGGCTGATATTACAAAGATAGAGAAGAATTATGCCCAAGAATATCCTCAACATATTTGATTGTATAGGAACTCCATTCAGTGTACTTGGGTATAAAAGTAGAAGCTTAGATTCACGTAGTCTTTCTTATGAATTAGACTTTTCAAGAATTAAAAGGCAATTACAATTTTGATATTATAGTCTAGTAGTCAGTTAATTTTAACTTTCTTGTTATTGCAATTCTAGATTTCCACTATTTGGGTAGTACTATTTATGCACTATCCAGTGACTTTTTAAAAATGTAATGTTTAATTAAAGTTCATAAAACTCAATAAAAGCATGTATGCTAATTAGGATTGTGAAATTAGTTTTGCCTATTAAATTGGAATATCTATGTATTCCTATGTTTTCAAATGCAAGATTTTCACATAGCTTTCCCATAAAAAACAAATTATGTGACAAAAGGCATAAAGACAAACAAAATTCAACATTGAACATAAATTCTAAGTAACTTCTTTTTCTTTTTTAATTAAAAATAAATTAATATATAAAATCAAGGAGCAAAGGAGACATGAAAAAAAGCAGAAAGTAAAGACAACTAACTATCCAAAAACAAACAGCAAAGTCTAAAGCAAAGTTTTTCTATGAGGAGAAAAGCATGGAAAAGACTCATCCCCATGATTCAATTACCTCCATCAAGTCCCTCCTACAACATGTGGGAATTGTGGTAGTTATACTTCAAGATGAGATTTTGGCGGGGACACAGATAAACCATATCAGGCCATTATGATCGCCTGTTTTGGTTACAAACACACATTTTTAATAGTCTTTCTAATTTTAAGGTCTTGACTTTACATGCCAATATTAGTCGACACAGTTGCTTGCTAAAGGAAAATCTTGATTTCATAACTGTCATTTTTTAAAAGTTGTGTAAGTAAATTTTGGTCATGTATTAAAATCCAAATCCATAGTATGACAATTAAGACTGCCTAAGGTCTTCATTCCAAATTAACTGTCTTTTTTAATAGCTTGCCCTCAAATTTCTCTGTGATCCATACACATTGGGATGCTCTTCATATATCCATGACCTTTACTCATTCTGTTCTTTATTGGAAAATCCCTTCTTTACCACACACTGCCTAGGTCCAATCAAAGCTTTCATCTCATATCATGTTACCTGCCTAATTAAGTTTTTCTAATTATTTCATGTAGAAGTACTTGTGTTTTTTCTCTGGAACTCTAAACACATCCTGTATTACTCATGTGATTCATATCAAAATAGTCTTTATATTATAGCTATTCAATGTATTATCAGCTAATTAGTCGGGGTCCACATAGGTGAAGCAATGTAAAATATTTGTTTTCCAAAACCACCTTGTACCTTTGGGTTTTGTGTGGAATGAAAGAAAGTGTGTGTATGTTTGTGTTTTGTGTGAATTAGAAACTTTAAAGATTTTGTTTTTTTTTTCTGTCATTGAAAATATAGATTAGTACAGTTATATTTCATGTATTTTTATTTTTTAAAGGTTGGAACAAATTTTTCTGGATACATAATTTTTTGATTGCCGTAATAAACATCAAGTTTCAAAATAAAGCGTGGCCATTCATATTTAATATTTAATTTTTAACATCTGTGTATATTTATTTCAATTCGGAGCCCTGTAAACTCTTAATCTCTGTGAGCAGTGCGTCTGGGAGCTACCATCACAGTTTCTGAGAAGTGGGCTTCAAGTATTCTGCACCTGCAGCTCTGCTGTGCTGGTTGTGCATTCTGTGGGAAAGTCCTGGTTGGCCTTGTGACATGAGCCATTAGCTTAATGTCAAAAACATTCCAGATAAACTCATAGAAAGGGGCCACAAAGTAACAATGTTTACTTACTACAGGCTTTTCTCATTGACTACAAGAAGCCTTCTTCATTGAACTTCAAGGAGGTCCATGTGGCACATGACAAAGATAATCTTGAGAATTCAAATGATGAATTTTTTGACCTAGCTTATTATTTTCTTTTATTTTCTATTTGAGACAAGGTCTTGCTCTGTCACCCAGGCTGAAGTGCAATCATGGCTTGCTTCAGCCTCGAACTCTCAGGCTCAAGTGATCCTCCCCACCAAAGCCTCCCAAGTAGCTAGGACTGTAGGCACACCCCAGCACACCTGGTCAATTTTTTTGTAAAATGTTTGTACTGAGTAGGTCTTGTTATGTTACCCAGGCTGGTCTCAAACTCTTGGCCTTAAATGATCCTCTCATCTTGCCTCCCAAAGTTCTGGGATTACAGGTTGAGCCACTATATTTGGCTTGTAGACCCAGTTCTCAGTATCTTTCCTGGCTTATCATCTGGTAATGGAAGGTAAAACTAAATATATTCTTTAATTGAATTGGGTGGAATTTTTAAACCACTATGTGAGTGTTGTCTACAGTCAGGCACTCATGAAGCAGCTGCAGGAAATGAATCATTACAGAGTAATGGTTTACTGACCCTATAATTTTCTCTGGGGAGCTAGTGGCTGAGTTGCTTGCAGTCCCTTTTGTGCTCACACTTAGGATGCAACAGGGAGTGATGCTTCAGGAAACTTCTAGCTCCACCTTCCTATGTACCTGTGCACATCGTAGGACAGAGTGACCTTTCTGGAAAAAGTAAAATATAAAATATAAAAAGTAAAATATAAAACATAAAATATGAAAAATATAAGTTTTCTTTACCTTTTGTATCCAGGATTATGACTTTCATTTTTGGTAATCATTTTATAGTGAGGCATTAGATAAGTGTCTTTTATTTTAAATGAGTTATCAAAATAAATAGAAGAGAGTTAAATGAAATCTATGTAAATATAAATAATACATTTTTATATAGCTATCCTACATGCAAAACTCTAACAGTGATACCAATGAAAGAATAATCAAAATCTAATTGGGAATAGAAGTAATACATTTCTTAAAATAGTTACACTTTCTTTAGAGTCAGTTAACCATTTTTCTTGATACTTGTTAAGAGTCATGCCAAAAACAATACCCCCACCCCAGAAAAAAAAAAAAAAAACAATATTAATACTTTGGAAGATTTGGAAGACATATGGTTTGTCATACATAATCTCCAAAGCCCACAGGCTGGAATTGCTAAGTCACCCAAACAGCAAAGATGGCGGCCCATATCTCTGTGAGCTCTGTCCCAGGGAGTTTTCAAATCTCTGCTGGCCTAAGAACAATGGTGGAAATGACTGGAGTCCCCTGTTGGGAGGTCCCACCCAGTGAGGTGGAACAGGATCTGCAACCTACTTGAAGAAGCAGTCTGGCCATGTTTTGGTAGAGTAGCTGTGTTGTGCTGGGGAATTCCTTCCTTCTGTGGTCGATTTGGATGCTCCAAAGCTCAAATGCCAGAACAGCTAAGTTGCACAAACAGCAAAGATGGTGGCCCACCCCACGCGGCTGAGAGTTCCATTCCAGGGAGGCCCAACACTGCTATCACGGCTGGTTGAAATTCCAAGCCAGTGGATCTTATCCTGTGAGGTGCTGTGAAAATGGGGCCCGCAGACTGTCACTGCTCAGCCCCCTGAATTCAGCCTCCCACTTTGCAATTCTAACCTTCCACTTTGCAAGAGCTACAGCTACTTTTGCCAGGAAGCCCTGAAAGCCAGAGTATCTAAAGGCATCACGTCTCTACACGTGCCTGAGTGGCTGCTCTGCTGAGACTCCACATACCTTTGTGTGTCAGACTGAAGACCTGGTTAAGTGGGTTCATGAGGGGATCTTGTGACCTGAGGGTTACAAAAATCTGTGAAAGAAGCATGTTATTTGGGGTAGCACATTCACTCACCACTTCCCTGGGTGAGGAAATTTTCCTTGGTTCTGTGTTGATGCCAGGTTGGCAGTCATCCTGCCTTACTTTTCTTCATTCTCTGTGGATCAAGTTGTTTCCTTAAATAGTCCCAATGCGAGTGCCCGTATGTTTCAGTTGAAGGGGCTGTATTTACTCACCCCTTCTGTTCATCTTTGTGAGAGCCATGCATATTACCTACTTCCGGTCAGTCATCCTGGCCACTCCTCCAGCTTAAAATATTTTTAGAGTATATCTCATATTAAGTGTTTTCACTAATACAAGGCATACTTCTGAGATGTTGCAGATTTGGTTCTAGAATACTAAAATAAAGCAAATATTGCAATGAAGCAAATCACACAATTTGTTTTGGTTTCTTTTTTTTTTTTTTTTTTTTTTTTTTTTGAGACGGAGTCTCGCTCTGTCGCCCAGGCTGGAGTGCAGTGGCGCGATCTCGGCTCACTGCAAGCTCCGCCTCCCGGGTTCATGCCATTCTCCTGCCTCAGCCTCCCGAGTAGCTGGGACTACAGGCGCCCGCTACCACGCCCGGCTAATTTTTTGTATTTTTTTTTTTTTTAGTAGAGACGGGGTTTCACCGTGTTAGCCAGGATGGTCTCGATCTCCTGACCTCGTGATCCGCCCGCCTCGGCCTCCCAAAGTGCTGGGATTACAGGCGTGAGCCACCGCGCCCGGCCGGTTTCTAAGGCATATAAAAAGTTATGTTTACACAATGCTATAGCATATTAAGTCTGCAATAATATTAAGTCTAAAAAAATACATGCCTTAATTTAAAAACACTTAATTGCTAAAAAGTGCTAATGATCATCTGAGTCTTCAGTCAGTGCAACTTTTGTTGATGAAGATTCTCATATCAATGTTGATGGTTGCTAACTCATTTTGGTGGTGGCCGCTAGTACTTAGCATGGCTGTGGCAATTTCTTAAAAATAAGACAACAATGGCATTTGCCACATACATTAACCCACCCTTTCACAAAAGATATTTTTAGCATGCAATGCTGTCAGATAGCATTTTACCCATAGAAGATCTTCTTTCAAAATTGGAATTAATCCTCTCAAACTCTAACGCTGCTTTATAAAGTAAGTTTAAGTAATATTCTAAATCTCCTGTTGTCATTCAACAATGTTCATAACATCTTCACCAGGAGTAGATTCCATCTCAGGAAACAAGTTTCTTTGCCCCTCCAAAAGTAGTAACTCCTCACTTATTTGTTTTATCATGAGATTTCATCAATTCTGTTACATCATTAAGTTCCACTTCTAATTATAGTTATCTTTCTAGTTTTATTATATTTGCAGTTACTTATTCCATTAAAGTTTTGTTATAGGACCAACAGTTTCATATGCTTACTGTCCAATAATAGTCCAATTACACTGAGACGTCAGATTTGGCAGCAAAGAAGGAGTTTAATAATTGCAGGGCACTGAGCAAGGAGATAAGAAGAGAACCCTAAATCCAGCTCCTCAAGGAGTTCTGGGTTGGAGGTTTTAAGGAGATCATAGATGGTGATAGGCTGGAAAATTTGGGTAATTGATTAGTCAGGGTAATAGGGTAAAGTCATCAGAACAAGAAACTACATTATTTGCTGAGTCAGTTCCTTGTGGGGTCCTCTAGATCAGCTGGCATCAGTGAAGTCTTTCAGATCAGCTGACATCAGTGAGATCCTTCAGACCAGCCGAGTCAGTAGTTTTAGCAGTATGCTGGACCTGAAGGAATACCTCAAAAGGAAAGTTGATCATTTCATAATGTTTAAGTTAATATTTATAGAAGGATTAAGAGGAACTATAGTCTTGTAACAGGGTCTGCATAATTCTAGGACAACAGCCAAATAACTGTGAGGAAGTGAGTCGGAGAACAAGCTAACCTAATGATTAATGCTGAATGTACTACAAGCTTGGTTTACTTTTCTCTTTTTCTTTCTTTATCTTTGATTACTTTAACAAAGTTTAAAAAGATAGTGTCATCTTGAAACTCTCAATATCTTACATGATGGTTGTAAGAATCAACATGTATACGCTATATCATAAATGAACCTTTAAAATATTATGTTACATAAAAGAAGCCAGTCACAAAATACCACATATTGTATGATTCTATGCATTAAAAATTGTCCAGAATAGGCAAATCTATAGAGATAGAAATTCAATTAGCAATTACCTAGGACAGGGGAAATGCAGAAACTAGGGGTGGAGAGAAAAAGGCTAAGGACTATAGGGCTTATTTTGGGGAGATAAAAGGGCTCTCCAACTGATTGTTATGGTAGATGCACAATTCTGTGAATATACTATGAAACATTAAATTTTACACAATAATTGATAAATAGTATGATATTTAAATTACATGTCAACAAAGTTTACAAAAATATGTGGACCATGTTTAGTCATTTAATCTTTAGTTTTGTGTCAAATGGACTGCAGAAACAAGATCTGTCACTGCTACTGTTCTGGACACTCTTCTAAAATATATTGCATAAGACAGATGGCATGTCCATACAAGATCCTTGATATTAGCTGAAGGATAGCACTCATAAACATAAAAGGGAAATTAATCACATCTGTGTGAACAGATCATTTACCTTCATTTGTCTCTTTGCCATCCACATGCTCAGACTGTTGATTTAATGATATTGTATGTACTTTGACTTATAAGGGTTACATTTTAACTTCTTGGCTAATTTATCTTTGGACATAACCATGAGAAATGACAGAAAGGAACAGCAACTGGAAAACAAGCATTGCATTGCACCAGGATGTCTGTGAAATGGACTTCAGTAATTTTGCTAATACAACTGAGCTTTTGCTTTAGCTCTGGGAATTGTGGAAAGGTGCTGGTGTGGGCAGCAGAATACAGCCATTGGATGAATATAAAGACAATCCTGGATGAGCTTATTCAGAGAGGTCATGAGGTGACTGTACTGGCATCTTCAGCTTCCATTCTTTTTGATCCCAACAACTCATCCGCTCTTAAAATTGAAATTTATCCCACATCTTTAACTAAAACTGAGTTGGAGAATTTCATCATGCAACAGATTAAGAGATGGTCAGACCTTCCAAAAGATAC
This sequence comes from Homo sapiens, assembly GCF_000001405.40. Lineage (NCBI taxonomy): Eukaryota > Metazoa > Chordata > Mammalia > Primates > Hominidae > Homo > Homo sapiens. The sequence continues at coordinate 69,096,832 of NC_000004.12, forward strand.
ATTTTGGTTATATTTTTCACAAGTACAGGAAATCATGTCAATATTTGGTGACATAACTAGAAAGTTCTGTAAAGATGTAGTTTCAAATAAGAAATTTATGAAAAAAGTACAAGAGTCAAGATTTGACGTCATTTTTGCAGATGCTATTTTTCCCTGTAGTGAGCTGCTGGCTGAGCTATTTAACATACCCTTTGTGTACAGTCTCAGCTTCTCTCCTGGCTACACTTTTGAAAAGCATAGTGGAGGATTTATTTTCCCTCCTTCCTACGTACCTGTTGTTATGTCAGAATTAACTGATCAAATGACTTTCATGGAGAGGGTAAAAAATATGATCTATGTGCTTTACTTTGACTTTTGGTTCGAAATATTTGACATGAAGAAGTGGGATCAGTTTTATAGTGAAGTTCTAGGTAAGTATTTTTTTCAATCAGTAACATGAAGCTCTAACTTATTTGTGTCTTTGAAGCAGAGCTTATATAAAGCCATAAAGTCAGGGTAGTGGGGTTTTGGTAAGTGAATTTATAAAACAAAAATACAAGATGATCTATTAATCTCACAAATATTATAGAAAAGCTTAAATTACAGGGTCAGTTAAAACCCTGTGGCCATCACTCACACAGAACACCCCAGGAAATCATAAACCTATACATTAGTGCATCTAAGACTTTAAGCAATTACACATCTGTTTTACTATACATTGTTTTACATCTTAAAAACAGTAAAATCCATCAAATAACTTCTTACTGAATGCATAGATTTAGAATGAGTAGTTACACATTTTTCTACAACTATCTATATAACTGCAGAAATTGTTTTTTCTTGTAAACTTGTTTTCTTATTTAGAAATCAAAAGATGTTCCCATATTACCAGAAGGTTTCCTTCACAGTAAAGAGAGATAATGTCTATACCTCAGATGCAAAAATCAATAAGGGCAATTTGAAGTTTCTAATGTTTCTATACTCTTTCACGAAAGAATTGGAAATCATTAATTTAAAGTCCAATCATCTTGTTGAAGTGTGAAGGTTGTTATATCTACATAGTTTTTTGAAACTATGTCTCTTTATTAGAACATATGAGACAAATTAAGGTTGAGTACAAATTTTTATTTCAATAATTTCTCAAAAATTTCTAGCTATAATGTACAAATATATTTACTTAAAAATATTATTAAGATCTTAGCTTGAATCTAAAAGAGTAGTTGGTACAAGGATTTCAGCCATACTCTCAACATAGTCCACAGTTCACTTGAACCAAAGATAAAAGAATTAGCTTAATGAGTTGTGTAAACTAGACTATTTCTTAGAAAATTATTTTTATGGGTAGAGTAGAATTAATTGATTATGGAGCTCAAAGAGTTGTTTAAATGTCCGTATGCTACTATTGAAGCTTTAAGAGAAAAGAAATTTTCTGTTTAACTTTCTATGGCTCATTTTAATAATTGTTTATGATTATGAGCATACTGATGCGACATTAGAGATGTAGCTTAACCTCACAATTCTCCTACTACTTTGTCTTTCTTATAAATACACATGGGCAAAATATGTAATACATAAAATTAAATTATATCTATATATGAATATGTGTATATATTTTTCAAAGCACAGATATTTGCCTACATTTTTGCCTACATTATTCTAACCCCTTTCAGAAATTTACCTAAAGTAATTATCTTGTGTCATCCACCTTTTTTTTTTCTATTCCTGTCAGGAAGACCCACTACATTATCTGAGACAATGGGGAAAGCTGACGTATGGCTTATTCGAAACTCCTGGAATTTTCAGTTTCCATATCCACTCTTACCAAATGTTGATTTTGTTGGAGGACTCCACTGCAAACCTGCCAAACCCCTGCCTAAGGTAAACATACTTTTGTTGGTTTTATTTTGTTGGCTTTGAATTTTCAGTAGAAATGATTCTATAGTCTTCTTTCAGAGTGTTTGACTTACACTGAAAGAAAGATGGGAAATGGGTGGGGTAAAGCAGATACCAATTAGAAACTCATGTGCACGTTAATACCATCACACGTATATGAGTTTTATGAGTATTACAAATAGAGAGGAATACTAAGGAGACTTTGAAAATAGGGTTGGTTAAATTAAAGTCTTCATTATGCAATACCTAAGAAGGTATTGGTCATCCAATCAAATAATATTTACAAAGGGATTAGCACAAAACACAGGTAAGTGCAGAATTTTCAGAGAAAAAAATAGACACAGTTTCTGTCCCCACATACCTTACATTCTACTTCAAAAGATAGAATATGTGCAAGTAATAAAAATTATATAAAAACTATTATCTGAAGGAAAAACGCAATACCAAGAAAGCATCAGTGGAGATAATAGAAAGTATCCTGCAGTCACTGATTAGTAAGATGAGAGCTGAACAATATGCAGGAATAGGTAAAAGAATGACGGGGAGAGACAGACAAAAAAAAAAAAAAAAAAAAAGAAGCAGGTAAAGTGGTCAGGACAGTTCTCAAGTCCTCAAGTTTAGTTTGCAGGGAGAGACTAAGACTCGGATGATGGTGAGAGGCAAATTAGAGCCAGATACGTATTAGGAGTTGAAATATTTATTAAGCACATTGAAAAACTACTAAAAAGATTAAGAAATAAAAATATATGAAAAGATTCTCTTTTTAAAGGAGAGCTTTCAAGATATTCAATGGATTAAATTGCAGGAGGGCCAGACTGTAAAGAGCCAACCATTCAGGAAATTTTGCAGGATTCAGGTAGCAGATGATGGAAAAGTCGACTAGAAAGTTGATAGAAATCATTATGCCCACATTTACAAAAATAGTGGCAACTTCATATTGTGTTGAGTGGAAAAATATTAACACAGACAAAACACTTAAAGTGTCTCTGGAATATAGTCAGTGACTCAGAAATATTATTAATTTTGCAATTATGGCTATTTTGTTATTATTACTAATACTACTAATTACTTAACATGTGCTGGTCACTTGAGATATCATTCTTCATTTAATAGAACCAGATTGTTCAGTACATCAAAATTATATTCTCTTGCAGAGTCATAGTTGACAGATACCCTGTGGACTTGATTAAAAGTAGACATATCAGTTTTGACAGTAAGATGAGCTACTTGAAATTCTAAAATTCTACCATAGGTAATAAGGATCTTCACCAGTATTGCAGCGTAAAACACTTCCTCAACAATAGAAATGTGTTCCTTTAATATTTGCAGACAAACTTAGTGTTCACTTGATCTTACTAAAGCATTTAAATCATTCTTCATTGAGACCCCAGAGATTTACATATTACAGCATAAACATACCCTATGAGAGCAGATGATTTTTGCCGTATGACAAGCAACTTATTAAAGCTTCCTGTGGGAACTCGTCTCAACATCATAGCTGCCTGACACAGAAGCACAGAGATAATGAACAATGCATGTATAATAAAGCACAAATAATTTATACCACTTGTATCTGAATGGCGCCCTTAGTTTAGATTCCAGGGAATTCTGTCAGCATATAAGATTATATTTTTTATGAAGGAACACAATAAACTCATATATTTTAAATTAATATCACACTTTTAAGACATATGTACAAAGCAAGCATTCTTTGTTACGTTATTATTTAATCTCTTAAAAGATCATTTTTGTCTACATAAAACTGAAATTTTATTCCATTGTTAAAACTCAATATCTATGTTGAATGAAAATTGTATGGGCTTTATATGATAACTTTCTCAAGAGACAAAAGCTGAGGTAAGACTAATGAAAAATCTATGCCACCCTACCCTACTCTTGAAAAATTTCCCCACCCATACTAAGGGAAAAACTGATAGTGTCAGTAGGAGGGGGAAGAGAATAGGAGGTGTAGAAGGACAAGAAAAGGGATGACTAGTACTAAAATAGTGATAATTACTACTACTAGCTGTTGTTATTAACTTGCAGAAAGATTTGAATGCAAGTCAATGGTTGTGAAACCCGTTCTTCGTTTATTATGTAAAATAATTGCTAACCCAGGTTGCTTTCATTTCAATTAAATATTAAATTCTAAGATAATTTCTTATAAGAGAAAAAGACACTTGACAAAATGTATCAGGTGTTTTAAAAATGAATATTGCTATCAGTTTTATAATATGTTCACGTGAAATCATACAGAGAAAAAAATTAATCAAGGTGTACCTATTAAACATTATGGAAAATATTCATAAAATTAACATTGGAAGTAATCCAACATCTTAAATGAAGGAATGATTAAAAACTTATACTATGTGCATACAATAGCATTACAATAATTTTATCAATGAAATATTCAACTACACTGTCAGCCATATTACAAATAAAGTGAGTTAGAAAATGATAAATATAACAAGATGACAAGTTTTTGCAGGAGGAAAATGTATACATAATAAGATTAAAATTATCTAAATAAGTGTCACATGTGTACATTGAGCTATGTAAATAGGACAAAAGCCATGATGAAAAAATATATTTTACATAAATAATATCACAACATAAAAATTTTAGAAAAATTTTATTTAAAAAAATTTTTTTCATGCTTTTATAAAATTTCTTACATTAATCTTATATTATTTTTATTATGTTATCACAGAAGAAGAAACAACCAGTCCATATCAGTGATGAATCTGTAAAGAGGCTCGATTCCTTCAACACTGGGTGGATAAATAAGGCTCTGGGCATCAAGCTAGTGAGATGAAACACTGAACACCAGTTACATTAAATATGGCTACAGGCAACTGCAATCACACGCAATACCTAGATGCCCCAAGTATTACCTGGAATAGCAGTACAATGACTCTCATGTTAAGATTAAAAATCATATTTTAAAAAAACACTCTGTAATATGTGGTCTGCAGAGTTAACATTTGGACTTTTTTTTCTTTGTTTTGTGAAGAACAGTTAGGAAAAGTTTTACCCCAATCATTAAATCTGAAAGTATTTAAATTTAAACATCGGCATATATTGGACAACGCAAGTCAGAATAATTCTCAATCGATTGCAGCCAAGCACATCTTCACTAGGAATGTTACGTGGTGTGTGTGAGCTACTCAAAAAAGAGACAAGATCTCCCCTGCAGAAAGGCCTGGTGGCCTCTTCTGTTCTGGTGCAAGTGCTGCCTCTGAGACACAACAAAGTGATGATGAGAGTTCCTCACATGCAGTTATAAACAGCACATCAATTTAACAGTGTGATTTCAGGGAAAAGTTATTCCACCTAAAGAATCACCTGAAAAATATGATCATTCAACTATGTAACTATATACAATTCTGTATGATAAATGAGACTCCTGGACTAATTCATAGAAATTCCAAATTACATTACCAGACTCCAGAATGTCAGCGGTTCTTAACCACCAGCTTTTATTTATTTTATTTTTTTTAGTTTTTGAAAAACTACCAGAAAACTCTGACAAACTTTAAGTGAAGTATAAAGCATTGTAGAGAAACATAAATGTAGATATAAAATTATCCCAACTGTGAGTAGCTTATCCTCAGAGCTCATAGTTAGGGAAGTAAACCACTAACTGTTTCCAACTAAGAGAATTCTACAGAAAACCTGCCTGAAATAAACACAAGGGATTTAGTAGAACAACAATATAGAATTAAAGCTGAGTGGTCCCACTTTCCAAGAACCTATATTAGTAACTTTAGTATTGTAAGAGAAGAGTCTGTGTATAATATTTTTAACATTATCTCCCTGACAACAATGTAATAGCTCCATTTCTTTTCTCCCTTACACACATGCACACAAATACATACACATACACACATATTTACACAAATATCCTTAACAGCATCCACCTATCTCATATTATACATCTACTTGCAAAAAAACTGAGTGATTGGGTCAGTTAAAAAATATTATTTACTCCAATAATTCCTCAAAATACTGGATTTTCTCTCTTTAGTAATTTGCACCAATTCTTTTGGTAGTGCCCGCTGTGCTAATACTCTTTTGTGATGAAGCAAATTCTTTCTTCACAGGAAATGGAAGACTTTGTACAGAGCTCTGGAGAAAATGGTGTTGTGGTGTTTTCTCTGGGGTCAATGGTCAGTAACATGACAGAAGAAAGGGCCAACGTAATTGCATCAGCCCTGGCCCAGATCCCACAAAAGGTAAGATGAAGTGCCTTACTGGTGTGGAAAACTACTGAAAGAGGCTGTTAAAGTTTGAAGTAATCCAATTATAGAAACTTCTGATAAATGTGAAGTTGACCAAAAGTTGAAAAATTAGAACAAGGATAATCTTGGAGAAACTATGAGAAGTTTGAAAATTGTGGTTGCATTTTTTTTTAAATGGTGTTAAGTATGAACATTCCCCTATGTAAATATGCTGACAATAAATTGAATGGAGAAAGGTATTTAAAAAGTGTTTGGAGACTTCTCACCTCCTGTCCATAAAATTTTGAATTGTGTATGTGATCTACATAGAAAGAATATTAAAGAGTAGATTGAACTCTTCATAGCTGAATATAGCCTTAAATATGCTTGTATAGCATCCACCGACAGAAGTAATAGTTGTGCCTCAGACTTAGGGGTTGCATGTGGCCCTGGAGGAGTTACTACCCTTGGTATGCATGAGTAGTTCCTATTAGCATCAGTGGGAACTCAGTACTCCATATGTATTCACAAAAGGCAACTTGAGACCCACAGTTATTTTTAATTTCTGATATTAACACTCATACATACTGCTGAATTTAACTCAATATATTTCAGTTAAGTGAAAATGGTGCTTAATGTAGTCTTTAGAATGACTTTCAGGTGTTTTCACAAAAAACGTATATCCAGAACTGTGTCCTTTTAGAAATACAAGTAAAATTTTTGATAATTAGCTTCAAAACAGTTTTCCTAATCTCAGCAGTATCCAATGAGTGAAGAACACTTGACTGACTCTTGGGTCACCTCTATTACTTATTGTACTCTGGAAGCTCTTGGTGAATGTTTACGATTATGGGATGTAGTATTTCTGTTTGCACTTTAAGTCAAATGCTTGTATAAAATACGTGACAACAAATGGAGAATATTGGCTCTGTTAGTAGTTATGCGGTATATTCTCTGTTTAAGGATCTGTGCTAGTATAACATGATTGAATGTTATTAATTTAGGAATAATAACCAACACATGTGAGGAGTAGGGGACTAAGGAGAATGAATTCCAATCCTGTGATTAAAAGTGTAAACTATAGGCCAGGCACGGTAGCTCACGCCTGTAATCCCAGTATTTTCGGAGGCCGAGGCAGGCGAATCACGAGGTCAGAAGTTCAAGACCAGCTTGGCCAACATGGTGAAACCCGTCTCTACTGAAAATAGAAAAAATTACACAGGCATGTTGGCACACACCTGTGATCACAGCTACTCGGGAGGCTGGGGCAGGAGAATCACTTGAACCTGGGAGGCAGAGGTTGCAGTGAGCCAAGATCACACCAATGCACTCCAGCCTGGGCAAACCCCTCTCAAAACAAATGTAAACTGTAGATTCTACTGTAGTATATTTCAGGATCTAGAAGTCTTATTTTTATAAAGATGGAGTCTGGAAGATATTGCTAATGTATTTTACTTCAACATAGGGAACAAACTTTTTAAGTATATTAATAAATATTCCCGTATGGTTAGTTTTTTACATTTTTAAAAATAAACTTTATGGATATGACAAATTAAAAAAAAGAAACTTCCTGCCTAAAAATTTAGCTGATGGGAAAGCAATAATTTTCTCAGATATTAGTTCAAAATCAAAAATATACATTAACGATGCTAAAATAATACAGAGGGTGTTTTTCATTGATAATAAATTTGGCATTAATAGTATGATCAAGAATAAATTTATTCAAGAAATGTAGGTGAAGTTTTGGTATTGCCATGATATTGGGGTCAGGTAAGAGATATCACCAAATTCTGCCCCTGTCATTTGACCCTTTTGTTTAAGAATTCCTTAGGGCACTGTACACACTACAGGTGTTATCAGAAAAAGTTACATTTTAATGGGTAACTTCACTACCACAATAACAATAGCAGGTATTTCAAAAAGTCTGACATGCATCATGCAATTTAGTCTTGGCATGTAATCCAGCCTCTTGTACTTCCTGTACATTTTGGAAGAGGTGTATCTGAGTAATGTTCAGGGTACTATTCAGAGACAGAACAGCCTAGGCGGACAGACAACTATCCCAAGTACCCACATAGCCAGATAGATTTAGAGAAAGAGAAAAAGCCTGCCCTGCTGGACTGCGCCCAGCCAATGTCTGAAGCAGGAAGATGAAAGGGTGGAGATGGATCCTGCCCTGAAGGTGGACCCTGTGCAGTATAAAATGTGGCCCCACAAGGACTCTGCACTATCAGATTAACAACTCCTCCCAATGGAGGAAGCAGAAGGAAATATAGAAGGGAGTCAAACAGAAGGAGGCCAGGCACAGAAACAACTTCAGATACCCCCTCTATAAAATATAGTAGAAATATATTATCTTTTATATAGAATAAGCCAGTGACCTTTGTGTATTTGTCAATTACTTTTTAATTTCCTGCCTGATAAAGCTTTCTTGTAATGACCTCTTCCAACTTTTGCTGAAACCTGAGTTACTTTAACACTGATGTAGCAAATAAAAGTTAAACACTGTAAATTATTGTTTAGTTTATGAGGATTGCTTGGGAGTTTCAAAATTAGTAACTTAAACATAAAATGTCTTGGCTATAGCAGAACATGTTAATCACTATTGTCAAAGCTTTGTAGCACGTTGTCTCAGTGTTAATAATCAGTTAACCAAATTCAGCAAGATACAATTTTGAGTTTTTTCAACAGCTGTGTTTTTATTCATGACACCAACAGATTCTTCATTTCTATGCTGAAAAATATCCAAAATTAGAAATACTGATAATACTCTGAATTTGTGTCAAAAATAACCACCTGAAATTTATTTTGGAAGTAGTGCTTGATAATTTATAATTCCAATGAAGTTATACATAAAACCTTTGCAGCATTAATCTATTTCTTATAAGTAGCTTATTTATGGACTTGTTATTTTGTCAATCAAAGGACAACAGGCTCTAATATAACAACCTACACACAAGTAGATACATGTGAACTACTTCCCAAATTACTCAAAAAGATATGAATACATTAAAATTAAATTTGGAAAATGAAAACTAATATAAAATACATAAAACAAAATAAGCACGCAGGTCATTACAAAATTGTTACTATTTTTTACACTAGAATTATAAGGAATAGCTAAAATTTTTATACATTTTTAGAATATTTTTAATTTTAAAAAATTAAATTAATTTAACTTTTATTTGTAACTTTTATTTTAAGTTCAAGGGGACATGTGTAGTTTTTTTACATAGGTAAACTTGTGTCATGGGGGGTTATTGTACTGTTCGTTTCATCACCCAGATATTAAGGCTAAAATCAGTTAATTATTTTTCCTGATCCTCCCACCCTCCACCCTCCAATACACCACAGTGTATGTTGTTCCTGTCTATTTGTCCACATGTTCTCATCTTTCACCTTCCACTTATAAGTGAGGACATGCCATATTTATATTTCCATCCCTTTGTTAGTTTGCTAAGGATAATGGCCTCCAGCTCCATCCATATCCCTGCAAAATACATAATTTTGTTCTTTTTTATGACTGCATAATATTCTGTAGTGTATATGTACCATATTTTCTCTATTCAGCCCATAATCAATGGGCATTTAGGTTGATTCCATGTCGTTGCTATTGTGAAAAGTACTGCAATTAATACACCTGTGCATGGGTCTTTATAAAAGAACCATTTATAGTCCGTTGGTTATATACCCAGTAATGGGATTGCTGGGTTTCATGGTATTTTTACCTCTAGGTTTTTGAGGAATCGCCAGTCTTCCACAATGGTTGAACAAACTTACATTCCCACCAACAGATTATAAGCAAGCCTTTTCTATACTACCTCACCAGTATCATGATATTTTTTGAGTTTTTAATAATAGCCATTCTGACTGGTGTGAGATGCTATCTCATTATGGTTTTGATTTGCATTTCTCTAATGATGTTAAGCTTTTTTCTTTTTTTTTTTCATATGATGGTTGGCCACACGTAGGTTTTCTTTTAAAAGGTGTAACAATTTTTTAAATGCTTGAAATTTTCATTGATAATCTGATTTTTTCTAAGGTACTATTTTGGAAAATCATGATTTCCTTATATACCTAACTAATTATAAAAGTTGAGAAAATTAATGTGAGTATTCTATTTACATTAGTCTTTGAGTAGTTCTTATTTACTAACATCCCTTGATCTCATTCCTACTCTTTATACAGTTCTCACATTCTATAACTTTTGAATTCCACTCATGGAATAAAATATTTTCTTTATTGTAACAGGTTCTGTGGAGATTTGATGGGAATAAACCAGATACCTTAGGTCTCAATACTCGGCTCTACAAGTGGATACCCCAGAATGACCTTCTAGGTAAGACTCTGGTGAACAAATACTGAATATATTAGTAACAGCACATTAGAGTGTTAATAGTTCATCATGAAACAAGCTTATTGAATATTTGTTAAGGAAAAACAAAATGTAACTTCTTTATATTGATTTTCCAGTCTTAAGGGAGAAAGAATACATTATAATTTTTGGCATTTTATGATATACACCCACATTCTTTATAGTCTGAATCGGGGGAATCTTTATTTCAGGTGTTATTATATCTCACAAAATTTTTCAATAACTTCCTGGGCTGTCTCTCTGTCTCCTATTTCTACAACTTTACACCTGTTTTTTTCCTCTCCCGCAGGGTTATTTGAAATGCCACTAAAAATAATAGCTCTTCTATCACCAGTGACTCTGTATTTTCTGAAGAATTAAACTGCTAATCTTAATCATACAGTGATGATACATTTCACGATGAAGTGTGACCTGTCCTTCCTCAATCCTAGCACCACCACCAAACCACTGCCTGCTGCCTTGCCCACCCCATATATCACACTCTGTGACTGCACTTAAAATAAGAGTTCACTTCATGCCTATCTCTTTGCTGTCTTCTTTTTTGCACATTTTTGAAATCTAGAATGCAATTTTTCATTAGCCCAACTGGAAATCTTGTATTGTTTTGCAGTCTGAAGTCACACACACCGTATAGCCTTCAGTTACATACCCAGTACAAGTACGTGTTTTTTCCTCCGAAGTCTGAAACACAATTTTAATTTAGTTCAGTGTTTTAGCTGGAAAACACTGTCACTTTCAGAGCCTTTCATTGTGCATCTCATTTTATTCCTATGAGTAATTTTGCTAAAATTCATCCAATCCTAGGTCATCCAAAGACCAGAGCTTTTATAACTCATGGTGGAGCCAATGGCATCTACGAGGCAATCTACCATGGGATCCCTATGGTGGGGATTCCATTGTTTGCCGATCAACCTGATAACATTGCTCACATGAAGGCCAGGGGAGCAGCTGTTAGAGTGGACTTCAACACAATGTCGAGTACAGACTTGCTGAATGCATTGAAGAGAGTAATTAATGATCCTTCGTGAGTAGAACAATATTTTTCACTAGGTGGTATTTACAGATAGCTTCTCTTGTCAATAGTGAGTGTGAGTTTCATCCTTTTTATAAGAGACTAATTTTGAAAGAATTTAAATGATTTAACCAATCTGAAATCTGCTTTTATTTTTATAAGTTATTTAAAAATTGAATTTGAAACACATACATCTAAAGAATAGCCAGTTAGTGAAACAATTTTCTACACAAAAATAATTTTAAAAGGATATAGATAATACAAAAAATACATTTCTTAAAAATTTGACATAATTAATCCATAGAAGAAAGGAAGAATAAACCTGAAATAATATAATAAAATATTTTAATTAGATATCTAAAACACCTCAGAGTATAACCATTTTCTTGCTGAAAAATTAACTTTTATTATTATCATTATTGTAACAGACTTGAAAATGAGATTTAATTTTGATAGCATAAAACCCCCCTGTTTATGTTATAAAATCCAAATATATTTAGTATGTTTACAGAGCCATGAAGCCATCACTATTACATAATTTTAGAACATTTTTATCAACACAAAAGAAACTGCAATGACACAGAAGTCACTTCCTATGACCGCTTAGCCCTGGTCTAACTAATTTGTTTCCTTTCTCTATAGATTATTCTCTTTAGATATTTCATATGAATGGAATCATACAGTTTAGGGTGTTGTGAAATGACATTTCACCTAGGCTAATTTTTTGTTGTTTTTTTTTTCTGGTTTTAGTTTCATTCATGTTGTTGTGTGTTTTAATACTTCATTTCTTTTTATAGCAGTTTAATATTTTTTAGTAAAGATATGTCATATTTTAGTTGTTCACTTATCAGTTCATTGGCCTTTTGATTGTTTTCAATTGTGGCTATTAGGAAGATTGCTACACATGTTTTTGCATAAACATGTTTTCCTTTCTTTAGGGTTGATACTATAAGTGGAATTGCTGCTTCATGTGGGAACTGTATGTTTATGAAGAACTGCTAAACTGTCTTCCAAAGTACTTGTTTCATTCATGACTACCACCAGCAGTACAACATGGTTCCAATTCCTCCATACTTTTGCCAAACCTGTTATTCCCTGACTTTTTGTTACAGCCTTCTTAGTGGGTGTAAAATGATCTCTCATCCTGGTCTTGGATTGCATTTTCATTACGGCTAAAGGTGTTGAGAATCTTCATACGTGCCTACTGATCATTCATATATCTTCTTTGAAAACAGTCTATCCAATCCTTGGAACATTTTTAAACTTTGCTATTTGTCTTATTATTAAGTTTAAGAACTATTTATATATTATGGGTCATGTCAGATATATAACTTGTAAATATTTTGTCCCACTCTGGGTGCACTAAATTTTACTTTTTGATGTTGGTCTTTGAAGCACAAAAAATATAATTTTAAGTTAAATTTTTAATAATTGATTTTTTCAAACCCAAAGATATCAATGTGCAAAATTCCTTGTGGAGTCCAGCTACCATCAATTCAGCATTTATAGCTACTATCAATAATGTTTTTTTATATAAGCAGGGTATCATCTAAAGGAATACTTGAAAAATACTTTATCACAAAAAAAGAAGGATAATGAATGATAAAAATACCTTTAAAGAAGATAGGAAATAATTGAAAAAGAACACAAACCAGCTTGGACAAATAGAAAAAAAATATATAAAGCAAATTGGTAGATTTAAATATGATTATACAAATACTTTCACTCAATCTAAACAGACTTTAGAAAAGAGCAAGTAATTAGTAAAGACATAAAACATTTGAAGAACACAATTAACAAATGGAATCTTATAATGTAAAATGATACAAACGCACATACATACACACACAATAAACATATATGTATCATATATATCAACTTGAAGACACATTTTCCTAGAGCATGTCGAATAGTTATCTGAAGTGATATGTGGTGGGCAATAAATCAAGATTTAGTACATATAATAAGGTTCAATATCATAAAGACTATATGATCCAGCCATAGTGGAAGTAAGGGAGGTTATAAAAACTATAACTAACATATCTTTAAATTTTAGAGATCAAGAGGTGAATCACAACTATGTCTCCACTTTTATCTCAACAATTCTACTCCCAGTTATATACCCAACAGATATGTATAAATAAATCTAATACCATATAGAAGAATATTTATGACAGAATTATCAATATTGTCCAAAAATTGTTAGCAACCCAAATATCTATTAATCATAAAATGAAGACATAATCTGTGCTTTATCAATCAACAGAATACTACACAGCAATGGAATTACCCAACAACTGCTACATTAAAAAAAGACACTAATGAGTACGTATTATATAATTCAATTACATAAACAAGCAAACTAATGTATGCTATTCGAAGTCAGGCTAATCCTTAGTTGGTGGACAAAAGTGGTGACTAAATGGTTCAGAAAAAGAGAGTTATTCTAGGCAGGTTGTGATATCCTATACCACAATCTGAACAGTAGGTAAATCGATATCTTCACCTCAAGATAATGTTCAAGATGATCTTACATTTTTGAACTATTCACTTAGTGTATGAATATTTATCTTTTGTATTTAATATTTAAATGTTTATTTTATGAGATATATAATGCATTTTAAAATTCTAGGACTCAAATAGCAAAATAAGCACAGAAAATAGAGAAAATCCTAGTGGTTCCATCATAATGTGGCCAGTAAAAGCCTCTCTTAGAGGTAACATTAGAAGGAAGCCACAAGAAGGGAGAGAAGCATTCCTTGGGTTGTAGCAAGAGAGAGTACTCCAAGAGCGGGAGAGAGGGGAAAAAAATGTGTAAGGTACTAAGATGAGAACACCTTTGGGAGCTTAAAGTAAAATAGAAGGCCAATCTAGAAGACAGTGTGCAGGGGAAAAGTGTTAGGAAAAGAGTTTGCCCGTGTCTAAAAATGTAGGGTTCTGTAGACCAAATAACAGAGTTGGATTTTATTCTAAAAATAATGAGAAGCCAGGCAAAAGTCTTAATCAGGGGAGTGCTTTAAACTGACTTTAATTGAAAAAATCATTCTGGCTACAGGGTGGGAAAGAGTAGGAGACAAAAGAGTAATGTAGAAGCAAAGTGACTAGCTATGAGGCACGTCACTCACCATGACACAATTACTTTTTCGGAACTTAGAGATGATAATTCTCATATTGCATTTTCACGATCTTTCTCATAGCACTTAAAAGGGCTCATGATGTTGAGCATGTTCTCCGTATGTCTGTTTGAGAACTAAGAGTGTAATTAGATTGTTCATAATACAAAGGATAAATGCATAAGGGATGAATATCCTATTTTCCATGATGTGATTATTTCATATTGTATCAAAACATCTCATATACCCCATAAATATATACACTTAATATGTACCCTCAAAAACTTAAACAATTAAAAACAAATTAAAAATGCCTTATATTTTCTCTGCTTCAAAAAAAATTAACTTTCTCAGCTAACATTCAATTTCTACTTTAAAAATATTTCTCAATGAGAGAAGTCCAATTTAAAAGCCAAACTTTCTATGATGACTCAAATTAAAATACACAAATTCGATGTCAATTCTTTGACATTTATTTTGAATTATTTGGCCCTTTAAAAGCCTTTCGTAAACTTGATATGGACAGGCAAATTAACTTACTTTCAGTATTAGGGAGGAGACCATGCTTCATATCGTCTTATGCCCAATTTCTGCCTCCAAAGAAAGAAGTAAAAACTAAAAGGCAGAAATGAAATCCACAAGCAGACAGCCCAGTGCCACACCCTGTGCCTGATAGTTAAAGATCGACCCCTGACCTAACCAGTTATGTTATCTATAGATTCCAGACATTGTATGGAAAAGCATTGTAAAAATCCCTGTCCTGTTCTGTTCCATTCTGATTACTGGTGCATGCAGCCCCCAGTTATGTACCCACTGCTTGCTCAATCGATCATGACCCTCTCACGCAGACCCCCTTAGAGTTGTGAGCCCTTAAAAGGGACAGGAATTGCTCACTCAGGGAGTTCAGCTCTTGAGAGAGGAGTCTTGCCGATGCTCCCAGCCGAATAAAACCCTTCCTTCTTTAACTCGGTGTCTGAGGGGTTTTGTCTGTAACTCTTCCTGCTACATTACTGTCTTTATTTTTATCTTTCAGATATAAAGAGAATGTTATGAAATTATCAAGAATTCAACATGATCAACCAGTGAAGCCCCTGGATCGAGCAGTCTTCTGGATTGAATTTGTCATGCGCCACAAAGGAGCTAAACACCTTCGGGTTGCAGCCCACGACCTCACCTGGTTCCAGTACCACTCTTTGGATGTGATTGGGTTCCTGCTGGTCTGTGTGGCAACTGTGATATTTATCGTCACAAAATGTTGTCTGTTTTGTTTCTGGAAGTTTGCTAGAAAAGCAAAGAAGGGAAAAAATGATTAGTTATATCTGAGATTTGAAGCTGGAAAACCTGATAGGTGAGACTACTTCAGTTTATTCCAGCAAGAAAGATTGTGATGCAAGATTTCTTTCTTCCTGAGACAAAAAAAAAAAAAGAAAAAAAAATCTTTTCAAAATTTACTTTGTCAAATAAAAATTTGTTTTTCAGAGATTTACCACCCAGTTCATGGTTAGAAATATTTTGTGGCAATGAAGAAAACACTACGGAAAATAAAAAATAAGATAAAGCCTTATGAGCTCGTATTGAAATTTGTTGAACTTATATTGAAATTTGTTGTTCTAATTCACAGTATACTCACAAAAAAATTTACTCAGCTTAACTATATTTCACACATTGTACATAAACACAAGATCATTAAGAAGTCCACTGACAGTATCAGTACTGTTTTGCACATACTCAGAATAATTTGGCTTCATTTTGAACAGGATTGTATTGTTTTAACTGCTGCTAAAGAAACTATTACATAGTTAAATTGTACAGAAAGTCTCTCTTCCTTTTGATATTTTAAGATGAGTAGTATTGCTTGGCTTTTATAATGCATGCAGCTTTATTCTCATATTTTTCCTAAAATTTATGGCCAAGTGTTTACTGTTTTAGAGCTTAAGTCATTTCTCAGTGGAAATTATGGGGAATTAGAAATACAGCAACTCTTACCTTCTTCCTACTGTAAAATTGAACTATTTTGTAACATCTTTGGTTTCATGAGCCAATTCTATTTTTTCTAGATATTTAAAAATATACATCTGGTTGACTTTATTCTCATATTTTTAATTATTTCAATAGTTATTTGGGAACAGGTGGTGTTTGATTAAATGGGTAAGTTCTTTAGTGGTAATTTCTGAGGTTTTGGTGCACATATCATGTGAGCAGTGTACCCTGCACTCAATGTATATAATCTTGTATCCCTCACCCCCTCCCACCCTCCCCTCTGAATCCTGAGAGCCTATTATATTTTTCTTGTGCCTTTGCATCCTCATAGCTTAGCTCCCACTTGTAAGTGAGAATTTATGATGTTCAATTTTCTATTCCTGAATTACTTCACTTAGAATAATGCTCTCCCACTCCTTACAAGTTGCTGTTAATGCCATTGCTTTGTTTCTTTTTATGGCTTAGTAGTATTCCATGGTGTATATATATAGTATGTATATGTGTGTGTGTATACTTGTATATGTCTATGTGTGTGTGTATATATATATATATATATATATCACATTTTCTTTATCCACCTGTTGGTTGATGGGCATTTAGGCTGGTTCCATATTTTTAAAATTGCTAATAGTGCTGTTGTAAACATGTATGCGCATGGGTCTTTTTCATATAAAACTTTTCTTCTGGGAAGATACACAGTAGTGGGATTGCTGGATCAAATGGTACTTCTACTTTTAGTTCTTATAGGAATCTTCATATGGTTTTTCACAGTATTTGTACTAGTTTGCATTCCCACAGCAGCATAAAACTGTCCCCTTTTTCCCACATCCATGCCAACATTGTATTACTTTTGGATTTTTAAATTAGGCCATTCTTGCAGGAGTATAGTGGTATTGTGTCTGGAATTGGTGGGTTCTTTGTCTCACTGACTTCAAGAATGAAGCCGCAGACCCTGGCGGTGAGTGTTAGAGCTCTTAAGCTGGCGCGTCTGGAGTTTGTTCCTTCTGATGTTCAGATGTGTTCGGAGTTTCTTCCTTCTGGTGGGTTCTTGGTCTTGCTGGCTCAGGAGTGAAGCTGCAGACCTTCGCGGTGAGTGTTATAGCTCTTAAGGTGGCGTGTCTGGAGTTGTTCATTCCTCCCGGTGGGCTCATGGTTTTGCTGGCTTCAGGAGTGAAGCTGCAGACCTTCTCGTTGAGTGTTACAGCCCATAAAAGCAGTGTGGACCCAAAGAGTGAGCAGTAGCAAGATTTATTGCAAAAAGCAAAAGAACACATCTTCCACAGTGTGGAAGGGGACTGGAGCGGGTTGCCACTGCCGGCTAGGGCAGCCTGCTTTTATTCTCTTATCTGGCCCCACCCAATCCTGCTGATTGGTAGAGCCCAGTGGCCTGTTTTGACAGGGCGCTGATTGGTGCGTTTAGAATTCCTGAGCTAGATACAAAGGTTCTCCATGTCCACATCAGATTTGTTAGATACAGAGTTTCGACACACAGGTTCTCCAAGGCCCCACCAGAGCAGCTAGATACAGAGTGTTGACTGGTGCACTCACAAACCCTGAGCTAAACACAAGGTGCTGATTGGTGTGTTTACAATCCCTGAGCTAGACATAAAGGTTCTCCAAGGCCCTACCAGAGCAGCTAGATACAGAGTGTCAATTGGTGCACTCACAAACCTTGAGCTAAACACAGGGTGTTGATTGGTGTGTTTATAATCCCTGAGCTAGACATAAAGACTCTCCACGTCCCCACCAGACTCAGGAGCCCAGCTGGCTTCACCCAGTGGATCCCACACTGGGGTCGCAGGTGGAGCTGCCTGCCTGCCAGTCCTGCGCCATGCGCTTGCACTCCTCAGCCCTTGGGCGATGGATGGGACTGGGCGCCCTTGAGCAGGGGGCGGCACTCGTCGGGGAGGCTTGGGCTGCACAGGAGCCCATGGTGGGGGTGGGAAGCTCAGGCATGGCGGGCTGCAGGTCCCCAGCCCTGCCCTGCAGGAAGGCAGCTAAGGCCCAGTGAGAAATCGAGCGCAGCGCCAGTGGGCGGGCACTGCTGGGGGACCCAGTACACCCTCCGCAGCCGCTGGCCCGGGTGCTAAGCCCCTCACTTCCCGGGCCGGCAAGGCCGGCCGGCTGCTCCGAGTGCGAGGCCGGCCAAGCCCACGCCCACCCGGAACTCCAGCTGGCCCACAAGCACTGCACGCAGCCCTGGTTCCCGCTCGCACCTCTCCCTCCACACCTCACTGCAAGCTGAGGGAGCCGGCTCTGGCCTTGGCCAGCCCAGAAAGGGGCTCCCACAGTGCAGTGGTGGGATGAAGGGCTCCTCAAGTGCCACCAAAGTGGGAGCCCAGGCAGAGGAGGTGCCGAAAGCAAGCAAGGGCTCTGAGGACTGCCAGCATGCTGTCACCTCTCAGTATTGCATTGTGCTTTTGATTTGCATTTTACTGATAGTGAAGTTGAGTATTTTTTCATACGTGTTGGCCAATTATATATCTTCTTTTAAGAATTGTCTATTTATTACCTTAGCCTACTTTTTGAACGGTTTTGTTTTTCTCTTGTGGATTTGTTTTAGTTCTTTGTAGACTCTGGACATTTGTCCTTTGTCAGATGCATACTTCCTGAATATTTTCAATTACTCTGTGAGTTGTCTATTTACACAACTGATTATTTCTTTTGCTGGCAGAAGCTTTTTAGTTTAATTAAATCACAACTGTTTATCTTTGTTTTAGTTGCATTTGCTTTTGGATTTTTGGTCATGATGTTTTTACCTAACCCAATGTCTAGAAGAGTTTTTGAAATGTTACCTTCTAGAATTTTTTATTGTTTAAGGTTTAGATTTCATTATGTGATCCATCTTGAGTTGATTTTTATAAGGTGAGAGACAAAGATGCAGTTTCATTCTTCTACGTGTGGATTGCCAATTATTTCAGCCCCGTTTGTTGAATAGGGTGTCATTTCCCCACTTTATGTTTTCGTTTGCTTTGTCAAAGATCAGTTAGCTGTAAGTATTTGGCTTTATTTCTGGATTCTCTATTCTGTTCCATTGATCTACATGCCTGCTTTTATACCGATACCATGTTGTTTTGGTAACTTTGAATATGCCTTTTAACATGATGGGTAATGTAGAGAGGAGGTGCCAGCTGGGCTTCCTGGGTCAAGTATGGACTCAGAAAGCTGTGAAACTCACTCATTTACTGCAGGAGGACTTACTTCGATCCTGGATGAATAATATTGAAGATAAATGCTTAAAATATTCCTAACACCAGGATTTGTGCATGTGTTTTCTTCCCCAAGAAAGCTATAAACAATGAAAATTTTGCTGTAAGTTTCCCTGTGTCCTCTCTTCCTCTCTCCCTTCCCCATTCCCGAAAACTAAAGTGAAAGAAATGTTAACTGCCTGTTTTTCTGTAACCAGTGGGCCTTATCTATACTCCTAATTCCAGTTCCTTGTAAACATCCTTTGTAAAGTCCCATAAGATCCTGTCTCCTTTGCCATACAGCTGCAAGGTCATAAAGTAGATAAAACCTAAGTTGCAATTCTGGTTTTCCTCAAGATCTAAGACATGTTACAAAGAGTTAATTGTCTTTGTTTCTCATCTGGTAACATCTACCCGCTGCACATATTTCTTACCTTAAAGAGTTTAAAAGGCAATCGTATAATCCAACTCTGCCTACACTTTCGGGACCCCTTCCACACTCTGGAAGCTTTGTACTCTTGTTCTGCTCGATAAAACCTACTGCTCATTCTCGGTCCGGGTCTCTATCACTTGCCGTGGTCAGCTGCCGCACCAGTTTTTGGTGTGGCTAGGCAAGAACCTTAGGCATTACAATGTGATGCCCCCAGATTTGTTCTTTTTCTTAGTCTTGCTTTGGCTATGCGGGGTTCAAAGCTGAGAATCAAATAACAACTCATCCATTTTCACAATAGCTGCAAAAAAAAAAAAAAAAAAAAAAAAACCTTAGAAATATACCTAACCAAGAATGTGAAAGGTCTCTACAAAGAAAAATACAAAATTTTGCTCAAAAAAGTCATAGATGACAGAAACAAATGGAAATACAGCCCATGCTCATGGATGGGTAGAATCAATTTTGTGAAAATGAGCATATTGCCAAAAGAAATATATAAATCCAATTCAATTCTCATTAAAATATCATCATCATTCTTAGCAGAATGAGAAAAAACAATCCTAAGTTTCATATGGGTTTTATTATCATTTTTGACCTTTAATAACAATTGTAAGTCCTTAATTTTAGGTTGTGATAATATAGAAATTGCACTTTAAAGGGACTTAGTGAATTTTCAATCTTGCTCAACATACATGTACATATACATGTCCATTTCTTTTAAAACAAGACACAGCATCAATTAACTAGCTAATGGATATGTTGTGAAATTCAATGTGTATTTTGAAGACAGCTTGAAATAATTATTATTATTCTACATAACTATAATCATTTTTTTTTATTTTCCACAAAGCCTTTTGATTCATCCCTCCTATAAATATAATATGGACATATAAATTTTTAGCATGTTAAAAATATATACAAAGCATAAAAAAAGTTTATAAATTTTGTGGAAAATAGATAAATCAAGTCATAAATCTCCTTTAATCTACACATCAGGGAAGCACTTTATGATCAAACTAGTCCAGATTGACAGAAATCTACTTGTCTTTGTCACTAAAAGTTCTTACCATTAACCAATTCTCACAAAAAATATTCTCCAGGGTAAGGTTTGATTAAAAACAAATATATATGTATATTTATAATTTTATACACATAGATAAATCATGTAATATATAAACACATACACACTAAAACATTGACAAGATAGAGAAATTATAGAAAATTTCATACAATTCATCCAGGAATTAATACAGATATAAAGAAAAACAGAACTTATATAGTGTCAAAGATTAATAATGTTGTCTTATGCTTATAAACCTGAATTAATTCACATAAAACCTATCCTATAACACACATAACAAAAGATTGGTATCCATTGTTCAGTGAGAACTACAAATCACCAACCAAAACAGACAATCTAATAAAAAATTGATGAAAATATGAAGAAGCAATACAAAGTAAAAATGGCCAATAAGATATAAAAGACTAAAAAGCTACTGACGCTCACAAAAATAGAATTAATACCAACAAATTAATGCCATAGAGAAGATTTGCACCCCATAAAAACCTGAGAAATCTATTTTTGAGGGAGTATAATTTGAAATAACACTCAAATAAAATGTAAATATGCCATTTGAAACTGAAGTTTTATATATAGAGATCTGTCATGCAGAAATCCTTGCATATAAGCACATGAATGAACTAAATTTCTCCAGCACTTAAATGGCTTTCAGTCAATGAACACGTGTACCTCCAACAAATGTTTGAATGTAGCCATTGCAGAGAACAGGCTGATTATCACATTACGAAACAGAAAAAGTAGTTTCCAGAAAAACAAATAAGTATTTTTTGTAATAAAATATATGTAAGCTAGTACAAAGAAGAAAGAATCTCGAAAAATACGTGTAATTCCAAGGATGAGAATTTAAATTTTTATTCTATACAAATCTGCAATGTTTAACTTTACACAACATTTTCATGTATTAATTATGAGATTTAAAATTTAATTTGTGGAATAAACACATTAATTCAAGACAGGAAGTTCCAAAATGTAATATCATATTATTAATTCGCTAGTGTCATTCAAAAACTTGATAATGTTTCTCATATATCAGCTCTTTTATCCACTTGTAGCTTGTTTTTAGGACATTTGTTCTATTTTTAAAAAATGTATGAATAAATACGATACAATGTTTAAAAATTGCAATAATTGTAGAAATCTAAATTCATGTAATTTTAATATTTTTTCTTTAACTATTTTTAATATTTTATGAATCATACAATAGTTTAATAACTTCTGCCTTCTCAGGAAGATTATATTTGTTGTTATTTTGAGACATGACTATAAATCCATTGACAATTTTCCTATCAAGTAATATCCCCTCCCTTTGAAGTTTGGCAAACTTTGTAGCTGTCTCAACACAAAGAATGTAATGGAAATAATGCAACTAAACATTCAAAGCTCTGGTGGAAACACAGCATGTTCTCTCTCTGTTTCTCTTTCTCTCTTTCTGTTTCTTCTTTTCTTGTCTTTTTTTCTCTCACTATTACTCAACAACTCAATCTGTAGTCCCCATAACAAATGACAATTTTGTAGAGACATAAATATATGCCTAAGAAATCCTGGTAGCCCACTAGCACTCTGAGACTTTCAACATAAATCACTAAGTATGTAAGTGAATGATCTTCAGATAATTATAGACCCAGGCACCATAGAAAAGTAGCTACCTAAGAAACTCTGTGGAAGGAACACACAACTGAGCCCACCTAACACAGAGACTCTGAGAGGTGACAATAAAATGATTACAGTTGTTTTAAGGCCCCACATTTGGAAACTGTTTGTTATGCAGTGATACATACCTGGAATAACTATTCCACATATTTTAAATTATAAATTTATAATAAAATTACAATTAATATATAACTACATGAGTGGGAAACTGTGATACTACACTTTGAAAATATCTGCACCCAGAGTAAGAGAGTCAACATAACATGGTGGTTAAGAGCTCGCACTCTGGATCCAGATGGCCTTGATTCAAGTCTTAGAAACCACTATATGATGACGTGGGGTTCAACAAATTACGGAGACTTCATTTGCCTCAGCTCCCTCACCAATGAAATGGCAATAGTTGTCATCGCATTATCAATATCATGGGGTTGCTGAAAGAACGAAGTCATTAATATTGCAAAGCACTAACAATTGTGTGTACAGCAAAATAAAATTTGCAATACTCTGATTAGACAAATAAAAAAATTCCACAATAATAATTTTAGTGTTCATATAATTGCATAATATATTATAGTTTCAAAACATGCCATGTTTCTAATGTAAATGATTAAAATGACAGCATTTACTATTTCAAGCATATGGGAATTAAATTTGTAGCATAAACCAAGGGCTGACAAACTATGGTCTCTTGGTCAAATCTGGTCAGCCACTTGTTTATTTAAAGAATAATTGATATAGGAATTTTACACCACAAAATTATACAATTAAACCATTTAATGTGCATTATTCATTGGCGTTTAGCACATTTGCCAGTACCACTACTATCTAGATCCAAAGTAATTTTTTCACTTCAAAAGGGAGCTTTATACCCATTAGACAGTCATGTCACATTCTCCCATTCTCCATGCCTTGCAACCTGGCATTATGTGTTGGCATCATTCTATAGCCTATTGGGTAATGCTTTTAAAAAAATCCAAATAGGTATATAACTTCAACAAAGTGTTTTATTTTTTCTTACTTCTAACATGTCCTATTTGTTTCTAAATAGTAATTCTATGATGTATAAAATTAAACTTTTGTTTCTAATTGCTCTGTTATTAAACATATTCAGAGGTGTTGTGATTTATATTGTTATGAGTTCTTTCCAATTTTATATTGAAGTCTCTTTCTTGAGAATGGCCATAAACCAAGATCCTGGAAAGCTCTGATGGAGGTGAGGAAATGAGTTTCAGATATATGAGTCAGGTAAAATATATTGAAATGAGAAAGGAAGAACAAAATGCATAAAATAGAAGAAATGTATTACTCATAGTTCCTAAGTGACGTTAGGGATGATGATAAGAAACTGACAGAAAGTCCAGAGGTGGCAGAGAGCTCAATCAGCTGTCTGGAAGTGGAAGGGGGAACCCCGTGGGAGAGCTTTTATTAAGGACCATGGATATTATTTCCTAGGCTTCTCTGCAGGAGTAGAAGAATGGCTGGATTAAGGGAATACACATGAAGGGGAAAATTATTATATGACTCTGGTATTGATCAATAGGTTATATCATGGTCATCACCTCTGTGATATATTGCATTTCTGGGTCATTAGGGTGAGAAACAAGTAGACTCTATCTCAAACAACTACACAAGGAAGGGAAGTTATAACAAAGCCAAAAGTGACAAGCTATGACTAGGTCTTAAACAACTCATGTTAAGCCTAAAAACGAATGCTGAGGCAGAACAAACTTATGACATGAAGGTAGACAGACATTTTAGAAGAAAACATGTCCCTAGCCAATTCGAGATTGGTAGCATAAAATGAATCAGCTCCAAAATGTAACAAGAATAAATAGTGAGAATTGTTTTTAGAGACAACTACTTAATGATATTAGGAGAAGTTGACTGCAGTGGCATGCACCTATATTCCCAGCTACTCAGGAGGCTGAGGAAGGAGGATTACTTGAGCCCAGGAGTTCAAGGCCAGCCTGGGAAAATTTGTGAAACCACATCTCCTCACCATTTTCCAGTTTAGGAAAAAAAAAAAAATAGTGCAACTCACAGCCAGCACTCATCTAATTTTACATAAATACACTCTTTGAGGCTGAAACAAATCTGACTCATTTTCAGTGTGAACATACATTATAAAAACTCTTCTTGGAGTTATTTCTAAACAGAGCTAACATCAGAATCATCTGAATCATCTATTTTAGAAAAACTGAATTTATCAAATTAATCTTCAGCCAACAACTTCTCGAGAACAACGTTAACATCCTGCTATATTTTCCAGGATTTGACATCTTCAACGATCGAAAATGTCTATATTTTGTAAATGGAAATAGCACTCATACAATAGAATGCTAAATATTGAATGTGTTTTTTCTGTTTCCAAAGTTGGTATGCTAAATCAATGAAAAAATAATAATAAAAGCTAGATATTTTGTGACAAAATTATCTCGAGGTAAATGCTGCATCTGCAAGT
Organism: Homo sapiens; assembly: GCF_000001405.40. Classification (NCBI taxonomy): domain Eukaryota; kingdom Metazoa; phylum Chordata; class Mammalia; order Primates; family Hominidae; genus Homo; species Homo sapiens. The sequence continues at coordinate 69,122,214 of NC_000004.12, forward strand.
ACTGCCAGCAAGTATTATCTGGGCAAACAGAGAAAGGGTTTAAAAAATAAAATTAATTAACAAATTTAACAATATACTGGGAATTGCCCTCAAAACAAGCAGCAAATAAACATTTATTAAGGAACACACTAAGGGTTGTTTAAAACAGCAAGAGCTTGTGGCATTAAACAATGACTTGTTTGCTAGCCTACCCTCCCTCAGTGCGACAGAAATTTTACTGCAAGCTGGCGGAGACAAGACCACTGGACTAACCCTCTGTGAAACTACTACAAGAGGGCTATATTATCTTTTTGGGAGGGAATAAGCTTCTTAAATTTTTCACACACAGACACCTCATCTATGTGTTACAGAGGCTAAATTTCTGGCAAGAGAGGCGAAAAAAGTTTCACTTCTTTCATTTAGCCATTGTCAAAACACAGTTTTACTCAGACACAGCATACTAAGAACGAGTACCAAATAGTCATTACCGTAGTTCTTTTATAGGATGGAGGTTCCATGAGAGAAGAAGCAAATTAAGACTATAGGCTAGCACCTTACTCTTAGTGGCACAAACAGAAGTGTGCCCCTGCAAGTGCCCCTAGCTCTGGAGCAAAGGTTGATGATACTTTTTTCCCAAGGAAAGAGGCAGACCATTAAACAAAGAGTTCTAAAGCTTTCATGAGAGTAACTCACTTTATATGAAAGAATGTGAAGGAAATTCAAGCCTAAGCATGTTGTCAAAATATGAAGGGTTTTTTGGTAACAGTTAAAGAAGTTGGTAATTTCATGAGTAATGCAAATGAGACCATAAAAAAGCTAATTAATCAGAAAAAAAAGATAAAGATAGAAAAAGAACAGTGTTTCCTGTGTTCATATCACCCTGAAATGCCTCAGAATCTATCAAGGCAAAAGTGCCTAAATGCTATTAGATCAGACTATGAAGTAATTTATGCCCTAAGGGCAACACCAAAAGAAAAAGATCAATCAGCTAATAATTTGTGAAGATTAAGAGGTAGACTGAGCATGTAAAACAAACAAACAAACAAAAAAACAGAAAAGAGTCAAAGAGTGTTCCTATTAAAACCACTGTTATTCAAGGGTTTGTGAAAATGACCAAGGGTGCACTTTCTGAGTAGAAACACCAAGGAAATAACACTGCAAGGTAAAGAGACTTCATTAAAATAATCCATCTCCTCACCAAACAAGTTAACAATTAGAATTAAAAGAAGATGGGGGTATAATTTCCAGAGTAACTATAATATATTATCTAAAATATTGAGGGTTTAACAAATTTTAACAGGTGTATAAAGAAATAGGAAAATGGGACCGCTATATGGGGAAAATAAGCAATAAAATATGCCTGTGAAAGGGATGAGTTGGGTTGGATGCAGAGGCTCACACCTGTAATTCCAGCACTTGGGGAGGTCAAGTTGGGAGGATGGCCTGAGGTCAGGAGTTCAAGACCAGCTTGGCCAACATGGTGAAACCTCGTCTACTAAAAATACAAAATTATCCAGGCCTGGTGGTGCATGCCTATAATCCCAGCTACTTGGCATGCTGGGACAGGAGAATTGCTTGAACCCGGGAGGTGGAGATTGCAGTGAGTCAAGATCATACCACAGCACTCCAGCCTGGGCAATAGAGTGAGACTCTGTCAAAAAAAAAAAAAAAAAAAAAAAAGATGAGTTGTAGATTTAGTAGGCAAAACTTTAAATTACACATTATAAATATACTCAAAGACCTAAAGGAAATCACATATAAAGCTGAAAATTAAGGTATAATGACAATGTCACATTCAATCGAGAATATATAGAAATAAATAGAAGTTATATATTTTTCAAAGAACCAAGTGAACATACTGAAATGAAAATATAATAACAGAAATAGACAATGCACAAGCAGGATTCTGTTTCATATTTGAGGAAGAAAAATAAGGGCCAAAAAATGCTGAAGAGAGATCAATAGAGATTATATAATCCAAAGAACAGGGAAACAAAGAATGAAGAGAAATAAACAGAGCCTTATAGACTTTTGGGACACACTTAAGCACACTAACATATGCAAAGTAGGAGTACCACATGAAGAAGGGAAAGATTCACTGGAAAATATTCAAAAATAATGCCCCAAAACGTCCCATAAACTATCTTAAAAACACTAATTTACAAATTTCAGAGGTTCTATAAATCCTTAGTTTAGAGTAAACACAAAAAGATCCAAACAGAGACGCAATAATAATAGGTTGAAAACTAAAGGAAGAAAATTATAAGGCATAAAAACAAAAACAAGTAACCATATATAAGGGAACTCAGGTAACATTAATAGCTGACTACTCATCAGAAAAAATGCTGCCCCTAAGGCAGTGCTATGCCATATTCAAAGTAATGAAAGAAAAAACTGCCAACCAAAATTTCTTTATACTACAAAATCATCTTTAAAAATTAATGGTGAAATAAATACATTTCTAAACAAACAAAAACAGGAAGTTATTGCTAACTAATCTGTCTCACAATAAATTCTAAAGAAAGTTTTCCAGGCTAAAAGTAAATAAACACAGAAAGCAGTGCAACTCCACATAATAAAAAAGTACACCTGAATAATTATGTAATTTTAACAGATAATATAAATTCATATTTATTCAACTTTCTTAATAAATTTAAGAAGCAAGTGTGTAAAGCATATACACGTATTTGTAATGCTGAACATTTAACTTATACATATGTAATATATTTGTCAATAACAGCAGTAAGGAGGTATGTGGATGCAAAACTCTATTGCAGTAAGGAATGACACCAAGAGGAGAGAGAGATAGGGAAGGATAGAGGGCAGGGGAGGAGGAATGTGGGTTGGTGAAGGTGCCTCCACAGGGACTTGCCGCCATTAACCCTGCTGCCTCCAGCACAGCCTCAGCTTCTCACAGCTGATGCAGCCAGGGCAAGTCCAGGCATTGAGAATACATGAGGGTGGCCCTTCTGAACCATGCTCCTGGGGAAAATCAAACACTAATGCTCTGAGATATCTAAGGTAAGGTACTCAACTCTGTAGGGTATTACATAAATCCTAAAAGAATGCAATAAACTGGTAATGTCTCAGGAACCTGCCCCACCTCTAACTAGAGATAAGTCTTCTTGTCCCATAGTAGAAAGCTAGTGTTATACACAGATCAAAATAGTAAAATGTTGAACACATAGACAATTAATAACTTCAGTTTTTGTCAAGAGGAAATGGGTGAGGCGTTAAAAAGTTCCAAATTTTCACCTGGCCCAAATGACAAAATGAAATGGTGTCTGAGGGTAAACCCAAAAGCATTAGATAATGAAAGTAAAGACTACTTGGTCCTTATATTTGCTTTTAGTCAGATGCCCCAAAAGTGAAGTGTGAGCAAAATTCAAATGTTCCCTTCTGAATGCTAAAAGGGAAGAAACAAAAGCAATGGAAAGCAAAAGAGCATATCAATTTGTGCAAGGGAAGGGCTGGGATTTTTAAAAATTCATTAGAAGAGACCTTTTGCTTGACGAAGCTAATAGTCTTTGACCAGATGACAAGCTTACATTATTTTACAAGATGAGTGTGATCCAAGATTCAGTAAACAAATCAGGACATACTAATACAAATACTTTCAAGATGCCTGAGGGTCGACTAGGAGAAGACTGAGGTAATCTCTGGGAAAACACAAGATTTATAGACTGCAGTTTTTTAGTGAGAGGACAAGAATTTAAAGCTCATAAATCTGCTTGTACCTGAATCCCTAGTTTTTAATGCCATGTTTGAACATGAAATGGAAGAAAGCATAAAGAATTGAGTGGAAATAAATGATTTAGACCCTGATGTTTTTAAAGAAATGGTGAGATTCCTTAACACAGTGAAAGGATTAAACCTTGACAAAATGGCTGACAACTTGTTGGCAGGTGCAGACAAACATGCACTGGGAACAGCTGAAGGTCTTGTGTGAGGAAGCTTTGTGTAGTAATCCCTCAGTAGAAAATGTTGCTGATACCCTTGTCCTTGCAGATTTTCATGTTGCAAAACAGTTGAAAGCAAAAGCCATAGACATTATTAATAGGTGCAGTGTACTTCAACAACTTGGGTGTAAAGATTAGAAAAACTGAAACAGCAACCAAGCAACCAATGTAATGGAAACATCAAGGTGGAAGTCCATGATTCAGTCTCACCCTTACTTAGCAGCAGAAGCCTTCTGAGCACTAGCATCTGCACAGTGTCCACAGTTTGGCATTCCACACACACGGCTAAAACAGTCCTAAATCTTCCGTGAACAGTTGAAAAATGGAATTGACTTTTAGTCATTCAAGTCTAGAAGGATTCTAAAAATAAACCATAAACCATAAGGAAGAGTTGTTTCTGTTATTTGGTCCACAGAACAGAAGCTAAAAAATCATATTGCTTGCATTTCAGATGGATAATTAATGGTTTATTCTTCAGCTTTAAGTTAGACTGATTAATTCACTTCAAGGCCTTAAATTATTTTCAATGACTTCACTTGTTTGTAAAACGCTTTAATTTTTTTTTATTGTGACTTATCATTTTGACCAATGCTATGCAGGATTGTATAAACTAGCTTTATAATGTAGTACTATTGATAACTGAAGATATTAAGTTTCAAAAGGATTTTTTATTTTGAAAAAGAAAGTGAATTTTATAGGGTTTGTCCTATGCTGTCTCAAGGTTTAAGATTAAATTCTCTTTAAAAGCCCTTGTATTGAAGTTTACCAGCAAGGTCTTCAATCTAAGTTCTGTATATATGGGAGAACCCATTTACCTTCAAAGTAAGTTACGGCAATACACTGCTTCAATTCTAATTTATTTTTCATTTCAGGGGGCAAATAAACAATGAGTTGGCCCAGATTTTTAGTGAAATTTGTGATGTTTGCCTTGTATGTTAACTGTCCAACAAACTGTGGGTTTATCAAAGTTTGCAATGATTGAGAACTGAATGAGGTTAAGATATCATGAAGAAAGCATGTATTGTGTGGAAGTATTTTTTTCTAATTTGTAGTGACCTACATTTATATATACATGTTAAGAGTAAGGATGACCAAATGTAAATTTAATGAGTGGGCCAATTAACAACCATATATATATATATATATATATATATATATATATATATATATATATATATACACTTTGACTTTTACTGTGTAACTTTTGTATGCTGAATGGTACATATTTATTTTTGCTTTTGAGAGAATTAATAAGGTAGAATAATTGTGTCTTAATATTTGAAAGAAATTTTTAGAAGGAGGCAACTGGGATGTTTATGATAATAGATAAGATATTCTTGATTGTATTAAATGGTTTTGGATTGCAAATACTCATTATTGAATTTACTCCTGTTTTTTCACACTTTGGAAAATACACCTAATAATAAATGAATCTTGGATAGTCTACTCTCCTTCAAAAACTGAACTGAAGGCCGAGGCGGGTGGATCACCTGAGTTCAGCAGTTTGAGACCAGTCTTGCCAACATGGAGAAACCCAGTCTCTACTAAAAATACAAAAAATTACTCAGGCATGGTGGTGGATGCCTGTAATCCCAGCTACGTAGGAGGCTGAGGCAAGAGACTTGCTTGAACCTGGGAGGCAGAGGGCAGAGGTTGCAGTGAGCCCAGTCTGCACCATTGGACCCCAGCCTGGGCAACAAGAGTGAAATTTCATCTTAAAAAAAAAAAAAGAGAGAGAGAGAACTGATACTTGCCTGTGGGAGACGCATACAAAAAGAGAGAAACCTTAGAGCATATCAGTTCACACACCAAGAGCATTCCCATCCACCTCTTATTTCTTCTTTGTGTTTCAGTTACTGTACTAACATTATGGATGATACAGAAATTCTGCTTAATATGAATAGTTATAAGCAATTTATAATTTGAAAAAAATAATGACACCAAATGATAACTTGAATTTATAAGAACAAAAAAGAATGGTAATGAAGAGGTGCAGTGTGACATTTTGGTATTATCATGATATTGGAGGCAGGTGACAGATATCAACAAATTCTACCCTGTCATTTAGTACTTTTGTTTACAGGATTACTGAGGGGTTCACACTACGAATGTTATCATAAAGGAGTTATGTATTAATGGGTAACTTTACTAGCACAATAACAAGAAGTACGTATTGAAAAAAATCTGAAATATATCATGGAGTTTAGGCTTCCCATGTAATCTGGGCCTTTTTACCTCCCTTAATTTTGAAATAGTCCTATTCAGTATGTTGTTCAGAGGGATATTCAGAGAATGGAGACTGAAGGCTCACCTTCATGAGTCTAAGTACCCACTCAGCCAGGTAGATTTAGAGAAATGGAAAAACCAAACTGCCTTAAGACTGGACTTTGCCAATGTCTGAAAGAAAGAAGTAACAGAAAGGAGGGGGATCTAAGGTAGATCCTGTGCAGTATAAAATGTGCCCCCAAAGGACTTTGCTTCTAACATGTATATTGATGCTACCTCCCATCTGAGAAAGAAGGGGGATATAAGCAGGAGTCAAGGCGAGTCACAGTGGCTCATGCCTATAATACCAGCACTTTGTGAGGCCTAAGTGGGAGAATCCCTTGAGCCCAAGAGTTTGATACTAAACTAGATGACTTAGAGACAGCCCATTTCTTAAAAAAAAAAAAAAAAAAATAGCAGGACATGGTGGTGTAATGCCTATAGTGTTAGTTACTCAGGAATCTGAGGCAGGAGGATTGATTGAGCCCAGTAATTTGAGGTTGAAGTGAGTTATGATTGCACCACTACATTCCAACTTCAGAAACACAATGCGACCCTGTCCTGAAGAAGGAGGAGGAGGAGGTGGAGGAAGAGGAGGAGGAGGAGGAGGAGGACAAATAAAGTGATATGGAAGAGAGGCAGGGAACTGCAGGGAGGAGAAGAGTGGGTCCCTGGCAAGAGCTCCACCCTTGACATGTGCCCAGGGACCTAGGTGAGGACAGGCACTCCCGCTCTTATGCCCAAATGTTGCATTTCCCAAGACCACACTGCCCTGCCGTGCCCCCATCATGTACCTATAAAAAACCCTGAGACTCTAGAAGGCAAGCACACAAGTGGCTGGACGTCAAGAGGAGTGGATTAGCGGAAGAAGAAACAAACAGCTGGACGTCAAGAGGACGTCCAGGTGAGCATGCAGGCAGGTCATCAACTGGCAGAACAACGTGGAGTTTTGCTGGAGTGATTGGAGAGAAGCCTGACTCCAGGGGAAAACCGTCCCCTTTCTGGCTCCCCCATGTGCTGAGAACTACTTCTACTCAATAAAACCTTGCACTCATTCTTCAAGCCCAAGACAATCCCATTCTTCTGATACACCAAGGAAATAACCCCAGATACAGAAAGCCCTCTGTTCACAAGCCATCTAAGAACTGCTAAACTAAAAGAGCATCGCATACAGTGCAGAAGGAAACCAGGCAGGGAGAGAGGTTCAGATGCTTCTTCCACCATACAATATAGTAATAACCAGCTTTCTAACATGTACAACACAACTTTGATATTTTAATATTTATAAAGCAATTTTTAGTTTTATATCCTGTATAGCATTCTTATAATCACCTATACTAATTTTTTGATGCAAATGTGTAGTTACCTTTAAAAATCAGATAGCAAGTAGATGTTAAAACTTGTAGATTATACTCTAGTTTATGAAGATTGCTTGATTGCTAGATTATACTCTAGTTTATGAAGTTTGCTTGGTAATTCCAACATCAGTACCACATGTTGGTACTAGGCATGTACTACATGGCTTAGCTATAGCAGACCATATAAACCACTGCTGTCAATGCTTTGGATTGTGCCATTGAAGAGTTAAGAGCCAGCAGAATGAAATTTAGCATCATCGCGATTTTGGAATATTTTCAACAGCCCTATTATTAATGAACTGACAATCAGTCTTTTCTACATTTAAATAATTTCCAATGGTAGCAAATGTGATATTATTCTGGATATATGTGATAAATGTCATTTGAATTTTTTTCTTGGAAACAGTGCTTAATAATTTATAATCAGAAAAAAATTATATGTGCTTTTTAAGCAGATTAATATATTTCTTATACATAGATGATTGATAGATTTGCTTTCTTTGTAAATCATCAGATATGAGAATGTAACTTATGAAACAAGTGAATGTAAGTACTTTTACTCCCATTTCTTAGCTTTAGAAATGAAAAGCTTAACATTATATTTGGAAGATGAAAATGAATGTAGTAAATGCATTAATAAAAAAGGTGTTGACCATTAGTAATTTGTTACTCTTCTTTACACTGGGATTATGTCTGCCTAATGATTGCCTAAATATTTCAATTTTTCATTTATTATCTCAATATCTAAGTCACTATGTATAAAACATCATGATTTTATTTAATCTGATTTAATATAAAATCAAGTCAAGGAAATGTAGTTGTTCTGTTCACTTCAGTCTTCTAGTAGTTCTCATTACTTAACCTGCCTCGTCCTCATTTCTTTATCAACTATATGGAAAGCATTTAAGTAGGTAATCTCCATCTTTTTAGAATTTTTTTTCTTCCTTTCCTTTTCTTTTTTCTCTTTTTTTTTTTTTTTTTTTTTTTGACGCGGAGTCTCTCTCTGTCACCCAGGCTGGAGTGCAGTGGCACGATCTCCGCTCACTGCAACCTCTGCCTCCTGGGTTCAAGCAGTTCTCTGCCTCATCCGCCCAACTAGCTGGGATTACTGGCGCCCGCCACCATGCCCGGCTAATTTTTTTATATTTTTATTAAAGACAGGGTTTCACAATCTTGGCCAGGCTGGTCTTGAACTCCTTACCTCATGATCCACCCGCCTCGGCCTCCCAAAGTGCTGGAATTATAGGCGTGGGCCACCGTGCCTGGTCCCTTTTTAGAATTCTAACAGACATGCTCTAATTTGAATTTGACTCATAAAACAAGGTTCTTTCTTTTTATTTTTTTTTAATTTTTAAGTTCAGGGGTACAAGCGCAGGTTTGTTATATAGGTCAACTTGTGTGTTGGGGGTTTGTTGTACAGATTATTTCATCACCCAGGTATTAAGCCAAGTACCCATTAGTTATTTTTTCTTGATCCTCTCCCTCCTCAAACCCTCCACTCTCTGAAAGGTCCCAGTGTGTTTGTTGCCATCTATGTGTCCATGTATTCTCATCGGTAGGCTCCCTCATCTATATGGATCTATGGAAATTTGATGACAGGAATTCAGATACCTTAGTACAATTACTCGGCTGTACAAGTGGGTAGTCCAGAATAACATTCTTGGTAAGACTCTGAAGAATATATTTTGAAAAATTAGGCAACAGCTAATCAGGATAAATATAGTACAACAGAAAATTTCTGATTCACCATTTATTATTTAAAAACTCAAAAATAAAATCTTACTTTTTTTCATTTATGTTCCAGTCCTGCGGAAAAATATAATAAGCTACAACAGTTGGCATTTTATTATACACAGTCAAATTTTTTATGGCCTGAAAAAAACTACCTTTATTTCAAGTGTAGTTACATCTCACGAATAATTTTTCAGTAATTTTCTGGGTTGTCTGTCTCCTAATTCAAATGTTACATCTACCCTTTCTCCTAATAGCTAGATATTTCAAATGCAACTGAAAAATAACAGCCCTTCTGCTGTTATTTTTAATAAACAGCCATAGAGTGACTGCATTTTCTATGGGAATAAATTCCCAGTCTTTATTATGAAGTGGTAACACATTTTGTGATGGAGTGTGGCCTGTCCTTCCTCTCTTCAAGCATCACCACCACCCCACTCCCTGCTGCCCTAGACACCATCACCTATCACACTCAGTGACTCCATTATTTCTCTAAGAGAACATGTTCTAGCATGCATCCTGCTTTTGGGGGGCTGGAGTGAGGGATATACAGTTTTCCTTATCCACAGTGTGCTCTATTTGTCCACTTGACAATCCTGTATTCATTCTTCAAGTCACATACCACTTCTTCAATGTGTAGTCTTCACTAACCGCCCCAGAGGACTTGGTGATTTTTTCTCTGAGATCTGAAAGTAATTTTAATGCAGTTTTACTGTTACAGTAATTTGTTATCTAGAGAACACTGCCCGTTTCATTGAGCATTGCTCATTTTAATTTTAAGACTCATCACGAATAATTATTCAAAAATTTAACTTAGGTCATCTAAAAACCAAAGCTTTTATACCTCATGGTGGAGCCAATGACACCTATGAGAGGATTTACCATGGGACCCCTATGGTGGGACTTCCTTTGTTTGCAGATCAACCCGGCAAGTTTGTTCACATGAAGTCTGAGGGGGAAGCTGTTAAGAGTAGACTCAAAAACAATGTCAACTACAGATTTGCTCAATGCATTAAAAGCAGTCATTAATGACTCTTCATGAATGTAATTTTTTTAACTACATAGCATGTATTGATAACTTCTCACATGAAGGCCAAAGAAGCAGCAGTGACTCTAAACGTGAACACAATGCTGAGTACATTTATTTTTGGTAACTCTTAAAGGCAATCATCAATAAACCATTGTGAGTATCACAATCTGTTTTTTTTGGTGGTTTTAGTGGAAACATTTGTCAGAGGTTTTAGGATAGTACATAAGTTTTAAAGTAGCTAAAAAGTGAAATAAAAGGAATTGCTGAAGATGGTAACAGAAGGATTATAAGGAAGACCGAGAACAAAGTTGAAGAAAAGAAGCATGAATATTATTACTGCACTGACTAATTTTCAGCACAGTTATGAGGGCCTTTTAGGATGAGATCTCATCAAATGTGTCTTTAATTTTTTTTTTTTGTCTATTGAAGGTATAGAAAGTGATATTATGGGATACAAATACTTAGTCAAAAGGCTACCATAATGAAGCAAATAAACACGTCCATCATTTCACTTTAGTTACCCATTTTTCCTTGTTTTTAAAACTCTTGTAATTTATTTTCAGTAAATTAGCCTGACATAATCAATCCCTAATTCCCATTATATTTAATGCTTTCAAAATTTTTATGCTAACATTTTGATCCCATCACTGATAACTTGTAAACAACTAGAGCCTTCAAATTTGCCTTTAAAGATTATTGGAAAAAGAACATACTTTATAAATGTAGCCACATTCTCTGTTCTTATGGTTGTGGTTGCTTTTGCTTATTTGGAAGCTTCATAAAATCAAAAAATAATTGGCTTGAAAGAGATAGATTGGAATATTCCTGTTTAATAGCCAAAATGTCTGAAACCAGACATATAGGATTTCTAAATTACTTCAGTACATAAATTAATTTCAGTTTAGCTATTACCATTATATTGGTAATATTATAAATTTTAATACATATAATGCTGTGTTGAAAAATAAAGATAATTTTTAATTAGTTGATACCCATTGAATGTATATGAAATGACATGTATTATATTGGTAGTTTGTATTATGTAACTTCTTGGTTATAGTTTTTCCCAATTGTATTAAAATATATATATCAGGATTAATTCCCTCCTCTCAAAAACACAGTCTTCATACTCTGTTTTTTAAATATGAAAAAGAGAAGTTACCTCCATTGCTATTGCTACAGTGCCATGCTTTAGCACTTTTTGGTTTTGACTTGCTAAGCCTTGTACTTATATTCATCCTTATTCCTTGATTATTAGTCCATAATTATTTCAACACTCGAAATAAATGGAACTACAATGCCTTGAAGTAAAATATAAAGCACCACGTAGATTTTAAAATCACAATGCAAGAAAAACTGTAATAATAGTGAACATTTACTGAGAGTCTCTTTATGATGAAAATAATTCTACCAATTATCCCAAGATATCATTCTTATTCATTCAATTTAACAATAAAAAAAAAACTAGGAACAGATACATTTTCAAAAAAAAAAAAAAAAAAAGACCAGTAGATATCAGTTCATGATTCAAACTAAGGCCATTTACTTTTACACTTTTGATCACTAATTCACTAATACAATGTCAATACTAATTCCTGATCAATGCCAACTTATCAGCTTTGCCCTGACATGAACCTGAACCTTGTCATAGATTTGTATCCTTTCTCTAAACTTTGATACTATTTTGAAATTTGCACACCAGGTTCATTACAATTTCATTAATGGCTAATTCAACCTCTGTACTCTCAAATGATTTCTTTTTATCCTTTGGACTTAACTAATTTTAATTTCTAGGATAGAAATACTTGCTCTCTTAAATTCTCTTTTCACATCTTGAAATCTTATGCATCCAACAAATTCTAACCCATAAACCAAAATCTCTGTAACCACCAGGAAATAAAATATTTTTTCATCCACTTTTATGTGGCACTAATTTTTAACATCTACACAAAAATTTCACATATTTATATTTTATATTCTATATGTTTATGTCTATTTGATTTTCCTTTAGCTGTAAAGAGAACGTTATATGGTTATCCATCATTCATTATGATCAGCTTATGAAGCCCATGGACCAAACAGTCTTCTGGATCAAGTTTGTCATGCGCCACAAAGGAGCCAAATACTTGCTGCCACCTGCGAACAACCTCACCTGGCTCCAGTACTGCTCTCTGGTTGTGCTGGCCTGCGAGGCAGTTTTTACTCTCTTTGTCATAATATGTTGCTTGTTTGATTATCAAAAGTTTGTTAAGACCAGAAAGAAAAAAAAGAGAGAGTAGCACTGTTTGAGATCTAAGGCAGGCATGATAGGGAAGGTCATGACATTTAATGCCACCACTATTCATCAAGGTGTGGCAAAATTCTCCTCTATATTTCACAAGACTTGTGCCTTCCTGATTTATTTAAATATTTTACTCTTTGTTAAACATTAAGTAATATACAATTTTAATTTCAGAAAACCTAAAATAACTCAATTTTAATGCCTGCTTATGTATATTTCTAAGCTGAAAAAAAATGAGATTCACTGGAAACTCAGGCTGTTTATTTGAGGTCAGGAGTAGTGTGTTTCTAGAAACACAGTGCAGTCTCTCTAGATTATAATGTTACATGATTTCTCTCCTGCAATAAGATCTCACTATTTCTTGGCCTTAATTTGTCAAGTCAGACGTTTCTGACTTCTTAAATACCTGGAATACTGAGGATACACAAACCAGAAATATATATATAATCATTTACTTATTCTCCCCTCATAACATGGAGAATTGTAGATGGAATAAAGAGCCAAATATCCTGTGCAATTTTTAGAAACCTCTTTTTATTTTTATTTTATTTTATTTTTTATTTCCAACATTTATTGTAAGTTCAGAGGCACATGTGCAAGATGTGCAGGTTTGTTACATAGGTAAAGAAAACTCTTCTGTATAAACAAATACAATGATACGGATTATATGTGTCCCTGTCAAGAAAAACAGTGCAAGATCCTTCTTAAAAATGGCAAGACAAATTTTATTCTCCCTACTGAAGTAGGAGATAGAGACTACAATACAAATTGAGCTCAACTCTAACTAAGACAAAGGTAACTGAGGCTTGGCTTTTAAAGAGAAAACTGATATGAATAAAATTGAGGAAAAAAAAAGGAACTAGTGGGTTATATGAAAATGGAAAATTACATAAAAATTAAGTGGGAAATAAATGAAAATTATTAGGCAAGGTGGGTTAGGCAGTGTATGTTTTTCAGTTTGGCAGGATCACATTATTTTGAGCCAAGACCTACCATGAAAGCTAGGGTGGTCTTTAAAGACAAATTTATGACCTAGTGCACATGTAAGCTAAGCTAAACTTGGCCAACTCTCTTAACATTGTGATTATTCAAGTCTTTTGTGTTACATGGGAGTTTAAAATTCAAATCCTTCATGAAATACAAAATATTTGTTAATGGGAATGTTCTCTTTCAAAATTATAGATGGTTGTGACTGACTTCCTATCCAAAACTATGCAACCTAGTAAAATCCTTGGTTAGAAAGACTAAAGATGTTTTCCACATGAGACATTGAATGTGCTTGAGTTACTATTTTCACTTTAGTAATGACCCTTTGTAACTGGATAATAATACACAAAATAAAATACGAGACAATTCCCTTTAGTTAGGAATTATAGATACGGTCCAGCAAGTTTAGTGCAGTCTCTCTAGATTATAATGTTACATGATTTCTCTCCTGCAATAAGATCTCACTATTTCTTGGACTTAATTTGTCAAGTCAGACATTTCTGACTTCTTAAATACCTGGAATACTGAGGATACACAAACCGGAAATATATATAATCATTTACTTATTCTCCCCTCATAACATGGAAAAGTAAATTGTAGATGGAATAAAGAGCCAAATATCCTGTGCAATAATTTTTAAAGTCTATGTTGAAGAAAACATAATAAATGGCAAAAAGCTCTCCAAATCCTGCCTTTAAATATTGGTCATTACAGCCTCTGGATTCAGAAAAAGGTTTGCAAAGCAAATCACAGAGAAGAAAGAAACCAACTTAAAAGCAGTTCTTCTGTCTGATAAGAGATGTACCTGAACAATCGGATGGAAGAGAGGCATAACGATCATTTCTAACACATGAAAAAGATTTTTACAGTAATCTTTTCTATGAAAAAATAGTTTTAGCTACAATTGGTAATAAAACAAATTATTTTAATATCTAGAAAAGAAATATACACTGAATATTTTACTTTATTAAACTTTGAACATACAGTCATGCCACTAAAAAGAAAGAAATAACAAAATGCAAGAAAAGAAAAAAAAAGTAATGCATACATGGGCTTTAATTATAGTAATGTCTTTTTTTTAAAGAGGGAAAAACTTATATATAAATGTTAGTCTGAGGCAATAATGATGCTCAACATGTACTACAAAAAGCTAAATTCTAATCTGTTTATATTTTCTTAATGAAGTATCTTCTGAAAATGTATCAGAATATACTTTCCTAATAAAGTATATTCTGAAAATAGATCTTCTTTGAAATTCTTAGACCATATATGCAGATACATGATTCTATGTCTATCCATGAGTGAACAAATAACTTTCACTAGTTTTATTTTGAGAAGTCTTTTCACATAAAGTGATATGTACCTATATATTTAGGAAAATATGTGACTATGAAGATATACTTGATGGAGAGTCATAAATATGTCATAGTAAATTGAATTACAAAAGTTGCAATAATATGATGTATCTGTTTCTTGGAGATTGATTCTACAAGCTTTTAAATATCTCAGCAGTTAAAACATTTAAACAGAGAAACTCTAAGCAATCACATAGAATGATATAATTGATATAACATTCTTGATATTTGTGATTTTTTTAGAATTTTGAATATGCTGCTTAAAGACAGGGATATTCAAGCACCACAGAAGTTGAACACAAAAATAAAATAATTGTACATTTAATCTTCAAAATAACATATGAAGCGGAATCTATCTATGTCAAGGACAAATGGTTTATGTAGGAGTTTTCTGAATTAATTTCTATGCAGAATGCAATATTTCTTAAAAGATAAAACAAATGTGCTATTAGAAGTTTTCTTCTTACATTCTTTAAGCATATTATTTAGTATTTTTAAGTATATTCTTTTACATACATATTCTTAAATTACAACATTAATGATAAACATTACTGAGTACCTAAAGAGTGGGCCCTTGAAAGGGATGTGCCCTCCTACATCAACCACGTCACTATTACTCCAGTGTCCTCTATTGATGAAGCTTAACATTCAACTAGCTGGCAAAGGAGGAATGCTTACAGGATCCTGATTCAGTATCATAAACTGTATTTGCATCCAAGGGACAGTAAATTGAACACTGGTGAGGCATAAAATTTCAAATTTCTCATTTGTTACTATCCTAAAAGTTGTACCCTTGGGCACTGAATCTTGGTAAAATTTGGATGAGTAGGAGGCATGACTTTCTTTTGAAAATAACATTTCTGAAAGTGGGGGCATATAGAGGTTCTGACAAAGATGAGCTTAGAGTTGGCGCACTGAGTCCACAGTTTCACTGGTGGTCACTTGCCTGATGTCCAAATGTATAATAAGAATTGAGCTACTAGCAGGTTGGATTTTTGTTTCAGTAGTTGCTAGCTCAGACTTGGTTAGAGGGAGTCTTGTTATGCTGGGCCCATGCATACCCATCACTTGTCATCACACTATTCATACTCCCAACAAACCAGCACTGGAGTCACCAGTTATGTGGTGCTTTACCTATGATGGATATTAATTTTTACTAATTAAAAGCATATGAAGATATATCAATGATTTTATTGTTAGTCCCTAATTATTAAACTGATTAATCACTTTTTGTGTTTATCATCCAATCAGAGTTTTGTTCATGTACTGCACTCATTTTTTCAAGTGATATTTTTTATTAGATTCTTCTTTAGTATAGAGACTTTATCAAGGATGAATTCGTTATTCATAAGAGATCCAGAATCCTAAGTCATCATCACCATGGCTCAGAGTGACTAGCAAAGAAACAAAATTAATAAAGGTCAGGTAAACAAGTAAAAATTAATGAATAATCCTTAGATAAGGTAAACATTGCAGATGGATTGATCAATAATAATGAGGACATGCAGGTTGCAAGAGGTAGAACAGAACAAAATAAAAATTGAGACAATCAGATTGAATCAGGGAATAAATACTTTTAACAAAGCATATAATGTGTAGTTAAGACCAGGAAAACAACTAGAAACAAGAGAACTTTGGGAGAAAAGCTAATCAGGAAAGCTTAAATCTAAGGTGTTAACAAGCAACGCTTTTTGATTTTAATCTGTTTACTGGCAATTTCTAGAGCATTAAGTGATTCTTCTTGAGGGCTATATCAGTCAAGCATCCAGTTCCACTTTCTTTCATGTAGTCAACCAACATTTCATAAAATTAGGGAGCACATTTCTGATTTTAAAAATACCTAATTATTTTTGGACTCATCCTTCTCACCTCATCCTATTCTTGTTTTATGTTAGTGACTCTTTCATCTCTGAACATTTGAACCATGCTTATTTAAAAATCTCATTTTGTAAAGGCATGATGGTTCATATCTGTAATCCCAACACTTTGGGATGCTGAAATGAGAGGATTGTTTGGGTCCAGGAGTTTGAAATCTCATGGACAACACCACGAGAGCTCATCACTACAAAAAATAAAAAAAAAGTAGTTGGGTGTGGTGACGTGCACCTGTGTTCCCAGCTACTCAGGTGGCTGAGGTGAAAGAATCACTTGAGCTTAGTAGGTTGAGGCTGAAGTGAGCTGTGATCACACCGCTGCACTCCAACCTGGACAACTGAGCAATGCCTTAAAAAATAAATATAAAAATTGAAAATCAAAATCTCATTCTGATCGTTCCCTCTATCTACAGTCCTTGAGTGCAAATCTTCCAATTGTGTGTGACTGCTTAGTTCCTCATGTACTTTTCTTGAGGAAATCTTCAACAGGTGTTGCTGTCTGCAACATCCCTCATGTTCTGTATTGTAAGATCATCCCTTCACAATTTTTTCAATTGCCTCTGCTGCAATCTAGGGAGATCTCTAGTTTCACACATTTTTTTTCCTTATTTATTTCATAACAGGACTTCACTACACACTGCAGAGTAAATTTTGTTCCCTAATTTTAGGGACTACGTCTCATAAGTTTTCCTCCCAAAAGTCAGTTTGCCACAGCTCTTACAAGAATCTATTTGCACAATTCCCTTTGATTTTAACAATCAGTAAACAATCTTCCTTCTTTATTTTATTTTATTTTATTTTATTTTTTCTTTTTGAGACAATCTCACTCCAATGCCCAGGCTGTAGTGCAGGAGCACAATCTCTCCTCACTGCAACCTCTGCCTCCTAGTTCAAGCAATTCACATGTCTCAACCTCCCAAGTAGCTGGGATTACAGGCACCCGCCACCACATCTGGCTAATTTTTGTATTTTTAGTAGAGACAGGGTTTCACCATTCTGGCCAGGCTGGTCTCGAACTGCTGAGCTCAGACGATCCACCCACCATGACTTCCCAAAGTGCTGGTGAAAGGAGAGGCCAGCTGGGCTTCCTTGGTCTAGTAGGGGCTCAGAAAGCTGTGAAACTCACTCATTTCCTGCATCAGGACTTACTTTGGTCCTGGATGAATAATACTGAAGATATATGCTTAAAATATTCCTAACATCAGAATTTATGCATATGTTTTCTTCCCCAAGAAAGCTATAAACAGTGAAAATTATCCTGTAAGCTTCCCTGTGAACTCTCTCCCTCTCTCCCTTCCCCCTCCACTAAAACCAAAAGGAATGTTAAAATGTTTTTCTGTGACGAGTGGACCTTATTATGCTCCCAATTCCAATTCCTTGTAAACATACTTTGTAAAGTCCTGTAAGATCCTGTCTCCTTTGCCATGCCGCTGCAAGAAAGTAGATAAAACCTAAGTTACAATTCTAGTTTTCCTCAAAATCTAAGACATGTCACAAAATAATTTACTGCCTTTGTTTCTCGCTCTGGTAACATCTTCCCTCTGCATGTATTTCCCGCCTTAAAGAGTTTAAAAGGCAACTGCGTGTTCTAATTCTGGCTACCCACTCGGGACCCCTTCCCCACTGTGGAAGCTTTGTACTGTCACTCTGCTCAATAAAGCCTACAGCTTTTTTTTTCCCCCTCTCGGTCCAATTATTTGCTATGGCTAAGGCAAGAAGAACTTTTGCCATTATACTGGGATTACAGGTGTGAGCCACCATGCCTGGCTCTTCCATCATTTTATATTAGGTTATATATGTTGTTCTACATCATTTTTTCCTGTGCATGTGTATGTGTATTCAGTAGAATAAGTGGGAAAGAATTGATCCACTTATGATCACCTCAGTATTCTACTCCATATGATTAATTTGAGGCCTGTTCATAGGAAACCTATTTTGTATTTAAAATATCTATGAATAAATATTTTACAATGCATAATAAATGTTTCAGTAGTTGTAAAAATTTAAATTCACACACGTTTATGATTTTACTGTGTTTCTAATGTCAATATATAATGAATTTGCTAGTTGCTTAGTGGCTTCTGTTGACTAACTCAACAGCTTATATTCTGGTGATTTTGAGACATGGCTGCAAATACTGTGACATTCTAATCAAACCATAGTCCCTCCCCTTGAAATTTAGTAAGGCTTGTCGCTGTCTCAGCAAAGAAAGCATGGTGGAAGTGTCAGCATAATTTTGAAGACTGTGTTAGAAAAGTACATTATTTCTGTCTGTCTCTCTGTCTCTGTCTGTCTTTGTTTTTATTTATATATCTTTCTTTCTCTCTCTCTGTCCTTTTTCCTTCCCTCTTCTTTTCTCCCTCTGTACATTTTGGATCCCTGTGTTACAGCCAAAGTCCTGATGATAAATGGCAGTTGGGGAGGGGCGCACAGAGGAGACTACGAAGTCATGATTATTCAGTCAAGAAGGAGTTTCAGTCTTTTGACATCAATCACTAAGTATGTGAATGAATGACCTTCAGATGATTACATCTCCAGCCACCATATGAAAGTAACAACCTGAGAAATACTCTGTATGAACCACCTGGCTGAGTCCACCCAAAACTCATGTTATGAGATTTCTGATTAAATGCTTATTGTTTTTCAAAGTCCCCACATTTGAGGGAGTTGGTTATGAAGTGACAGATAACTAAAATCATATTTCTAAAAACTTAATTATGCATTCATAATAATATACAGTTAATATAGAGGCAAGAAAATGAAAACAACAAATGTAACATTTTGAAAATAACTGTAACCCAGAAAGGGGAGTCAGCATAGCATGGTGGTTAAGAGCTCTTGCACTCTGGATCCAGTTAGCCTGGATTCAAGTCCCTGCAAAACCACTACAGAATTATGTGGGGTTTGGCAAATTGCCTCACCTGTAAGCCTCAACTTCTCCATCAGTGAAATGGAGATGGAGCAATGCCATTATCTACCTCATGTGGCTGATGAAAGGTTGGATGCATTAACTTTGTAAAGCACTACAGTTGCTGTATGTAGCAAATTAAATTTGCATTAATTATAATAAGTATTAAGTAGACAGAAAAATGTTCACAATTTGAGTCCTTACCTAAAATGCCTCATGTATTTTAAATGTATCATATTTCAAATGTAAATGATAAAAATGACAGAATTTGTTATTTTAATATGTCAGAATTAAATTTATGATAATTTAATTAACCAAGGGCTGACAAATCAATTGGGTCCTCTGGGCAAAATTTGGTCAGCCACATGTTTACATGATTTTTTTTAATATTTGAGGTAAAATTACATAAAATAACATGTACTATTTTAACAATTTAAAAGTGAGCAATTCAGTGGCATTGACAATATTGTGTAATTATCACTTCTATCTAGATCCAAAATTGTCACTAACCTAAAAGGATGTTGATACACATTAGACAGTCACTCTCCATTCAAGCTTACCCTATCCTGGTAACACGGCATTTTTGTTAAAATCATTCCGTTATATATTAGAAGATTTTTTTAAGACATACAAAAATTATATTTTTTCTTAATTCTCTTGATGTTATGTCTTTTCTTATTCATTGGTTTTCTTATGTTTAACCTTCCCTGCATCTCTGAAATAAATCCCAGTTCACCATAGTGTATAATCTTTTTGATGTGCTGTTGGATTTGATTGGCTAATATTTGTTGAGAATTTTTGCATCTATGTTCATCAGAAAAGTTGGCCTATAGATTTTTTTTCTGTATTTTTATTTATTTTTTATTTTTTTGGCTCCTTCTTTCTGGTTTTGGTATCAAGGTAATCCTTACCCAGCCATTAAACACTATTTTTTAAAACATTAAATTCTCTTTAATGATTTGGAAGAAAAAAGTTAGAAAAATGGTTTAACTGATTTTTAATATTTTGAATGAAATGAGCACATTTTTATGTGAGTTTTTATTCCTGCTTCAATTTTATTACTCATTATTTCTCTCCTCATGCTTCTGTTTCTTCATAAGTCAATTCTGATTGAATGTACATGTCTAAGAATTTATCTATATCATTTAGATCTTTTAATTTGTTGGAAGGTGTTTGTTTACAATAATCTCTTATAATCCTTTGTACTTTTGTGTATCAGTTGTTATGTGTCCTTTTCATCTCTTATTTCATTTATTTCAGTCATCTCTTTTTGTAGCTATTCTAGCTGAAGCTTTTTCAATTTCTGTATTTAAAAAAACCATATTTTCTCTTGTTGATCTTTAAATATATTCCAAAGGATTTTTTTTAACTTCATATTTTCTGTTTCCTGACCTCTTTTATAAAAAAAGTGCCTGGAATTCTCTATCAGAAATTTTATATACATTTATTTCTTCTACTGCATTAGGTGAGTTCTGTTGTTTTTTTAGCGGTGTTGTATTTCCTTTCATCTGTACATTGCTGTTTCCATACTTAAAGAGATATCCACATGTTCTAACTTTTATAGGTGTATTCTTGTGTTGTTCAACCTTTACTACTTAATATTGGAATCTAATTCCTTGCCACCAGTTGCTTTTTGTTTAGGCAAGGACTGAATATTTGCCACCAGAATTTAATACTGCACCAAAACTCAGTATTTGCTTTAATGTTGTTTTCCAGTCTTGGGAGACTTATTGTGAGCATCTGAACTTAAATGCTGCACTGGAACTTAAACCCAGACTTGCAGTGATTTCTAGATCTGGGAGACATTTAAACAAGCCTTGGAACTTAATTTCAAGTCTTATACTTGTTTCCCAGTCATGGAAAATCTCCACATGACTACCTGGGAATTGTAAAATTTTGTCAAAGATTCAGGCCTTCCTTAAGATTTTGCCCCCTGCAGTGCTATGGTTCTGGTGAGACTCCTCTGTGTGGCATCCCCGTATCTAGGAACACAAAGCAGATGCCAAGATCTGTGTGGTGATCACTGTGATTACTACTCCATCTCCTGTCCCCAATTTACCCCAGGTGGTTCAGCCCTCTGAACACTCTTAATACCGTCTGTGGGGTGGGACAAATGTGGGCTTTCCCCTCAAATTTACAGATCCATGAAGAAATTAAATGTCCACTTGAAATTCCCTCCTCCCATTTCAATAACTGCAGGTGAAAGGAAGTTCCCTCACAGTGGTGTCATTTTGGCTTGTGGAAGCGGGGTGGTACAGTCCAAAAAAATTAATCATCTTACCAATCATAAGTTTTCTCATGTCTGTGAGTCTTCGGGTTTTCTCCTTCTGCCTTGAGATCTGGTGAATTCAGAGTGGCATTTTTGTATTTGGATAGCTACTGGTTGTACTTTTGTGAGGGAATTGATGTTGGGTTTCTAAAATTTTATCATTTTGTTGACATCACAAAATGTCAACAAATTGACACTTGATATTGTTGAAATAGTTTTATGAGTTTGCAAACCATTATGTTTTTAGAATTTGATGTCTACCAAATATTAAACAAGCTGGACATTTCTCACTTAAATGTTCTGTATAATTATTTGGTTGTGTGCCTTTCTAGTAAATAATTATGTTCTGAAGCCGTATGTTTCTAACACAAACTTTATCATTTCTATTCTAAAATGCATCTCAGAATATAGGGACAATATAACTATATATATGACAACTTCACAGTTTTACTTTAGAAGTATGCATAAACTATACTATTCTATGTGGCATTACTTCTTTATAATGAAGAACATTTTTTCTCTGTAGGAAATGGAAGAATTTGTCCAGAGCTCTGATGAAGATGGTGTTGTGTTTTCTCTGGAGCCAGTAGTGCAAAACCTTACAGAAGAAAAGGCTGATCTTATGGCTTCCGCCCTGGTTCAGATTCCACAAAATGTCAGTAGAACCTCCAATCCTTATAAGAAGCTATTCACACAGTGGAGAAAGTATGGCTTTCCACCTGGAACTTGAATCTCATTTTTCAATTTGCATAGCAGGCACTAGATTTATGTAACAATTTGGAAAGCATTATGGTAGTGCATGTGGGCACAACTGATTATTTTCCTAGTGATCTTTGCTATTACTTTTGTAACACTTCTCTTGGATGTCATTTGTTTATAATAAATTAAAAATAAAGCATTAAGTCCCTATTTCACGTTGCAGGATTTGAAATCCTAAGACCTATTCTGATGACTTCAAAAGAAACTTCTTAAGTGTAATAGCTCAAAGGGACAGAAAAATTGGGGGATAATATAAAAAAGAGAAGAATCATGCTCAGTAGTATCCTCAACATATTTGATTGTATGGGAACTCTATTCAGTGTATTTGAACATAAAAGTAGGAGCTTAGATTTATGTAGTCTTTCTAATGAACTGGAGTTTTCTATGGTTAAAAGCCAATTATGATTTTAACATTAGAGGCTAACAATCTGCATGTAATACTTTATGATGTTCAATTAAATTTATTATTACTGTAATTCTAGATTTCCTCTCTTTAGTTAGTGATATTTATACACTAGCCTAGAGGGGTTTTTTTTAATTTTGTGTTTAGTTAAATTTCAAAACACTCAATAAAAGCAAGTAAACTAATTAGGAATGTGAAATTAGTCTTGATTATGAGATTCTCTTTTTGGGAGTTTAGAATAACTGTGTAATCCTTTGTTTTCAAGTGTAAGATTTTCATATTGGTCTCCAGAAAAAAAAAAGTAACTAAGGTACAAATACAAACAAAATTCAACATTGAGCAATGAAATATAAGTAACTTCTGTCTCTTTCTTTTTTAATTAAAAATAAATATATAAAATTAAGGAGAGAAGGAGGCTTAAAGAGAAAAGACAACCAAATATCCAAAACCAGAACAAAGCCAAAGCAATATTTGTCTCTGGGAAACTGTAAATTTGATAATAGAGCTAGAGTGGCCAAGTGATTTACATTTACACAGAAGTTGTGTGTCCATAAGGATATTTAATTTCCATATGCTGACTAATTAGCCAACACTGCTTTATTTTTTTGTTATTTTTATAATCTCACTCATAGAAGCTTTGAGTTTGCCATAAACAAAATAATAAATGGTATACTTAAGAGTTGAATGGTATCCACCCTTTTAAAAGGTGACTGTAAACAGTCCTACTATTTCTTCCAGTGATTACAAAGGAATCTTATATACCCCTGTCTCAAATATCATCTGAAATAGATTGGATTGTATGAATTATAATACCTCTGAAAACTCAAAATACTATTATCTTGTGGTTTAGCTTGTGGAATGCATACATTTTCTTCCTCAGGTTTTATGGAGATTCCAAGGAAAGAAACCAACTACATTAGGAAGCAATACTCAGCTCTATGTTTGGATATCCCAGAGTGATCTTCATGGTAAGATTATGACAAAGTAAAAATAAAAAATTTCATGAGGGAAAAATGTAATAACTAACATCTAATACATGTAACAAAAATTTAAAATTTATAGTCTGTTACTTTACCTTTAATTTTAAAGTATATATAATTAAAAAATTGGTCATTAATTTTTTGGACTCTTACTTTCTATTTTTCAAGTAAATTTCAAGCAATGCAGGAATAAATTAATGCCTCTTTTTCTTAAGATAGCAAATTTCTTTTGTAATAATGCCCTTTGTGTTCACTTTTGTAGAAAATTCTGCCCTCTTCAGTGCGTTATTTCATAGATTTTTACCCTACATGTCTCTGAAATTCTTTTAAGATACGATAATAAAAATCTTACTTCTCACTCAGTTCCCACACTAGGTCATCCCCAAACCCAAGCTTTTATCACTCAAGGTGATATAAATGAGATACATGAAGCTATTTACCATGCAGTCCCTATGGTGGGAGTTCCCATGTCTGGTGATCAGCCTGATAAGACCTCTCATATGAAAGCCAAATAAGCAACTGTGCAGGTGAACATGAATACAATTACACGGGCAGAATTGCTTAGGTCTTTGAGAACAGTTGCTAATGATCCTTTGTAAGTATTACTGCCTTAAAAGGCTTATCTACCTACCATTGATTATGTTATAATCATACTAGAAAATGTCAGGGGCCATACCTGAAGACTATTTAAAAGATATTTCCCCTCAATCTCAGGTCATTCATCATCTTACCATTGCAAGTCCTGGAAATGGTAATGCATAGAGTGTCAATCTTCCTTCTTGGAAACACTAGATTTAAATTAAGGACCAGCTTACTAAGTATTTTTCTATGTCTTCATTTTACCCATTCTGCTAAGAATATGCTTCTTTTTCAATTTCCCCACTGTAGCTCTTCAGTGCTATGCAACCAACAAAGTTAGTATCACAACAAGGATCAATCTTTTATTCAACAAGGTTTTGGATTGTATAATATATGCTATGGTTTACCTACTTCTTTTTAATGAACGCAAAACAAAACTCTCTGTTTTCCATGTGTGCTCTTGTTTTCCAGTTATAAACAGAATGCTATGAGATTATCAAGAATTCACCATGATCAACCTGTAAAGCCCCTGGATTGAGCAGTTTTCTGGATCGAGTTTGTCATGCGCCACAAAGGAGCCAAGCACCCTTGGCTAGCTGCCCACAACCTCTCCTAGTACCAGTGCCACTCTTTGGATGTGATTGTGTTTTGGCTGGTCTCCGTAGCAATTACTATATTGTTGGTCACAAAACTTTGTTTGTTTTTCTGTTGAAAATTTGGTAAAATAGGAAAGAAGAAAAAGAGGAAATAGATGTTTCCAAATTTGGGAAAGGCAAGAATGGAGCAATCTTGATAATTTTTCATCCACAGATAATTTAAAAAGAACACATTACTTTCTCTCCATTTCCATATTTTCCACTGTAATATTTTATCTTAGCTATATAGCCTGAAATTTAAACAATTAATCTCGGGGGGGAGTGTCGCATTCTTTTGTTGTATTTTCCTAGGCGATTTGATCCTTTTCTAATACATTGCTGACACAAGATCACTAACAATTCTAAAATGTCCTATTCATGATATCACTATTTTTATGATGTCACATTTTTTAAACCTTAGTTGATATGTTTATTCACAATATGCTGGTCCTCTGTAGTGCATAAATATGAACTGACATCAATAGATGTAAAGAAGTCAAAAGCATAAAATTCACAGGAGGCAATAGACTATACAAGTCATGGAAGTGTTCTATGATATTAGTTTGTTATTAAAAACATAACAATGTTCCCTTTTTGATAAAAATAAGCCATTTTACATAGCCAACAGTACTGGGCTTAGACCATGAATTGGTAATGATAATAATGATAGTGCATTACTCTGGAAAAGGTTTAGTATATTTCTCTAGAACTCATCTAGATATTATGGCCTACATTTCTGCCTTTAGTCCAATATTTTTTGTGTCCTCAATGAGAAAGAGATAGTTATCATCAATGTGTTCAAACAAAAGGGTAAGTGATCCTTTCTTAGGGAGAGAATATGTCAACAAGGTGATCAAGTTGAACAGATTATTTTAGGAGAGGTAACGACAGGAAACATTTTATTAAAAATACTAATTTTAAAAAACTTTGATCGTTTACTTGACAAAGATTTAAATGTCTTTATTAAATATGTATTTATTAAAGTATAATTCACTAAAAGAAAATAGATATTTACTTTAAAACTAAGATTATTATGTTGTTTTTCAGTCTCAAGCTTCTAGATATATATAAGTTCATTAAATAATTGCTTACATGCAAGAATTTAAGATATTAGAAAATCTGCATGACCAAGAATATATGGTATATTATAATAAATATGTTGCAAGGTAAATCTCTACATTAAATTAAATATTTATATTATAATAATCTTTACATCAATTTAAAAAATATGTTAAACTTATTATTTTCTTTAGTGTTTTATAGTCAGTGACATGCTTATTTAATGTTTTGAGTTCTGTATTTATTAAATAAATAAATAACCTTAATTGGCTTACTGAAAATTTTAAAATACTTATAAAATTAATAAGGTATATTTACAAATGAATTCCAATTGTAAAATGACTATATAAAAGAAAATGTAAATATTTTTTCTGGTACATGTATATGACTAATACACATACTAAAATATAATAATTAAATAAATTTATTTTCAAGTATTTAGAACTTTTTACATTTTTATTTTGATGTGTATTTTTACTTTTACGATTTTATTATAATCTGGGAAGCGCTGCTTACATCTCTTTTTAGGGTAATTTTTTCTTTGTAATTAAATGCAGCAATTGGCTAAGATGTTGTGATAGGTGGGAAGCCATCTCGATACTTGAGCCTTCTAACATTCTGGGGCTCTGGGTGGTCCTTTATGAGACTCCCTGTCACTAAAGAGCCATTGCTTATAAGACTTTCATTCTTCATCATTCTGGCATTGTGTTTTGAGATCAGCAGCAATCAGTATCCAACTGGCCTTCTGTTTGTAATATGTTCTGTCCTAACCATTTCATCCTTTTCCAAGAATCTACTCAGGATTGTTATCACCTCCTTGTAAGGAACTCCCAGCCTAGAGTCCCAAAACCCATGAAAAACAAAGAAAGAAATATTGAAAAAAAAGGATTTTTAATGAGAGATTGATGTTTATATGAGTTATCAGAGAGGAAAGCAAAATTTACATTTCTAATATGCATATACAAATTTTATGTGTATCAGATAGATTAAGACAGGAGTTTCCAACTTTTGCTACACATGAAAAAAATAGGGGAGTTTTTATTATAACAACACCAATGCCCATTTCTCATATTAATAAATAAAGAATATCTTTCAAAAGCCAAGAATTTGTATTGTTAAAAGATGTCTCAGTGATTCCAATGCATAGTGGAATATGGAAAACACTGGATTAAAGTCAAATTTTCAAAAGTCACAGAAAAGAGAGAATCTTGAAAATCGCAAGAGAAAAATGACTCATCACATATAAGTGAGTTTGAATAAGAGTATCAACAAGAACCTCAGCAGAAAACTTCCAAATCAAAAGTAAATGAGATGATATATTCAAAGTGCTGAAAGAAAAAGAAAAAGAAACCTGCTAAACAAGACTACTATTTGGCAGAATTATATCTTTCAATATTTATAGAATATTGAATACTTTCTACGATAAGAAATAAAACACCAATTGAAGAAAAGAGTCATTACAAGACCTGACTATAAGAGACCCTGTCCTTCAAGCTTAAATGAAAGGATGGTAGATATCAAAACAAAGGCATATACAAATAGAAAGCCCTGTTGCAAAGGTAAACATACAGTCCAATGTAGAGCTTTATAATGTTGATGTATAAATTACTTTCAATTTTGGAATACAATTTGAAAGACAAAAACATAAAAAACTATGAATCTATCTAAATAAGTCTATCTGAAAAAAGAAATATTACACAACATAAAAAGATATAATTAGTGACACCAGTAACATAAAATGAAGATAGTAGTAGAGTTTCCATATGTGATTGAAGTCATGTTTTGAACAATTCAAAATACATTTTTATAACTGTAAAATATTTTATGTAATCTTCACAAGTAACTAAAAAATATCCCTATAGAAGATACACAAAAGAACTAAGAAAAAAAAAACCCTTATGATTTAACAAGCACGGTGGTGTGAGGAAAGTTTCTGATAAATACCTACATAAAAAAGAAGAAAGATCTGATATAAGCAACCTAACTTTACACCTCAAGAAACGAGAAAAAATAATTTTAAGCTCAAAAGCATCAGAAGGAAGAAAGCATTAAAGATTAGAACAGAAATAAGTAACATATAGAATAGAAAAAAAAATCAGCCAAACTAAGAGTCAGGTTTTTGAAAAGGTCAATAAAATTGAAATGTTTGTATCTAGACTGATTTTAAGATAAAAGAGAGAAGAGTTGAATAAACAAAATCGTATATATATATAAAACCTCTACAATGTAGCAACTACAACCCAATTTAGAAAAAAACAACTTGAACATGCATTTATCCAAAAAGTATTATATGGGACAAAAGCATATAAAAATATGTTCAACATCACTAATCATTACAGAAATGTAAATCAAAAATATAATGAGCTATCACTTCATAACCATTAGGAGGGTGTATATGTATGTGTGTGTATATATATATATATAAAACATCTCTTAAATAGGTTATGAGCTATCACCTCATAACAATTAGGATGGTTTACATATATGTTTATACATACAAATGCACATTATATACCTATATAAACATATATACTATATAACATAGATATACATATATATAATATAAATATGCACACCTATATATATAATATATACACACATATGCATAAATAAAAAACATTCTAAAGTTAGAGAACTCTATATTGGACTGTATATTCACCTTTGCCACATAGCTTTATACACACACACACACACACACACACACACACACACACACAAATATGCGCATAGGTCAGAAAATTAAAATAGAATTTACATATGGCTCAACAATATTACTACTAGGTAATTATCCAGAACAAATGAAAAGCAAGATTTTGAAAAGCTATTGGCACATCCAAGT
The DNA here is from genome assembly GCF_000001405.40 of Homo sapiens. Classification (NCBI taxonomy): domain Eukaryota; kingdom Metazoa; phylum Chordata; class Mammalia; order Primates; family Hominidae; genus Homo; species Homo sapiens. Next base: position 69,151,464 of record NC_000004.12, read on the forward strand.
TCTTCGCAACATTATTCACAAGTGTAAAGAGAGGAACGCAACCCAAGTATCCACCGATAAATGAAAGGACAGAGAAAACATGGTATATACATGCAATGGAACACTATTTAGCTTGAAAAAAGAAGAAAATTCTGTCATATATAACAACATGAGGAACTTTGAGCCTATTATGATATGTGAAATAAGTCAGTCACAAAAAGACAAATACTATGTGAGTCCACTTATATGTGGTATCAAAATTAGTAAAATTCATACAAACAGAAAATAAAATGGAGGCTGCCAGGGGCTGCCAAAAGGTAGAAGTGGTGTTGTTCAATGGGTTTTGCAAGATGAAAAATTATAGAGACTTTTTGTACAGCAATGTGAAAATAGTTAACATTACTGAATTGTAAATTTAAACATTGTTACGATGGGAAATTGTATAGTACCTGTTTTTACCACAATCAATTACTCAATAGTTACATGTAAAATTGAAAATTTTAAATGTTATCACTTTTAATTTTCCCTAAACTTAAAAAAAAACTTCTTTGAAGTTGACTATATATTCTTAATCAAGGAATAAAAACAGGCTAGATGATATATGTTTAACTCTGTATGTTTTCTTTCACTTCTCTCTTTAATTATTCACCCACTTTGAACTCTGTGTTGGCCAAAAATTATCATAATATTAAAGAACTAACTGTATATTCCCAAGCACACAAAATATATTTTTCCATGATTGAACAAAGTAATATATTAATAAATTTGAAGATAATGATTATTACTACTATAAATCTATAAAAACTAAGGAAAAATCTGAAGGTAACTGTTCAATGTGCAAAAGCATTCCCAGAAAATAAACCAAAAAAACATTTTCTTGGAATTATGTATTGTGTTTTTGAAATGACTAAGTTGATAAACATATATAACCAGTTTTATACAACCAGTTTTATATGTATTATCTTTTGAATTGTGCATAATGCTTTGTTCATACCTTAATTCATACTTGACTTTCTCAAAATTAATTTCCTATGCAACATCAACCTTCAAAATTAAGTGTATTGCTACATAACACTCTTGTTAGTTTGCTAGGGCTGCCATAACAAAGTATCACAGACTACATGGTATAAACAATAGTTATTTATTTTATCACAATTTGGGGGGCTAGAAGTGTGATCACAGTGTCACCGACAGGGTTAGTTTTTCCTAAGGACTCTCTCATTGTCTTGTAGATTGCTGTCTTCCTCCAGGGTCTTCACATAGTCTCCCTTCTGTATATGTCCTTATCTTCATATGGGATGGGTTCTATGTGCCTTTATTTTACCTTAATTTCTTCAGTAAAGGACTTATTTCCAAATGCAGTCGTATTCTGAGGTACTGGGTGTTAGAACACCAAATATGAACTTGGAATGAGAGACACACGATCCAGCCCATAACAACCATTTAACTTATTTAAAGTTTCAAAATAAATTCTATACATTTTGATTTGACAAATCAATAGTAGATAAGCATGGTCAAAATATACACTTTCTATCATTCCAACATTAAGAGAAATACATTGAGAGAAAGTATTCTGCTCAAATAAACACTCAAATCCAAAGAACAGAATCAAAAACATCTTATGTAAACTGTTAAGACCTGAGGTGAACATTCATAGACTCAATTAGAAAGTTTTTCAGTTGTGTTTAGTTGTAGGTGTTTGAATTCCTGTTTGATAAAAGCACTTTTTAAGAAGCTTTTATGTAATTTGAGCTATACTGTTTAATTCTATTAACCATTCCATTAAAGCAGCTATTTGTAACTTTGAACATTAGGGTAAATAGATTGTGCAAAGTTCAGACTCACTCACTGTCAACTGGTTGAGAAATTGAAACTTAAAACATAGTTATGATTATTCTGGGTTATGAACTTCTTGCACTTGTTTTGAGCTCAGGGTTAATTAGACCAAGAGCTGATCATAGAGACTAAATGGCTTCCATGTTATTTTCCTGTTGCATCTGTGCTTCTTTGACTCTGGAAGGACTGGAAAAGTACTTGTATGGTCCATGAATTGTAGTCAATTAATTTAAGAGTGTTCAGCTTCTTTTAAACTGCTGACATTTTTATGATCAGCATGGAAATAAAGCTGTCACAAGTGGAGAAATAATTTCCAAAATATGAGTGACAGTGTTGTAATAATTGAGGAGTCATTCAGCAGGCTGTAAGCACACAAGTTCAATTTCTCTTTTGCAGACCCTTTAGCTTAATGTGGAAAGTTGATGGCTGAGCTCCTCGACATTTCATTTATATATATTCTTTTTAATTTACCCATGGGAATGGCAGATGTCTCACTCCTTCATGTATTACTGGCAGCACATCAGACTGACAGACAATATGACTTATGTGCAAAGATTAATTACATTTTGTTCTATATAACTTGCGAGCTGCTATTTTATTGTATATTTCTAGAATAGGGTGAGTAGTATAAGTAAGTGTTAGGTCATAGCAAAAGTTTATTATCCTTATTATTTTATATTTAAAATGTAATTAAATCTTTGAAATTATAAAAGTAATATTACAGTATAGAAATAGTTAAAAAGATATTGATAAACTGAGCACAGTAGGATTATATTATTTTAGTAACTGTGAAAGTATTGACTATACTTTGTAGTTAAGGCGCAGAATATTGTGACCATAACATTTTAGAAATGAAATACTTATTATATTTTAACTGAAACCCTTTCAGCTCTGTCTCACTTTGTGGAGTATCTCTGTACCTTTCTCTCGGGTTGTGATTGCATCGTTTTTCTTCACATTCTCACACTGTTTACAATTCTTAATTGTTGCACTTAGTTTCTAGAGTCAGAATTCAGTGTAGGTTTATGGTGCAATAATGTAGTTCTAGGAATAAATATCAATTTTGTTCTCCTTTTGAAACTCAACAGAAAAGCGTAGGGATATTTCTATAAAGAATCATGATTTTAGGCTTTGGACTTTTCCATTTTTTCCTTGTATGTTTTTCAAGCATACTCCCCCTTTGCTTTCTTACCAACAATGCTTTCAGATTCAGTTTGTAACTGTTTATATTGAAAATCCTCTATACTTCTATGTAGTATATAATTTTAGCCCTCCTTGTATCCTGACTTTCTTACACCATGGATTAAGCAAAACATTTTTAATTATATAAACAATCATAACATGGATTTTATGTTTATCTGATGTACATAATTCAGAGTTATGTGCTTGCTTTCCTTCTATAATCCCTGTCTATAATAAGTAAAATATAATTTAAAAGTTAAATCTTTATCTGTATCATCATGTTGCTGAGCATCAATAGTGTTCTGATCAATTTAGTTATAGTCCATCGATATCATCACACATTAATAATGTATAGTTAAAATTCAATTGAATTCAAAATATTTACTAAGAAATAGTCATTTTATTAGTTTAAAAATTTGGAATATTACTAAATTCAAATCTCAACCTAAACAAGATTATTTCTATACAATTACCCTTCAACTCACAGCTTTAATTTTTCTGGTAGGTATAATTATAATTAGGTATAAGTGTAATTATTTTAGTTTTACTTCAATATAGTAACTATAAATGCATTTTACCAGAAAAAAAAAACAGAGAATCAGTAATAACATCAGTCAATTCATATCGATTTATGTACATGTATATTTTTAAAATATTTAACAAATTACCTCATCAGTAAATATTGCAGGCTTTCTCAAAATTAAATCTATATAATATGTATAAAATAAAAATGTTTCAATATTCTGCCAAACTAAGATATATATTCAGACTGAAAAGAATCACCTACATAAAATTTGGAGTATGAATAATCTAACCCCTGCTACAGGTGGTGCATTTATTTCACCACACGCTTTATGAGCACTGCTCATGCTGGGTCATAGGCTAACCCCTCATTATACAAAAATAAATCGTAACTCTAATAATTTTTTTCCTCTCTCTCTTACTCACTCTCTCTCTTTCTCTGTGTCTTTGTGTGTCTTTCACCTTTGTTCCTCCTTACAGTGCTTCACCACACTACCAGGTGGTATGTTAAAATGAAACAAATAGGAGATAGTATTGCTCCATTCGTATATATATATATGTGTGTGTGTGTGTGTATATATATATATATATATATATGTGTGAATATATATATGTGTGAATATATATATATGTGAGTATATATATATATATATATACACTCATATATTTCTTAGTAAAAAGACCCAATAAAGCTATGAAATGGATTCCAGCAAGCACAGTAAAATCCCACCTCTTTGATCTTTTAATCACTCCATGAGATGCTCTGAGCACATGTATAGATATATTCAGGGTTCAGTTCCTCTCTGCTGGTGTGTAAACATGACTTTGAATCAGAATACTTGCCTAAAACACCACTTGTAGTTGTGTAGATCCTTTGGCCTAGACATCCTCTTTATGTAGCTACCCTAAATGATCTCTCTCAAGTTCAAAGCTCCATAAATATCTAAGGCAGGGGAAATATGCCGCCAGTCTCTTTGCTAAAACATAATGAATCACCTTTGCTCCAGTTCTTCATCTCCATCTGAGCCCACCTCAGCCTGGACCTTATTGTTCATATCACGATCAGCATTTTTGTCAAAGCTATTCAACAAGTCTCTAGGAAGTTCCAAACTTTTCCACATTTTCGTGTCTTCTTCTGAGCCCTCCAATAGCCCTGCAGTCCAAGTACTGCAAATAAAGGGAGCTTTTCTATGTGAGAGATTGATTTTTTTCTTCTTGGGAGCTATCGTGTTAGGCCAACTCCCCAGTTCCCAGGTCTTTAGTGAGGAGGACCTGGTTCCACAGCTTCACCTTAGAATTCTGCTTCTGACAGGGAAACAGTGGAAGAGCTGCCCTGCTAGGTGCTGGCTGCAATTTGGAGAGGGCCACCTGGAACTTAATTTAATGGGTTCGTACATCTTCCTGAGGCATTTTTTTAACAAATTTTATTTCAAGCTTTGGTTTGAAGTCATAATAAGAAAAACTGATCAAGGGACCCGGAAGCAGTTAACAGTGGAAGGCTAGAACTATCTATGCCTGCTAGGCCTTTCCACTTCTTGGATGTAGGTTATGTTTGCATCTATGGTATAGATGAGGTCTAGGGAACCCTCAAGTTACCAACAGTGGGAGGGTAGCACATAGGTAAGTGAAAATACTCCTACACACCAGGCCTGCCTGCTACATAGGTGGAGGTTACACTCTCATTCATGGGTGGTACATAGAGTCGCCAGATTCGGGGATATAAGAATGGAAGAAAAAAGAGGACACTTTTCTTCTCTCCACCACACACACTGGGTTTTCCCTGGAAGAGAGAGAGGGACTAAGGGACACCTTTTCCCATCTATTTTAGATGGATAACCAATCATCTTTATGCTACACTCCTCTGTAATGTATCCTGAGTCACTGGGACTTTTTGACCCTCAGATTCTGGAGAAAAGCACCTCATATTCCTTTGTACAAAGTTGTGGCCTGATTATCTTCTGAAGAAAAGAGAATATTGGCCTCAGGAAGGATTAATTTCAGTACCATCCTGCAGCTGCACCTTTTCTGTAAACATAAGGGCAAATGGTCCAAGGCCTCATAGGTGGAGGCTTTCTTTGCCTTACAGGGTAATCTGGCCCTTTACCAATGTTGTAGGATGGATTCAGCCCTCCTAGTGGCCATCTCAGGAAAGGCTGCAAAGGGCAATTTCAAGGAACTAGGGAAGCAAATCCTAGAGGTACTTCTAGTGGGGGAGTTAACTCCCTCTATTCCACCCTACCCAGGTTCTCTGCCAAACTTGCCACATCGTTGAAATACTTATTTTAGGCAGGTCCAAGTCTTGCTTCTGCCACTACAACAGACGCCTGGTCAATGTGGCTCCATTAAGTTCCAGGTCCCTTTTCTTTACAGGACTTAACGCAAATTAAGGGGGGATCTTGGCCAAGTTTTCAGATGACCCTGACAGGTATACAGAGGCTTTCCAGAATTTAACCCAGGTATTTAAACTCCAGAAAGGACGTTATGTTACTTTTGAATCCAACTTTGACTGCTGTGGAAGACTGGCAACCAATGGCTGACTGCTGCTGGTTGCCTTGAAAGTGGCAGAAAATTTGGGGGATGAGCTTTATATTTTTATATGTATAAATATATATATATATCTTCATATAGATATGAATACTATTCAGCCATAAAAAGGAACGAAATAATGGCATTGACAGCAGCAACCTGGATAGAATTAGAGACTATTATTCTAAGTGAAGTAACTCAGGAATGGAACACCAAATGTCATATACTCTCACTCACAAGGGGAGCTAAGCTATGCGGATGCAAACACATAAGAATGGTACATTGGATTTGGAGACTTGGGGGAAAGGATGGGAGGGGGGTAAGGCAGAAAAGACTACACATTGGGTACAGTGTATATTGCTCTGCTGATGGGTGCACCAAAGTCTCAGAAGTCACCACTAAAGAATTTATTTATTTAACCAAACACTACCTGTTCCCTAAAAACTTATTGATATGAAAAACAAATTTAAATAAAAACAGAAGGACAATATATAATGGTAAAAAATTCAATTCAACAAGAAGATCTAACTACCATTTCTACTGAGACTATTCCCAAAAATTTGAAAAAGAGAAAATTCTCTTTATCTCATTCTTTGAGGCCAGCATCATCCTAATACCAAAACCTGGCAGAGATACAAACAAAAAAAGAAAACCTCAGGCCAATATCCATGATGAACATTGACACAAAAATCCTCATTAAAATAATAGTCAACCAAATCCAGCAGCAAATCAGAAAGTTTATCTACCATAATCAAGTTGGCTTCACTCCAGGCATTTTATTTCAGTTTTTTACCTAGGAAGATTTATTGGTCAAAAATCTCCTCAATTCCATTTCTTGATTTAAAAACAATATAGCTAGCGGAACTCTTACCCTTGAGAATATTTTAAAATATTATACGTGCCTTATTTTGTATTAAGTAATTGCTTTTTATGAAGTAACTTCTGAGATTTATTTTAAAATTTTACTTCAGAGTGTACCTGTAAGTTATGGCCAAGATTATAATTCATGATAGAAGACACAGAATCTCCCAGAACTTGGTTTTTTATTTGAAAAAAAAAAAAGATCTGTGCTGCATAAATGTATGTGTATGTATCTTATGAGGGAAATTTCAAACTAGACAGCTAAACACTTTGGTAATGGCCAAGACAGAATTCTTTTTATTGTAATCTGTAAAAATAAGTAGAGAATATAACTTTAACTTTACTATTTAGCCTGAAGGAATTCTGTCTGTCACCATATTTAACTAACATAAGGGGAAATGAAAAACAAATTCTGAAAATATTTTTATATACCAGCAGCATTAGAAATTCAATAAATCAAAATCAAAACCCCAACAAAAATTAAAAACAAACAAACAAATAAACACAACTGTGTTATTAATGGAGATATTTTAAAATATTTAAGAATAATATTCTTACAAATATACAGCAGCTTACATTTTTTCATTTATATATGATACATTGGACTTTGTGGACTTGGGGGAAAGGATAGGAGCAGGGAGGGATACAAGACTGCACATTGGGTACAGTGTACACTGCTCAGGAGATGTATATAACCCCCAAAAGCTTTGTTTGCTCTAAATAAAATTTAAATAGAAATAGTTGAATTCATTAGCTCATTATTAATACAATTAGTATTAATCAACCTTTAATCAATTAATACGATTATACTTAGCTATACATTTGTATTAATATTGTGTTAAATTTATAGATAAATTAGAAGAAAAATAAGCTTTTTCACTGCAAAACAGAGATCAGGAAACTTTTCCTGTAAAACCTCAGATAATATATATTTTAGATTTGCAAGTCTTATGGACTCTGCTGCACATATTCTGTCATTGTAGTGCAAAGCAGCTACAGACAATACTTTAAAGAATGGGCATGGGTATGTTCCAATAAAACTTTATGTACAAACAGGTATTAGAGACACCACTAAAACCAATGCTGTAGAGAAATTTTAAATTTTTCATTTAATTTCATTTAATGTTTTCATTTCAGTTATTGCATTGTATTCTTCAGCTCCAGGATTTCTGCTTGTTTTTTTTATGGTTTCTATCTCAATGATATCTCATTTTCTTCATGTAATGTTTTCCTGAATTCATTTATTTCTATTTCAGCTGTTCATTTGTAGCTTACTGATGTTTTTAAGATAATTATTTTGAATTTTTTGCCATATAATTTATAGATCTCAATTTCTTTATTTTTAATTACTGAATATTTATTTTGTTTCATCAGAAGCATCGTATTTTCCTATTTTTTATGCTTTTTATATCTTTGTTTTGGTGTCTGTGTATTTGAGGAAGAAGTCACCTCTTCTACTATTTATGGACCTGATTTGGAAGGAAAATGCCTCCTCAATCAGGCTGACAGAGATTCTGGAAGTCTTCAAAACCTTTCCTATAGATGTGCTCTTCATACCTCTCTCCTTACTGATAAAGATCAGAATTATATGTCTTACCCAATCCCACAGAGCCAGTCTGAGTCCTAAGAACTGCCCATTTCTTCTCCCTAGGGCAGTGCATGATATAAGGCCTATATCACTTAAACTACAAATAAATTAAGTGCATTATGCCATTCCTGCATTGCTAGAAATAAATGCCTGGGATAGGGTAATTTATAAAGAAATGGAATTTAATTGGCTCATGGTTCTGCAGTCTTTATAGGAAGCCTGGTGCTGGCATCTGCTTGGCTTCTAGGGTGGTCTCGGGACCTCCTACCATCATGGCAGAAAATGAAGAGTGGAGGGATGGGGCAGGCACGTCATGTGGTAAAAGCAGGAGCAAGAGTCAACCTGGGGATGGGGAAAGGTGTCACATACTTTTAAACAACAAGATCTTACATGAAAACTCACTCTAGTGAGGACAGCACCAAGCTATGATGCATCCGCCCCCATGATCCAAACACCTCCAACCAGGCCCCACCTCTAACATTGGGAATTGCTATTCAATATAAGATTTAAGTGAGGACAAGTATCCAAGCCATATCAGTAGGCAAGTAAACAATTAAAGGAAATGGATTATAGTCATTAGAAACTGATGATAAAGATAAGCTTTTTTTCCTGGAAAGCATGAATAAGAGATAAAACATAACTTCCAGGATCACTTGTAAACCCCTTCTGTGTCTGGTATAATTATTATTATATTGATTTACTTTTCTTCTATGTAGGCTTTTCAGATTCCTTTTCAGTAAATATTTCTTTCACATCTCTCAAAACAATTAGGGTCAGAGAGAGTTTACACCTCCTTGATTTTTTGTAAGAAAATAAGTGCCTTTGTTAAGTAACTCCAATCTACATAAATAAGAACTTTATGCACACTACTCTTCATATTGAAACAATGGCCAATGTGATGGTGTTATGAAGTGAGGCCTTAAAGAGGTAATTAGGACATGAAGGTTTCTTGCTAGTGAATGTAACTAAGGCCCATATAAAGGAAGCTTGATGCAGTGTTTAGCCTTTTTGCCCTTCTAACTTACACCATGTAAGAACACAGTATTCCTTCTTTTCAGAGGATGCAAAAATAAGGCACCATTTTTGTAAGCAGAAAAGAGCTATCACTACATGATAAACCTGCTGCAGGTTTGATCATGCACTACTCAGCCTCCAGAATTGTGAAAAATACATTTCTATTTTTTTTATGTTACCCAATCTGTTCTACTTTGTTATAGCAGCACAAATGGACTAAGACACTGGATGGTATTTCTTTAGTGTTAATTGCTGGGTAAAACATCTAACCATTATCTCTGAACTAACATGAGTTTATGAGAAAAAGCTATGGAAGACCCGCACTCTTAGTTTTCACTTAGGATCCACTTAGGATCTGCTTTTATAAATGATTTGATATGTACGAAGACATTTCCTTCACAAAGATTATAAGCATGTTTCTAAGTTTAGTTTATGAGATCTTTCCATTTATAAATTAGAAAAAAAATGGTGGGCTTTATAATGGTATAGATAGAATTTTTAAATACATGCAATTTTATTTGTATGTCATCTTTATTGAGGTAAAATTTACAAAAAAAATACTCATTTTGTGTGTACAGTTTAACAACTAATTACAAAGACATACAGTGATGTAATTTGTCACCACAGCTTTGTTTAGAACTTAAGATTAATTACTTTAATGGTTTGGTCTCTGGTAGTCAAACTTGGATGTGTGTTAGGTGATGTAAGTAGCAGTTACATATGGATGAAAAATATTCTTCATTTTCGCAGAGAAATGTGCACTTGACTTTATGAGAATAAACATAGTTAATGATAAAATAATACTTTCTTTTTATTATTTTTATTGTGTGTATATCTTTAACATTTCATATACTCACAGTGATTTGGGGAAGGATTTAGGTCTTTGTGCATTTACTAGCCATTATTGGACCATAGTGTCATTGAACAGAGCACCAGACACATGATTATCTGCAGCGGAGTCTAACTATAGTCATACATTGTGTGTAAAGGACAGAAGCCCACACAGTATTTTAATGCCATTTACAGTATTTTCTTCTTTTTAGTACTTTGCAAATGTTTTAATAAAAAAAAGTTAAATAATTAACTGTTGCTGAATATTTTAAATATCTGTGCAAGAAACCATCAAAGGATAATATAGAATTTTGGAACTAGCAACTTTGGGAGCTGTTAAAAACCCTAAGTCTAAAGGGCAAGAAAAGGGAGTAGATATCAAATCCAAGTTCTTGGTGGTAATGTCCACAATGGGTTGCCACAGCTTTCTATTAACTAATATTGAACACGATAGCACTAAGAAGCATTCAGTGAGTCTTCTGGATTGAAAATAGTGTTCTGTGTTCATTGTGTGGCAACATCCTGACATTCTTGTTAATTTCTTTTTTGGCCCATCAGTTCAGGAAGAGAAGAAAGGACAGGTTCAGCTTCCAGTTTCACAGAATAGTGCATTTACTTCCTGAACAATGCATTTCTTCTTGAGACAACAGGACCTTGGAACCTACTAAATCCTAAGGTCTTGGAGACTGGAAAAAATATTACTACAACATCTATTGCTGGTAATATCATAAGGGGCTACTTCTACTTCTTAGTTCCAGACTTATGCATTCTACTTATGGAGGTGATAACACCCTACACTGACCTACTTCTTTTGGACAAGAAGGGCATTTTTTATGATAGAAGATGTCATATTTTAGCTTTTAGTTAATCTATCTACCAATATAAAGTTAATTGCTTTAAGTGATGGGCATACTGTAGTATGTGTTTTCAAAATATTACAAAAGATGATTCATCCTGTTTGTGACTATTTACTACCATGGCCTTGTGTAGGATAAATTTTAGGTGCAAAATTTTTTGGCCTTAAACTCAATTAATAATTTATATCAATACCCATGTGAAATTAGCTATACTGATAAATGCATGGCCTCTTCTCAATTGAAAGTTCAGAATATGGCAAAGAAACATTTAAGAAAAATGACGGAACTCTAATCATGTAACCCAGTTTATTTTTTTTGAACCAAAGAATGTGAGAAGTAACAACAATCCCCAGTACCTGGCTAGTAAAAAACCCTAACTTGCCACATCATCATCAAGGTATTTCTTATCGAGTATTCCATGTGCTCAGCTCCCTGTGTCCCTCCAAGGAATATCACTGGGCAGAGGACACCTGCTGTCAGTCAAGGCAGACAGAAAAGTTTGGAGATTTAAAACTCTTATTATCCAGTCCAATCTTTTTTGTTTATATAGCTATGTAGCTTTTTGAGGAAAAACATGTTTAACCTGTAGGTATTTAGTATGTGGCTTTATGCTACATTTCAGTGAATTGAGATTTTGCTGCAACCTGAGTAGAATTAAAATTGAAACAAGTTCAAAGTTCAAATGTAGTACATATGTTAACATCAATGAGTATGTTTACATACCTCTCATTTTGCAAAATGTATTCTTTCTTTAGAGGTAATGTGTGGCATATCATCACAATGAAAAAGACATTCACGAAGTTCAGGAAAAGTGATACTGTAAGAAAAATTGAGTGTTGGTGTAATATTGTAAAACATGTATTTGGTCTTCCACCCACTTTTCCAGCATAAAACTACTAAAATCAGTAGAATCTCCAAAATTATGTGTTTTTGTAAGCTAACTAATTGACTGATGGCTGGCAATTCCTATGTAACTTTGAAATGAAGGACAGTCATTGGAAAGACCCAAGCAGGAGTAGAGAGTTGCGACTTTCATCTCCATCCCCCAACCTCCGGGGAGGATAGAGAAATTAAAGTTTAGGTTGATCGCCAATGGCCAATGTTTTAATCAATCACGCGTACATAATGAAGGCTTAAAAAAAAAAAACCTCAAAAGGACAGCATTCATAGAGTTTCCAGATACCTAAACCCACGGAGGTTCCTGGAGAATGACACATCTCAGGAGAGCACACAAGCTACACACCCCTTCCACTGTACCTGTATCACATGTAATAATTTTTATAATAAACTGATAAATGTATTTCACTGAATTCTGTGAAATGCAATAGCAAATTGATCAAAACCAAGGAAGGAGTTGGGGGCATGCTGATTTGTAGCTAGTTGGTCAAAGCATAGGTAAAACATACTGGGGCTACTAATTGGCATTGAGGAGTGTCTTGTTTGTCTGAGCCCCTAAACTGTGGAATCTGATGCTATCTCCCTAGCATTGTCAGAATTGAGTTGGAGGACACCCAGTTGCTGTCTACTGGAGAACTGATTCCTTATTTGATGTGTGGGGAACACCCTTTATACATTAACACTTGGTCACAGAAGTCTTCTGTATTGATCATTGTTTAGTAAGTGAATAGAAACACTTTGAGATTAGCTTTTTGCACACAGTACAGACACACTGTACAGCCATCATGTCCAGGAGTTGGCAGAGATATTACCTCAATTAAAATACCATGTCGCATATCATTCTCAGAGTAATGGTTTAGTACATAATTTAAAGTTAAAACATTTGCTTTCTATTATGGTTGGAATGTGTGCTTGCCCTCCAAAATTTATGCTGAAGTGTAAGCTGCAACACAAGAGTATTAAGAGATGGAGCCCTTAGGAGATAATTAGGCCATGGAAGTTTTACACTCATAAATAGAGTAGTGTTTTATATAAAAGCTTGAAGGTGAGTTTGTCCCATAAGTCTCTCCTACCATCTGAGGAGAAAGGGACAAGGCCCTATCTTGGAAGCGAGAGGAGCCCTCACTAGACACTGGACCTGCTTGGTCCTTGATCTTAGACCCCTAACCTCCACAACTGTGAAAAGAAAATATTCATCCTTTATTAATTACCCAGCTTCAGGTATTTTGTAAAGCAGCATAAATGATATAAGATACTATCTAAATCAGAAGGATATACAGACATGAAGGATGGGCCTACATGCCTTCATAAGTGTGTGCTCAACTCAACATGAAGGGGGATTCCTACTAACAAAGGATGTCTACTCCATACATACCCCTACTTTTCTGGAGTCTCTGGGAAAGAGGGAATGAGGAGGATTCTGGTGCAACTATACATTTCTCCCTCAGATGATCTCAACTTTTTTTTTCCTGCACTTCTCACAGTGGTCGCAAGACCAGGGATGCAAGTGTTCATGCCACAAGCAAGGATAATCCCTAAGCCAGAATTTGCAACTATAACTTTAAACCTTTGCGTCAGAATTTTTAAGGACCTTATAAAGTTGACTGTGCATTCACCGTATCTGGCAAGGTTCTAACTAACAGTAAATACTACTATGTTGAATTGTGGTCAGGATAGCCCATTAGTTCTGTATTTATATAACCATATACTATATAAATGGTAGACTGGAAGGAAAGAACTTTCTAGACTAAGATTGCTGCCAGCAATCAGGGCTAGCCCAGTGGGTGGACCTCACAACACTTCTGGTGGTAGAAAATTTGGGGTAAAAATAAGTTACAGATGGAGGGAAAGAGAAATCATTGCCTAAGTTAAAGGAATGAATAAGTGTGTTATCCAATGAAGGTAATCCAACAATATATTATTATCTGCAGAAAGGCTCAGAGCAAGAGCATAATATGATCTCTTAGCACAATTATACTAGATGTCTGGAATTGTGAAGCTATATGTTTGCCAAGATCAGCTGCACTTTTGGAACCTGACAAAGTCAAACAGCAGCCTGTAAAATTGCATGACATTAATCTGGGAGACACTCTGGTTGTACCATATGTTAATGAACAGGATCAACTGTTAATAACTAAAAGGAACTCTAGTAAATAGCCAGTTTTTTGACTCCTATTTTTCAGGCTCTCTCTGCTAAAGAAGATATCATTTTTTTTGTTTATTTCCTGGAAGAAAATGTAGGGACTTGCTGTCTACTAGAATTTTAAATGGTGTTTTTTTATGACTCTCGGAAGACAGATCACTGCATAACTGTACATTTGGATCACAAAATGCTTAGAAGCTTTATAATGGACAGTGACAGCCCACCCAGCAAGGCACAGTGCACTAATCACAAACATATCACCTTTGATTTATGGATAGAAAGTTATCCACAAATGTGAGTTTAAAAACCAATGGGTTTCTGGCAGAATTAAGCAGTGGACATTTTATGCTGAATCTGAGTTCCCCTGGGAAACAGCTCCACCCTAAAATAAGGAAGGATATGGGAGGCCTTTTGGCATACAAATGAAATTACATTTTTCTATGACTACCCCTTATCTATACTTATTATGGGGCATCTAACATTTTGGGGTGCAAAACATGTATTCTAACTTTACTCAGGTTATTAATATATAGAGGAAACAATGTGCTTGGTGGATTGACCAATACTGGTTCATGAAATGGAAAAGTGTCTTAGGAGAGATGAGTGCCATCTTATCTATCCTGGGAATGCCTGAATTTGTTTTTAGTGAGGAGCAGCATTCAGGGAAAATATAATTATAGGAAATTTTCTTCCAGGAAATAAACCAAAAATGAGAGTCAGGCTGGAAAGTTAGTGAGGCTTTAGCGAACTGTGTCAGGCAGTCTAAGCAATATTGGATAATGCTAGAGCCCAGCCCCTGGAAAGATCCTGTGGGTCACTCTAGTAAATTATTCACCCTGAGAATGGGGTCATAATTTGTAGCCAAGCCAGACAGTAGTTAATGGATAGCCTGGAGACTCACTACTTGCAACTGGCGTCTGGAAAGAAGAGCAGTGAGATTAAGCCCTTTACTTGTGGAATCTCATGCTATTGTCATGTATCTAGCGGCTTACTTGAATTAAATTGTGGGAAAAACGGTTGTTGTCAGCTGAGAATTAAATTGAACCATTGTGAAGGTAAAACATCCACATATTGGTGGCTGGAAGTTCTGTGTTGTGAGTGAATATACAGAAAATCAGTTTTTTTCCCCTAATCATTTTCTAATATAGGGGTTTATAGGTATAAGTTTTCCTCTGAGCCTTGCTTTCACTGAATCTCCAAAGTTTTGACATGTTGTGTTTTTATTGATTTTAAAGTATTTTATAATTACCTTTGCGATTTCTTTTCTGACTTATTGGTTGTTAACATTAACAGAATAAAAACTCTACTGCTATATAGTTCCATCACTCTTCTTTTTCTGTTACTGAGGTGACAAATTATATCTATATATTGTGTGCTTAATAACATGGATTACTAATTGTCTTTTAAGCAATTGTCCTCTAAATTATAAAAAAAATAAAAAGTAGAATCACAACCAAAATTACAAAAATATTATATTTTATAATTGTTATGAATTTACCTTCACTACACATCTTTATTCCTTTACATGTGTTCACATTGCTGCCCAGCACCCTTCTATTTAGAACTAAAATATTTTCTTTAGCATATTTTGCAGGGCCGGTATGGTAATAGTAAATTTTCTCTGCATTTTAAAAATCTGAAAATGTCCTAATTTCTATCTAATTTTTGAAGGACAGTTTTTCTGGATGTACAATTCTTTATTAACCTTTTTTTTCAGTACTTCAATTATGTCAATCCACTGCTTTTTGGCTCCAATGTTTCAGATAAGAAATTGGCTGATAATCTTACCAAGAATGACGTATTTATGATGAGTCACTTCTCTGTTTTCCAGTTTCTCTTACTGTTTTGACTATGAGCGTCTTGATTATAATGTGTCTTAGTGTGGGTTTTTTTGAGGTAATCCTACTTGGGGTTTGTTGAGCTTCTTGAATTTGTAGATTTATGTACTTTATTACTTTTTTTTATTTTCTGTAAGTAGTTTTTCAAATATTCTTTGCATCTTTTCTTTCCTTCTTCTCATTCTCAGACTTCCACAGTGTATATTTTGTTTTATTTGATAATACCCTACAATTTTCTTAGGTTCTGTTTATTTCTTTTCCTTTTTTTTAACTGACTCAATAATTTCAATGACTCTTTCTTCAGGTTTGCCAATTCTTTCTTCTATCTGCTAATATCTGCTTTTGAAATCTTCCAGTAAATTTTTCACTTCCATTATTGTATTTCTCAGCTCCAGAGTTTCCTTTTGGTTTCCTCTTTAATTTCTTTTTCTTGATTGATATCATTTTGTTCATTCATTGTTTTCTTGTCTTGATCTATTGATTCCTTTAGTTATTTAGACACATTTAAGACAGTTATTTTAAAATCATTTGTGTAGCAATTTAAGTGTCTGTGCTTTCTCAGAAATTGTTTTTGTAAGTTTATTTTGTTACTTTGAATGGGCAGTACTTTCATGTTTCTTTATATACTTCATAATTTCTTTTGAAAACCAGACATTGATTTTTTCATGGACTATGAAATCAGATTATCTTTCTTGTTTAGGGTATTTTTTTTAATTTTTTAACGATTTCTCCAGCCTCTATACAAAAGACATGTTGTCTGTCAGTTCTGATGTGCTGCCAGATACATATGAAGAAGGATTAGGAAGCCCAGCATTGACTATCATGAATAATGCTGCACACAACATGGATGTGTCAATATATTTTCAAGATCCTGATTTTAATTATTTTTGGAAAAATACCCCGAAGTGACACTGTTGGACAATATGCTAATTCTGTTTTAATTTATTTCAAGAAGCTTCATACTCTTCTCCATAGAGACTTCACCATATTTTATTCCTATAGATAAGGCACAAGGCTATTTGTCTATATTCTCTTTAACATTCATTATTTTCTGTTTTATGGAAAAGTTACCTTTCTTATGCTCACTTTAGACTTAGTTTTCCTTTTCTTAGTTCCTTGATGGGTAAAGGTAGGTTGCTTATTTGAGATGTTTCATCATTTGTAATATGGTTATTTTTTGCTATAACGTTTTCTCATACTACAAATTTTTGCTGTATGCATAATTTTTGATTCCTTCTTCGCATCCTTTTTTCTATCTTTTATGTGTATTCTTTGTGTTTAGAATGAGGATTACATGAAGCATTTTAAAATTATAACAAACTATTTTAGATGAAATGAAAAAACTTTAAAGATTAAAATTTTACTTCAATCACATATAAAACTTTGTCCCTTTACATCACTCATCCCCACTTAATATTCTTAATATCACTGAAGATATCTTCTTATATTGTTATTAATTTATGTACACTTATAGCTATTTTATGCTTTTGTTTTTTAAGTTGCATATCAGAACTAAAAGTAATTTATGCACCAACGTTAACTACAGAACTCCATATTTGATTATATATTTTCCTTTACTAGTGAAATATTTATTTTTGTGTGCTTTTGCTTAGCATACTTTTTTTTTTTGAGATAGAATTTCACTCTTTTTGCCCAGGCTAGAGTGCAATGGTGCAATCTTGGCTCACTGTAACCTCCACCTCCCAGGTTGAAGTGATTCTCCTGCCTCAGCATCCCAGGTAGCTGGGATTAAAGGTGCTTGCCACCATGCCCAGCTAATTTTGTATTTTTAGTAGAGACAGGATTTCACCACATTGGCCAGGATTGTCTCGAACTCCTGACCTCAGGTGATCTGCCCACCTCAGCCTGTAAAAGTGCTGGGATTACAGGCATGAGACACGGCGCCTGACCTGCCCAGCATACTTTCATTTCAATCTGAAGGACTCCTTTTAATATTTCTTCTAAGTCTAGCGTTGATTATATCCCTCATCATTTTTTTTTTCTAAATCTGGGAAAGTTTCATTCCTCTATGATTTTTGAAGGACAAATTTGCCAGATGTTATTCTCATTTGAAAAACTTTTTTTTTTAATTTCCTTGCAGCATTTTGAATATATTATCTCACTTACTTTTGGTTTGCATGATTTTTGCTGAGAATCTTGTTGATAATCTTATGGGAGTTTCTTTACATGTGGTAAGTCCCTTTTTTCTTGCTGCTTTCAAGATTTTCTTTTTGCTTATGACTTCTGAAACATTACCTTGTACATTGTTGCAGACTTCTTTGGATTATTCTCATTTGAACTTCACTGAGTTCTTGAATTTGTATGCCTATTATGCTCTGCAAAATTGGTAATTCTTTGTTCACTATTTCTCTCAAATATAATCTCTGCCCCAATATTTTACTCTTTTTTTACTAGGACTCTTATAATGCTTTATTGGTTAGCTTGATGGTGTATTTTAAGTTGTTTAGGCTGACTTCACTTTTTTATTGTGAATTTTTTCTTTAAATTTTTGCTCCCCTTCCTGAATAATTTCAAATAACCTATGTTCTTAAGTGTGTATTTTTTTTTATCTGTTTGATAAAGTCTTCTTGTGTTCTCCTCTAGTGAATGCTAAAAGTTCAGTTATTGTATTCTTCAGCTCCAGAATTTTTGCTTGGTTCTTTTTTTATAGAGTTTTACCTTTTCGTTAATGTTTTCATTTTTATAGGCACTATTTTTATTATTTTATATAGTTGTGTTCTCTCTTTGCTAATTGAGTATTTTAAAATGATAATTATGAATAATTTGACAAATAATTCATAGATCTTCATTTCCTTGAGGTTATTTTCTAGAAGTTTATTTTGGTCCCTTCATTGGGCCATGGTTTAGTGGTGTGTGTGTTTGTGTGTGTGTGTGGGGGGGGGGGTGTATGTATGCCTTGCTGCCTTGTGTTCTTTTGCTGCAATTTGGATATTTGAAAAAATAGCTGCATCTCCCATTATTTACTACTTAGCTTGATACAAAAGACTGTCTTCACCAGTCAGCCCAGCTAGAGATTCTGCAGGTCTCTCAAACCTTTTCTGGGAATGTGTCTTCTCTCAGCTTCTGTATGTAATTACCCAGATAAACTTTTTTTTTTTCTATTTCATCTTTAGGAGTTTGTAGTCTTTTGCTCCCTCTGCTGTCATTCTGTGGTAGGGCAGCCTTTTTAACACTGCCACTCGTGGTTTTGTTCTCAGTAGATCACAGGCATCCAAATTCTGCTAGTTCCTGTGATTTCTTTGAGTTAGGTGTCAGAAACTAGCCCCTTGTGCAGCCCCTCCAAAAACTAGAACATTAAAACACACTTTACTCTTCTCTTTCTTTCCTGTGGGAGAAGGTATGGCTAGGGAATTTTCTCCTAACTGTGCCATGCTGTACTGGCTGTACTCTATAGTGAGCCAATTCTGTGAAATTTCTTAGCAATTTCAATGAAGTTCTTCTTGGCTTTGCTCTTGCCTGGGGTGCTGAAATCTTTGAAATTGTTTCTGGAGTATTTTCATAAAGGCAATTTGGTATATATATATATATATATATTTGTTAAGTCCATTTCTCTGTGAAGAGGAAAGGAACACGGCTTTCCTATTCTGCCAACATCAGTCTCCCTCCACCTACACACCACATATCACTTTCAAAGGATATGTACTGACAACAAGGCAATACACTCTTATGTTCTATATTAGGTAATGAGACTATAGGCACTTATTTAAGTACTTTATACTATTTTGTCAGTTTGTAATATTTCATGTAATTTAAAAAGACTAGAAGATATGCCAAGAAATTCTTGCAATTAGAAAAAATAAAAATGGCATAGTTTTGGTGATGACATAATAATCCATTAGGCCATTATTTGATTTTAATTATAATAATTTATATAGAAATTTATATTCGTATTAATAAATGGGGTTATAATTTGATTTAAGTGTCTTCAGACCATGCTCAACCTAATGTGAACATGCTCCAAAGGTTTAGTTATAGCTGAGTAGTCTGGAATTTAAAATTTCTCTTTTTTTATAGAAACATCTTATATAAATGTATGGCTAACTGGCAAGATTCCAAAATACTAATATGTAAGTACTGACTAAGTATAAAAACAACAGAGCTGAAATATTAGTAGATAAAATGTATACATAAAATCATTAAATGTATAGTAGTCTTTAAAATCATTTAGAGGAAATCAGATGAGAAATTGATGAAGAAGTAGCAATAAGTAATATGGAAAATCTGCTTGTGGTGTTCAGGTCTATGATCGCAACCATTCTTGTGTAATTTATTTTGTTTCTTACATTGAGAAGTTGACTAAAGGCCTATAATGGCAGGGTGTCACAGAGAGTTGAGCCCATTAATATACATTTCAATAATAATACTTGTCCCATGAATCTATTAAGTATTAAATTAATTTATGATAGTCATATAACATGATTTCTGGTAAATTCACTGTAAGAAATCATATATAATAGTACACTAATGTAGCCTTATTAGAACATTTGTACATAAAAAAACAAATAATAATGATAATTTAAAACTTATTTCCTTTTGAGGAAAGCAAAACTTGAAGATAAAGCAAAATAGATTTTAAGGAGATAATTGCTGCTTATAAATAGAATGGATAAAACACGCAGAACAAAATATGAAGTGGAAGAAAAGAGCAAGACACTCATAATGCAAAAATACTTCCCTCCACAAGTTGTTTATGAAAAGAGATACCACGTATACTCATTCGCGGACTGGTGAATAGGTGACACTGTTGAGATAGATTAAAATAATATGAAAAGAGATTGTGACTAAATTCATGTACACCTGTCATGGAAACAAGAAGTGCCACCATTTTGTGAAGTATTAACACATTGGAATAACTCTTTTTTTTTTTTTTTTTTTTTTAGTTTTCCACTACTTTGATGGAAACTGTATGTAGATTTGATATACACAGACAGCTTGTATTTAATTTAGATAATAACTAATGGAATGACTGATAATTAATTAAATATCAATGAAAATAATAACTTCGTTCACTGTTTATCTAGACCTTAACCTAGTGTTTCCAATGTACTGCACATTGGAATCTGCTGGAGATCTTTATAAAACACAAAATCTGGCTCTTAATTCCAAAATCTGTTTTCATTGATATTCAAAATGGGCATCATTCTTGTCAAAAGCTCCCAAGACTGTGTCAATACACAGCAAAATTTGGAACAGCTGCCTTTATTTGATATGCAAAAAACACATATTTTCTATATATATAGGAGAAATGCAAATTTTTCTGCCTTCCCTTCTGATAACATATGAAAACATGACCCTTTCATTAAAAATATTCTTTCTCTCGCCTCCTTTCAATGATTCCCATGGGTTTTAGAACTCTATCCTTTCAGTTCCCTGTTAAAAAAGCAGAGTATCCCTGGACAATGTTGTGAGGGCAGCATAGGTGATCAGGAGAAAACATACCAAAGGCCAATGAGATTCTGATTCCAGTTATCTCAAAAGACAATGCCAAATTGAAGGCCAAGGAAAGTCTTATGAGAAACCATTACTGAGAAGCATAAAGTCTTCTATGCTACAGGTGGTCAGCTTCAGAGACCAAAGGGAGCCTCACAGTGTATGCAGGCTCGGCTGTCTGGATGGCCTCCCACCTTCACAGCATCTTAGCCAATCACTGCATTTAATTAAAGAGAATAGACAGCCTTAGAACAAATACAAACAGTTCTCTCGAGATTACAATAAAATGACAAGCATCATAGTACAAATCAGTATTAATTATTAAAAAAATTTTAAAGACATACCATATAAATTATTGTGCATTCTAAATATATACACATAATGGGGACAGGCTCATGCCTGTAATCCCAGCACTTTGGGAGGCCAAGGTGGGCGAATCACGAGGTCAGGAGTTCGAGACCAGCCTGACCAACGTGATGAAACCCTGTCTCTACTGAAAAAATTAGCCAGGCATGGTGGCATGCACCTGTAATCTCAGCTACTCAGAAGGCTGAGGTGGGAGAATCGCTTGAACCTGGAAGGCAGAGGTTGCCATGAGCCGAGATCTCATCACTGCACTCCAGCCTGGATGACAGAGCGGGACTCTGTCTTAAAAAAAAAAAAAAAAAAAATTTATATACACATCATGGCAATAATACTTAATTTTTCCTTTATATACTTGTTTTAAAACTGCAATTAATTTATAAATATACCCTTTTAAAATTTGTAAGGATTTCAAAAATTTTAGTAAGGCAATTGAGATCATTTATATCTTTAACAAATCAAGCACAAAAATTAAAACTTCAACTAGATATGCCACTAAGAATGTAAGAGATTGAACAGAATAAAAAATGTAATAGACAGGCATACCTCATTTTACTGTTCTTTGCTTTTTTTGAGCTTTGCAGTTATTGTTTTTAAAAAAATTTGAAGGTTTCTGACAACCCTGCATCCAGCAAGATTTTTAGTGTTATTTTTTCAGTATGTGTTTTCTTTGTGTTTTTGTGTCATATTTGGGTAATTTTCACAACATTTTAACTTTATTATTATTATATCTCTGATGACAATCTGCAATCAATGATTTCTGATGTTACTATTATAATTTGGCAGAGGGCTGGGGGGTACCACAATCCACGCCCATATAAGACTGCAAACATAATTGGTAAGTGTGTATATTCTGACTGTTCCACCAAATGGCCATTCTCATCTTTTTTCCCCTCTCCTTGGGCCTTCCTATTTTTTGAGACATAACAATACAATATTAGACCAATTAATAACTCTGCAATGGCCTTTACTTGTCCAAGTGAAAGGAAGAGTTGCACATCACTCACATAAAATCAAAAGCTAGAAATGAAACTTAGTAAGGAGGGCAGGTCAAAACCTGGATAGGCAGAAAGCTAGACTGCTTGCCAGTTAGCCAAGTTACAAATGCAAAAGAAAAAAAATTTAAAGCAATTAACAGTGCTATTCCAGTGAACACATAAAAGATAAGAAAGGGAAATAGGCGTATTGCTGATACGGAGAAAATTTTAGTGGTCTGGATAGAAGATCAAATTATTCTCAACATTCCCTGAAACCAAAGCCTAATCCAAAGCAAGGCCCTAACTCTCTGAATTCTATGAAGGCTGAGAGATGAGGATTCTGCAGATCAAAAGTTTGACACTAGTAGAGGTTGATTCATGAATTTAAGAAGCCATCTTCATAAAATAAGAGTGTAAGGTGAAGCAGCAAGTATTGATAAAGAAATTGCAAGTTATTAGAACAAAGGGGCTACAGGCCCCAGGCAACTCCAAAACCCAGCAGGACACTCATTAAATCTTAAAGCTTCAAAATAGTTTCCTTTGACTCCATGTCTCCCATCCAGGGCACACAGATGCAATGGGAGGGCTCTCAAGGCTTTGGGCAGCTCTGGCCCTGTGGATCTGCCTGTCTTTTTCTCATCTTCCTGTCTTTTTCTGAGCCCTCCAAACTGTTCCAACCTCTGCCCATTACCCAGCTCCAAAGTTGCTTCCACATTTTCAGGTATCTTTATAGCAACGCCCCACCTCTCTAGTTTCCTGTATTAGTTTGTTGTCACATTGTTCTCACATCTTCTGTATTACTTTGTTCTCACATTGTTCTCACATCTTCTGTATTACTTTGTTCTCACATTTGTTCCATATTGCTGTAAAGAACTACCTGAGACTGGGTAATTTATGAAGAAAAGAGGTTTAAATTACTCACAGTTTCCCAGGTTTTATAGGTGCCATGGCTGAGGAGGCCTCAGAAAACTTATAATTCTGAGAAGGTGAATGGGAAGCCAATATGTCCTACCTGACCAGAATAGGAGGAAGGTGGAGGGGAGCTGCTACACACTTTTAAACAACCAGATCTTCTGAAAACTCCATGACAAGACAGCACTTGGGGGGTTGTCCTAAACCATTAGACGTAGAATGCCCTCAAACTTCTCCATTTTACACAAACACTTGCAAATGGAAGCCCCATGAAGCCAAAAAATTGCCCCAATAGAGTTTTTCTCCTTGTCTTTCCTCATTCTTAAATTTTTTTCCCACTTTTTGTTCTTAAAAGGAGGAACCAAGCTGTGGCCTAGGGTTTTTTGTGTGGTGCATCAGTGTGTGATGATTATAAGTGAGACCCCACATGTTTTAATGTTGAGTTGTTTCTGCCTTCTTACATGTATTAGTGAATCTTTGAAATGCTTGTTCTTCAGTGCCATAAAGAAATAGCACTTGAAAATAAATTTAATTGCTTCAGCACGGCCATTTTTTTTTTAACTTTCTGCAGAAAGAGTAAACGCACCAGCAGTTTTGCCACAAGATTACACTGAACAAAGGAGACAGGGTCATTTATAACTTGATGCGTCCATCTTACTGCTGTGTCCAATTTCTATTGGCAGGAATAGGACCTCACATTCTGTATTTGTCCTGATTGGCTAACAACTTAGAACTTTAGTCAAAGGAGAACAAAGGAAGAAGGATGTAATTTGTTGAATGTTGAGAAAGGTTAAAAATATCTTCAAATAACTCTCAACAAACTAGGTATTGATGAGATGTATCTCAAAATAATAGCTATTTATGACAAACCCAAAGCCAATATCGTACTGAATGGGAAAAAACTGGAAGCATTCCCTTTGAAAACTGGCACAAGACAGGGATGCCCTCTCTCACCACTCCTATTCAACATTGTGTTGGAAGTTCTGGCCAGGGCAATCAGGCAGGAGGAATAAATAAAGGGTATTCTATTAAGAAAACAGGAAGTCAAATTGTCCCTTTTGCAGATGACATGATTGCAAAGTTAGAAAACCACATCATTTCAGCTCAGAATCTCCTTAAGCTGATAAACAACTTCAGCAAAGTCTCAAGATACAAAATCAATGGCAAAAATCACAAGCATTCATATACACAAAGAACAGACAAACAGAGAGTCAAATCATGAGTGAACTCCCATTCACAATTGCTTCAAAGAGAATAAAATACCTAGGAATCCAACTTACAAGGGATGTGAAGGACCTCTTCAAGGAGAACTACAAACCACTGCTCAATGAAATAAAAGAGGACACAAATGGAAGAACAGTCCGTGCTCATGAATATGAAGAATCAATATTGTGAAAATGGCCATACTGTCCAAAGTAATTTACAGATTCAATGCCATCCCCATCAAGCTACCAATGACTTTCTTCACAGAATTGGAAAAAACTACTTTAAAGTTCACATGGAAGCAAAAAAGAGCCGGCATTGCCAAGACAATCCTAAGCCAAAAGAACAAAGCTGGAGGCATCACACTGCCTGACTTCAAACTATACTACAAGGCTACTGTAGTAACCAAAACAACATGGTACTGGTACCAAAACAGAGATAAAGACCAGTAGAACAGAACAAAACCCCAGAAGTAATACCACATATCTACAACCATCTGATCTTTGGCAAGCCTGACAAAAACAAGAAATGGGGAAAGGATTCCCTATTTAATAAATGGTGCTGGGAAAACTGGCTAGCCATATGTAGAAAGCTGAAACAGGATCCCTTCCTTACATCTCATACAAAAATTAACTCAAGGTGGATTAAAGACTTAAATGTTAGAACTAAAACCATCAAAACCCTAGAAGAAAACCTAGGCAATACCAATAAGGACATAGGCATGGGCAAGGACTTCATGACTAAAACACCAAAAGCAATGGCAACAAAAGCCAACATTGACAAATGGGATCTAATTAAACTAAACAGCTTCTGTGCAGCAAAAGAAACTACCATCAGAGTGAACAGGCAACTGACAGAATGGGAGAAAATTTTCACAATCTACCCATCTGCCAAAGGGCTAGTATCCAGAATCTCCAAAGAACTTAAACAAATTTACAAGAAGAAATCAAACCACCCCATCAAAAAGTGGGCAGAGGACACTTGAACAGACACTTCTCAAAAGAAGACATTTATGCAGCCAACAGACACATGAAAAAATGTTCATCATCACTGGCCATCAGAGAAATGCAAATCAAAAACCACAATGAGATACCATCTCACAACAGTTAGAAAGGCAATCATTAAAGTCAGGAAACAACAGGTGCTGGAGAGGATGTGGAGAAATAGGAATGCTTTCACACTATTGGTGGGACTGTAAACTAGTTCAACCATTGTGGAAGACAGTGTGGCAATTCCTCAGGGATCTACAACTAGAAATACCATTTTACCCAGCCATCCCATTACTGGGTATATACCCAAAGGATTATAAATCATGCTGCTTTAAAGACACATGCAAACTTATGTTTATTGTGGCACTATTCACAATAGCAAAGACTTGGAACCAACTCAAATGTTCATCAATGATAGAGTGGGTTAAGAAAATGTGGCACATATACACCATGTAATACTATGCAGCCATAAAAAAATGAGTTCATGTCATTTGCAGGGACATGGATGAAGCTGGAAAACACCATTCTGAGCAAACTATCGCAAGAACAGAAAACCGAACAATTCATGTTCTCACACATAGGTGGGAATTGAACAAGGAGAACACTTGGACACAGGGACCATCACACACTGGAGCCTGTAGTTAGTGGAGTGGGGGGAGGGGGGAGTGGTAGCATTAAGAGATATACCTAATGTAAATGTGGAGTTAATGGGTGCAGCTAACAGGTGCAGCACACCAACATGGTACATATATACATATGTAACAAACCTGCACGTTGTGCACATGTACCCTAGAACTTAAAGTATAATAAAAAAATTAAAAAACAAAATAAAAATATAAAAATATAAAAGAAAAAAGTAAATGACCTATCCCTCACCCCCCCAAAAAAAATACCTTCAAATAAGGAAGAGGAACAGACTATATCCTAATGCTTGCTTTGACCAGTATAAGCATGCCAGAGTAAATATTTAGGCTCCATTGTAGGAGCTAAGAACATAAAGTACATAGATTTCTTTATTATGGCTAGCAGATATTTAAAAATGTCAGCACTGGTCTTTGAATAAATTTTGCTTCTAAGAGAACTTACTATTTATTCTTAATTAGATGGGGAGGAAAGTCTTTGAAGAGGAACTTCTACTTTAGTTTTTACAGTGAAGCAGCCTAGGGTCACTGGAGCAGTCTTGTTGTTTGAAGTATCACCAGGAGTTCTTTGTCTCAAGACCCAAAAAATTAAGGATCATGAACACCAACGGTAATGTTGGAAGAGAAGTTTAATAAGCGAAAGAGAAAAGCTGTCTACTATGAAGAGGAAGCATTCACAGTTGAATGCAGACTTTTCTATACAAAAATAAAAGCTAATGAGGCAGAGTGTTTCGTGTGCATAAGGCATGAAAAACCGGTTAGGAATGGATGTCTTATTTGCATACATACAAATTCTTGTTAGCTCCACCTCTTCCCTCTAGTGTGCATGCAGGTCCTTAGCCTGAGTTACTGCATGTTGTTTTATTTTGCTTACTGACTCTGTGTCACTGCGGACGTGTGTGGTTCTGTGTAACTTTCCTTATCTATACAGCTACAGGTCTGTCTTAGGAAAGCACCCTGTGCAAGTTCCTTTATCTGAGTATGTCAGAAAAGAAAAGGAATGTGCTCACTGAAGACCATCGTGAATAGACAGAGCTCACTGGTTGCACAGAAGACAAAGGCTTTGGACTTTTCTTCCTTACCTGCGCTTGCAGCTTGATTTCCTCCAGACTGTTATTTTTGGGGGAGGGCTTCTACCAAGAACCTTGTCCTAACTATTTGCCTAACTGGTTCCTTATTTTCTGTTCTCATTAGTTCTCTCTCCAGACGTCTATCACCTCCATGAGGTCTCAAAACACTGAGTGATCAGCTCTTACATACATTTGCTAGATGAGCTTTTTAAACTCATTGTGTTGGGGGAGTTCTCTGTTTGGCCACTATACATCGTGAAGGTTTAACACCCCAGACATTCCAAATAGGCCCCTTTCGCTTGGAGAAGCAAAATGTCCTTTCTCCTCAGTGCTGAGGAGCTCAGTCTCTCATCTCTCACTGATCTACAAAAATAATAGTTCGGCTCCTCATGCAAATGTGCAGACAAGCCATTTGAGCTTATCTTTGGGAGAAAAGGCAATGGAGAGGACCCTTTAGAATGTACTCCTGAACTATAATTAGGATTCTAAAAGACAACTTCCCAGGAGAAAAAAAAAATTCAGAAAAAAACAAGGACTATCAACCAAAGGGAGGTCCAGGGCTCAAGAAGACTTACCAGTCCCACCGAAGAAGAAGCTCAAAATTGGAGAGGCTTTCAGTGGACCTCTGTTGCTACCTTAGCTTCAAGTTCAGGCATGTTTTATGGTGTCCTGAGTTTTCTCTGAGGCCCCACATATTCAAATGTCAAGTTGTTATTGATGAAAAGAGTCAAACATTTTAAAATATTTAAAGAGTTTTATTCTGAGCCAAATATGAGTCAATGATGGCCTGTGACATAACACTCAGGAGATCCTAAGAATATTTCCCCATGGCGCTCAGGCTACAGCTTAGTTTTATGCAATTTAGAGAGACATTAGTCATCAATCAATACAGGTAAGTTATACATTGACATGGTCTGAATAGGCAGGACAACTGGGAGCAGGGGCTTCCAGGTCATAGGCTAATTCAAGGATTTTCTATTGGCAATTGGTTGAGTTATATTGTTGTCTAAAGATATAGAATTAATAGACAAGAATGTCTAGGTTAAGATAAGGGGCTGTGAATACCAAGGTTTTATCATGCAGATAAAGCGGTCAGGCAACAGGCTTGAGAGAATATAGATTGTAAATGTTTCTTATCAAACGTAATGAGTCTGTTCTATTGTCTTTAAGGTCTGTGTTGATGTTAGTGCTTGTAAGATTTTCCTGAGTTCAAAAAGCGAGGAGGGTATAATGAGGCATGTCCTATCCCACCACCCCACTTCCCATCATTGTCTGAACCAGTTTTTCAGATTAAGTTTGAAATGCTCTTTGCTGAGAGTAAGGGTCCATTTAGGTGGTTGAGGATGCTTAAAATTTTATTTTTGGTTTACATCTACATAGAGTTGTTGAATAATTAGAACATAATGATAATATTTTACCTAATGTCATTATTAGCCTTCTGCTTATTAACACAGAAACCAAAACCATGTCTTTTCTCCTATACATTTTTTCCCGTCTCAGATATTATCAGTAAATACAAATTTCAAATTAATTTCTCACATTTACTATTAACAATTTATGTTTTATTCCATAAGGTTGACATGTCTCAGTAACTAATATACAATTTTTATCATTTTCCCTGTTTCTAAACTCTTATCTTTACATATCACTCTATGTTGAGATGCAAGAATTTCTTGCTAAGGAAAAGCTCGATCTTGTGACTGTCCTTTAAAACTTGAGTAAGTAATTATTTGCCTATAAATTATCATTCAGACTAATAATTGTTTATTTAAAACTAATTTCTCCTATTTCAAACTAACTTTGTTCTGTAACGTCCTGCCCTGAACTTTCTCTGTGATCACTACTCACTGGAATGACTTTTAAATATCCTATACTTTCGTCATGCTTGTATTGATTGTGAAATGCTTCCTTTGGCAACAATAAATCCTAATGAAGCTTTCATCTCACCTCCTAAGTCAAATGTCTTACTAAAGCTTTTATTAATTATCAGATATTAAAGCAATTGTGCATTTTTCTCCTCTGAAATACTGAACACTTTGCACTTAGTATATAGAATTAATGAAAATAGTTACCCAAAGTCTCCAAGTGTATTCCCAGTAATTCTTTGTATTGTCCTTGTGAGCAAAGGATGTGAAACATGAGTTCTTCTAAACCATCTGACACCTTGGATTTAGTGTGGAATGAATGTAAATGTGGTTGTGTGCATATGTTTCTGCACATGAATTATTAAATCTAAAGAATTTTAAAAAATTTCTTTATCATCAATCCAGATAATAAAAGTATCTTTATGTGTTTTATTTCTAAGCTCTAGAAGGTTGGAACAAATTTTCCCTGATACATTGCAACATTGCATTTCTTTTTGATATCTTCAATAAATGTGAAGCTGGCAACCAACCAATGAACTTTATTTACACTTAAAATATTAATTTTTAACTTCTGTGCTTATATTGTCATTTCAATTTCATGCTTAGTAACTACAAAGCTAGTGCAGATCAGTGTGTGAGGGAAATGTCATCATGAGGCCCGAGAAGTCAGCTTTGGTATTTCGGCTCCTGCAACTCTTCTGTGCTAGTTGTGAATTCTGTGAGAAGGTCCTGGTGTGGCCCTGTGACATGAGCCATTGGCTTAATGTCAAGGTCATTCTAGAGGAGATCATAGTGAGGGGCCATGAGGTAACAGTATTGACTCACTCAAAGTCTTTGTTAATTGACTACAGGAAGCCCTCTGCACTGAAATTTGAGGTGGTCCATATGCCACAGGATAAAACAGAAAAAAATGAAATATTTGTTGACCTAGCTCTGAATGTCTTGCCAGGCTTAACAACCTGGCAATCAGTTATAAAATTAAATGTTTTTTTGTTGAAATAAGAGGAACTTTAAAAATAATGTGTCAGAGCGTTATCTACAATCAAACACTTATGAAGAAGCTACAGGAAACCAACTACGATGTAACGCTTATAGACCCTGTGATTCCCCGTGGAGACCTGATGGCTGAGTTGCTTCCAGTCCCTTTTGTGCTCACACCTAGAACTTCTCTAAGAGGCAAGATGGAGCGAAGCTGTGGGAAACTTCCAGCTCCACTTTCCTATGTACCTGTGCCTATGACAGGACTAACAGACAGAATGACCTTTCAGGAAAGATTAAAAATCCAATGCTTTCAGTTTTCTTCCACTTCTGGATTCAGGATTATGACCATCATTTTTGGGAAGAGTGTTAGAGTAAGGCATCAGGTAAGAGATTCTTATTTTATTTTTAATTTAATTATCAAAATAAATTTTTTTTAAAGTTGCCATACATCGTCTATGACACATATATGCAGGTTAATGAGTTTTTATTATAGAAAATGTTATAGCTGTTCTTCATAAAGAAAGTAGATTTGTTCTAAGTGTAAGGTAACCTACTTCCTTAATACCAGTAATAAACTTACAAATGATCATCATTAACAAGGAGATTATATTTTGTATTTCCTCCAAATAGCCCAAATCTACATCGCATATTTTTGAGAATCATTGATTGTTATTTTGACTGTTATACCATTTCTATTGAAACAAGATGCTAATCATTCTTTTCTCTCTCATCAAAAATTTCAAAAAAAAATCTTCAGAAAGTCCTCTTTGAATTATTTTCACAGAGGTGGTTAAATTGAAACATTTTCTAGAATTCTCTAATTTCTTAGTTGATTACTTCACAAAAACTTGAAAAAATATTACAAAAAGTTAAATGACTTATGGTCTTGTGGCGCATGAGATACAATTTTTACTTTACTGATATATATCTATTTGACTTATTTTTATTTCTTTGCTTTACTGATAAAAATTGTTTTACTTTGCAGTTTTCATACACCGTTGTGATCAGAGCTGGTAAATGCAAGACATGATTTTAATCCAAAAATGTTTGAGAAATATGTAGAAACATGAACAAAGGAACAGTCATAATAGACACTAAATTATTGTTTAAAGTATTCCACTGAATTCTAATACATAGATTGTTTCACAGAACTAATATTCAGAGGATCCCACTTCAAATGTCCTTAGCCTTAGACATGTTTTGAAATTACATGTATTGATTTCCTCTAATTAATTTTGTATTCAGTAAGCTCTGCCTAGCTTAACATTTTATTTCCATAAGTTGTTATGCATAGGCATATTTCATTTTATTATCCTTTGCTTTATTGTGCATCACAGAAATTGCAATTTACAAATTAAAGTTTTTTTATTATACTTTAAGTTTTAGGGTACATGTGCAAAACGTGCAGGTTAGTTACATATGTATACATGTACCATGTTGGTGTGCTGCACCCATTAACTTTTCATTTAACATTAGGTATATCTCCTAATGCTATCTCACCCCTCTCCCCCACCCCACAACAGACACCGCTGTGTGATGTTCCCCTTCCTGTTTCCATGTGTTTTCACTGTTCAATTTCCACCTGTGAGTGAGAACATGCGGTGTTTGGTTTTTTGTCCTTGCAATAGTTTGCTGAGAATGATGGTTTCCAGCTTTATCCATGTCCCTACAAAGGACGTGAACTCATCATTTTTTATGGCTGCGTAGTATTCCATAGTGTATATGTGCCTCATTTTCTTAATCCAGTCTATCATTGTTGGACATTTGGTTTGGTTCCAAGTCTTTGCTGTTGTGAATAGTGCTGCAATAAACATACGTGTGCATGTGTCTTTATAGCAGCAGGATGTATAATCCTTTGGGTATATACCCAGTAATGGGATTGCTGGGTCAAATGGTATCTCTAGTTCTAGATCCCTGAGGAATCACCACACCGACTTCCACAATGGTTGAACTAGTTTACAGTCCCACCAACAGTGTAAAAGTGTTCCTATTTCTCCACATCCTCTCCAGCACCTGTTGTTTCCTGACTTTTTAATGAACGCCATTCTAACTGGTGTGAGATGGTATCTCATTGTGGTTTTGATTTGCATTCTCTGATTGCCAGTGATGATGAGCATTTTTTCATGTTTCTTTTGGCTGCATAAATGTCTTCTTTTCAGAAGTGTCTGTTCATATCCTTTGCCCACTTTTTGATGGGGTCGTTTGTTTTTTTCTTGTAAATTTGTTTGAGTTCATTGTAGATTCTGGATATTAGCCCTTTATCAGATGAGTAGATTGCAAAAACTTTCTCCCATTCTGTAGGTTGCCTGTTCACTCTGATGATAGTTTCTTTTGCTGCACAGAAGCTGTTTAGTTTAATTAGATCCCATTTGTCAATTTTGGCTTTTGTTGCCATTGCTTTTGGTGTTTTAGACATGAAGTCCTTGCCCATGCCTATGTCCTGAATGGTATTGCCCAGTTTTCTTCTAGGGTTTTGATGGTTTTAGTTCTAACATTTAAGTCTTTAATCCACCTTGAATTAATTTTTGTATAAGGTGTAAGGAAGGGATCCAGTTTCAGCTTTCTACATATGGCTAGCCAGTTTTCCCAGCACCATTTGTTAAATAGGGAATCATTTCCCCATTTCTTGTTTTTGTCAGGTTTGTCAAAGATTAGATGGTTGTAGATGTGTGGTATTACTTCTGAGGGTTCTGTTCTGTTCCTTTGGTCTATATCTCTGTTTTGGTACCAGTACCATGCTATTTTGGTTACTGTAGCCTTGTAGTATAGTTTGAAGTCAGGTAGTGTGATGCCTCCAGCTTTGTTCTTTTGGCTTAGGATTGACTTGGCAATGTGGGCTCTTTTCTGGTTCCATATGAACTTTAAAGTAGTTTTTTCCAATTCTGTGAAGAAAGTCATTAGTAGCTTGATGGGGATGGCATTGAATCTATAAATAACCTTGGGCAGTATGGCCATTTTCATGATATTGATTCTTCCTATCCATGAGCATGGAATGTTCTTCCATTTGTTGGTATCCTCTTTTATTTCATTGAGCAGAGCTGTGTAGCTCTCCTTGAAAAGGTCTTTCACAGCTCTTGTAAGTTGGATTCCTGCATATTTTATTCTCTTTGAAGCAATTGTGAATGGGAGTTCACTCATGATTTGGCTGTTTGTCTGTTATTGCTGTATAAAAATTCTTGTGATTTTTGCACATGGATTTTGTATCCTGAGACTTTGCTGAAGTTGCCTATCAGCTTAAGGAGATTTGGGGCTGAGATGATGGGGTTTTCTAGACATACAATCATGTCATCTGCAAACAGGTACAATTTGACTTCCCGTTTTCTTAATAGAATACGCTTTATTTCTTCCTCCTGCCTGATTGCCCTGGCCAGAACTTCCAACACAATGTTGAACAGGAGTGGTGAGAGAGGGCATCCCTGTCTTGTGCCGGTTTTGAAAGGGAATGTTTCCAGTTTTTGCCCATTCAGTATGATATTGGCTGTGGGTTTGTCATAGGTAGCTCTTATTATTTTGAGATACATCCCATCAATACCTGATTTTTTGAGATTTTTTTAGCATGAAGCATTGTTGAATTTTGTCCAAGACCTTTTCTGCATCTATTGAGATAATCATATAGTTTTTGTCATTGGTTCTGTTTATATGCTGTATTATGTTTATTGATTTGAGTATGTTGAACCAGCCTTGCATCCCAGGAATGAAACCCATTTGATCATGGTGGATAAGCTTTTTGATGTGCTCCTGGATTCGGTTTGTCAGTATTTTATTGAGGATTTTTGCATCGATGTTCATCAGGGATATTGGTCTAAAATTCTCTTTCTTTGTTGTGTCTCTGCCAGGCTTTGGTATCAGGATGATGATGACCTCATAAAATGAGTTAGGGATGATTCCTTTTTTCTATTGATTGGAATAGTTTCAGAAGGAATGCTATCAGCTCCTCCTTGTACCTCTGGTAGAATTTGGCTGTGAATCCATCTGGTCCTGGATTTTTTTGGTTGGTAAGCTATTGATTATTGCCTCAATTTCAGAGCCTGTTATTGGTCTATTCAGAGATTCAACTTCTTGCTGGTTTAGTCTTGGGAGATGTATGTGTCGAGGAATTTATCCATTTCTTCTAGATTTTCTAGTTTATTTGCGTAGAGGTGTTTATACTATTCTCTGATGGTACTTTGTATTTCTGTGGGATCGGTGGTGATATCCCCTTTATCATTTTTCATTGTGTCTATTTGATTCTTCTTTCTTTTCTTATTTATTAGTCTTGCTATCAATTTTGTTGATCTTTTCAAAAAACCAACTCCTGGATTCATTGATTTTTTTGAAGGGTTTTTTTGTGTCTCTATATTCTTCAGTTCTGCTCTGATCTTAGTTATTTCTTGCCTTCTGCTAGCTTTTCAATTTGTTTGCTCTTGCTTCTCTAGTTCTTTTAATTGTGGGGTTACGGTGTCAATTTTAGATCTTTCCTGCTTTCTCTTGTGGGCATTTAGTGCTATAAATTTCCTTCTACAAACTGCTTTGAATGTGTCCCAGAGATTCTGGTATGTTGTGTCTTGGTTCTCCTTGGTTTCAAAGAACATCTTTATTTCTGCTTTCATTTCGTTATGTACCCAGTAGTCATTCAGGAGCAGGTTGTTCAGTTTCCATGTAGTTGAGCGGTTTTGAGTGAGTTTCTTAATCCTGAGTTCTGCTTTGATTGCACTGTGTTCTGAGAGACAGTGCAATTTGTTATAATTTCTCTTCTTGTACATTTGCTGAGGAGTGCTTTACTTCCAACTATGTGGTCAGTTTTGGAATAGGTGTGGTGTGGTGCTGAGAAGAATGTATATTCTGTTGATTTGGTGTGGAGAGTTCTGTAGATGTCTATTAGGTCTGCTTGGTGAAGAGCTGAGTACAATTCCTGGACATCCTTGTTAACTTCCTGTCTCGTTGATCAGTCTAATGTTGACAGTGCGGTGTTAAAGTCTCCCATTATTATTGTGTGGGAGTCTAAGTCTCCTTCTAGGACTCTAAGGATTTGCTTTATGAATCTGGGTACTCCTGTATGGCGTGCATATATATTTAGAATAGTTAGCTCTTCATGTTGAATTGATCCCTTTACCATTATGGCCTTCTTTGTCTCTTTTGATCTTTGTTGGTTTAAAGTCTCTTTTCATCACAGACTAGGATTGCAACTGCTGCATTTAAAAAAAATATTACCCAGTAGGCTGTACAACGATGCCAATACATAATGTCAAGTTGCAAGGCATGGATAATGGGAGAATGTGAGATGACGCTCTAATGGGTATAAAGCTTCCTTTTGAAGTGAAAAAAATTAATTTGGATCTAGATAGTGGTGGTAATGCCACAACATTTCAAATGTGTTACATGCCAATGAATCATACAGATTAAATGCTTAAAGTGTATAATTTTGTGGTGTGAAATTCGTATATCCGTTATTTTTTTTTAAACAATTACCTGACCAGATGTGATCGACCAAGAGGCCATAGTTTGTCAGCCCTTGGTTTATGCTCCAAGTTTAATTCCCACATGCTTGAAATAGTAAATGTGGGCATTTCTATCATTTGCATTAGAAACTTAGCATGTTTTGAAACTATAATGTATTATGCAATTATGTGAACACTAAAATTATTATTGTGGAAATTTTTTGACTTGTTTAATGATAATAGTACAAATTTTATTTTGCTGTACACACAATTGTTAGTACTTTGCAATATTAATTAATTTGTTCTTTAAATAACGCATGATATTGATAATGTGATGACAACTATTGCCATTTCATTGGTGAGAAAGCTGAGTCAAATAAAGTTCAAGTAACTTGTCCAGTCCCACATCATTATATAGTGATTTCTAAGGCTTGAATCAAGGCCATCTGGATCCAGAGTGCCAGCTCTTAACCACCAGGTTATATTGACTTTCCTATTTGGGGTACAGATATTTTCCAAGTGTAGTATCACAGTTTCCCATTATGTAGATATATATTAATTGTAATTTTATTACAAATGTATAATTTAAAATATGTAGAATTATTATTCCAGGTGTGTATCACTGCATAACAAATAGTTTTCAAATGTAGGGCCTTAAAACAACTGTAATCATTTTATTATCATGTCTCAGAATCTGTGTGTTAGGTGGGCTCAGTTATGTGTTCCTTCACAGAGTTTCTTAGGTAGCTACTTTTCTGTGGTGCCCGGGTCAATAATTATCTGAAGATCATTCACTTACATACTTAGAGATTCATGTTGAAAGGCTCCAAGTGCTAGTGGGCTACCAGGATTCCTTAGGCATATATTAGTGTCTCTCTACAAATTGTCATTTATTATGGGGAATACAGGTTGAGTTATTTAGTAATAGTGAGCGAAAAAAAAAAGACATGAAAAGAAGAAACAGAAAGAGCGAAAGAGAAACAGAGAATATGCTGTGTTTCCAGCAGTGCTTTGAAAGTTTAGCTGCATTATTTTCATTACATTCTTTTTGTTGAGACAGTTACAAAGTTTGCCAAACTTCAAAGGGAGGGAATATTGATAGGAAAATTGTCAGTGTATTTATAGTCATGTCTCAAAATAACAACAAATATAACCCTTTGAAGAAGGCAGCAGAAGTTATTAAACTATTGTAAAATTCATAAAATATTAAAAATGGTACAAGAAAAAATATTAAAATTACATGAATTTAGGTTTCTACAATTATTGCCATTTTTAAACATTGTGTTATATTTATTCATACATATTTTCAAAAATAGAACAAATGTCCTAAAAACAAGCTGCAAGTGGATAAAATAATATATGAGAAACATTGTCAAGTTTTTTGAATGACACTAGCGAATTAATAATGTGATGCCACATTTTGAAACTTCCTGTCTTAAATGGATGTGTTTATTTCACAAATTAAACTTTAAATATCATAATTAATACATGAAAACTTTCTGGAAAGTTAAACATTGCAGAATTATATAGAATAAAAATTTAAATTCTCATCCTTGTAATTACATGTGTTTTTCGAGATTCTTTCTTCTTTGTACCAGTTTGCATATATTTTATTTCATTGCAAAAAATACTTTTTTGTTTTTCTGGAAACTACTTTTTCTGTTTAGCAATGTGATAGTCAGCCTGTTTTCTGCAATGGCTCCCCTCATACATTTGTTGGAGGTACATGTGTTCAGTGGCTGAAAGCCATTTAAGTGCTGGAGGAATAATTCTGTTCATACATGTGCTGATGTGCATGGATTTTTCATGACAGATTCCTAAATGTAGAACTTCAGTTTCAAACGGCATATTTACATTTTATTATAAGGGTTATTTCAAATTATACTCCCTCAAAATAGATTTCTCAGGTTTTTATAGGGTGCAAATCTTCTGTATGACATCAATTTGTTGGCATTAATTCTATTTTACTGAGCATCAGTAACTTTTTAATCTTTTATGTCTTATGGGCCATTTTTACTTTGAATTGCTTCTTCATATTTTAATCACTTTTTAATTAGATTGTTTGTCAGTTTTGGTTAGTGATTTGTAGTTCTCACAGAACAATGGATACCAATCTTTTGTTATGTGTGTTATAGGATAGGTTTTATGTGAATTAATTCAGATTTATAAGCATGATAAAACAACATTATTAATCTTTGGCACTATATAAGTTCTGTGTTTCTTTATATCTGCATTAATTCCTAGATGATTTGTATAAAATTTTCTATAATCTCTCTATCTCATCAATGTTTTTGAGTGTGTGTGTATATGTATATTACATGATTTATCTATGTCTATATAATTATAAAGATACATATATGTATGTATATATGTTTTTAATCAGACCTTATGCTGTAGAATATTTTTGTGAGAAGTGATTAATGGCAAGACTTTTTAGTGACAAAGACAACTGGGTTTCTGTTAATCTGGACTAGTTTGATCATAAAGCGCTTCCCTGATGTGTAGATTAAAGGATATTTATGGCTTGATTTAGCTATTTTCCACAAAATTTATAAACTTTTTGTATCCTTTGTATATATTTTTTGGCTTACTAAAAATTTATGTTTCCATATTACATTTTTAGGAGCGATGAATCAAAAATCTCTGTGGAAAATAAAAAAATAGATATGATCATTTAAAGTACAGTTATGTATAATAATAATAATTATTTCAAGCTGTCTTCAAAATACACATTGAATTTCACCACACACCTATTAGCTAGTTAATTGATGCTGTGTCTTGTTTTAAAAGAAATGGACATATATGTGTACCTGTGTATTTAGCAAGATTGAAAAGTCACTAAGTCCCTTTAGAGTGTAATTTCTATATTATCACAACCTAAAATAAAGGACTTACATTTCTTACTAAAAGTCAAATATGATAATAAAACCCATATCAAATTTAGGATTTTTTTTCTAGTTCTCTTAAGCATGATGATGGTGTTTTGATGAGAATTGAATTGGATTTATAGATTTCTTTTCGCAATATGCTCATTTTCACAAAATTGATTCTACCCATCCATGAGCATGGGATGTATTTCCATTTGTTTGTGTCATCTATGACCTTTTTCAGCAGTGTTTAGCAGTTTTCTTTGTAGAGGTCTTTCACCTTCTTGGTTAGGTAGATTCCTTAGTAATTTGTTTTTTCTTTTTTTTTGCAACTATTTTCAAAATGGATGAGTTTTTTATTTGATTCTCAGCTTTGAAACCTGCATAGCCAAAGAAAGACTAAGAAAAAGAACAAACCTACAGGCATCACATTACCCAACATATTACAAGGCATATTGCAAGTTACCAAAACAACATGGTATCAGTATAAAAACAGGCATATCAATCAATGGAACGGAAGAGAGATTCCAGAAATAAAGACAAATACTTACAGCCCAATGAACTTTGACAAAGCAAACAGAAACATAAAGTGGGGAAATGACATCCTATTCAACAAATGGGGCTAGAATGATTGGCAGTCCCCATGTAGAAGAATGAAACTGCATCTTTGTCTCTCCCTTATAAAAAGCCAACTCAAGATGGATCAAATAATGAAATCTAAGACCTGAAACAATAAAAAATTCTAGAATGTAACATTGGAAAAACTCTTCTAGACATTAGGTTAGG
The DNA here is from genome assembly GCF_000001405.40 of Homo sapiens. Taxonomy (NCBI): domain Eukaryota; kingdom Metazoa; phylum Chordata; class Mammalia; order Primates; family Hominidae; genus Homo; species Homo sapiens. The sequence continues at coordinate 69,191,060 of NC_000004.12, forward strand.
TAAAAACCTCATGACCAAAAATCCAAAAGCAAACACAGCTAAAACAAAGATAAATAGTTGTGATTTAATTAAACTAAAAACTTCTGCCAGGAAAAGAAATAATCATCTGTGTAAACAGACAACTCACAGAATAGTGGAAAATATTCATGAACTATGCATCTGACAAAGGGCTAATGTCCAGAATCTTCAAATGGCAAAAAAAAAAAAAAAAAAAAAAAAAAAAAAAAATCCACAAGAGAAAAATAACCCCCAAAAATTAGGCTAAGGTAATAAATAGACAATTCTTAAAAGAAGATATATAAATGGCCAACATATATGAAAAAATGCTCAACTTCACTAATTATCAGGAAAATGCAAATCAAAACCACAATGCAATACCAGTATACTCCTGCAAGAATGGATATAATTTAAAAATCCAAAAATAATGAAATACTGGCATGAATATGGTAAAGAGGGGACACTTTTATGCTGCTATGGGAATGTAAACTAGTACAACTACTATGGAAAACCATATGAAGATTTCTATAAGAAATTACAGTAGAAGTACAATTTGATACACCTATCACTCTACTGTGTATCTTCCCAGAGGAAAGAAAATTTTTGTATGAAAAAGACCCCCACACATACATGTTTGCAACAGCACTATTTGCAATTAAAAAAAAAAGAATGGAACAAGCCTAAATGCCCATCAACCAACCAATAAGTGGATAAAGAAAATGTGGTATACATACATACACACACACACAGATGTTGCAGGAAGTCAGGGACCCAAATGGAGGGACTGGCTGAAGCTGACGCAGAGGAACATAAATTGTGAAGATTTCATTTTAATATGGACCGGTTCTCTGCTCTCGAACCCTGTTTTCTGTTGTTTAAAATGTTTATCAAGACAATACATGCACCACTGAACATAGACCCTTATCAGTAGTTCTGCTTTTGCAGTTTGCCTTGTGATCTCTGTTGGACCCTTATCAGTAGTTCTGCTTTGCCCTTTGTCCTGTTCCCTCAGAAGCATGTGATCTTTGTTCTGTCTTTTGCCCTTTGAAGCATGTGATCTTTGTACTTACTCCCTGTTCATATACCCCCTCCCCTTTTGAAACCCTTAAACAAAAACTTACTGGTGTGTGGGCATCACGGTCCTAGCAATATGTGATATCACCCCCGGCAGCCCAGCTGTAAAATTCCTCTCTTTGTACTCTTTCTCTTTATTTCTCAGCCATCCAACACTTATGGAAAATAGAAAGAACCTACATTGAAATATTGGGGGTGGGTTCCCCCAATAGTTGGCACACCAACATAGTTTTCTTTTTCCTAACTGCATGTGGGAAGCTGATTCCCTTTGGTAGATGAGGAGAAACGTTCATCTCTCTGGTCCACAGAAATGCTTGTTCAGCTCCCTGACAATTGGTGAGTTGTCTGAGTATTGTCTGGGGTAACTATGGGTCACATGGAGTCTAAACATTATGCTTATTTCTGCTATATTAAACTCTTGTTAAAACAGGGAGGAGTTTGAGTGCCCATGGAAAATATGGTCACCATATTCAGGGCAGTGGAGGACTACAGTCCTTGTTTTCCTGAAAAGCGAACATTAGATGTGGAACTATGGGATCATGTTGGTGCAAAATTCCAGGAACTGGTCCTGATGGGAAATTATGTTCCCATCACTGTTTGGGGTGATTGGACCTTGGTACGTGCTGTCCTAATGACATACCAATCCTGTGACCCCCTGCAGTTACCACAGTTTTCTGAATCTGGTGACCCTCTACCTCTTCCTCAGCTTTTCTCTCCCACTTGGCATTCGTTATCTGCTCAGCCTCTTCCCTTGCCTACTTTTCCTCCACCTGATGATGTTGAGGATTCAATATCTAACTCCGGTGACTTTGGCTTAACGTTCCCCCTGATGATCTTATTTCTTTTCATGAAGAGCCAGTATTTGTAGCTCCCACAGCCCCGACTTGGACAGCCTGGGACCATATCTACACTAACTCTTCCCTCTCCAACTCTTTGCAGTCTTAGCCTCCAGAGCCATCTAATCACTCTAGGACCAAACCACAATTTACCTGTAATTCTGCAAGTCCTCCCCCATCCACTGCAGCCCCTCACCCTCCTGTAATTTTGGTCCCTCAACCGGTCACTTTGCCATCCACTCAACCTGCTTCTCTGTACCCTTCTTCACACGTGGATGCCCCTGCCACTCTGGTTGCACAGGATTGGGCCAATAATCACCAGTATGTTTCTGCCTCTTCTGCTCCCCCAATGCCTCTTTCTCACACTCTTATACCAGTCCGACCTCCTCAACCTCAGTTTGCCTTGTCTACACATACTTTTTCTGTCACTTATATGCCAACTCCATCTCATGTGCCTGTTCTTGAAACTTTCATGCAATGCTTATTACTCCAGAATAAAGAAACAAGTGGATTAGACGCGTGGGCTTATCCAGTTGTGCTGGAATCTCCTAATGCTCAAGGGGTACAAGTGTGTCGATATGTGCCACTCAATCTTACCTTTTTAAAAGAATTCAAGGATGCTTGTACTCAGTATGCTCCTACTTCTACATATGTTAAAATGGTATTACAGACTCTTTGTACTGAGGTCATTTTGCTTCCTTTAGACTGGGACTTCTTGGCAAAAGCTGTTCTAACTCCATCTCAGCATTTACAATTCCATACCTGGTGGTCAGAGGAGGCCTGTCTACAGGCTCAGCTAAATCAGGCTGATGGCATTCTAATTACTCAGGCTCATTTCACAGGCTCCAGTAATTACTCTGACACTACCACCCAATTAGGCGTTGATGCTCTCACCATGGAACAAGTAACAAAGGTGTGTATGAGAGCTTGGGATAAATTTCACACCCTAAGCCAAGCTCCTGTTTCTTTTACTACTGTTAAACAGGGTCACAATGAATTTCATCCTGATTTTTTGGCTAAATAACAAGACGCTGTTCAAAAATCTGTCTCTGATGAGCACGTTCGAGGTATTCTCCTTCAAATGTTAGCTTTTGAGAATGTGAACCGTGAGTGTATAATGGCCATGCGTTCCATCCAATGAGAAAATTTACCTGATCATGAGGTGTTGCCTGCATATATTAAAGCTTGTGAAGGCATTGGATCAGAGACCCACAAAGCTATTCTGTGGGCATGGGCCATGAAGGACGGCAACTAAACTGGCTTGACTGATTCTTTTCTTGGAGCCTGCTATAATCATGGTCAACTTGTTCATACTCAAAAAATTTGCAGTGTTTAAAACTTAAAAGCTACCATGCCAGCTCAACAAACATGGCCAAAAGCTCCTGCTACTGTTTGCCCTCATTGTCATAAAGGTAAACATTGGGCAAGTACTTGCCACTCTAAGTCTGATACAGATGGAAATCCCTTGCCACAGAATCAGGGAAATGGGAAGCAGGGCTAGTCCCAGGCCCCAATATCAAATGGCACACCTCAGACTCAGACCAATGTTGCATTTCCAATTGAAGCGGTCCTAACGCAGCCCCCAGTACAAACAAATTTACCTACAGCAAACCCAGATGGGTCCCAGCCTCTTCTTCTGTCACAGTACACTGCTTGTCTACCTCCACAGTAGGGGGCAGGGTGGTTGATCTCCATAGTACCATTCCTCTAAATTTACTACCTAATTCTTGTCTTTTAATTGTCCCCACAGGGGTCACTGGCCCTTTACCTCAAGGTTCCATGGGCCTGGTGTTAGGTAGGACATCCACCTCTGCTAAAGGTATCATAGTTCCTACTGGTCTCATTAATTCTGATTCCTCTGATGAGATTAAACTTATGGTGTCTGCCAAGGTTCCTGTTTCCATTCCAGTTGGTGAGTCAATTGCTCAATTACTTTTATTACCTAATATTGTTTTAAACAAAGGAGATAAGACAGGGGGCTCTGGGATAGGCTCCAACAGTGAAAAAGCCGCTTATTGGATTAAAGTAATTTCTAAACAATGGCCCACCTGCACCATACACATTCAAGGAAAAAGGTTTGAGGGCATAGTGGATGCTGGGGCTGATGTTTCTATTATTTCCTCTAATGTATGGCCTTCCTTCTGGCTTAAACATCCCACTAACATGGGATAAGTAGGGGTTGGAAAAGCTGATGAAGTTCACCAGAGCACATTTATCTTGCCTTGCACTGGCCCTGATGGTCAAAAGGTACAATTCAGCCTTATATCACACCAATCCCCATTAATCTTTGAGGCAGAGATTAGCTGGAACAATGGGGGGCTGCAATTAATATTCCACATAGCTCTTATAGTGTTCCCAGTCTATATATAATGGAAAACATGACGTTTGTTCCTGGAATCGGTCTCGGTCCAAAACATGAAGGAATTACTAAACCTCTTCAAGTCACTATAAAAAAAGACAAGGCTGGTTTTAAATCATAATTCAACCACTCCTCATGCTCAATTACATTGAGCATTGTTTACTTTAAACTTTCTAAATGTTCCTAAAGTCAATACCCTGACTATAGCTGAACACCATTATACAGGCAAAAAATTCTCCCTAAATGAAAGCAAGCCAGTGTTATGGAAAAACTCCCAGATCAATACCTGGGAATCTGGAACAATTATAACATGGGGAAGAGGATATGCTTTTGTTTCACCAGGAGATCATCAGTCACCGGTCTGATTGCCCACTAGAAGACTTCGTGTGAATACTGACAAAACCACAGGGAAGAGACGTCCGCGTCGGAGACCACCCTCCTACCTGGTGAGATCTGTGCTGACTTCTCAAAAACTGGCATGCCAAATCAAAATGGGTCTGGTTCAATCCTCCCTAATGGCAACGGAGATCCCTCTAACCAATCCCACTTCTCCTAATTCCCTTTCTTTTTCTCCTTATGAACCTAAAAATCTCACCATTTCTATTAGCCTGAAAATAACGTCCCTCTGTTCTTCTCTTCCTCCTTCAGCACTGGATCTCACTTCCAATAGGTTTCATTTAATAATTCTCTTCTTTATACTTTCTGTGTCACCAGTTTCCCCCCTGAATGATCTGCTTCACAGAATTATTCCTACTGGGCTTAAGTGCCTTTTCCTCCACTTATTCAACCTCTCACCTAAATGGATGCTCCTGTGGAAATCTAAAGTAATGATATATGTGTGTATATATGTGTGTGTGTGCATGTATCGGGGGAACCCACCTGCAATATTTCAATGTAAGTTCTTTTTATTTTCCATAAGTGTTGGCCGGCTGAGAAATAAAGAGAAAGAGTAAAAAGAGAGGAATTTTACAGCTGGGTCATGGGGGGTGACATCACATATCAGTAGGACTGTGATGCCCCATAGCTACAGATGACTGTTGTCCCACTCAACCAGGAGAAGAAAGCACTGCGTTTAATGTTACTATGGGTTATAAGTACCCTCCCCTGTGCCTCACACATGCACCTGGTAGTATCCATTTAGAAACTCAAGTCTGGGCTGCTTATCTTCTGGAGATATTAGCTACAGGGGAATGGGGACATTTGGTCTCCGGCACCTCCCTTTCTTCTTTAAGACAAATGAAAAGGGGAGTAATAGGAGATACCCCATACCATCAATATAAACCTGTAGGAAAACAATGTCCTAAAAATTTTGAGTGCCCATCTAAAACTTTAAATTGGGAAGATTGTGTTCACTCACATACAGTATTATTAAAAAATGACTCATGGTTTAGTAATAGAGTGGGCACCAAAGGGCTATTTAAAAAACAATTGCTCCTCTGATGGAAGGGAATGCCTGGAGGCTACTTATTTTATTTCTTATTGGAAGGAAGAGGATCATCATCCTACTTTGCATAGGAGGTTCAGCTCATTCTTTCCCTTAAAATGGGAAGATAAAGGCATTACTCACCTGAGGCCTCATATGATATTCCCCTTTCTGAGCCCAGAACACTCAGAAATTTGGAAACTGGATATTGCCATGTCCAGACTGCGAGTATGGGAAGGAGAAAATTTTCTGTCTGTTGTCCCAATTACTGCCCCTCACATCCGTGATTATGAACCCCATGATAAATCCCGTTTGAACCCTTTTCCTCTGTTTGATGCCGATCCCCCTTTATGGGACTCCAATTGGCATTATGATGATTCTTCTCAACCCAGGTATGCTCCTCTACCTCTTCAGCATCCCCAGGCACCTTGGATTCCTTCTTTATGGCAGAGAACATTGGGCGTGGCCACAGCCACTCCTTTCCCTCAGTATCAGTGTAGATTCAAACATTCTGCTTTTTTTACCTCCAAGTTGTATTTTTCTATACAGTGTTGTGTTAAGCTTCCTTACATGCTGTTAATGGGAAATATCAAAATTTGGACAAACAATCAAACTGTCCAATGCACTAATTGTCATTTATACACTTGTGTTAACTTGTGTTTTGACTCCAGGAAAAGTAAAATGTTAGTTTGAGCTCGAGAAGGAATCTGGATACTGGTAACTTTACCCAGACCTTGGGAATCTTCCCCCTCAGTACATTTAATTAATGAAGTGTTACAATGAATTCTCAAAAGATCTAAGAGATTTGTTTTCACTTCATTCGCTGTGATCATGGGCCTAATCAGAGTCACTGCACTGGCAACCACTGCTGGAGTGGCATTATACCAATCTATTCAAACAGCTCATTTTGTCAATGATTAGCAAGTCAATTCCACCCAAATGTGGAATTCTCAACAAGACATTGATCAAAAATTAGCTAATCAAATTAATGATTTAAGACAGTCTGTTATTTGGCTTGGAAATCAGCTGATGAGTCTCGAACATCACATGCAAATGCAGTGTGATTTGAATACTTCTGATTTCTGTATCACACCATATTCCTACAATGAGACTGATCATTCATGGAAAATGGTCAAAGGACACCTTCTGGGTAGGGAAGATAATTTATTCTTGGACATAACTAAATTAAAGAAACAAATTTCTGAAGCCTCTCAAGCTCATTTACCCATTGTGTCTGGAGCTGAGGCGTTAGATCAGGTGGCAGAAAGTATTTCTGGACTAAACCCCACGACTTGGATTAAGTCTACTGGGGGCTCCACGGTAGTAAATTTTGGAATAATATTTCTCTGTTTAATCGACTTGTTTTTAGTGTGCTGGACCAGTCAAAGATTCCCGTGTCAAAACCTAGAGAACAAACAAGACTTTGCACCATGGCACATTTATATAAAAAGAAAGGGAGGGATGTTGTGGGAAGTCAGGGACCCTGAATGGAGGGACTGGCTGGAGCTGTGGCAGAGGAACATAAATTGTGAAGATTTCATTTTAATATGGACCTTTGTCAGTTCCCAAATAATACTTTTCTAATTTCTTATGCCTGTCTTACTTTAATCTCTTAATCCTGTTATCTTCATAACCTGAGGATGTATGTCACCTCAGGATCACTGTGATAATTGTGTTAACTGTACAAATTGCTTGTAAAACATGTGTGTTTGAACAATATGAAATCAGTGCACCTTGAAAAAGAACAGAATAACAGCAATTTTGAGGGAACAAGGGAAAACAACCGTAAGGTCTGACTCCCTGTGGGATCACACAAAAACAGCCGTATTTTCCTGCTTTCAGAGAGCCTATAAATGGACTTGCAAGTAGGGAAGATATCGCTAAATTCTTAGCCTAGCAAGAAATATTAATATTAGTACTCTGGGAAAGGAATGCATTCCTGGGGGGAGGTCTAAAACCAGCCACTCTGGGAATGTCTGTCTTATGTGGTTGAGATAAGGACTGAGGTATGCCCTGGTCTCCTGCAGTACCCTCAGGCTTATTAGGGTGGGGAAAATCTCCACCCTGGTAAATTTGTGGTCAGACCAGTTCTCTGCTCTCGAACCCTGTTTTCTGTTGTTTAAGATGTTTATCAATACATGCACCACTGAATATAGACCCTTATCAGTAGTTCTGCTTTGCCTTTTGTCCTGTTCCCTCAGAAGCATGTGATCTTTGTTCTGCCTTTTGCCCTTTGAAGCATGTGATCTTTGTACCTACTCCCTGTTCTTACACCCCCTCACCCCACCTTTTGAAACCCTTAATAGAAAACTTGCTAGTTTGAGGCTATGCTGGGCATCACGGTCCTAACAATAGGTGATGTCACCCCCGGTAGCCCAGCTGTAAAATTCCTCTCTTTATACTCTTTCTCTATTTCTCAGCTGGCCAACACTTATGGAAAATGGAAAGAACCTACATTGAAATATTGAACATGGGTTCCCCTGATACACACACACACACACACACACATATATATATACACATGCATATACATACTACGTATATATATACACCATGGAATACTACTAAGCTGTAAAAAGAAACAAACTAATGGCATTAACAGCAACTTGCATGAAGTGGGAGAGCATTATTCTAAGTGAAGAAATTCAGGAATAGAAAACTGAACATCATCAATTGTCACTTCTAAGTCAGATCTAAGCTATTAGGATGCAAAGGCATAAGGATGATGTAATGGGATCTAAGGATTCAGATGGGAGGCCGGGAGGGGGTGAGAGATACAAGACTATACATTCAGTGCAAGGTACACTTCTCACATGATATGTGCAACAAAACCTCAGAAATTACCACTAAAAAACGTACGCATCTAATCAAACACCACCTGTTCCCAAATAACTATTGAAGTAATTAAAAATATCAGAATAAAATCAACCAGACAAATATTTTTACATATCTGGAAAAAATAGAATTTGCTCATGAAACCAAAGATGTGGCAAAACAGTTCAATTTTACAGTAGGAAGCAGGTAAGAGTGGCTATATTTCTAATTCCACATAATTTCCACTGAGAAATGACATGAGCTCTTAAAACAGTAAACATTTGGCCATCAATTTTAGCAAAAAATGTGACAATGAAGCTGCATGCAGTGTAAAAGTAAAGGAATACTACTTATCTCAAAATATCAAAAGGAAGAGAGAGACTTTATATACAATTTAACTATGTAATAGTTTCTTTAGCAACAGTTAAAACAACAGAATCCTGTTCAAAATGAAGCCAAATTATTCTGAGGATGTGACTACTGATACTGTCAGTAGACTTCTTAATGTTCTTGTGTTTATGTAAAATGTGTGAAATATAGTTAAGCTGAGTAAATTTTTTCATGTAACTTGTGAATTCAAACAACAAATCTCAATATAAGTGCAACAAATTTCAATATGAGCTCAAATGGCTTTATATTATTTTTTAATTTTCCTAGTATTTTCTTCATTGCCACAAAATATTTCTAACCATTACCTGGGTGGTAAATCTCTGAAAAACAAATTTTTACTTGACAAGGTAGATTTGAAAATTTTTTTTTTTTTTTTTTTTTTGTCACAGGAAGAAAGAAATCTTGCATAACAATCTTTTCTTTCTTGCTGGAATAAACTGAAGTTGTCCTATCTATCTGGTTTTCCAGCTTCAAATGTCAGACATAACTAATCTCTTTTTCCCTTCTTCCCTTTTCTAGCAAACTTCCAGAAACAAAACAGACAAAACTTTGTGATGATAAATATCACAGTTGCCACACAGGCCAGCAGAAACCCAATCACATCCAAAGAGTGGTACTGGAACCAGGTGAGGTCATGGGCTGCAACTCGAAGGTGTTTGGCTCCTTTGTGGGGCATGACAAATTCAATCCAGAAGACTGCTCGATCCAGGGGCTTTACTGGTTGATCATGTTGAATTCTTGATAATTTCATAATATTCTCTTTATATCTGAAGGATAAAAATAAGGATACCAACACTGAAAGTAAGTTAATTTGCCTGTACATATCAAGTCTATGAAAGGCTTTTAAAGCATCAAATAATTCAAAATAAATGTCAAAGAATTGACAGAGAATTTGTGTATTTTAATTTGAGTTATCATAGATAGTTTGGCTTTTAAATTGGACTTTTCTCATTGACAAACATTTTTAAAGCAGAAATGGAAGGTCAGGTGAGAAAGTTAATTTTTTTCAAGCAGAGAAAATATAAGGCATTTTAACTGGCTTTTAATTGTTTAATGTTAAGTTTTTGTGGGTCCATATTAAGTGTATATATTTATAGGGTACATGAGATGTTTTGATACAATGTGAAATAATCACATCATGAAAAATGGGATATTCATCCTTTAAGCATTTATTCTTTGTATTATGAAAAATCCAATTACATTCTTAGTTCTCAAACAGGCATATGAGTACATGCTCAGCATCATGAGCCATTTTAAGTGCTGTAAGAAAGACTATGAAAATGCGATGTGAGAATTATCATCTGTAAGTTCCTAAAAAGGAATTTTATCAAGGTGAGTGACATACCTCATAGCTCGTCACTTTTCTTCTACATTACTCTTTTGTCTCCTACTGTTTCCCACCCTGTAGCCAGAATGATTTTTTGAAATTAATGTCAGACTATGGCACTCTTCTGATTAAGATTTTTGGCTGGCTTCTCATTCTTTTAATCATAAAATTCAACTCTGTTATTTGGTCTACAGAACCCTACATCGTAAGACACTGGCAAGCTTTTTTCTAACACTTTTCCTCTGCACACTGTCTTCTAGATTGGCCTTCTAATTTTCTTTAAGCTTCCAAAGGTGTTCTCATCTTAGAACTTTACACGTTTTGACCCTTCTCTCCTGCTCTTGGAGTATTCTTTCTTGCTACAACCCAAGGCATGTGTCTGTCCCTTTTTGTGGCTCTAAGTGTTACCTCTAAGAGAGGCTTTTACTGGACAATGATGGAGCCTCCAGGATTTTCTCTATTTTCTGTCCTTATTTTCTATTTGATTCCTAGAATTTTGTAAATGATTTATATATCTCATAAAATATACATTTAAATATAAAACACAAAAGATAAATATACATACACTAAGTGAATAGTTCAAAAATGGAAGATCATCTTGAACATTATCTTGAGATGAAGATACCAATTTACCTACTGTTCAGGTCCTGGTATAAGCTATCACAACCTGCCTACAATAATTCTCTTTTTCTGAACCTTTTAGTGACTACTTTTGTCCTCCAACTAAGGATTAGCCTGACTTCGAATAACAACATTAGTTTTGCTTGTTTATGTAATTGAATTACATAATACGTACTCAAAAGTGTCTTTTTCTTTAATGTAGCAGTTCTTGGGTAATTCCATTACTATGTAGCATTCCATTGATTGATAAACCACAGATTATGTCTTCATTTTATGATGAATAGATATTTGGGTTGCTAACAATTTTTGGACACTGTTGATAATTCTGTCACGAACACTCTGCTATACAGCATGAGATTTATATATTTATGTATATCTGTTGTGTATATAATTGAGAGTAGAATTGCTGAGATAAAAGTGCATGCAAACTTATGATTTACTTCTTGACTGTAAATTTTTTTGAAGTGTATTTTGTTAATTTCCAAAATTTAAAGATATTTTAGTAATAGTATTTTTAACCTCCTTTATTTCCAATATGGCTGGATCATATAGTCTTCATGATATTGAATCTTTTATATTTCGTAAGTCTTGATTTATTGCCCACCACACATCACTTCAAGGAAAGATTAAATATTTGACGTACTCTAGGAAAATGTGTCTTCAAGTTGATATATACAATACATACATGTGTATTGTATATGTATATATGTGTGTATGTCATTTTAGATTGTAAGACTCCATTTGTTAATTGTGTTCTTCAAATGTTTTATGTCCTTACTCATTATTTGCTCCTTTATTAAAAGTCTGTTTAGATTGAGTGAAAGTATTTGTATAATCACATTTAAATCTACCACATTGTTTTATGTTTCTTTTCTATTTGTCCAAGGTGGTTTGTGTTTCTTTTCAATTATTTCCCATCTTCTTTAAAGGTACATTGATCATTCGTTATCCTTCCATTTTCTTTGGGATAAAGTATTTTTAAAGTATTCCTTTAGATGATACCCTCCTTACACAAAAACTTTATTGAGAGTAGTTATAAATGCTGAATTGATGGTAGCTGGACTCCGCAGGTAATTTTTCACATTGTTATCTTTGGGGAGTGAACAAAATCAATTATTAAAAATTTAACTTAAAATTATATTTTTTGTGCTTCAAAGACCATCATCAAAAAGTAAAAAGTTAGTGCACCAAGATTGGGACAAAATATTTAAAAAGTATATATCTGATTTGTCCCATAATATATAAATAGTTCTTAAAACTTAATAATAAGACAAATAGAAAAGTTAAAAATGTTCCAAGCATTGGAATAGACATGTTTTCTAAGAAGATATATGAATGGTCAACAATCACATATAAAGATTCTCAACATCTTCAGCAGTAATGAAAATGCAATCCAAGACCAGGATGAGAGATCATTTTAAACCCTCTAAGAAGGTTGTAACAAAAAGAAAATAAGAGGTCTGGCAACAATGTGGAGGAATTGGAACCATGTTGTACTGCTGATGGTAGTGATGAATGCAACAAGTACTTTGGAAAACAGTTTAGCAGTTCTCCATAAACATACAGTTCTCACATGAGGCAGCAATTCCACTTATAGTATCAACTCAAAAGAAAGTAAAACATATTTATGCAAAAACAAGTATAGCAATATTCCTAGTAGCCACAATTGGAAACAATCAAAAGGCCAATGAACTGACAAATGAACAACTAAATTATGACATATCCATACTATAAAATATTACACAAGTGGAAAGGAAATGAAGTATTATAACACACAACAATATGAAGTAAAATAAAAACCATAAGAAAACAACAAAAAATTAGGCTATGTGAAATGTCATTTACACAGCACCTGAGACTGTATGATTCCATTTATATGAAATATCTAGAGAGAATAACTTATAGAGAAAGAAAACAAATTGGTGTTAGACTAGGACTAAGCAGTTATGAGAAGTGATTTTGGTGTCATTGCAGTTTCTTTTGTGTTGATAAAAATGTTCTAAAATTATATATATAATGGTGATACTTTAATGACTGTAAACATAGTAAAAATATTTGGATTTTATGGCATAAATAGGTGGATTTTAAGCTATCGAAATTAAATCTCATTTTCAAGTCTGTTAAAATAATGATGATAAAAATTAATTTTTCAGCAAGAAAATAGTTATATTCTGAGTCATTTTAGATATTTAATTAAAACATTTTATTATATTATTTCAAGTTTATTCTTCCTTTCTTCTATGGATTCATGTTAAAATTTTAAGAAATGTATTTTTTATATTATCTATATCATTTTAAAATTATTTTTGTTTAGAAAATTGCTTCACTAACTGGTTACTCATTAGATGTATGGGATTCAAACACAATTTTTAAATAATAGATGATAAAAACAAAGCAGATTTCAGATTGGTTATATCATTTAAATTCTTTCAAGATTACTCTCTTATAAAAAGGATGAAACTCATGCTCACTATTGACAAGAGAAGCTGTCCACAAATACCACCTAGTGAAAAACATTGTTCTACTCACAAAGGATCATTAATTACTGTCTTCAGTGCATTCAGCAGGTCTGTACTCGACATTGTGTTGAAGTCCAATCTAACAGCTGCTCCCTTGGCCTTCATGTGAGCAATGTTATCAGGTTGATCAAAAAACAATGGAATGCCCACCATAGGGATCCCATGGTAGATTGCCTCATAGATGCCATTGGCTCCACCATGAGTTATAAAAGCTCTGGTTTTTGGATGACCTAGGATTGGATGAATTTTAGCAAAATTATTCATAGGAATAAAATGAGATGCACAATGAAAGGTTCTGAAAGTGACAGTGTTTTCTAGATAACACATTGAACTAATTTGCTATTACTTTTCAGACTTCAGATGAAAAAGCACGTACTTGTTTAGGAGATGTAACTGAAAGCTATGTGGTGTGTGTGACTTCAGACTGCAAAACTTAATACAAGATTTTCAGTTGGACTAATGAAAAGTGCATTCTAGATTTTTTAAATGTGCACAAAAGAGGACAGCAAAGAGATGGGCATGAAATAAAGTTTTATTTTAACTACAGTCACAGAGTGTGATATGCGGGGTATGCAAGGCAGCAGGCAGTGGGTTGGTGGTGGTGCTAGGATTGAGGAAAGACAGGTCACACTTCATCATGAAATGTGTCGTTACTTTAAGATTAAGATTAGGAATTTAGTCCTCCAGAAAATACAGAGTTACTGGTGATAGAAGAGCTATTATATTTACTGGCATTTGAAATAATCCTGCAGGAGAGGAGAAAACAGGTGTAAAATTGTAGAAACAGGAGACAGAGAGACAGCCCAGGAAGATATTGAAAAATTCTGTGAGATATAATAGCACCTGAAATAAAGATTATCTCTGATTCTGACCATAAAGAATGTGATTATATATCATAAAATGCCAACAATTCTACCATATTCTTTTCCCCTAGGACTGGAAAATAAATACAAAGAAGTTCTTTTTTGTTTTCCTATAACAAATATTCAATAAGCATGTTTCATTAACCCTCTAATGTGCAGTTACTAATATATCCAGTATTTGTTCACCAGAGTGTTACCTAGAAGGTCATTCTGGGGTATCCACTTGTACAGCCGAGTATTGAGACCTAAGGCATCTGGTTTATTCCCGTCAAATCTCCACAGAACCTGTTACAGTAAAGAGAATATCTTATTCCATGAGTGGAACTCAAAAATTATAGAATGTTAGAACTGTAGAAAGCATAGGAATGAGATCAAGGGATGTTAGTAAATAAATCTACTCAAAGATTGATGTAAAAAGAATACTCACATTTTATTTTCTTAACTTTTATAATGATTTAGATATATAAGAAACCATGATTTTCCAAAACAGTACCATAGAAAAATAAGACTATCAATGAAAAGTTCAAATATTCAAAAAATTGTTACACTTTTTAAAAGAAGACCTACCTGCAGTCAACCATCATATGAAGAAAAATAACATCACAGATCATTAGAGAAATTCAAATCAAAACCATAATGAGATAGCATCTCACACCAATCAGAATGGCCATTATTAAAAATTCAAAAAATATCATGATGTTGGCGAGGTTGTATAGAAAAGGAATGCTTATACTCTGTTGGTTGGAATGTAAGTTAGTTCAACCATTGTGGAAGACAGTGTGGCCATTCCTCAGAAACCTAGAGGCAAAAATACCATGAAACCCAGCAATCCCATTACTGGGTATATAAGCAAAGGACTATAACTGGTTCTTTTATGAAGATCCATGAAAATATATGTTAGTTGCAGTACTATTCACAATAGCAAGGACATGCAGTCAACCTAAATGACCATCAATTATGGAATGAATAAAGAAAATATGGCATATATACACTACGGAATATTATGCAGCCATAAAAAAAACAAAAATATGTATTTTGCAGGGATAAGGATGGAGCTGGAGGCCGTTAGCCTTAGGAAACTAACATAGGAATTGAAATCCAAATGTGACATGTCCTCACTTATGAGTGGAAGCTAAAAGATGAGAACACGTGGACACATAGATGGCAACAACATACACTGAGATGTATTGGAGGGTGGAGGGTGGGAGGAAAGAGAGGATCAGGAAAAATAATAAACGAATATTAGTCTTAATACCTGAGTGATGACACAATCAGTACAACAAACCCCCATGACACAAGTTTACCTATGTAAAAAACCTGCACATGTACTCCTGAACTTAAAAGTTAAAAATAAAAGTTAAATTAATTTAATTTAAAAAATAAAAATATTACAAAAAAAGTGTAAAAAATTATATGGAGTGATTGTAATTCTAGTGTAATAAAACAGTTACTATTTAGTAATGACCTGTATGTTTGTTTTATGTATTTTATATTAGTTTTCATCTCCAAATTTAATTGTAATGTATTCGTTTATTTTTGAATAATATGAGAAGTAGTTTAAATGTATCTACTTGTCGGTAGGTTATTATATTGGAGCCTGTTGTCCTTTGATTGACAAAATAGCAAGTCTATAAAATAAGCTACTTATAAGAACTAAATAAATGCTGCCAAGATTTTATGTATAACTTCATTGGAATTACAAATTATCAAGCACTATTTCCCAGAAAAATTTCAAGCGACAATTTTTGACACAAATTCAGAATATTACCATTATTGTTAATTTTGGATTTTTTTTTGGCCTAGAAATGAGGAACCTTTTGGTATCATGAATAAAAATAAAGCTAATGAATAAACTCAAAATTGTACTTTGCTAAATTTGGTCAACTGATTATTAACACTTAGATAACGTGCTACAAATCTTTGTCAACAGTGATTAATATGTTCTGCTATAGCCAAGACATTCTTATTTTAAGTTACTAATTTTGAAACTCCAAAGCAATCCTCACAAACTGAACAATAATTTGCAGTGTTTAACTTTTATTTGCTACATCAGTGTTAAAGTAACTCAGGTTTCAGCAAAAAGTTAGAGGTCATTACAAGAAAGCTTTATCAGATAGGAAATTAAAAAGTCATTCACAAATACACAAAGGTCCCTGGTTTACTCTATACAGAAGAAAATATATTCCTACTATGTTCTATGGAGGGGACATCTGAACCTGTTCCCCTGCCTCTCTTCCTTCTGTTTGACTCCTTCCTATATTTCCTTCTGCTGCCTCCATTGGGAGGAGTTGTTAATCTGGTAGTTAGTGCTGAGTCCTTGTGGGACCATATTTTATACTGTACAGGATCCACCTTCAGGTCAGGATCCATCTCCATCCTTTCTCTTTCATCTTCCTGCTTCAGGCAGTGTTCTCTATTTGTTGTCACATATTTCACATAAGCATTTGACTTAAAGTACAAACAGAAATAGTACATTCCTTAATTGTAAACATTCACCAAGAGCTTCCAGAGTACGGTAAGTAATAGAGGTGGCCCAAGAGTAAGTGAAATCTTCTTCACTCATTGGATACTGCTGAGATTAGCAAAACAGCTTTGAAGAAAATGATCATAAGTCTTCCTTGTATTTCTACAAAGATGCAGTTCTGGATATATATTTTTAGTTGAAAACACTTGAAAGTCATTCTAAAGACTACATTAGGCACCATTTTCACTTACCTGAAATATATTCAGTTAATTTCAGCAGTATGTATGACTCTTAATATCAGAAATTAAAAATAACCATGAGTCTCAAGTTCCCTGTTGTGGATACCTACGGAGTACTGAGTTCCCACTGATACTAATAGGAGCCACTCATGAATACCAAGGGTAGTAACTCCCCCAGGGCCACATGTAACCACTAAGTCTGAGGCACAACTATTACTTGTGTTGGTGGAAGCAACATAAGCATATTTAAGGATGTATTTGGATGTAAAGAGTTCACTCTACTCTTAATATTCTTTCTATGTAGATCACAAACATTAACAGCCTCTTTCAGCAGTTTTCCACACCAGTAAGGCCCTTTATCTTACCTTTTGTGGGATCTTGGCAAGGGCTGTTGCAATTACATTGGCCCTTTCTGCTGTCATGTTACTTATCACTGACCCCAGAGAAAACACCACAACACCATTTTCTCCAGAGCTCTGTACAAACTCCTCCATTTCCTGTGAAAAAAAAATTGTTTCATCACAAAAGAGTATCACCACAGCAGGCACTACTGAAAGAATTGGTACCAAATATTAAAGAGAGAAAATCAAGTATTTTGAGGAATTATTGGAATTAATAATATTTTTTAACTGAATCATTCAGTTTCTTTGCAAGAAGATGTTTGAGATAGTTGGCCTCTGTTAAGGATATTTGTGTAAATATGTGTGTATATGTATGTATGTGTCTGCATGTGTGTAATGGAGGAAAGAAATGGAGCTATTACATTGTAGTCAGGGAGATAATGTTAAAAAATATACCCAGACCCTTCACTTATAATACTATAATTACTAATATAAGTTCTTGGAATAGTGGCACCACTCGGCTTTAATCCTATGTTTTTGTTCTACTAAATCACTTGTGTTTATTTCAGGCATGTTTTCTGTAGAATTCTTTTAGTTTGAAGCCATTAGTGGTCTACTTCCCTAAATATGAGCACTGAGGAAAAGATATTCACAGTTGGGATAATTTTATATCTACATTTATGTTCCTCTACAATGCTTTATGCTTCACTTAAAGTTTGTCAGAGTTTTCCAGTAGTTTTTCAAAAAATAAAAAATGAAAATAAAAGCTGGTGGTTAAGAATCACTGACATTCCTGAGTCTAGTATTGTGATTTGGAATTTTTATGAATCAGTCTTGGGAGTCTCATTTATCATATGGAATTGTAGAGTTTATAGTTAGTTGTTGAATAATTGTACCTTTTGGGTTTTTGTTTAGGTGGAGCACCTATTGCCCTGAAATCACACTGTTAAATTGATGTGCTATTTCTAACTGCATGTGAGGAACTCTCATCATCACTTTGTTGTGTCTCAGAGGCAGCACTGGCACCAGAATAGGAGAGGCCACCAGGCCTTTCTTCAGGAGAGATCTTGTCTCTCTTTTGAGTAGCTCACACACACCACATTACACTGCTGGTGAAGATGTGCTTGGCTGCCATTGATTGAGAATTATTCTGACTTGAGTTCCCCAATGTATACCAATATTTAAATTTAAGTATTTTCAGATTTAATCATTGGGGTAAAACTTTTCCAAATGGTTTTTAACAAAACAAAGAAAAAAACGTCTAAATGTAAACAGTGCATCACATATGGCAGAGTGTTTTCTTAAAATATGATTTTTAATCTTACATTAACGTGAGAGTCCTTGTACTACTATTCCACGTAATACCTGGGGCTTCTAGGTGTTGCGTGTGATTGCAGTTACCTGTAGCCACATTTAATGTAACTCGTTTTCAGTGTTTCATCTCACTGGCTTGATATCAGAGCCTTGTTTTTCTACTAGGTGTTGAAGGAATCTAATCTCTGTTTAGAGATTCATCACTGATATTGACTGGTTGTTTCTCCTTTTGTGATAATATTATAAAAATAATACAAAATTAATGTAAGAAATTGTATAAAAGTATGAAAAGTTTTTTAAAAAATAATTTTTCTAAAATTTCTACCTAGAGATATTATTTATAGAAAATATGTATTTTTTATTATGGATTTTGTCCTATTTATATAGGTCAATGTATACATGTGACACTTATTTAGAAAATTTTAATCTTATTGTATATACATTTTATCCTGCGAAAACTTCCATCTTGTTATATTTATCATTTTCCAACTCACTTTATTTGTACTATGGCTGATGGTGTAATTGAACATTTCATTGATAAAATTATTTTAATGCTATTGTATGCACATACATTTTAATCATTCTTTCATATAAGATGTTGGATTACTTGTAATGTTAATTTTGTGAATATTTTCCATAAGGTTTAATAGGTGCACCTTGATTTTTTTATGATTTCACGTGAATATATTATAAAATTAATAACTACGCATTTTTAAAACACTTGATGCAGTTTGTCAAGTGTCTTATTCTCTTAAAATATATAGAAATTATCTGAGAATGTAATATATAATTGAAAAGAATGCAACCTGGGTTAGCAATTATTTTACATAATAAACAGTTAAATAGCTGGTTTCACAACCGTTGACTTGCATTCAAAGCTTTCTGCAAGTTAATAACAAGACCTAGTATTAGTAATTACCACTATTGTACTACTAGTCAACCTTTTTTCTTGTCCTTTTACACCTCCTACTCTCTTCCTCCTCCAATTTGCACTGTCAGTTTCCCTTAATGTGAATGGGGAAATCTTTCAAGAGTAATGTAGAGTGACATAGATTTTTCATTAGTCTTACTTCAGCTTTTCTCTCTTGAGAAAGTGACTATATAAAGCCCATACAATTTGCATTAAACAGAGATACTGAGTTTTAACAATGGAATAAAATTTCAGTTTTATGTAAGCAAAAACGTTCTTTTAAGAGGTTGCATAATAATGCATTGAAGAATGCTTACTTTGTACATATGTCTTAAAATGTGATATTAATTTAAAATATGTGAGGTTCTTGTGTTCCTTCAAAAAGAATATAATCTTATATGCTGACAGAAGTTTCTTCATATTGAAACTAAGGGCACTATTCAGATACAAGTGGTAGAAATTATTTCGTCTTTATTATGCATGCATTGTTCACTATCTCTGTGCTTCTCTGTCAGGCACCTATGATGTTGAGACAAGTTCATCCAGAAAGCTTTACTGATTTGCTTGTCATAAGGCAGACATCATCTGCTCTAATAGGTATGTTTATGCTCTAAAATGTAAAATTCTGGGATCTCAATGCAGAAATGATTTTAAATACTTTGTTAAAGTCAAGTGAACCCTGGGTTTGTCTGCACATATTTGAGGTACACATTTATATTGTTGAGGAAGAGTTTTAAGCTGGAATACTGGTGAAGATCCTTGTTACTTATGGTAGAATTTTAGAATTTCAACTAGCTCATCTTACTGTCACAATTGGTATGTATAATTTTAATCAAGTCCACAGGGTATCTGTCATCTATGACTTTGCAAGAGAATATAACCTTGATGTGCTGAATAATCTGGTTCTCTTAAATGAGGAATGATATCTCAAGTGACTTGCACATGTTAAGTAGTTAGTAGTATTAGTAATAATCACAAAATAACCATAATTACAAAATTAATAACATTTCTGAGTCACTGACTATATGCCAGAGACATTTTAAGTGTTTTGTCTGTTTTAATATTTTTTCCACACAACACAATATGAAGTTGGCACTATTTCTGTAAATGTGGGCCTAATGATTTCTATCAACATTCTAGTCCACTTTTCCATCATCTGTTACCTGAATCCATGGAAAGTTTCCTGAATGGTTAGCTCTTTACAGTGTGGCCCTTCTGTAATTTAATCCATTGAATATCTTGGAGGCTTTTCTTAAAAAAGAGAATCGTTTCATATATATTTATTTCTTAACTCTTTTTAGTAGTTTTTCAATACTCTTAAGAAATATTTCCACTACTAATATGTATCCGGCTCTAATTTACCTCTTAGTATCATCTCATTCTTAGTCATTCCCTGAAAACAAAACCTGAGGACTTGAGAACTGTCCTGACCACTTTATCTGCTTTCCCTTTTTGTCTGCCCCTCCCCTTCATTCTTTTACCTATTCCTGCATATTTTTTAGCCCTCATCTTACTAATCAGTAACTCCAGGATACTTTCTATTATCTCCACTGATGCTTTTTTGACATTGGGTTTTTCCTTGAGATAATAGTTTTTTATAACATTTTCATTAATTACTTTTCTATATATCAAAGTAGAATGTAAGGTATGTGGGGACGGAAACTGTGTCTATTTTTTTTCTCTGAAATTTCTGCACTTACTTGTGTTTTGTGCTAATCCTTTTATAAGTATTATTTGAATGAATGACCAATACCTTCTTAGGTGTTGCATAATCAACATTTTACTTTAATCAACCCTACATTCAAAGTCTCCTTACTATTCCTCTCTATTTGTAATATGCATAAAACTCACATACGTGTGACGGTATTAACATATACATGAGTTTCTAATTAGTATCTGCTTTACACCACCTACTTCCCATCTTTCTTTCAGTGTAAGTCAAACATTTTGAATGAAAACTATAGACTCATTTCTACTGAAACTTCGAAGCCAACAAAATAAAACCAACAAAAGTATGTTTACCTTAGGTAGGGGTTTGGCAGGTTTGCAGTGGAATCCTCCAACAAAATCAACGTTTGGTAAGAATGGATGAGGAAATTGAAAACTCCAGGAGTTTCGCATAAGCCATATGTCAGCTTTTCCCATTGTCTCAAATAAGGTAGTGGGTCTTCCTGACAGGAATAAAGAAAAGAAAAAGTGGATGATGTAAGATAATTACTTTACATACCTTTCTGAAAAAGGTTAGAACAATGTAAGCAAAGATGTAGGTAAAGTTTATGTGCTTTGAAAAATATATAAATATATATGAATAATATATTATTATGTATTATATATTTTGTCCATGTTTATTTATAAGAAAGGCAAAGTGGTGGGAGAATTATGAGGTTAAGCGACATCTCTAATGTCAAGTCAGTATACTCACAATTATTAAAATAAGTCATAGATAATTAAACATCAATTTATTTTCTCTTTAAAGCTTCAATAGTTGCATATAGATATTTAAACAACTCTTTGAGCTCCATAATCAATTAATTCTACTGTACCCATAAAACCAATTTTCTAACAGTCCAGTTTACACAACTCATTAAGCTAATCCTTTTATCTTTGGTTCAAGTGAACTCTGTACTATTTTGAGTGTATGGCAGAAATCCTGGTACCAACTATTCATTTGGATTTGAGCTAAGATCTTAATAATATTATCATTTAAGTAAATATATTTGTAAATTATAGCTAGAAATTTTGAGAAATTATTGAAATAGAGAACTGTACTCAACCTTAATCTGTCTCATATTTTTAAATAAAGAGACATGGTTTCAATAAACTATATAGATATAACAACCTTCACACTTCAACAAGATAATTGGACTTCAAATGCATGATTTCCAATTCTTTAGTTAGGGAGTATAGAAATATTAGAAACTTCAAATCACCCTTATTGACTTTTGCATCTGAGATGTAGACATTATCTCTCTCTACTGTGAAGGAAACCTTCTGGAAACATGGGAATATCTTTCAATATCTAAATAAGAAAACTGAGATTTACAAGGAAAACTTTCTGCAGTTACATAGATAGTTGTAGAAAAATGTGTAATTACTCATTCTATATCTATGCATTCAGTAAGATGTTACTTGATGGATTTTACTGTTTTTAAGATCTAAAACATTATATAGTAAAACAGATGTGTAATTGCTTAAATTCTTAGGTGTACTAATATATAGGTTTATGATTTCCTGGGGTGTTCTGTTTGAGTGATGGCCACAGGGTTTTAACAGACCTTATAATTTAAGCTTTTCTATAATGTTTGTGAGATTGATAGATCATCTTGTATTTTCATTTCATAAATTCACTTACCAAAAACTCCACTTCCCTGACTTTATGGCTTTATAAAAGCTCTGCTTCAAAGACACAAATAAGTTAGATCTTCACGTTACCGATTAAACAAATTCTTACCTAAAACTTCACTGTAAAACTGATCCCACTTCTTCATATCAGACATTTGGAACCAAAAGTCAAAATAAAGCACATAGATCATATTTTTTACCCTCTCCATGAAAGTCATTTGATCACTTAATTTTGACATAACAATAGGTATGTAGGAAGGAGGGAAAATCAGTCCTCCACTGTGCCTTTCAATTGTGTAGCCAGGAGTAAAGCGGAGACTGTACACAAACCGTATGTTAAGTAGCGCAGCCAGCAGCTCACCACAGGGAAAAACAGCATCTGCAAAAACGATGTCAAATCTTGACTCTTGTAGTTTTTTCATAACTTTCTTATTTGAAACTACATCTTTACAGAAGTTTCTAAATATGTCATATAATTCCCACAGGATTTCTTGTTCTTGTGAAAAATATAACCAAAAGCTATCTTTTCGAATGTCTGACCATCTCTTAACCTGTTGCATGATGATATTCTCAAATTCAGTTTTAGTTAAAGATGTAGGATAAACTTCAAATTTAAGAGTGGATGCATCATTGGGATCAAAAAGAATGGAAGCTGAAGATGCCAGTACAGTCACCTCATGACCTCTCTGAACAAGCTCTTTCAGGATTGTCTTCATATTCATCCAATGGCTGTATTCTGCGGCCCACACCAGCACTTTTCCACAACTCCCAGAGCTAAAGTAACAACTGAGATGTATCAGCAGAAGAACTGAAGTCCATTTCAGAGTCATCCTGGTGCAATGCGATCATTCTTTTCCAGTCACTGTTTCTTTCTCATACTTATATACAGAGATAAATCAATCAAGTTAAAATATAACTCCTCCAATCCAAAGTAAATATATTATAGGAGCATCCTGAGTACATGGATGGCAAGGAGACAAACAAAGTTCGATTACTTCATATTTACTCAAGGATGTTTTATGTTTCTTTTATGTTTATATTCACTGTCATCCACCTAAGATTAATGACCTTGCAAGTACCCTGTTTTATGTAACCTACTTTATAATAGTGTCAAGAACAGTGGCAAGTGAGAGAGTCCTGCAGAGCCCTTGACACAGAATAAGAGATGAAATGATTGTACAATGCAAACAGCATTTTTGAATATCGTGGTTCAATGAATATCTTGTAAATCTTTGTTGGAGTATAATTCAAATACCATATGATTCATCAATTAGTATTTAAAATTAAGTATTTCCTAGTAAATTCACAGACTTGTGCATCCAACGTAACAATCAGTTTTATCTAAAAAAACAAAAAACTCCTGTGTATTAGTTCTCATCTCCCCACCAAATTTCTGCATCCACCCTGCACTAGGCAACCAGTAATCTAATTTCTGCCTCTAGAAACACACCTATTCAGGATCTTTTTAAAAGTAAACGGAACAATATAGTATGTGGTCTTTTGTGGCTGGCTTCTTTTATTTAGTTTAATGTTTTTAAAGGACCATCCGTAGAATAGTGTAAATAAGGACTTCATTTTTATTGCCAAATTGTATCAGATGCTATTTATAAACACAATTTATTTATTCATTTATAAGTTGATAGATATTGATTTTCTTCCACTTTTGGCCATTATGAATAGCATTGATTAACATTGATGTGCATGAATTCTGTGGACATGTTTTTATTTTTCTTGGGGATATGCCTAGAAAGGCAATTACTGAATTATGTGGTAAATGTAAATATAACCTTTTGAGGAATTGCTAGACTTTTTCAGAGTGAGTGAATAATTTTCTATTCTCACCAACAATGTATGAGGGTTTCAATGTCTCCACAACCTTGCCCACCCTTGTCTTTCACATAACCAAAAAAGTTATTTTTTATTTTAATTTATAAACACACTCCAACAGACCCAAAAAAGGAAGGTTTCCTTCCACATATTGGAGGGAAAAGTGAATAAATTAAATAATAACTTACCTAATACTTCACTGTAAAACTAATCTCACTTCTTTTTGTTAAAAATCTCAAATGCAAAGTCAAAATGAAGAAAATGCAACAGATTTTTCACCTTTCTACAAATGTGTTTTGGTACTAAGTTCTGATATGACAACAGTTACATCAGAAGGAGGTAATGTAAGTCCTCCACAGAGTTCTTGGTACATACTGCCAGTTGTAAATGGATGATAGTAGACCAAATGTATAACAAATGTTTAACAGACTAAGCTGTTCAGATAACAGCTCACTACTGAGAACTGACATCTGCAAGAATGACATAAATTCTGGAATCTTGTTGTTCCTCATAATTTTCTTGTTCAAAACAGCATACTCAATGAGCTTTTGAACAGTATCAGAACATTCATGATATGTAGTTTTTGCATCTTTGAATCATATGCCAACAATGTACTCTTTGGAAACTTATATGTCCACATCTTGATCAATTTCATAAATATGAAATCAAGTTCCTTCTGAGTAAAAGATGTGGGATAAACCTCAAATTTAACAGCAGATTGTTGGAATCAATGAGGATGGAAGCTGAAGGTGACAAGCACAGTTACCTCATGGTGTTCTGAGCAAGTTCATCAAGTATCAACATTAAATTGATACAAAGACTGTATTTCATCGGCCACACCAGCACATTCTCGCAGGATTCAGGGCTAAAATACAACTGTCAGCATAAGAAACAAAAAAGCCCATTTCTTAGACAACTTGTTAAAATGCTATCTTTCTTTATAACTTTCTCTAACTTGGTACATATCAATATCAATCAATGTCACAATGATTTAAGTATTGACAATAGAGGTTTTGGAAAGCAAGTGAATAAAGAAAAGGATGAATGATTTTGTGTTTGCATGTGTGAATAATAAATTTCATTCTTATTGTAAATATGGCTGTCTCCAGAACAAGAGATAATTTAATTGTATATGAAGAGTTTCTAGTATAAGAAAGCAGCATTGTGTCAACAATGAGGCAGGGGTGTGATCTATTCTTATTTATCTTAACATTCTCAAATAGACCGTCTTCATTTTCTCTATGTATTTTCACAATTATGATATTAGCATCATTTCATGTTTCCTGACATTATTTTTCTGACCATAGAAATTCATTTTCTTTTTATCCAAACAGATATGTTTTAAGTACAATTACAGTTACTTTGCTTCATTTGCAAATATTTTGTCTAAATTACAATATTTTATTTTTCTGAATATTTGCAGCATTCCTTATGTTTCTCACTCTTAGAAAGTATTTATCTTCTAAATGCCTACTCCTGAACTTGTTTCACAGATTGTCTTGTAATTCAGGTAATTTGTACTTTTAAAAAGTCTCACCAGAAATTTACATCAAAGTAGAATTAGGAAGGAAAAGATGCATGTCACAAAACAGACAAATTTGTTTTTATTCTATTAATAATCTGTTAACCTGAAATGAGATAAGTCTTTCTCAAAAGGATGTTGGAACACAGTTTCTGAGCAAATATTGCCTGCAGAGTGGCAATATTGTTCAATATTTTTAATGTCCTTGAGTGCATGCATTATGTGTCACCCAGATTTTCCCTTTGGGAATATACAAATTACTTTCCAGCTGATGAAGTGATTAACAACTGACATACCTCACCTATAAGCTCTCTGTCTCAGAACAGCACTGCTGAAAGCTATCTAGTA
Source organism: Homo sapiens (assembly GCF_000001405.40). NCBI lineage: Eukaryota > Metazoa > Chordata > Mammalia > Primates > Hominidae > Homo > Homo sapiens. The sequence continues at coordinate 69,217,590 of NC_000004.12, forward strand.
TAAAGTGACCTTTCCAAGACAGCCCATATCCAATGCCTGGTCATATGTAAGATTTTGAAGGCCAATTCTCCTCATTTCAATGTGGACCAACTCTGAAGGGCTAACTTAGCTTCAAACTCCCAGTGGGTGAGATGAAACCTATGCTGAGACTGCATGTCTCAGCATGCTCAGGGTGCTATATAGAAAAATACCATACATTGCCTAGCATATAGACAAAAAAAATTTATTTGCCACAGTTCTTGAGGCTGAAATTTTCACAATCAAGATGCTGGTATTGGGCATTCCTCCAAGATGGCAGCCCGTCACCATGTCTTAATGGGGAAAAGAGATGAATGAGTTCTTGTGAGCAAATTTTGGAATGGAATTAATTCCACTAATGAGGACTCTGCCTTCGTGACCTAAACACCTCCTAAAAGGTTCTGTCTGCTAATACAGTCATTTTGGTTATAAGAATTTTAACATATTAATCTTTGGAGCACTCAAACATTCAAACCATTGAATTGAATTATATCCTAATTTGTTCCATAGTCCAATCTTGCTTCCTACTTTTTCACAGGTGTTATTTTCAATAAAACTCCCAAATTATCTTCCTCAAAAGCATATTCAGCTTAGAGTCTACTTCTTGGAGCCACCCAGCATTTGATAATATGTACCAAGAGAGGTCAGAAAAAAAGAACAGACAACAAAATGAGATTTTAGAGTTGGATCATTCACTACCAGTTGTAAGGAGAATCCTATCACTATTGGTAGGGAGAACACAAATAGACCCTGGAATGTGATAATTTAAATTTTTCATACTTTCAGTAATGGCAAATTATGATGGTAATCTTTTGAAAGGGAAAGTGTTACTTATTAGGATATATCACAAATGTATCAATATGGGAAAAGTAGAAATTATGACCACAATAGAGGCAAATGTTTTTTTCTTCAGAGTTAATGCTTGGGATAAAATAATAGAAGAGTGAGGACTAATAACCATCAAATTAAGGCAAACTATGAAAGCCAGAAAAGTCTCCTTGGAAGTGTTCCCAGATAAAGGGGCCTTGATTCAGACACCGAGAGAAGGTTCTCGGATTCCACACAGGAAGGAATTCAAGGTGAGTCACAGAGTGCAGTGAGAAAAGATAGTTCATTGAAAGCTATGACATTACAGAGTAGGGCATCCTCTGAAGGGAAAGAGTTGAATGCAACACCTTTGTTTCAAGTTTTTCTTATATAGGAGTTGTCTCTGTAAAGGACCTATTCACAAAAGTCCCTGGATTTTGTCTGCAGCTCCATCTCTGTGCAATTTCTGGGAGACCCCTCTGCCAGTCCACATGTCCTTGAAGGTATGGAGCCCCATCTAGCCAGAATTCCAGATGTCTATAGTGAGAGGGAGCTGTCTACTATTCCTTTGACTCACCTTTCCCTAGAAACCGCTCAGGGTAGAGAACCAGCTGTAGTATTCAGGCACCCCATTCAGCGTCCTCAGCCTTCTTTCTCTTCAGCCTCAGTGACTACTTCTTTCCTCCATCCACACTCAGTATTTTCTCTCCAAAGATCTGTTCAAATTATGTTGGTATGAAAAAAAAAACCTGGTGTTCCCCTGGTGGCAGTGGCACTTCCTGACTGCATCTAGTTGATCATCTTGAGCACATTCCTGTGTATATATTCTTTTGAGAATTCTTTCTTGATGTCCCTGCCCCATTTTTTAATGGAGTTGTTTGTGTATGTTTTATTAATTTGTTTAAGTTCCTTATAGATTTTTGATATTAGGCCTTTATCAGATGCATAGTTTACAATTATATTCGCCCGTTCTGTAAGTCATCTGTTTATTCTGTTGATAGTTACTTTTGTTGCACAGGGGCTTTTTAGTTCAGTTATGTTCTCTTCTATTGATTTTGTTCTAGGGTTTTATAGTTTATGATACTGTACTAGCGTTTTCTCATGCTGTTACTAAAGACATACCCGAGACTGGGTAATTTAAAAGGAAAGAGGTTTAGTAGATTCACAGTTACACATGGCTTGGGAGGCCTCGCAATGATGAGAAAAGGCAAATGAGAAGCAATGTTATGTAATACATGGAGGCAGGCAAGAAGACTTGTGTAGGGAAACTCTCCTTTATAAAACTATAAGATCTCAAGACACTTATTCACTATCATGGGAATAGCATGGGAAAAATGCGCTACAATGATTCAATTACCTCTCACCAAGTTCCTCCCACAACAGCTGGGAATTATAGGAGCTACAATTCCAGATGAAATTTCGGTGAGGGAACAGCCAAATCATATCATTCTTCCCTTGGCCCCTTCCAAATATCAGGTCCTCACATTTCAAAACCAATCCTGCAGTTCCCCAAAGTCTTAACTAATTTCAGCATTAACTCAAAAGTCCACAGTCCAGAGTCTCATCTGAGATAAGGCAAGTCCTTTTTGCCTATGAGCCTAAAAAACAAAAGCAAGTTAGTTACTTTCTAGATACAATGAAGAAACAGGCATTGGATAAATACACTCCTTCTAAATGGCAGAAATTGGCCAAGACAAAGGGGCTACAGGCTCCATGCAAGTCCGAAATCCAGGTAAGGCAATAAAATCCAGGGGACAGTCATTGCCAAAATGATCTTCTTTGACTCCATGCCTCAAATACAGGTCACACTGATATAAGCGGTGGGATTCCATGGTCTTCGGCAGTTCAACCCTTTAGTTTTGCAGGGTACAGGTCTCCTCTTGGCTGCTTTCATGGGCTGGCATTGAATGTCTGTGGTTTTTCCAGTTGCATGGTCTAAACTGTTTGTGGATGTATCATACTGTGGTCTGGAGGACGGTGGCCCACTTCTCACGGCTCCACTGGGTAGTGCTCTGGTGGTGACTCTCTGTGTGGGTGTGTTGGGGGTGGGGGGGCTCACACTACACATTTTGCACTCACACTGTGCTAACAGAGTTTCTTCATGATTGTCTCAACCATGTGTAAGACTATTTGTAGCTTGATGGCCTCGATCCTGAAGAAAACAAATTTGACAAGGAGGTTAAAAATGCAAGGCCCAAAAGCGAGTAATAGTAGGATGGCTGTCACAGGCCTACAAAAGGGAGGAGCCAAGGTATCCATTGGTTAAACATATTTCAGGGACCTAAGTGTTCAAGCTCCTTTTTTCTACTTTCTATTCATTCTCTTATTTCTTTGACCTTTTCAGTAATGATTCCTGACTGGTTAATGAAATGGCAACATTCTTCTCCTAAGAAGAGGCAGGTTCCTCCTCTTTCAACTGTTAATAAGTCTAGGGCTCTCCGATTTTGAAGGACTACCACAGTTAGAGAATTAAGCTGGCTTTGTAGGGTCACTAGAGAGTCGGTAGCTAATTCCATGTCATCATTTAATTCTCGTGATAATTTATAACAGAATTGTGTGGAGGAGGTTATGCCTCCAATTCCAGTCCCAAGCCTGCCTAGTATTCTGGCTCCTACAATAAAAGGGACAATAAGGGTTCGCGTGTGGCAAGATTGGGGTATAAGGAGACTTTGTAACTCTTGTTCAGTATATATGGACATGGGAGGTGCTAGAAAGGAGAGAAAGCACAGTTCTTTCGGAGTGCCATTTAGGCATGATAGGCTGTGATATCACAGATGAAAAAAATGCCTTAAGGTAGACAGGTGAAACCTGAGGTCTTGCACTAGTCTCCACTGACTATTTGGTTTTTGTATTCCTAGAATTGGGGTGTTCCAAGGACTGGTACATATTTTTACTAAACCTTGAGCTTTTAAATTTCTAACAATATCCTGTAATCCTTTGAGAGCTTCAGGCCTTTAGGGATATTGCCTTTGATAAGGAAAAATGGTGGGGCCTTTTAGCTTGATTTGGACTGGATGAGCATTCTTTGCCCTTCCAAATTGTCCTTCTAAGGCCCAGACCTCGAAGTTGATTTCTTCTTCAAGTAGGGGACAACAAATGGGTAATTTGTTCCCCATATTCATGTAGATAATGGCCCCAGCTTTGGCTAATATGTCCCTCCCTAATAAGGGTGTGGGACTTTCAGGCATTACAAGAAAGGCATGTGAAAGAGCAAAGTCTCCCAATTGCAGCTGAGGAGACGAGAGAAATACCTGGTTACAGGCTGTCCTAAGATTCCTCGGATAGAAACAGACTTTGAGGACAGTCATCTGGGGCAAGAGGTTAAAACTGAGAAGGCCACACCAGTGTCCAGGAGGAAGTCCACTTCCTGGCCCTCAATGGTCAAACTTACCTGGGGCTCTGTGAGGGTGACGGCATGAGCTGGCGCTTGCCCCAGGCACACTCAGTCCTGTTGCTGAATCATCTGGGTGGGTGCTTCTGGTCCAGAGGTCCTTCATCCTCTGGGGCAGTGCACCAATTGCACATGGGTGAGGGGGTGGTTTGTTTTTTGTTGAACACTCTTTCTTAAAGTGTCCTTGCAAACCGCACTGATAACAAGTCCTACTAGGCAATTGGCCTCTCCTCTCTTGATTCCCTCTGAGCCACCAAGGTCTGCCTGTCTGAGGGCCATGACTAAGGCTGCAGCCTTTCTCTTATCTCACTTTTCCCTTTTGGCCTGTTCCTCTTGGTCCCTGTTATAGAACACTGAGGTTGCCAGGTTTAATAATATCTCTAAATTTGTTCTGGGCCTAAGGCAGAGTTTTGGAGTTTTCTCCTAATGTCAGCCACTGATTGGGTGATAAGTTTATCCTTTAAAATAAGTTGGCCTTCAACGGAATCTGGAGTTAAGGAGCTGTGCTTTCTTAGGGCCTTCCTTAGCCTTTCTAGAAAAGCAGAGGGGTTTTCCTCCTTTCCCTTTGTAATTGTGGATAGCATTGAGTAGTTCACAGGCTTTTTCCTGGTCTTCCTCAACCCATCTAAAATGCAAGTTTGCAAATGCCAGCGGCCCCAGTCTCCATGATCTGAGTAAGTATCCCAATGAGGGTCTACACTGAGGACTGCCTGTTGCCCTGTGGGGAATTTTTGCCACTCCTCCAGGGTCATTCAATCATTTAGCTGGCTAAAGTACCATAGATCCCCAAATTACCAGGCTGCTGCTAAAGCTGCTTCTTTTTCAGTAGGACTTAAGGTCTGATCAAGAAGCAACTGATAACTGTCCATGTGAGATCAAAGGACTGCCCCAATTCTTGCAGGACATCTATACAGTCATCAGGATCATCTGAGAATTTCCCTAAATTTGCCTTTATCTGTTTCAAATCTTGAGAGTGAGAAGGGGGCATGCACATGAATGGGCCCAAATTCTCCTCCTACTGCTTATAAGGGACATAGTTTGGGTGCCTTATAAGCACCCAAGTTTAAGTTCTCTTTCCGATGCACCTTTAACACTTCAGTGGGGCTGGATGGAGGAGAGTCAGTGCAGGAGGAGAGTAGGGCTGAGGGAAAAGGCCCTGAGTATGGAGGCAATTGTGGCCCTCTGTCCTTTGGGCAAAGCTTGCAGGCTTGGCACAGGTCAGTACTGTCACGAAGGGCAAAGAAAGCTTGTACATAAGGGACATCACTCCATTTATCTTCCTGTTTACAGAAAAGATCTAGTTGTAGAAATGTGTTATAATTAATACTTCCCTCAGGGGACCACGTTTCTCCATTTTGTAAGGAATACTGTGGCCAGGCAGTGGTACAGAAGACAATCAGCCACTTCTTTTTTAAGGTTTCAGGGTTGAATTTGTCTCAGTTATTCAGGATATATCTTAAGGGAGTGTCCGGTTTGGTGCCCATCTGGAATTTTAAACACAGGGATGCCCGCACCGCTGGTTATTCCTGGGACTCATCTTCTCTTAGGGCGTCCCCCACAGGTCAGGCCCAGATGTGCTCAAAGCTCATGGCCACTTTTCCTGAGCCCTCCATCTACTGGATTTAACCATGCTTACCGGCAGGATGGAAACTTCCGTTGTCCCTGCTGTGCACCCACTGACCACTAAATGGAGCACAAGGACTGTTGGATTTATTGTGGTCCTTCTGCCAATGCATCCTACCTGTTCCAGGGTGGCAAGGCCTGGGACTGAGGCACCACTGATGCCTGCATGCTAAGGCCCAATTTACGTGGGCCTGGCCATAAAATTGTCCTTCAAGGAGAAATCTCTGAATTAGCAACAGGAGGCTTATTAAGCTTAAAGGGGGTGGTGGATGTTCTCTAGGCCAGGGCTGAGAGAACAGCTGCTGTACTCTAGGCTTCTGTCCCCACTTCCCATCAAAGGAGTAAGCCCCTCTCTTACGGTGGTCCAGTAATCTGTGTCCCAACTGACTATATTTTCTTCCTTCCAATACCAACTATTGAATGGTTCAAATAGCAATTCAATGGCTCTAAGAGCTGTACCCATGCACCACAGATTGTACTTGAGAGGTCCCAACAAGGGGGAAAGTCTATCTGGGGAGCAATGGAGGAAATGCCCTAAGGCTTCTACTATCCATATGATAATTACAGACCTATCTTTAAATTGTCTTGATGTGGGGAACCATACACTATGGTGGGGAACTGGCCCTTCAAAATGGCCATGGAACGGAAACACATGCCTGATCCTCGGAGGGCACCATGAACAGGGATCTTCCGGGCACCATCCCAAGAATTTAAGACTTTTAAATAGAGAATCTTCATCCTGCCTAGTGGGAATAACCTTGCTTGCGAGATGAGGAAAGAAGTCTGGCCGGCGGACATTAGGACCCAGGAGGAAGGGGTCAGAAGATGTGGTGGTCTCACACTCAGTAACCCTTGCAGGGAGAGCCTTTGGAGGGGCCATGGTCTCAACCAGGAAATCTGGGTGACTAGAATGTCTGCTGATAACTCCCAGGTGTACTTCCGGACCACCATGAAAAGTGAAAGAGTATGAACCGGATCCAGACTTACCAACATTCCCAGACCCAGAGGGTCAGGGTTGTTAGAGAGCCTTTTTCCAGAGAGCCTGACACCGGTGTCTTTAGTCTCATGGCCGCGCTAATCACCTTTAAGTGGCCCAGAGGTGCCCGGTTTAGCCTCTGAATTCTAAGGAAGGACAGGACAGAATTGCAAGCCAAAGAGGTCTGATCATACTCACCACGTGACGATGTAAATGCCTTTCCTGGAGATCCTCCTGGCTGGTTCACCAAAAATGTAATGCCAAAGGTTCTTGCCTTAGCCACGCCAAAGATTTGGTGTGGCAGCAGCCCTTGGTGAGGGTGAGAGAGAGACACGGATCAACCGAGAGAAAAAAAAAAAAAGCTGTAGGCTTTATCGAGCAGAGTGATGGTACAAAGCTTCCACAGCGTGGAAGGGGTCCCAAGCGGGTAGCTAGTGTTAGATTTTTCGCTCACCTTTTAAACTCTTTAAGGCGGGAAATACATGTGTGGGAAGATGTTACCAGAGCCAGAAACAAAGACAATTAACATGTCTTAGATCTTGAGGAAAACCAGAATTGTAACTTAAGTTTTATCTACTTTATAACCTGGCAGCACCATGGCAAAGGAGTCAGAATCTCACAAGATTTTACAAATTGTGTTTACAAGGAAGTGGAATTGGGAGCACAGACAAGGGCCGCTGGTCATAGAAAAACTGGCTTTTAACATTCCTTTTAGTTTCAGGGGAGGGGGAAGGGAGAGAGGGAGCAAAGACACAGGGAAGCTTACAGCTAAAGTTTCTCTGTGTATAGCTTCGTTGGGGAAGAAAACACATGCACAAATTCTGATGTTAGGAATATTTTAAGCATATATCTTCAATATGATTCATCCAGGACCAAAGTAAGTTCTAATGCAGGAAATGAGTGAGTTTCACAGTTTTCGGAGCCCCTACTTGACCCAGGAAACCGAGCTGGAACCTCCTCTCATTTGTACATACATTTTTTCTTCTGAAACTTTGCTGAAGTTGTTTTTCAGAAGTAGGAGCTTTTGGACAGAGGCTTTGGGGTTTTGTGTGTATAAAATAATACCATCTGAGAAGACAGATAGTTTGTCTTTCCCTCTTTCTATTTGGATGCCTTTTATTTTTCTCTCTTGCTCTGGCTAGGACTTCCAATACCCTACTGAATAGCAATGGTTAGAATGGACATCATTGCCTTGTTCCAGTTCTCAAGAGGAATCCTTTGAGCTTTTGCCCATTCAGTATGCTGTTGACTGTGAGTTTTCACAGATGGCTCATATTATTTTGGAGTATTTTCCTTTAATACATAATTTGCTCAGGGTTTTTTAGAGTAAAATTGAGACCAAACAATCAGAAAACATCAACAATACTGAAAGTTTTTTATTTGAAAGAATAAATAAGATTGATTAATTACTAGATAGACTACAAACGAATAAAAGAGAGATGATCCAAATAAACACACTCAGAAATGACAATCAAGAGATCATCATCAACCTCAGGAAAAACAAACTACCTGCAAAGACCATTATGACCATCTCTATGCATACAAACTTAAAAACCTAGAAGAAGCAGATAAATTTCTGGACACCTACATCGTCTCAAAGTTGAACCAGGTAGAAATAGAAACCCTGAACTGACCCAAAATGAGTTCCGAAACTGAATCAGTAATATAAAGTCCAGCAAACAAAAAAGACCTGATTCAGATAGATTCACAGCCCAATTATTTTATACATATAAAAATAAATACTAGACAGCCTACTGAAACGATTTCAACAAATTGAGGAGGAGGGACTCCTCCTTAACTCATTCTATGAGGCCAAGATTGCTCTGATACCAAAACCTTGCAGAGACACAGGAAGAAAAGAAAACATCAGGCCAATATCTATCATGAATATAACACAAGAATCCTCAACAAAGTACTAATTAATCGAATTCAGCAGCACATCAAAACCTAACTACCACAATCCTGTGTCCATGTGTTTTCATTGTTCAATTCCCACCTATGAGTGAGAACATGTGGTGTTTGGTTTACCTTCCTTGCGATAGTTTGCTGAGAATGACGGTTTCCAATTTCATCCATGTCCCTACAAAGGACATGAACTCATCATTTTTTATGGCTGCATAGTATTCCATGGTGTATATGTGCTACATTTTCTTAATCCAGTCTATCGTTGTTGGACATAGACATCTTATACAGTGCTGGAAATCTATCAAATATTTGCTGGTTGTAATGAATGTTCAACATGTCTATCCTTTGATAGGTCTTTTTTGACTTACCAATCTCACTGATACGATTTATGATCAGATATTGAAATAATAGAGACCTTCAGAAGGGAGATGGTCATAATACACATGAGCACTAAGACTGGGGTATTATCCAGAAAGACCTAATTTAGAAAGCTGTGTACATAGTAATAGAGAAGATAGCACTAGGGACAAAACAGATAGGTGACCAAGGGAATTTCTCAATCTGTAATACCAGAAGAGTTCAAGAATGGATACTAAAAAGTTGAGGGCAGCTGTTCTCACTAGAAATCACAGTAATCTGTCAAGGGTCTGGACCTAAGTTTGTTTTCAGACCTGAAATTTATTTACGGACAAAGACACCAGGCCCTTCAGGGAAAAAAATTCTGTAAAGCCAAATAAACTCCCATGATACTGATTCCATATTTTTTTTTTTTTTCCTGAAAAGGACAGTGACATCCCTAGGATAACTGGTGATTTCCTCAATTTCCAAAATGCGTAATTGTGTAGATACACTTTCTCTTTAGAAAAACCGTGAATTATATCATTGGTGCCTGGATACAAGTCATTTTAGTGGGAAAGGCCAAGTGGATTATCTTTGCATTAGTTTCTTGGGCTGCTTAAAATAGAAATTATTCTCTGATAGCTATCTAAGCCAGAAAGTCAAAATCTGTATTCTCAGGGTTCATTTGTTCTGGAGGCTCTAAGAGAAAAACAATTCAATGCCTGTCTCTTGGCCTTTACTGGTTGCTGACAATTCTTGGAGTCCCATGGCTTATGGCTTCTCACCAACTTCTCTTTCCTCAGCATCATCTTTTCTTTTCTTTCTTCCCAATTTTCTCCTGCCTTTATTCTTTTCAAAAAAATTTGTTTGCTTTTAATTTTTTGTAGAAGCGATGTCTTGCTATGTTGACTTGGCTGGTCTTGGATTCCTGGCCTCAAGGGATCCTCCTACCTTTCTCCTTATAAAGATATCTGTCATTGGATTTAGAGCACATCATAAATCCGGAATAAATTTGTCTTGATTTTCTTTGTTTACATACATCTGCAAAGATCTTCTCTCCAATAAAGTCACTTTAATAGATTCTGGAGGTTACTCACTGGACATATTTTTGGGGAAGACAACTCTTCAATTCACTAGATACATGAAGCTTCTTCATTCCTCCATTACCACAGATGTCAGGTGGCCCAGAAAATGGAAAATAAAATTGCATTGCATACCTGGGTATTGTGAAAATTAAAGACCTTGAAGGTATAAAAGATGCAGGATGATGGGCTCCATTACATCTTTGATTAAAAGTTTGACCACTGCAAAATCCAACAGATCCTAGAGTCTGGTAGTGGACTCCTGCAATTTCCACCAATATTTGCTCCACTGGCATCCCGTGTGTCAGGTGGAGTATCTTTGCTAGACCAGATGAACATTCATATTATTAAAATGGCTGTACTTCTGACAGTGATTAATGGATTTATTGCATTCTCTATTAAATTCCTATGGTATTTCTTATAGAATTGAAAAAAATCTTTAAATTTGTATGAAAACACAAAAGACTGTTAACATTCAAACCTGATTTTTTAAAAAAGCACAAGATGATCTTATATATTACTTTTAAAAAAGCAACTATAAGACTTTATAGAAAAAAGACTTTCTTTTTTTATAGGTTAAAACTGAATCTAGTCAGTTTTATTCAAGATTAAATCTGGCTACTTCTTCTTCACCTCAGAATGTTAAAGTTTTTATAGGGTTATTCAAAAATAGCTTAATTATGCCCTGTTCTCCATGTACAAGCCAGGAGACATTAAGTTCTGAGACTTATGTCCCAACTTTTTGGGACTGACTTTTGTTCCAATTGTGGGAATTGACATTTGGTCTTTCCTTTCTTCTACAGTCAAAATGTCAGTGGACTCATTTTGATCCGTGCCATCTCTCTCTAAAGAAATATGCTGTTTCCAAACTTTAAACTGTACTTAGCTTGGAAAAGAAGGCCTAGTAACAGAGATAGGAGTTATCATTACATATCTAGCTATCGTTACATAATGGAAGCCAGACCTTGTCAACTCAATCCTTTACCAAAATTTTAAACTCATTAATAGATGATTGAAATGATAACATGATTTCCTCTAGTGCTGCTCACAGGCTTCCCACTTTATTTAAGAAAATCCATTATTATAGAGCTTGGGTGATGGATAAAGTAAGGCATTCACTTGTTTTTTTTATGTTATAGACAGAAGCTGGGTTTCGGTCCATAAGATCAAAATGTCCTCTGTTATTTATATTGATATAACTTTCTGAAAACAGTGCAAGTCAAAATTTGCAGTGTTAAAGGCAACCTGGATTTTGAAATTTTATCTCTTTTTGTGGGAAGTAATTTTAAGAATAAGATATAGAGTTTAAAATTTAAATAAATTTCTGTCTGATCTAGGAAACATTATTTCGCTATATTTGTGTTTTTCTCTGTGAAATGTTTGATCATCAGTTCAAATAAAAACCACAATACTATTTTCCCAGACATCTCAATGAATTATTTGATTTCTTGTAGAGAAATAATTTGTACATCAATTTAAGAAATGCATCATATAAATTTCAAAAATAGATGCATATAATTTTAATAGCTTTATTGAAGTACAATTGATATAAAAAACCTGCAAGTATTTTATACATACATATATATATATATATATATATATATATATATATATATATATATATATAAATGGCTGAGTTTGGACATATACATGCACCCATGATGCTGTCATTATAACAGTGAAGGTAATAAACATATCCATCACCTGCAAAAGCTCTCTTTGTCACTCTTTCATTTTGATGGTAATAATGCTTGCGATTTACCCTCTTAGCACATTATTAAGTGCACAATACCACGTTGTTAACCATAGGCATTATATTGGAGAGGAAATCACTATGCTTATGCATAAGCATTAGTGAAACTTTATACCCACTGAGCAACAACTCCCAATTTCTCTCTCTCCCAAACCCCTGGAAAACACTATTTTATTGTCTGCTTCAATTAGTTTGCCTATTTTACTTAACTAATATAAGTGGAATCATAAAATATTTGTCCTTCTTGAACTTGCTTAATTTACTTAGCATAATATCTTCTAGGTTCATCCATTTTGTCAAAAATGGTATCTTTTGTCAAACCTTGGCAACTGAATTAACATTTCCATTGCTTCCATGTACAGAGAAACAATTCTAACTGAACTTGTGAAAATAATTATATTGATATTAAATTAAAATGCTTATGAATAATTTTTGTATTTTTGCAAGATCAGATATGGAGAAAAATCACAAATTTATCTTTATTTTAATGAATAAAAATATTTAGAATCTTGAAATAATTAGCTATGTGAAATTAATTTGGAGATTGTCAGATTATTCTACTGTGTTTTATTATTGACATAACATGATATATCATAGTTATATTTCTATATTTACTTTAAAATACGTTTATATATACATATATACATATACATATATAAATATAGACACTGTGAGTAAGTTAGTGTGTATGTCTTTGTGGGTATGTGTTTTTTTAATGGATTCTATAGTAGCAGTTATCTAGTGTATGTCATGTCCTAATTAATATTACATCCCGGAAGCAACTCCTAAAACTCCTTTGAATTTTTATATTTTCTGTACCTTCTTTTTAATAAATGCATGTATGATTGGAACAATACTGTCTGAATTGTTTCATTTTAGCATACTATGTAATAGTATGGTGAAGGGGTGTGAGGACAGGCAGACAGAGATGGGAATAACAGAGAGACAGAGATGGGAATAACAGAGAGACAGAGAGAGAAAGAAAGAAAGAGAGAAAGAAAGAGAGAAAGAAAGAAAGAGAGAAAGGAAGAAAGAGAAGTTATTATAGTGCAACCTTATTTATCTTTGTATTAGGAGAGGCTAGCTCAGGACCTGGCATGAATGGAGCTCATAAAGTGTATATTAAAAGAAATAGGCCACTTATGACAAGGATTAGGTCATTCATATTCCAAATTCAATGTAAGACTTTCATTCTAGTCTAAATATATACCTTCGGCTTTACAATATATATATATATCTTAGGCTTTACAATATAGTAAAATATTGTTACTTTTATACATATGATATAGGTTTAATTTTGAGAACACCCACAATATTTTTTTTAAAATGCTCCTTAAGTAAACTTAAAAATATACTTCTACATAAATATAATGTGATGTTAAAGATTTTATTATTGAGCCTCCCTTTTTTTCTTGTAAAAGGAACTTACAATGTTAATACATAAGTAAAACTGTCATAATTATACCTACTAGAGACATAAAAGCTTGGAATTGAAGAATAATTTTATAATAATCTGGGCTAGGTTATAATTTTAATTTAGAATTATGGTATTCTAAATTCTCAAACAGATATCATGACTATTTCTTAGTGATGGTACTGAATTCAATAGAATTTTAAATGTGCATCAATTCTGTGAGCTGACATAGAGGAATCATGATTAAGTAAATCAAAATAGTATTAATGCTCAATGATATGTGGTAGAGAGAAACATTTAGTTTTAAGTTAGAAATCAGGCATTCAAAAACAGGAATCACAGCAATAACAAACGAACATAACTCTGAACTATGCACACCAGATAAACATGAAATTTATTTTGCAAATGTTTTTGCAGTTTAGTCCTTTGCATCAGCTTATATTGTGGGAAAGTAAGGGATCAAGAGCAGCTGAAATGATATAGCATATAGAAATAGCAGAGAATTTTTATTATAAACAGATATAAGCTGAACTTGAAAACACCATTGATAAGAAATTAAAGGGGAATATATTTCCCACTTCTTCCTTCTGTATATAAGACCAAAGCCTAAAATTATGATTCTTTATGGAAATATCTCTCTACTTTTCAGTCATTTGTCAAAAGAAGACTAAAATCAATATTTATTTTTAGGACTATATTACTGCATCATGAACCTAAACTTAATTCTGACTCTAGAAACCAAGTGAAACCATTAAGAAATGTAAACAGTGTGCAAATGAGAATAAATGCAATAAAATCACAACCGATATAAAAGGCACAGAGATACTACAAAGAGTAAGATACATCAGAAAGGGTTTAGGTGAAAATATAACAAATATTCCTTTTCTAAAATGTTGTGGTAGCAATAGATTATTACATAGGTTAGAAAAAAAATTATCAGCATTTCCATACTTACCAAAATGAGTATGCAACCTCAAGCTCACTAAAACAGTATTTTTTTTAAACTATTACTATACTACAGTATCATTCAACAACGTTAAAGATTTAATCACAATTTAAATATTAAGTATTAATAATTAGGATAATAAGCCTTTACTATGACCTATGCTATTCATCCCATTCTGGAAATATAATATACAAGACTAGCAGATTACAAGTTAAATAGACCAAAACCCTCTCAAAACCAAGAACAAACAAACGAAAAATACAGACAAAAACATTCAGCTCTGCATTTAAGGGATGTTTTTCATTAATACTGATGTGCTGCCAGGAATATACAAAGAAGTGGTGAGACACCTGGCATTCCTATGGGAAACCAGAAACAAATATATAAATGAAATGTTGAGAAGCCCAGCCATCAACTGTCCGTAGTAAGCTAAAGGGTCAGCAAAACAAATAAACTTGGCCGCCTACGGCCTGCTCAGTAACTCCTCATTTATTACACACTGTCATACATACTTTCGGATATGTACAGTTTTATTTTTATATTCTATTTCTGACAATTTTATTTGCCTGCCACACCATGAAAGACTCTGCAGTTCTAAAGAAGCTGTAAGGAGAAAGGAATATATATCTTCTGTGAGGGTTTCTTAGTTACTGAAAGTAGGAGAACCTTCACATTAAAAGGAATCTTGGTATGATCAAGCAGGAGGCTTGGTGGAGGTACTAATATGGTTATCTCATGTCCATCACGCTGGAGTTTTTCTAGAATAACTTTTAAATTGAGTGACTAAAATTCATGGGCTGGACAAGCAATTTCCCAGACTTTCCAGAGTCGAAGAAACACAGATTCAGCAGGAAAAAAAAAAAAAAAAAAGCCATTCACAGTTTTCATGGCCAACTCTTCCTTTAATTTACTGTGGGCTTAAAATAAGTACAGCAAGCTCATAAGCCAGCAAGCTCATAAGCCACCTTAATCCTAAGTGTGTTTCATGCTTCAATTTCTCAATCAATTGATGGTGAATCAGTCCGGACTTTGGACAGCCTACTTATCTCAATAGTCAAAGTGGAATATAGCTGCCCTCATGGAAAAGATCATCCAATTAAGCAATTTACATAATTACATAAATTACAAATTACATAATTACAAATGACATAAAAGCTTTCTAAAATAATTTTACAGAATAGGAATTTGTGCACTTAAAATTACATGCAATGGAAAGGATTTCTCATTGAGTCTAAGAAAGTTTGCTATAAGACCTTAATTTTTTAATAAGTTGTTTTGCATTGTCTTCTTTAGATGTATTGGAATGTTCATGTGGACACCATATTTCACTTTGTTTATCTTAATGTTGGGAAAATAGAAAGTGTATATGTTGAGAATGCATACTCTACTATTGGTATTTTTTTGGTCAAAATGTATATTTTATTTTGAAATGTTAAATAGTGCTTATAGGCTGAATCATGGCTCATTACTCCGAATTCGTTTGTTTGTGATCTAACACCCAGTTCCTCAGAATAGGACTACATTTGGAGACAGGGCCATTAAGGAAAAAATTAAATTGAGGGCATATAGAGGACATCTTATATGGACATAAGGACAAACACAGAGAAGAAAGTCTATGTAAGGAGGGCAACCATCTACAAACCAATCATGGAGACTTTAGAAGAAGCCAACACTGTTAATCATACCTTGATTACACTTCTAGCCTCTTGAATTGTGAGAAAATATGTTTCTTGTTGTTTAAGCCACCAAGTCTGTGGTACTTTATTATGGCAGCCCTAGCCAACTAACAGAGTGGTATATAGAAATACACTTGAAGTTTGAATGTTGATGTTATATATGAAATGAATTTTGAGAGCATCAGGTATGTATTAAAATATGAAAGAAGGATTATGCACTATTTGGAAGATGATACATACTTTATTATTTAGATATTCTTATCAAATTTGGTCATTTGAGAAAAAAACCTTATATGTTTCCTGGAACATACTGTTTATTTTCTGATTATTCCTTTGCACATTGAATAGCTGTATCCAGATTCTCTTTTATTTTTCATAAATTAGGACTAGCAATAACCATTGACTTTAAGTTTATTAATACATTAGCTTGCTCAATAATATAAAAAGATTTTTTGTTCACTTGAGAATATAGAGCTAGGTCCTTTCTTTCTTTCTTTCTTTCTTTCTTTCTTTCTTTCTTTCTTTCTTCTTTCTTCTTTCTTTTTCTTTATTTTTACTGCACAAGTTCTGGGATACATGTGCAGAATGTGAAGGTTTGTTACATAGGTATACGTATGCCATGGTGGTTTGCTGCATCTGTTGACCCATCCTCTAAGTTTCCTCCCCTCACACCTCACCTCCCAACAGGCCCTGGTGTGTGTTGTTTCCCTCCCTGTGTCCATGTGTCCTCATTGTTCAACTCTCCCTTATGAGTGAGAACATGCAGTGTTTGGTTTTCTGTCCCAGTGTTAGCTTGCTGAGGATGATTGTTTCCAGCTTTATTCATGTCTCTGAAAAGGCTTTGATCTCATTCTACTTTTGGCTGTGCAGTATTTGTTGGTGTCTATGTACCCCATTTTCTTTATCCCATCTATCATTGATGGGCATTTGGGTTAGTTCCATGACTTTGCGATTGTAAATAGTGCTGCAATAAACATATGTGTGCATGTGTCTTTATAGTAGAATGATTTATATTACTTTGGGTATATACCCAGTAATAAGATTGTGGGGTCAAAAGGTATTTGTGTTTCCAGATCCTTGAGAAATCGCCATACTGTCTTCCACAATGGTTCTCAATAGATGCACAAAACAGGATTCCGGTAAAATTTAAGATCTCTTCATGTTAAAAACTCTCAGTAAACTAGTCATTGCTGGGACATATCTCAAAATAATAAGAGCTATTTGTGACAAATGCATAGCCAATATCACATTGAATGGGCAAAAGCTGGAAGCATTCGCTTTGAAAATAGGTACAAGACAAGGACGCCCTATCTCTCCACTCCTATTCAACATAGTATTTGAAGTTCTGGCTAGGGCAATCAGGCAAGAGAAAGAAAAAAAGTGTATTCAAATAGGAAGAGAGGAAGTCAAATTGTTCCTGTTTGTAGATGATGTAATTTTTTATTTAGAAAACCCCATCATCTCAGCCCCCAAACTCCTTAAACTGATAATCAACTTCAGCAAAGTCTCAGGATACAAAATCAATGTGTGAAAATCACAAGGATACCTTTACACTAACAATGCACAATCAGAGAGCCAAATCATGAATCAACTCCCATCAACAATTGCTACAAAGAGAGTAAAATACCTAGGAATATAGCTAACAAGGGATGTGAATGACCACTTCAATGAGAACTACAACCCACTGTGCAAGGAAATAAGAGACGACAAAAACAAATGGAAAAACATTTCATCCTCATGGACAGGATGAATCAATGTCGTGAAAATGGCCATACTGCCTGAAGTAGTGAATAGATTCAATGCTATTCCCCTCAAACTACCATTGACATTCTTTGCAGAATTAGAAAACAGCTACTTTGAATTTCATATGGAATCAAAGAACACCCTGTATAGCCAAGACAATCCTAGGCAAAAAAACAACATTGGAGACATCATGCTGCCTGACTTTAAACTGTAATACAAGGCTACAGCAACCAAACAGCATGGTACTTGTACAAAAGCAGAGATATAGACCAATGGAACAGAACAGACACCTCAGAAATACCACCACACATCTATGACCATCTGATCTTCAACAAACATGACAAAAACAAGCAATGGGGAAAGGATTCCTTATTTAATAAATGGTGATAAGAAAACTGGCTAACCATATGCAGAAAACTGAAACTGGACCCCTTCCTCACACCTTATACAGAAATTAACTCAAGGTTGATTAAAGAATTAAATGTAAAACCCAAAACCATAAAAAACATAGAAGAAAATCCATAGAAGAAAATTGTTGGGTCATATGGTAATTTGATTTTAATTTTTTTGAGGAACCTCCATTCTGTTAACTATAGGTGTGTCATTTTTCATTCCTACCAACAATGCACAAGAGTTTCTATTTATATACATTCTCTTCAAAACTTGTTGTTTTTTCGGCTATGCATGTGTCTGTGTGTGGGTAAATATATGTATTCAAAAATATTCTGAGGTGGCTAATGGTTATGATGTGATAGCTCATTGTAGTTTTGATTTACATTTCTCTAATATTTAGTGATGTTAAGCATCTTTTCATATGCTTTTTGGCCATACATCTATATTTTCTGAATAAATGTGTATTCAAGTCTTTGAATCATTTTAATTGAGTTTTTGCTATTAAAAAATTAATGAATCCAGGAGCTGGTTTTTTGAAAGGATCAACAAAATTTTTAGACCACTAGCAAGACAAATAAAGAAAAAAAGAGAGAAGAATCAGATAGACACAATAAAAATGATCAAGGGGATATCACCACCAATCCCACAGAAATAGAAACTACCATCAGAGAATACTACAAACACCTCTATGCAAATAAACTAGAAAATCTAGAAGAAATGGATAAATTCCTCAACGCATACACACTCCCAAGACTAAACCAGGAAGAAGTTGAATCTCTGATTAGACCAATAACAGGATCTGAAATTGTGGCAATAATCAATAGCTTACCAACAAGAAAGAGTCCAGGACCACATGGATTCACAGCCGAATTCTACCAGAAGTACAATGAGGAACTGGTACCATTCCTTCTGAAAATATTCCAATCAATAGAAAAAGAGGGAATCCTCCCTAACTCATTTTATGAGGCCAGCATCATCCTGATACCACAGCTGGGCAGAGACACAACCAAAAAAGAGAATTTTAGACCAATATCCTTGATGAACATTGATGCAAAAATCCTCAATAAAATACTGGCAAACCAAATCCAGCGGCACATCAAAAAGCTTATCCACCATGATCAAGTGGGCTTCATCCCTGGGATGCAAGCCTGGTTCAATATACGCAAATCAATAAATGTAATCCAGCATATAAACAGAACCGAAGACAAAAACCACATGATTATCTCAATAGATGCAGAAAAGGCCTTTGACAAAATTCAACAACCCTTCATGCTAAAAACTCTCAATAAATTAGGTGTTGATGGGACGTATCTCAAAATAATAAGAGCTATCTATGACAAACCCACAGCCAATATCATACTGAATGGGCAAAAACTGGAAGCACTCCCTTTGAAAACTGGCACAAGACAGGGATGCCCTCTCTCACCACTCCTATTCAACATAGTGTTGGAAATTCTGGCCAGGGCAATTAGGCAGCAGAAGGAAATAAAGGGTATTCAATTAGGAAAAGAGGAAGTCAAATTGTCCCTGTTTGCAGATGACATGATTCTGTATCTAGAAAACCCCATTGTCTCACCTAAAATCTCCTTAAGCTGGTAAACAACTTCAGTAAAGTCTCAGGATATAAAATCAATGTACAAAAATCATAAGCATTCTTATACAGCAATAACAGACAGAGAGCCAAATCATGACTGAATTCCCATTCACAATTGCTTCAAAGAGAATAAAATAGTTAGGAATCCAACCTACAAGGGATGTGAAGGACCTCTTCAAGGAGAACTACAAACAACTGCTCAATGAAATAAAAGAGGACACAAACAAATGGAAGAACATTCCATGCTCATGAATATGAAGAATCAATATTGTGAAAATGGCCATACTGCCCAAAGTAATTTATTGATTCAATGCCATCCCCATCAAGCTACCAATGACTTTCTTCACAGAATTGGAAAAAACTACTTTAAAGTTCACATGGAAGCAAAAAGGAGCCGGCATTGCCAAGACAATCCTAAGCCAAAAGAACAAAGCTGGAGGCATCACGCTACCTGACTCCAAACTATACTACAAGGCTACAGTTACCAAAACAGCATGGTACTGGTACCAAAACAGAGATACAGACCAATGGAACAGAACAGAACCCTCAGAAGTAATACCACACATCTACTGCCATCTCATCTTGGCAAGCCTGACAAAAACAAGAAATGGGGAAAGGATTACCTATTTAATAAATGGTGCTGGGAAAACTGGCTAGCCATACGTAGAAAGCTGAAACTGGATCCCTTCCTTACACCTTATACAAAAATTAATTCAAGATGGACTAAAAACTTAAATGTTAGACCTAAAACCATAAAAACCCTAGATGAAAACCTAGGCAATACCATTCAGGACATAAGCATGGGAAAGGACTTCATGACTAAAACACCAAAAGCAATGGCAACAAAAGCCACAGTTGACAAATGGGATGTAATTAAACTAAAGAGCTTCTGCACAGCAAAAGAAACTACCATCAGAGTGAACAGGCAACTGAGAGAATGGGAGAAAATTTCTACAATCTACCCATCTGACAAAGAGCTAATATCCAGAATCTACAAAGAACTTAAACAAATTTACAAGAAGAAATCAAATCACCCCATCAAAAAGTGGGCAGAGGATATGAACAGACACTTCTCAAAAGAAGACATTTATGCAGCTAAAAGACACAAGAAAAAATGCTCATCATCACGGGCCATCAGAGAAATGCAAATCAAAAACCACAATTGGATACCATCTCACAACAGTTAGAAAGGCAATCCTTAAAAAGTCAGGAAACAACAGGTGCTGGAGAGGATGTGGAGAAATAGGAACTCTTTTACACTGTTGGTGGGACTGTAAACTAGTTCAACCATTGTGCAAGACAGTGTTGCAATTCCTCAAGGATCTACAACTAGAAATACCATTTGACCCAGCCATCCCATTACTGGGTATATGCCCAAAGGATTATAAATCACGCTGCTTTAAAGACACATGCACACGTATGTTTACTGTGGTGCTATTCACAATAGCAAAGACTTGGAACCAACTCAAATGTCCATCAATGATAGACTGGGCTAAGAAAATGTGGCACATATACACCATGGAATACTATGCAGCCATAAAAAATGATGAGTTCATGTCATTTGCAAGGACATGGATGAAGCTGGAAAACACTATTCTGAGCAAACTATCGCAAGGACAGAAAACCAAACAATGCATATTCTCACACATAGGTGGGAATTGAACAAGGAGAACACTTGGACACAGGGAACATCACGCACTAGAGCCTGTAGTTAGTGGAGTCGGGGGAGGAGGGAGTGGTAGCATTAGGAGATATACCTAATGTAAATGACGAGTTAACGGGTGCAGCTAACAGGTGCAGCACACCAACATGGCACATATATACATATGTAACAAACCTGCACGTTGTGCACATGTGCCCTAGAACTTAAATTATAATTTAAAAAATAAAAAAAAAATAAATTTAAAAAAATAAAAATATAAAAGACAAAAGTAAATGACCTATCTCTCACCCCTAAAAAAAAAATACCTTCAAATAAGGAAGAGGAACAGACTATATCCTAATGCTTGCTTTGGTCAATATAAGCATTCCAGAGTAAATATTTACGCTACATTGTAGGAGCTAAGAACATAAAGTACATAGATTTCTTTATTACAGCTAGCAGATATTTAAAAGTGCAGCACACTTCTCTGAATAAATTTTGCTTCTAAGAGAAGTTACTATTTATTCTTGATTAGATGGGGAGGAAAGTCTTTGAAAAGGAACTTCTAATTTACTTTTCACAGTGAAGCAGCCTAGGGTCACTGGAGCAGTCTTGTTGTATGAGGTATCACCAGGAGTTCTTTGTCTCAAGACCCAAACAATTAAGGATTGTGGACACCAATGGTAATGTTGGAAGAGAAGTTTAATAAGCAAAAGAGAAAAGCTATCTACTGTGAAGAGGAAGCCCGAGAGCGTTGTCATTTCACAGTTGAATGCAGACTTTTATATACAAAAATAAAAGCTAATGAGGCAGAGTGTTTCATGTGCATAAGTCATGAAAACCCGGTTAGGACTGGATGTCTTATTTGCATACATACAAATTCTTGTTAGCTCCAACTCTTCCCTCTAGTGTGCATGCAGGTCCTTAGCCTGAATTACTGCATGTTGTTTTATTTTGCTTATTGACTCTGTTTCACTGCGGATGTGTCTTGTTCTGTGTAACTTTCCTTATCTATACAGCTACAGGTCTGTCTTAGGAAAGCACCCTGTGCAAGTTCCTTTATCTGAGTATGACCAAAAAGAAAAGGAATGTGCTCACTGAAGGCCATCGTGTATAGGCAGAGCTCACTGGTTGCACAGAAGACAAAGGCTTTGGACTTTGCTTCCTTACCTGTGCTTGCAGTTTGATTTCCTCCAGACTTATTTTTGGACTTTGCTTCCTTACCTGCGCTTGCAGTTTGATTTCCTCCAGACTGTTATTTTTGGGGGAGGGCTTCTACCAAGAACCTTGCCCTAACTATCTGCCTAACTGGTTCCTTATTTTCTCTTCTCATTAATTTCTCTCTCCATATGTGTATCACCTCCATGAGGGCTCCAAACACTGAGTGATCAGCTCTTACATACATTTGCTAGATGAATTTTTTAAACTCATTGTGTTGGGGGGGTTCTCTGTTTGGCGACTCTGTATGGTGAAGGTTTAACACCCTAGACATTCCAAATAGGCCCCTTTGGCTTGGAGGAGCAAAACGTCCTTTCTCTTCATTGCTGAGGAGGTCAGTCTCTCATCTCTCACTGATCTACAAAAATAATAGTTCAGTTCCTCAAGCAAATGTGCAGACAAGCCATTTGAGCTTATCTTTGGGAGAAAAGGCAATGGAGAGGACCCTTTAGAATGTACTCCTGAACTATAATTAAGATTCTAAAAGACAACCTCCCAGGAGAAAAAAAAATTCAGAATAAACCAAAGACTATCAACCAAAGGGAGGTCCAGAGCTCAAGAGGACTTACCAGTCCCACTGGAGAAGAAGCTCAAAATTGGAGAGGCATTCAGTGGGCCTCTGTTGCTACCTTAGCTTCAAGTTCAGGCACGTTTTATGGTGTCCTGAGTTTTGTCTGAGGCCCCACATGTTCAAATGTCAAGTTGTTATGATGAAAAGAGTCAAACATTTTAAAATATTTAAAGAGTTTTATTCTGAGCCAAATATGAGTCAATGATGGCCTGCGACATAACCCTCAGGAGATCCTAAGAACATTTCCCCATAGCGCTCAGGCTACAGCTTAGTTTTATACAATTTACAGAGATATTAGTCATCAATCAATACATGTAAGTTATACATTGACTTGGTCTGAATAGGCAGGACAACTGAGAGCAGGGGTTTCCAGGTCATAGGCTAATTCGAGGATTTTCTATTGGCAATTGGTTGAGTTATATTGTTGTCTAAAGATATAGAATTAATAGACAAGAATGTCTAGGTTAAGATAAGGGGCTGTGAATACCAAGGTTTTATCATGCAGATAAAGCGGTCAGGCAACAGGCTTGAGAGAATATAGATTGTAAATGTTTCTTATCAAATGTAATGAGTCTGTTCTATTGTCTTTAAGGTCTTTAAGGTCTGTGTTGATGGTAGTGCTTGTAAGATTTTCCTGAATTCAAAAAGGGAGGAGGGTATAATGAGGCATGTCCTATCCCACCACCCCACTTCCCATCATTGTCTGAACCAGTTTTTCAGATTAAGTTTGAAATGCTCTTTGCTGAGAGTAAGGGTCCATTTAGGTGGTTGGGGATGCTTAAAATTTTATTTTTGGTTTACATCTACATAGAGTTGTTGAATAATTAGAACATAATGATAATATTTTACCTAATGTCATTATTAGCCTTCTGCTTATTAACACAGAAACCAAAACCGTGTATTTTCTCCTATACATTTTTTCCTGTCTCAGATATTATCAGTAAATACAAATTTCAAATTAATTTCTCACATTTACTATTAACAATTTATGTTTTATTCCATAAGGTTGACATGTCTCAGTAACTAATATACAATTTTTATCATTTTCCCTGTTTTTAAACTCTTATCTTTACATATCACTCTATGTTGAGATGCAAGAATTTCTTGCTAAAGAAAAGCTTGATCTTGCGACTGTCCTTTAAAACTTGAGTAAATAATAATTTGCCCATAAATTATCATTCAAACTAATAATTGTTTATTTAAAACTAATTTCTCCTATTTCAAACTGACTTTGTTCTGTAACATCCTGCCCTGAACTTTCTCTGTGGTCACTTCTCACTAGAATGACTTTTAAATATCCTATACTTTCGTCATGCTTCTATTGATTGTGAAATGCTTCCTTTGACAACAATAAATCCTAATGAAGCTTTCATCTCACCTCCTAAGTCAAATGTCTTACTAAAGCTTTTATTAATTATCAGATATTAAAGCAATTGTGCATTTTTCTCCTCTGAAATACTGAACACTTTGCACTTATTATATAAAATTAATAAAAATAGTTACCTATGTCTCCAAGTGTATTCCCAGTAATTCTTTGTATTGTCCTTGTGAGCAAAGGATGTGAAACATGAGTTCTTCTAAACAATCTGGCACCTTGGATTTAGTGTGGAATGAATGTAAGTGCGGTTGTGTGCATATGTTTCTGCACATGAATTATTAAATCTAAAGAATTTAAAAAAAATTTCTTTATCATCAATCCAGATAATAAAAGTATCTTTATGTGTTTTATTTCTAAGCTCTAGAAGGTTGGAACAAATTTTCCCTGATACATTGCAACATTGCATTTCTTTTTGATATCTTCAATAAATGTGAAGCTGGCAACCAACCAATGAAGTTTATTTACTCTTAAAATATTAATTTTTAACTTCTGTGCTTATATTGTCATTTCAATTTCATGCTTAGTAACTACAAAACTATTGCAGATCATTGTGTGAGGGAAATGTCATCATGAGGCCCAAGAAGTCAGCTTTGGTATTTCTGCTCCTGCAACTCTTCTGTGATGGCTGTGGATTCTGGGAGAAGGTCCTGGTGTGGCCCTGTGACATGAGCCATTGGCTTAATGTCAAGGTCATTCTAGAGGAGATCATAGTGAGGAGCCATGAGGTAACAGTATTGACTCACTCAAAGTCTTTGTTAATTGATTACAGGAAGCCTTCTGCACTGAAATTTGAGGTGGTCCATATGCCATAGGATAAAACAGAAGAAAATGAAATATTTGTTGACCTAGCTCTGAATGTCTTCCCAGGCTTACCAGCGTGGCAATCAGTCATAAAATTAAATGTTTTTTGTTGAAATGAGGAACTTCAAAAATGATGTGTGAGAGCATTATCTACAATCAGACACTTATGAAGAAGCTACAGGAAACCAACTACGATGTAGCACTCATAGACCCTGTGATTCCCCGTGGAGACCTGATGGCTGAGTTGCTTGCAGTCCCTTTTGTGCTCACACTTAGAACTTCTCTAAGAGGCAATATGGAACAAAGCTGTGGGAAACTTCCAGCTCCACTTTCCTATGTACCTGTGCCTATGACAGGACTAACAGACAGAATGACCTTTCAGGAAAGATTGAAAAATCCAATGCTTTCAGTTTTCTTCCACTTCTGGATTCAGGATTATGACCATCATTTTTGGGAAGAGTTTTAGAGTAAGGCATTAGGTAAGAGATTCTTGTTTTATTTTTAATTATCAAAATAAATATTTTTAAAAATTGCCATACATCGTCTATGACACATATATGCAGGTTAATGAGTTTTTATTATAGAAAATGTTGTAGCTGTTCTTCATAAAGAAAGTAGATTTGTTCTAAGTGTAAGGTAACCTACTTCCTTAATACCAGTAATAAACCTACAAATGATCATCATTAACAAGGAGATTATATTTTGTTTTTCCTCCAAATAGCCCAAATCTACATCTCATATTTTTGAGAATTATTTATTGTTACTTTGAATGTTATACCATTTCTATTGAAACAAGATGCTGATCGTTCTTTTCTCTCTCATCAAAAATTTCAAAAAAAAATCTTCAGAAAGTCCTCTTTGAATTATTTTTTCAAGAGTGGTTAAATGGAAACATTTTCTAGAATTCTCTAATTTCTTAGTTGATTACTTCACAAAAACTTGAAAAAATATTATAAAAAGTTAAATGACTTTCGGTCTTGTGGGGCATGGGATAGAATTTTTACTTTACTGATTTATATCCATTTTACTTATTTTTATTTCTTTGCTTTACTGACAAAAAGTTGTTTTGCTTTACAATTTTCATAAACAGTTGTGACCAGCGCTGGTCAATGAAAGACATGTTTTTGATCCAACTCTGTTTGAGAAATATGTAGAAACATGAACAAAGGAACAATCATAATAGACTCTAAAAATATTGTTTAATATATTCCACTGAATTCCAATACATAGACTGTTTCACAGAACTAATATTCAGAGGATCCCACTTCAAATGTCCTTAGCCTTAGACATGATTTGAATTTACATGTATTGATTTGCCCTAATTAATTTTGTTTTCAGTAAGCTCTGCCTAGCTTACCATTTTATTTCCATATGTTCTTATGTATAGGCATATTTCATTTTATTATACTTTGCTTTACTGTGCTTCACAGAAATTGTAATATACAAATTAAGTGTTTTTGAAAACCCTGAATGAAGCAAATCAATTTGGCATAATATTTCCAACAGCAAGTGTGTACTTTTTGACTCTGTATCACATATTGGCATTTATCATGCTTTTTCAAATTTTTCATTATTATATCTGTTATGGTGATCTGAGATCAGTGATCTTTGATGGTTCCATGTTTACTAGCTTTGGGGCACCTTGAGCTCTTCTGATATAAAACAGCAAACTTAATTATAAATGTTGTGTGTGTACTAACTGCATCCACCTTTATGAGGTTTCTGTCAGCCCCTACTGGGAGGTGTCTTCCAGTTAGGTTACACGGGGTTCAGGGACCCACTTGAAGAGCAGTCTGTCCATTCTCAAGAGTTCAAACCCTCTGTGGGGAGAACCACTGCTCTCTCCAGAGCTGTCACACAGGGATATTTAAGTCTCAGAAGTTTCTGCTGCCTTTTGTTCAGCTATGCCCTGCCCACAGAGGTGGAGTCTATAGAGGCAGTAGGCCTTGCTGAGCTGCAATGGGCTCCACCCAGTTCAAGCTTCCTGGCCACTTTGTTTACCTACTCAAGCCTCAGCAATGGTGAATGCCCCTCCCCTCGCCAGGCTGCCGCCTGGCAGGTCAATCTCAGACTGCTGCACTAGCAGTGAGCAAGGCTCCGTGGGCATGGGATGCCTGAGCCAGGCACCAGAGATAATTTCCTGGTCTGTTGGTTGCTAAGACCATGGGAGAATCCCGGTAGTTGGGCAACAGTGTCCCATTTTTCCAGGTACAGTCTGTCATGGGCTCTCAGCTAGGAAAGGAAAATCTCCCCAGCCCTTGCACTTCCCAGCTCAGGTGACGCCCCGCCATGCTTCGGCTGGTCTTCCTTGGGCTACTGCACCCACTGTCCAACTATTCCCGATGAGATGAACCACGTACCTCAGTTGGAAATGCAGAAATCAACCATCTTCTGTGTCAATCATGGTGGGAGCTGCAGACCGGAGCTGGTCGCATCTAGCCATCTTGGAACGGGAGCCCTCTAGGTGATATATTTTGAAATCAGGTAGTGTGATGCCTCCAGTTTTGTTCTTTTTGGTCAAGGTTGCTTTGGCCTTGGTCTTTTGCAGTTCTGTACAAATTTTAAAAAAAGCTTTTCCCCATTTCTGTTTAGAATGTCATGGTATTCTGATAGAGATTGTTAAGAATCTGCAGTTTCCTTTGGGTACTATGTACATTTTAATAATACAAATTCTTCCAATTCATGAACATGATGTATCTAATTATTGTGTCTTTTTAAATTTCTTTCATCCTTGTTTTATAATATTCATTCTAGATATTTTATACCTCCTTGGTTAAACATATTCTTAGGGGTTTTATTCTATAGCTATATTAAATGAAATTGTTTTTCTAATTTTTTGCAGATAGCTATTTCCGTACAGAATAATACCAATTTTTGTATGATAATTTTTTTTCAAAAAGTTTTCTGAATTTTTTTTATCAATCATTATGTTGTGTTTTCATGGAGTATTTAGTTTTCTCTCTTTATAAGTTCATGTCATCTGCAAAGAGGAACTATTTGATTTCTTCCTTTCCGATTTGTATGTGCTTCATTTCTTTCTCTTGGTTAATTACTCTGGCTAGACGTTTCAGTATTAGGTTGGATAAGAGTGGAGAAAGTATGCATCTTTATCTTTTTCCAGATCTTAGGAAAAAAAAGAAAGCTTTCTACTTTCCCTGCTCAGTATGATGGTAGTAGCTGTGTGTTTATCATGTATTGGCTTCATATATGAATAAGTTCTTTGATGAACTTCTTCATATATGAAGAAGTTCATTGAAGAGTACAGTATTCTTGGATTAAAAGTTTTACAAATTTCTGTTTACTTCAGCATTTTGACTATATTATCCCACTCTCTTCTGTCCTGAAAGATTTTTGTTTGTTTGTTTGTTTGTTTGTTTTTCCTGGGAAATTCACTGAAAACAGTTCGGGACCACTATTGAAAGTGTTATGTTTTGTTGTTGTTGTTTTGTTTTGTTTTTCTCTCTCTCCTACTGCTTTCAATATTCTTTTTGTTCTTTGAGTTTTGGTAATTTGATTATAATGTACCTTTGGGAATTACTTTTTGGGTTGAATTTGTTGGGTGATGTCTAAGCTAACTGTTCCCAGATATTATTGTCTTTCTCCAAATTTGGAAAATGTTGAGTCTTTATTATCTTGAGTATGTTTTCTAGGCCTTTCTTTTCTATCTCATATCCTTTAGAAATTTATATTATATGGCAGTATTTCCCTTCATAGTGTCATATAATTTCTGTGAACGCCACTATTTCTTTTTTCTTCTATTCCTCTGATTGGGTAATTGCATGTTTTCTTTGAGCTTACTGATTCTCTCCTGTTTGATCAAGTCTGCTGTTAAAGATTTCTAGTGAGTTTTTAGTTTAACAATTTTTATCTTGCATTTCAAGGATTTCATTTTTTATTTTTCTGATTTCATTCTCAAATGTTGTATTTGAATCGCTGCCCTGAGGATGCTTTCTGTTCTGAGGAGAGCTTATAGTTGATAACAGAACCTAAATAGTGCACCAGAGCTAAATCTCTTCCATGCTATTGTTTTCCTGTCTGAGGAAGACTTATCATGGTGATAAAAAGATAATGTTGTGCCAGAACTTAAACTCAAACCTGTAGTAATTTCTGGGTTGGGGAAGGCTTAAGAAATAACTGGAACTTAGTTACTAACCTGATAGTTGTTTCTGGGTCAGAGAAAGGCTCTGTATGATCACCTGGGATATTTGTAAAATCTGACCAAAGATTCTAGCTTTCCCTCGGATTGTGCCTCCTGTACTATTGTAGTGCTGGCTAGGCCCCCATCAGTGTGAGTTCCCTGCTGATAGGACCGCAAAGCATCTGCCAAGATCTGTTTGCCATTTGCCGTGATTAGTGCTTCTGCTCTTTGCTTCCAATTCAACCCAGGTGGTTCAGCCCTTCTGACGCTCCTAATACCTCCTGTGGGATGGAACAAAGAAGGCTTCTCACAGTGATTCACACACTCATATGGGGATTTAGTGTCCACCTGCAATTATTTTCTTCCACCTGTGTAATTGCAGGTACAGGGAAGTTTTCTGGGAGTGGTGCTATTTTGCTTTGGAGAATGGGGTGACGCAGCACAAATGACCTTTCTTCTTTCTGGTCATGGATTTTTTAATTTCCATGAACCTATAAGATTTTTCACTTTTCTCCTGAGCTCTGGTGCATTCAGAGTGGTATTTTTATATTTGAATAGTTGCTAGTTGTACTTTTAAGAGGGATTGATGCTGGACGTCTTCTATTCCACCATCTTGCTGATGTCACTCCTCAAATAATATTTGTAAATGTTAGTAAATTATTTTGTTTTTAGGATTCTGTGTCTACATGACACAGACATGAAAAGTACTCTTGTCACTGAAACTTTTCATATACTGTTTGATTGTGTGCCTTTTCTAGTAATGAATGATTATGTATTTAAGCCATATGTTTTACACATAGACTTTCTTATAAAGAGACTACATGGTTCTGTGTGTCAGAACATAAGAATAGAATACAACTATACAGTAATAATTTCTCAACTCTTTATTTTAGAAATGTAAGTAACCTTTACTTTAATCTTTGTTATATTACCCCTCTGTAATGCAGATAAATTTTTATCTTCCGGAAATGGAAAATGTTGTCCAGAGTTCAGGGGAAGATGATATTGGGTTGTTTTCTCTGGGGTCACTGTTTCCAAATGTTATAGAAGAAAAGGCTAATATCATTGCTTCAGCCCTTGCCCAGATCCCACAGAAGGTCAGTAAAACCTCCATTCCTGATAAGCAGCTATTCACATAATGAGAAAGTATGGCTTTTGCCCTACTCAGTCTTGCTGTTGTTACTGGAAACAACTCTCTTGATTGTCGTTCATTTATAATAAAATAGAAATAAAAAATCAAGCCCCTACATCATATTTTAGAATTTGAAATCTAAAGGCATGTGCCAACTATTCCAAAAAAGTTCTGACATGTATTATTTCCAAGGGCCAGAAAAAGGAAAACTGATATAAAAAAGAAAAAGAAGAATCAATCTCAAGAATATCCTTCTCATATTTGAGTGCATAAAAACTGTATTCAGGGTACTTTTGCATAGAAATAAAAGCTCAGATTAATGTAGTCTTTCTCGATAATTAGAGCTTTCTTCCAAAGTTAAATGTCAATTACAATTATATTATAGTAACTTAATTATTTCAGTTATGTAATTATTTATAATACTTAACTGATTTTAACTTTATTACTGTAATTCTAGAATTTCACACTTTAGGTAGTGCTATATATAAACTATCCAAAAGATGTTTTATTTCATATTTAGCTAAAATACATCAAACACAATAAAGGCAAATATACTAATTAGGAATGTGAAATCTCATAATTTTAATTAAGAAATTATCTGTTAAGTAGTTTGAAACATCTGTGCCATCCTTTCTTTTCAAATGTATGAATTTTTTTATAAGTTCCCACAAATCAAAATTATGGAAAAAAAAGACACAATCCCAAAGAAAATTTATCATAGAACAATGGAACATAGGTAATTCTCTAGCTCATTCGTCTTCAATAAAACAAATAAATATAAGAAGACAAAGGTCAGGAAGGAAATAGAGAAGAAAAGATAACCGATTATCCAAAACACACACAAAATTGAAAGCAAATTTTATCTGTGGGGAACTGTAAATTTGATGGTAGAACCAGAATAGTTCCATGATTTGAAATGACACAGAGATCATGTACTTATAAAATATTTTATTCTTATAAGAAAATTGAGTAGCCAGTGCTGAATTACTTTTTAATGATTCACTGATATTCTCATACTCAGATATTTTAATTGATATTAAAATAATAATAGTATACTTAATAGTCAACTGGTACACATTATTTGAAAGGACTTTTGTAAAAAGTCCTACTATGTCTTTTACTGTTTACACAGTACCTCTACATACCCCTGTCTCAACCAACACCTGAAGTACAATGAGTTTATAATTTATAACTATATCTACATCCTTAGAGTGCTAATATCCTGTGGTTCAATCTGTGAAATACATGTGTTTCTTCCATAGGTGTTATAGAGATACAATGGAAAAAAAACCATCCACATTAGGAACCAATACTCGGCTGTATGATGGGATACCCCAGAATGATCTTCTTGGTAGGACTATGAGAAAGTAAAAATATGAACTAGATGAGGAAAAGATGAATAAATGTTAAACAGTGAGCAAATTCAGCAAATATTTAAAATTATAAAACTTTATTTTACTTACACTTTTGAAGCAGATATAATTAAAAGATTGACTAAAATTGTATAGACTCACACTTTCTATTGTTAAGGTGAGAGTGATAGGATATGCAGAAGGAATTAATGCCTCTTTTTCTTAAGTTAGAAATGATCTTTAGTAGCAAAGCTCCATGTGCTCTCCTTTTAAAGAAAATACTGTACGCTTCAGGGAGTTATCTCATAATTCCCATCTTTAGTCCTGAAATTATTTTAAAAATTCATAATAAAGTATCTCACCATTTCTCATCCATTTTGCATACTAGGTGACCTCAAACCAAAGCTTTTATCGCTCATGGAGGAATGAATGTGATCTATGAAGCTATTTACCATGAGGTCCCTATGGTGGGAGTTCCCCTATTTGGTGATCAGCTTGATGCCATAGCTCACATGAAGGCCAAAGGAGCAGCTGTAGAAATAAACTTCAAAACTATGACAAGCAAAGATTTACTCAGGGTTTTGAGAACAGTCATTAACGATTCCTCGTAAGTACTACTGCTTGTAAAGACTGATCTAACATCGATTATATTATACATTATGTCGGAAAATGTTAAATATCATGCTGGTAGATATTTTAAGGGATTTTTCCCTTCGATATTAAGTCATTCATCACCTTGGTATTGGAATAGTTCTGGAAATTATAGTTCATAGAGTGTCAATCTTCATGGAAATATTAAGTTTAAATTAATAACTGGCTTATTCAGGTTTTACTCACATCTTTGCTTTACCCCATTTTGTTAAAAATGTACTCTTTTTCACTCTCCGCATTATATCTGTTTAATCCTATGCAACCAATAATGTTCATGTCACAACCGGAATCAATCTTTTATTCAACAAGTTTTGGCTTGCATAACATATACTACAGTTTATCTACCTGTCTTTTATGAAAACAAAACTACAACTTTCTAAGTTCTATGTGTGTTTTTGCCTTCCAGTTATAAAGAGGATGCTATGAGATTATCAAGAATTCACCATGATCAGCCTGTGAAGCCCCTGGATCAGGCAGACTTCTGGATCGAGTTTGTCATGTGCCACAAAGGAGCCAAGCACCTGTGGTCAGCTGCCCATGACCTCACCTGGTTCCAGCACTACTCTATAGATGTGATTGGGTTCCTGCTGGCCTGTGTGTCAACTGCTATATTCTTGGCCACAAGATGTTGTTTATTTTCCTGTCAAAAATTTAATAAAACTAGAAAGATAGAAAAGAGGGAATAGGTCTTTCCAAATTTAGAGAAGACATGATGGGGTAATCCTGTTAATTCCAGACACAAAGAATTTAGTGAAAACATGTTACTTTCCTATTTTCTTATTATCTATTCTGATATTTTATCTTAGCTAAGTAGCCTAGAATTCCACGATCATGAACTTGTGAGTATATCTCATTCTTTCATTGTATTTTCCTAGGTGTGCTTACTCTCTTCTCTCACTTTGTGACACAAGGACATGAATACATCTAAATTTTCCTATTTCTGATATCACTGTTTCCATGACGTCATTACTTCTCTAACCTTAAGTGATAGGGTGACCTGCAATATGCTGATTCCTGGTGTTTGCACAAACACATGGATGTAAAGAAGTAAAAAATGTAAAATTCACAAAATTCAGTAAACCACACAAATCAATGAAGCATTCTATGACATTAGCTTGTTATGAGTAACATAATGATTTTTCTTTTTCAATTTAAATAAGCCCTTCTACATACCCAGCATTACTGATCTCAGACAATGAATTGCTAAAAATGACGATAGGGCATTACACTCAGAATAGTTTGCTATATTTCCACATACCTCATCTAGATGTCATAGCCTACATTTCTGCCATCACTTAACTGACATTTTTTGTGTGTTCTTGATGATAAATAGACAGTTCTTATTATTGTCCTCAAATAATAAAAGAAACTGAAATTTTCTTACATGGAGAAAATGTCCATAAGATATTCAAGTTAAACAGATTATTTTGAGATAAGTAACCATTAGAAATATGTGATTGTAATTTCTGATTTTATAAAATTTTAATTGATAGTACACTTGATTTAAATGTCTATTCTTTAAAATGATGAATACTCATAATTCTTATCTCTATAATCAAAAGTATAATTTACTGTAGAAAAATAAAGAGATGCTTGTTCTGAAAGTAAGATCAGTATACTGCTTTCCGGTCTCAAAATTTGAGAATTGCAAATTCATCAAGTAATGGCTTACATGGTAAAAATTTAAGATATTAGAATACCTGCTTAACAAATATTAGTATATATTAAATATTTAGATAAGTAAAGCTCTACACTAAATATAGTTTAATAATCTTTACACTAATTAAGCAAATATGTTACACTTTTCATTTTGTTTACTGTCGTATAATCTTAGTGACATGCTTATTTAAATTTTAATTTAAGGACTTGATTTATTAAATGAATAAATTGGCTCAACTGGCTTTTTGAAAATTTTGAAATTGTTACACATGTTGACAAAGTATATCTATAAATTAATTCCAATTTTAAAATGACTATATAAAAAGAAATAAATATTTTATTGCGTGTGTATACAATTAAATGTAAATAAAATTATTTAGTAGATTTTTAAAATTTGTTAAGTTTTTACACTGATATGTTTTTGACTTTTACAATATTATCATAATCTAGGAAAAGCTGATTATATCTGTTTAAGCCTCATCTTTTCTCTGAAATTAAATACAGCAATTGATCAACATGCTGTGACAGGTGGGAAGCCATTTCTGGAGTTGAGCCTGCTGACACTCTGGGGCTTTTTAGGTTGGACATTCATTGTACATGGGACTCCCTTCCTCTCAAGAGCTATTGCTCATAAGACTCTCCTTCATCAATCTGGCATTACCTTTTCAGATCAGTTGTAATCAGAATACAACTGGTCTTGTAGTTGTAATATGTTCTATCTTAACCACCACTTTCGTACCAGGAACCTGCTCAGGTTTGTTCTCTAGAAGCTCCCAACATAGATAGTCTACATTTCAGACTACTAAGTTATTAACAAACCTTTGGACCATGTTCACTTTAGGTTGAGCATAGTGTGAGGAGATGTAAATTAAATTATAATCCTATATGTGTGTGTAATAAATATTAAAGTGTATAAATTAAACAGCAGATTCTAAGTATCCAACAAGAGTCAAATAAATGATACAAAGTCACCAAATAAATAATATTTAATCTCATCTAATTTCAGAAATTTTCTTGTAATATCATCTTTTGTTTTTTATATCAATTATTGCAAACAAAGAAAAATCTCCAATGAATTTTTAATAATTACCTAGAGCCTCTCTTCTAGACCTAACAACTAACAGCAAATTGCCATATTTTCATCACATTGTCTTTAAAATTTGCACATGGTGTGGTGGCAAAATTGATGTTTTAAAGGTGGCAGAGTAGGAATGCCCTGTCCCTGTTCCCCCATGCAGAATGAAACTTGACAACATTATATTGACCAAATTGCCATGGTGATAATCTCAGAAACCAGTGAAAAGGTTGCAGCACCCCAGAAAAGAGCAAAGCCAAGAAGAATTTTGTTTTAATATCTAAGAAATATTGTACCATACACTCTCTATAGATCCTTCCCTAGCCCGTACAGCATTATACAATCAGGAAAAAAATCTTTAGTCATCAGTTTTCCCACAGGAGTGAAAAAAGAGTGAAATGTGGTCTAATGTTCTGTCTCCTTAGAGGACTTCCCAAGGGTCTGATTTCTGTCACCGAACTTAAATCACTTATGGAAACCCCAGCATTTGAATGCCTGGGAACAAAGGCAGTGTGGCAGTTTTGGGCAGTACCGGAAGAGCTGCATTATTGCTACAGAATGACAAGAGGTGAAGCAAAATATTACAAAATCCTGAAAACAAACAAAAAACCCTATTTAACTTGGTAATTACATTCAAAAGCCCAGAGAAGATACAGCTCTTGGAATGGTTTGCAAAGCTCCCAGCATCTCTAGCTGGGGTGATTGATGAAGGTTTTCCACTACACTAAGCCAGTGCATAAAGACTGGGAGATGTGGATGTTTCTTTAAATCTCAAAGTGTAAACAAAGAAATGTGAAGCATGCAGACACTGGTAACCATGGCCTATTTGAAGTAACAAAATAAACCTTTTTTTCAATCCTGAATAAACAAAGATTTATTAATTACCTGTCAAAAAATTCAAAATATATTAAATACCTATCAAAAATTTCAAAAATAATTAAAGATGCTGGATTACCTAAAATAACCCAGACAAGTTTCTAAAAATCAGGAATACAAGGCATATATAAAATAAGAGTATCAACAAAGACATAAAAGCATAGAAAAAAACCAGAGCTAAGTCATACAATAACCAAAATTGAAAAATTTACTAGAAAAATTCAATAGATGACTTGACCTGCTAGAAAAAATAATTCATGAATTTGAAAATATTGACCATTTGAAACTTAAGGAAGAAGAGCAAAAAGAATGTGATAATAAAGTGAAATCCTGAGACATATGGGACATTGCTAACCTGACTAGTTATGCATTTGAGAGCCCTCATGGGAGAAGAGGAAAAGATTGAGACAAAAAGTCTATTTAAAGAAATAATGGCAGGCAGAAAATTTCCCAAATTTGAGGAAGAATATGGACATAGAATTGTTTTAAAACACAACTACTGTACACTGAGATCAATTCCAAAATTTTACACCAATAAATATTATAATCAAACTTTCAAAAGTCACAGACAAAGAATCTCAGAAGCCGTAAAAGAAAAATGAATTATGACATAAAAAGGAACTCACATATATTATCAACAAGATACCAGCAGATATCTTTTTAAACCAAAAGTAAGTGACATAATATATTCAAAGTGTTCAAAGAAAAACAAGAAAACAACCCGACCACATAAAACATCCATTTGGCAAGCCTGTCATTCAGAAATTATGGAAAATGGAATACTTACTCACGTTAAAAAAAAGGTAGAAGAAGATAATTATTACCATACCTGTCCTACAAGAAAAGCAAAAAGCAGTCATTCAAGTTGAAATGAGGGAGGCTAGGAAGCAAAATGAATGAATGTAAAAGTGTAAATCTATCTGGTAGAGATAAATAAGAAATTAAATATAAATTCCTGTAAGTTTTTAATGTTGATGCACAAGTTAATTTTAATTCTGATATGCAATTTAAAAGAGAAAAGCATAAAAGTAACATTACATTTATATTAATTGGGACACAACATAAAATATAAAATTAGTGATATTACTAACATAAAGTAGGAATGTGAGATCTAAAGGAATAGAGTTTTCATATATAATTAAAGTTTTTGTTGGGTTTAAAATGGACTGTTATAACTATAAAATATTTTATTCAATCCTCATGGTAACCACAAAATATACCCATAGAACAAGACTGTCCAATCTTTTGCCTTCCCTGGACCATATTGGGAAAAGAAGAATTGCCTTGGACCACACATAAAATACACTAACATTAGCCATAGCTGATTAGCCGGGAAAAAAATCGCAAGAGAAATCACAATGTTTGAAGAAAGTTTACAAGTTTGTGCTGGGCCATATTCAAAGCCATCCTGGGCTGCATGCAGCCCTGAGGCTGCAGGTTGGATAAGCTTGCTGTAAAAGATACACAAAAAGAAGTGAAAAAAGGAACCTGAACTTACGAATGTACCAAAAACAGTACTATGACGATAGTTTACAGTAGTAAATGCCTATGTTAAAAAAGAAGAAATATCTAAAACAATCTAACTTTACATATCAAACAACTGACCAAAATTATCAGAAAGAAAAAAGTAATAAAGATTACAGCAAAAATAAATACAATAGGAAGTAGCGAAAAATCAGCAAAACTGAGTTGTTCCTTTCTTTTTATGAAAAGATCAACAAAATTGAGAAACTGTTTTCTTGACTAAAGAAAAAAAGTGAATAGTTGTATAACAAAATCAGTCTGAGGTTGGTGGTTTAATCTTGTATTCCCAGCAGTTTGGAATGCTGAGGCAGGCAGATTGCTTGAGCCCAGCAGTGGAAGCCCAGTCTGGGCAACATGGTGAAACCCTGTCTCTGCTAAAACTACAAAAATTAGCCAGGTGCGGTGGCATGTACCTGTAGTTCCAGCTACTCAGGAGGCTGATGTGAAAGAATCGCTTGAACTCGGGAGGTGAGCGTTTCAGTGAGCCAAGATGGTGCTGCTGCTGCACTCCAGCCTTGGGTTAGAGCAGAGACGCAGTCAAAAAAAAAAAAAAAATTCAGAAATGAAAGAGAAGACATTACAATTGATGCCATAGAAATAAATAGGTTACAAGAGAGAAAATATTGGCAAACCACTTATCTGCTAAGTGTTTTATATTTAAAATATGTGACAATTATCTATAATTTAATAGCAAAAACTCAAAATAATTCAAAGACGTGAATACACATTTATTCAGAAAATATAGACGTATGGCCAAAAAGCATATGAAAAGATGCATAACATCACTGAATATTAGAGAAATGTAAATCAAAACTACAATGAGCTATCACATCATAACCATTAGCCACCTCAGAATATTTTTGAATACATATATTTACCCACACACAGACACACAGACACACACACAGCCCAAAAAACAACAAGTTTTGAAGAGAATGTATATAAATAGAAACTCTTGTGCATCGTTGGTAGGAATGAAAAATGACACACCTATAGTTAACAGAATGGAGGTTCCTCAAAAAAATTAAAATCAAATTACCATAGACCCCACAATTTTCTTCTATGGATTTTCTTCTATGTTTTTTATGGTTTTGGGTTTTACATTTAATTCTTTAATCAACCTTGAGTTAATTTCTGTATAAGGTGTGAGGAAGGGGTCCAGTTTCAGTTTTCTGCATATGGTTAGCCAGTTTTCTCATCACCATTTATTAAGTAGGGAATCCTTTCCTCATTACTTGTTTTTGTCAGGTTTGTTGAAGATCACATGGTGGTAGATGTGTGGTGTTATTTCTGAGGTGTCTGTTCTGTTCCATTGGTCTATATCTCTGCTTTCATACAAGTACCATGCTGTTTGGTTGCTGTAGCCTTGTATTACAGTTTAAAGTCAGGCAGCATGATGTCTCCAATGTTGTTTTTTTGCCTAGGATTGTCTTGGCTATACAGGGTGTTCTTTGATTCCATATGAAATTCAAAGTAGCTGTTATCTAATTCTGCAAAGAATGTCAATGGTAGTTTGAGGGGAATAGCATTGAATCTATACATTATTTCAGGCAGTATGGCCATTTTCACGATATTGATTCATCCTGTCCATGAGGATGAAATGTTTTTCCATTTGTTTTCATCCTCTCTTATTTCCTTGCACAGTGGGTTGTAGTTCTCATTGAAGTGGTCATTCACATCCCTTGTTGGCTATATTCCTAGGTATTTTATTCTCTTTGTAGCAATTGTTAATGGGAGTTGATTCATGATTTGGCTCTCTGCTTGTCTATTGTTAGTGTAAAGGTATCCTTGTGATTTTCGCACATTGATTTTGTATCCTGAGACTGTTGAAGATGCTTATCAGTTTAAGGAGTTTGGGGGCTGAGATGATGGGGTTTTCTAAATAAAAAATTACATCATCTACAAACAGGAACAATTTGACTTCCTCTCTTCCTATTTGAATACGCTTTTTTTCTTTCTCTTGCCCGATTGCCCTAGCCAGAACTTCAAATACTATGTTGAATAGGAGTGGAGAGAGAGGGCGTCCTTTTCTTATACCTATTTTCAAAGGGAATGCTTCCAGCTTTTGCCCATTCAATGTGATATTGGCCATGGGTTTGTCACAAATAGCTCTCATTATTTTGAGATATGTCCCATCAACGACTAGTTTACTGAGAGTTTTTAACATGAAAAGATGTTAAATTTTACCAGAGGCCTGTTTTTGTCCATCTATTGAGATCCATTGTGGAAGACAGTATGGCGATTTCTCAAGGATCTGGAAACACAAATACCTTTTGACCCCACAATCTTATTACTGGGTATATACCCAAAGGAATATAAATCATTCTACTTTAAAGACACATGCACACATATGTTTGTTGCAGCACTATTTACAATAGCAAAGTCATGGAACTAACCCAAATGCCCATCAATGATAGATGGCATAAAGAAAATGTGGTACATAGACACCACCAAATAATGCATAGCCAAAAGTAGAATGAGATCAAAGCCTTTTCAGAGACATGAATAAAGCTGGAAACAGTCATCCTCAGCAAGCTAACACTGGGACAGAAAACCAAACACTGCATGTTCTCACTCATAAGTGGGAGTTGAACAATGAGGACACATGGACACAGGGAGGGAAACAACACACACCAGGGCCTGTTGGGAGGTGAGGTGTGAGGGGAGGAAACTTAGAGGATGGGTCAACAGATGCAGCAAACCACCATGGCATACGTATACCTATGTAACAAACCTTCACATTCTGCACATGTATCCCAGAACTTGTGCAGTAAAAATAAAGAAAAAGAAAGAAGAAAGAAAGAAAGAAAGAAAGAAAGAAAGAAAGAAAGAAAGAAAGAAAGAAAGGACCTAGCTCTATATTCTCAAGTGAACAAAAAATCTTTTTATATTATTGAGCAAGCTAATGTATTAATAAATTTAAAGTCAATGGTTATTGCTAGTCCTAATTTATGAAAAATAAAAGAGAATCTGGATACAGCTATTCAATGTGCAAAGGAATAATCAGAAAATAAACAGTATG
The DNA here is from genome assembly GCF_000001405.40 of Homo sapiens. Taxonomy (NCBI): domain Eukaryota; kingdom Metazoa; phylum Chordata; class Mammalia; order Primates; family Hominidae; genus Homo; species Homo sapiens. The sequence continues at coordinate 69,258,289 of NC_000004.12, forward strand.
TTCCAGGAAACATATAAGGTTTTTTTCTCAAATGACCAAATTTGATAAGAATATCTAAATAATAAAGTATGTATCATCTTCCAAATAGTGCATAATCCTTCTTTCATATTTTAATACATACCTGATGCTCTCAAAATTCATTTCATATATAACATCAACATTCAAACTTCAAGTGTATTTCTATATACCACTCTGTTAGTTGGCTAGGGCTGCTATAATAAAGTACCACAGACTTGGTGGCTTAAACAACAAGAAACATATTTTCTCACAATTCAGGAGGCTAGAAGTGTGTAATCAAGGTATGATTAACAGTGTTGGCTTCTTCTAAAGTCTCCATGATTGGTTTGTAGATGGTTGCCCTCCTTACATAGACTTTCTTCTCTGTGTTTGTCCTTATGTCCATATAAGATGTCCTCTATATGCCCTCATTTTAAATTTTTCCTTAATGGCCCTGACTCCAAATGTAGTCCTATTCTGAGGAACTGGGTGTTAGATCACAAACAAACGAATTCGGAGTAATGAGCCATGATTCAGCCTATAAGCACTATTTAACATTTCAAAATAAAATATACATTTTGACCAAAAAAATACCAATAGTAGAGTATGCATTCTCAACATATACACTTTCTATTTTCCCAACATTAAGATAAACAAAGTGAAATATGGTGTCCACATGAACATTCCAATACATCTAAAGAAGCCAAAGCAAAACAACTTATTAAAAAATTAAGGTCTTATGGCAAACTTTCTTAGACTCAATGAGAAATCCTTTCCATTGCATGTAATTTTAAGTGCACAAATTCCTATTCTGTAAAATTATTTTAGAAAGCTTTTATGTCATTTGTAATTATGTAATTTGTAATTTATGTAATTATGTAAATTGCTTAATTGGATGATCTTTTCCATGAGGGCAGCTATATTCCACTTTGACTATTGAGATAAGTAGGCTGTCCAAAGTCCGGACTGATTCACCATCAATTGATTGAGAAATTGAAGCATGAAACACACTTAGGATTAAGGTGGCTTATGAGCTTGCTGGCTTATGAGCTTGCTGTACTTATTTTAAGCCCACAGTAAATTAAAGGAAGAGTTGGCCATGAAAACTGTGAATGGCTTTTTTTTTTTTTTTTCCTGCTGAATCTGTGTTTCTTCGACTCTGGAAAGTCTGGGAAATTGCTTGTCCAGCCCATGAATTTTAGTCACTCAATTTAAAAGTTATTCTAGAAAAACTCCAGCTTGATGGACATGAGATAACCATATTAGTACCTCCACCAAACCTCCTGCTTGATCATACCAAGATTCCTTTTAATGTGAAGGTTCTCCTACTTTCAGTAACTAAGAAACCCTCACAGAAGATATATATTCCTTTCTCCTTACAGCTTCTTTAGAACTGCAGAGTCTTTCATGGTGTGGCAGGCAAATAAAATTGTCAGAAATAGAATATAAAAATAAAACTGTACATATCCGAAAGTATGTATGACAGTGTGTAATAAATGAGGAGTTACTGAGCAGGCCATAGGCGGCCAAGTTTATTTGTTTTGCTGACCCTTTAACTTACTACGGACAGTTGATGGCTGGGCTTCTCAACATTTCATTTATATATTTGTTTCTGGTTTCCCATGGGAATGCCAGGTGTCTCACCACTTCTTTGTATATTCCTGGCAGCACATCAGTATTAATGAAAAACATCCCTTAAATGCAGAGCTGAATGTTTTTGTCTGTATTTTTCATTTGTTTGTTCTTGGTTTTGAGAGGGTTTTGGTCTATTTAACTTGTGATCTGCTAGTCTTGTATATTTCCAGAATGGGATGAATAGTATAGGTCACAGTAAAGGCTTATTATCCTAATCATTAATATTAATATTTAAATTGTGATTAAATCTTTAACGTTGTTGAATGATACCGTAGTATAGTAATAGTTTAAAAAAATACTGTTTTAGTGAGCTTCAGGTTTCATACTCATTTTGGTAAGTATGGAAATGCTGATAATTTTTTTTTCTAGCCTATGTAGTAAACTATTGCTACCACAGCATTTTAGAAAAGGAATATTTATTATATTTTCACCTAAGCCCTTTCTGATGTATCTTATTCTTTGTAGTATCTCTGTGCCTTTTATATCGGTTGTGATTTTATTGCATTTATTTTCATTTGCACACTGTTTACATTTCTTAATGGTTTCACTTGGTTTCTAGAGTCAGAATTAAGTGTAGGTTCATGATGCAGTAATGTAGTCCTAAAAATAAATATTGATTTTCGTCTTCTTTTGACAAATGACTGAAAAGTGGAGAGATATTTCCATAAAGAATCATAATTTTAGGCTTTGGTCTTATATACAAAAGGAAGAAGTGGGACATATATTCCCCTTTAATTTCTTATCAATGGTGTTTTCAAGTTCAGCTTATATCTGTTTATAATAAAAATTCTCTGCTATTTCTATATGTTATACCATTTCAGCTGCTCTTGATCCCTTACTTTCCCACAATATAAACTGATGCAAAGGACTAAACTGCAAAAACATTTGCAAAATAAATTTCATGTTTATCTGGTGTGCATAGTTCAGTTATGTTCTTTTGTTATTGCTGTGATTCCTGTTTTTGAATGCCTGAATTCTAACTTAAAAATTAAATATTTCTCTCTACCACATATCATTGAGCATTAGTACTATTTTGATTTACTTAATCATGATTCCTCTGTGTCAGCTCACAGAAATGATGCACATTTAAAATTCTATTGAATTCAGTACCATCACTAAGAAATAGTCATGATATCTGTTTGAGAATTTAGAATACCATAATTCTAAATTTAAATTATAACCTAGCCCAGATTATTATAAAATTATTCTTCAATTCCAAGCTTTTATGTGTCTAGTAGGTATAATCTTGACAGTTTTACTTACGTATTATCATTGTAAGTTTCTTTTACAAGAAAAAACGGAAGCTCAATAATAAAATCATTAACATCACATTATATTTATGTAGAAGTATATTTTTAAGTTTATTTAAGGAGCATTTTAAAAAAAATATTGTGGGTGTTCTCAAAATTAAACCTATATCATATGTATAAAAGTAACAATATTTTACTATATTGTAAAGCCTAAGATATATATTTAGACTAGACTGAACGTCTTACACTGAATTTGGAATATGAATGACCTAATCCATGTCATAAGTGGCCTATTTCTTTTGATATACACTTTATGAGCTCAATTCATGCCAGGTCCTGAGCTAGCCTCTCCTGATACAAAGATAAATAAGGCTGCACTATGATAAGTTCTCTTCCTTTCCTTCTTTCTTTCTCTTTCTTTCTTGCTCTTTCTTTCTTTCTTTCTTTCTTTCTTTCTTTCTTTCTTTCTTTCTTTCTTTCTTTCTTTCTTTCTTTCTTTCTTTCTTTCTCTCTCTGTCTCTCTGTTATTCCCATCTCTGTCTCTCTGTTATTCCCATCTCTGTCTGCCTGTCCTCACACCCCTTCACCATACTATTACATAGTATGCTAAAATGAAAAAATTCAGACAGTATTGTTCCAATCACACATGCATTTATTAGAAAGAAGGCAAAGAAAATATAAAAATTCAAAGGAGTTTTAGGAGTTGTTTCTGGGATGTAATATTAATTAGGACATGACATACACTAGATAACTGCTGCTAGAGAATCCATTAAAAAAACACATACCCACAAAGACATACACACTAACTTACTCACAGTGTCTATATATATGTATATGTATATATGTATATATAAACATGTATTTTAAAGTAAATATAGAAATATAACTAAGATATATCATGTTATGTCAATAATAATCAAAACATGGTAGAACAATCTGAAAATCTCCAAATTAATTTCACATAGCTAATTATTTCAAGATCCTAAATATTTTATTCATTAAAGATAAATTTGTGATTTTTCTCCATATCTGATCTTGCAAAAATTCAAAAACTATTCATAAGCATTTTAATTTAATATCAATATAATTATTTTCACAAGTTCAGTTAGAATTGTTTCTCTGTATATGGAAGTAATGGAAATGTTAATTCAGTTGCCAAGGTTTGACAAAAGATACCATTTTTGACAAAATGGATGAACCTAGAAGATATTATGCTAAGTAAATTAAGCAAGTTCAAGAAGGACAAATATTTTATGATTCCACTTATATTAGTTAAGTAAAATAGGCAAACTAATTGAAGCAGACAATAAAATAGTGTTTTCCAGGGGTTTGGGAGAGAGAGAAATTGGGAGTTGTTGCTCAGTGGGTATAAAGTTTCACTTATGCTTATGAATAAGCATAGTGATTTCCTCTGCAATATAATGCCTATGGTTAACAATGTGGTATTGTGTACTTAATAACGTGCTAAGAGGGTAAATCGCAAGCATTATTACCATCAAAAACAAAGAGTGACAGAGCTTTTGTAAGTGATGGATATGTTTATTACCTTCACTGTTATAATGACAGCATCATGGGTGCATGTATATGTCCAAACTCAATCATTTATATATATATATATATATATGTATAAAATACTTGCAGGTTTTTTATATCAATTGTACTTCAATAAAGCTATTAAAATTATATGCATCTATTTTTGAAATTTATATGATGCATTTCTTAAATTGATGTACAAATTATTTCTCTACAAGAAATCAAATAATTCATTGAGATGTCGGGGAAAATGGTATTGTGGTTTTTATTTGAATCGATGATCAAATATTTCACAGAGAAAAACACAAATATAGCGAAATAATGTTTCCTAGATCAGACAGAAATTTATTTAAATTTTAAACTCTATATCTGTTTCTTAAAATTACTTCCCACAAAAAGAGATAAAATTTCAAAATCCAGGTTGCCTTTAACACTGCAAATTTTGACTTGCACTGTTTTCAGAAAGTTATATCAATATAAATAACAGAGGACATTTTGATCTTATGGACCGAAACCCAGCTTCTGTCTATAACATAAAAAAAACCAAGTGAATGCCTTACTTTATCCATCACCCAAGCTCTATAATAATGGATTTTCTTAAATAAAGTGGGAAGCCTGTGAGCAGCACTAGAGGAAATCATGTTATCATTTCAATCATCTATTAATGAGTTTAAAATTTTGGTAAAGGATTGAGTTGACAAGGTCTGGCTTCCATTATGTAATGATAGCTAGATATGTAATGATAACTCCTATCTCTGTTACTAGGCCTTCTTTTCCAAGCTAAGTACAGTTTAAAGTTTGGAAACAGCATATTTCTTTAGAGAGAGATGGCACGGATCAAAATGAGTCCACTGACATTTTGACTGTAGAAGAAAGGAAAGACCAAATGTCAATTCCCACAATTGGAACAAAAGTCAGTCCCAAAAAGTTGGGACATAAGTCTCAGAACTTAATGTCTCCTGGCTTGTACATGCAGAACAGGGCATAATTAAGCTACTTTTGAATAACCCTACAAAAACTTTAACATTCTGAGGTGAAGAAGAAGTAGCCAGATTTAATCTTGAATAAAACTGACTAGACTCAGTTTAATCTATAAAAAAAGAAAGTCTTTTTTCTATAAAGTCTTATAGTTGCTTTTTTAAAAGTAATATATAAGATCATCTTGTGCTTTTTTTAAAAATCAGGTTTGAATGTTAACAGTCTTTTGTGTTTTCATATAAATTTAAAGATTTTTTTCAATTCTATAAGAAATACCATAGGAATTTAATAGAGATTGCAACAAATCCATTAATCACTGTCAGAAGTACAGCCATTTTAATAATATGAATGTTCATCTGGTCTAGCAAAGATACTCTACCTGACACACGGGATGCCAGTGGAGCAAATACTTGGTGGAAATTGCAGGAGTCCACTACCAGACTCTAGGATCTGTTGGATTTTATAATGGTCAGACTTTTAATCAAAGATGTAATGGAGCCCATCATCCTGCATCCTTTATACCTTTAAGCTCTTTAATTTTCACAATCCCCAGGTATGTAATGCAGTATCATTTTCCATTTTCTGGGCCACCTGACATCTGTGGTAATGGAGGAATGAAGAAGCTTCATGTATCTAGTGAATTGAAGAGTTGTCTTCCCCAAAAATATGTCCAGTGAGTAACCTCCAGAATCTATTAAAGTGACTTTATTGGAGAAAAGCTCTTTGCAGATGTATGTAAAAAAAGAAAATCAAGACAAATTTATTCTGGATTTATGATGTGCTCTAAATCCAAGGACAGATATGTTTATAAGGAGAAAGGTAGGAGGATCCCTTGAGGCCAAATTCCAGACCAGCCAAGTCAACATAGCAAGACACCATTTCTTCAAAAAATTAAAAACAAACAAACAAATAAATTTTTTTGAAAAGAATAAAGGCAGGAAAAAATTAGGAAGAAAGAAAAGAAAAGATGATGCTGAGGAAAGAGAAGTTGGAGAGAAGCCACAAGCCATGGGACTCCAAGAATTGTCAGCAACCAATAAAGGCCAAGAGACAGGCATTGAATTGTTTTTCTCTTAGAGCCTCCAGAACAAATGAACCCTGAGAACACAGATTTTGACTTTCTGGCTTAGATAGCTATCAGAGAATAACTTCTATTTTAAGCAGCCCAAGAAACTAATGCAGAGACAATCCACTTGGCCTTTCCCACTAAAATGACTTGTATCCAGGCACCAATGATACAATTTCACATTTTTTCTAAAGAGAAAGTGTATCTACATAATTATGCATTTTGGAAATTGAGGAAATCATCAGTTATCCTAGGGATGTCGCTGTCCCTTTCAGGAAAAAAAAAATATGGAATCAGTAGCATGTGAGTTTATTTGGCTTTACAGATTTTTTTTCCCTGAGGGGCCTGGTGTCTTTGCCCATAAATAAATTTCAGGTCTGAAAACACACTTAGGTCCAGACCCTTGACAATTTACTGTGATTTCTAGTGAGGACAGCTGCCCTCAAATTTTTAGTATCCATTCTTGAACTCTTCTGGTATTATAGATTGAGAAATTCCCTTGCTCACCTATCTGTTTTGTCCCTAGTGCTATCTTCTCTATTACTATGTGCACAGCTTTCTAAATTAGGTCTTTCTGGATAACACCCCAGTCTTAGTGCTCATGTTTATTATGGCCATCTGCCTTCTGAAGGTCTCTATTATTTCAATATCTGATCATAAATCATATCATTGAGATTGGTTTGGTAAGTCCAAAAAGACCTAGTCCTCAGAGGATAGACATGTTGAACATTCATTATAACTTCAGCAAATATTTGATAGATTTCCAGCACTGTATAAGATGTCTATGTTAATATATCCACTGTCATAAGCCTTCTGATTCCCTCTTTCATTCACTGGCAAGGCCTTTCCAGCACACAAGTTTCATTTTGTAGTAGCCATAGTTTTTCCCAAGATTATGAATGTATCTTAGTAGTAGTCTGTTACCACCACCTTCTGAAGTTTGAGCACAACTATTAAATTCTATTTCCTTTGAGAGTGCTTCAAAACAAAAAAGGAAAGTGATGTTGAACTTTTTGAAAGTGTTTGCTGCATCTATTGAAATGATCATGATGTATTTGTTTTTAGTCCTGGGTATGTGATGAATCACATTTATTTATTTGCATATGTTTAATGAATCTTGCATCCTAAGATTAATGCCTACTTGATTGTGGTAGTTAGGTTTTGATGTGCTGCTGAATTCGATTAATTAGTACTTTGTTGAGGATTCTTGTGTGTATATTCATGATAGATATTGGCCTGATGTTTTCTTTTCTTCCTGTGTCTCTGCAAGGTTTTGGTATCAGAGCAATCTTGGCCTCATAGAATGAGTTAAGGAGGAGTCCCTCCTCCTCAATTTGTTGAAATCGTTTCAGTAGGATGGCTAGTATTTCCTTTTATATGTATAAAGGAATTTGGCTGCGAATCTTATCTGAATCAGGTCTTTTTTGTTTGCTGGACTTTATATTACTGATTCAGTTTTGGAACTCATTTTGGGTCAGTTCAGGGTTTCTATTTCTACCTGGTTCAACTTTGAGAGGATGTAGGTGTCCAGAAATTGATCTGCTTCTTCTAGGTTTTTAAGTTTGTATGTATAGAGATGGTCATTATGGTCTTTGCATGTAGTTTGTTTTTCCTGAGGTTGATGATGATCTCTTGATTGTCATTTCTGAGTGTGTTCATTTGGACCATCTCTCTTTTATTCTTTTGTAGTCTATCTAGTAATTAATCAATCTTATTTATTAATCTAGTAATTAACCTTATCTAGTAATTAATCAATCTTAGTTATTCTTTCAAATAACAAACTTTCAATATTGTTGATGTTTTCTATGATTGTTTGGTCTCAATTTTACTCTAAAAAACCCTGAGCAAATTATGTGTTAAAGGAAAATACTCCAAAATAATAAGAGCCATCTGTGAAAGCTCACAGTCAACATCATGCTGAATGCGCAAAAGCTCAAAGGATTCCTGTTGAGAACTGGAACAAGGCAATGATGTCCATTCTAATCATTGCTATTCAGTACAGTATTGAAAGTCCTATCCAGAGCAAGAGAGAAAAATAAAAGTCATCCAAATAGAAAGATGGAAAGACAAACTATCTCTCTTCTCAGATGGTATTATTTTATACATAGAATACCCCAAAGCCTCTGTCCAAAAGCTCCTACTTCTGAAAAACAACTTTAGCAAAGTTTCAGAAGAAAAAATGTACATACAAATGAGAGGAGGTTCCAGCTGGGTTTCCTGGGTCGAGTAGGGGCTCTGAAAACTGTGAAACTCACTCATTTCCTGCATCAGAACTTACTTTGGTCCTGGATGAATCATACTGAAGATATATGCTTAAAATATTCCTAACATCAGAATTTGTGCATGTGTTTTCTTCCCCAAGAAAGCTATAAACAGCGAAACTTTAGTTGTAAGCTTCCCTGTGTCGTTGCTGCCTCTCCCTTCCCCCTCCCCTGAAACTAAAAGGAGTGTTAAAAGCCAGTTTTTCTATGACCAGCAGCCCTTGTCTATGCTCCCAATTCCACTTCCTTGTAAACACTATTTGTAAAATCCTGTGAAATTCTGTCTCCTTTGCCATGCCGCTGCAAGGTTATAAAGTAGAGAAAACTTAAGTTACAATTCCGGATTTCCTCAAGATCTAAGACATGGTAATTGTCTTTGTTTCTCGCTCTCGTAACATCTTCCCAACACATTTATTTCCCGCCTTAAAGAGTTTAAAAGGAGATCAAAAAATCTAACACTGGCTACCCGCTTGGGACCCCTTCCATGCTGTGGAAGCTTTGTACCCTCACTCTGCTCAATAAAGCCTACAGCTTTTTTTCTCTCGGTTGACCCGTGTCTCTCTCTCACCCTCACCAAGGGCTGCTGCCACACCAAATCTTTGGCGTGGCTAAGGCAAGAACCTTTGGCATTTTTGGCGAGCCAGCCAGGAGGATCTCCAGGAAAGGCATCTAGATCGTCATGTAGTGAGTACGATCGGACCTCTTTGGCTTGCAATTCTGTCCTGTCCTTCCTTAGAATTCAGAGGCTAAACCGGGCACCTCTGGGCCACTTAAAGGTGATTAGTGCCGCCTTGGGACTAGAGACATGGGTGTCAGGCTCTCTGGAAAAGGGCTAACAACCCTGACCCTTTGGGTCTGGGAATGTTGGTAAGTCTGGATCCAGTTCATACTCTTTCACTTTCCGTGGTGGTCCGGAAATACACCTGGGAGTTATCAGCGGACATTCTAGTCTCCCAGATTTCCTGTTTGAGACCATGGCCCCTCCAAAGGCTCTCCCTGCACGGGTTACTGAGTGTGAGACCACCACATCTTCTGACCCCTTCCTCCTCGGTCCTAATGTCCACCGGCTAGACTTCTTTCCTCATCTCGCAAGCAAGTTTATTCCCACTAGGCAGGATGAAGATTCTCTATTTAAAAGTCTTAAATTCTTGGGATGGTGCCCAGAAGATCCCTGTTCATGGTGCCCTCCAGGGATTAGTCAGGTTTTTCCGTTCCATGGCTATTTTGAAGGGCCAGTTCCCCTCCATAGTGAATGGTCCCCCACATCAAGACAATTTAAAGATAGGTCTGTAATTTTCATGTGGATAGTAGAAGCCTTAGGGCGTTTCCTCCATTGCTCCCCAGATAGACTTTCCCCCTTGTTGGGGCCTCTCAAGTACAATCCGTGGTGCATGGGTACAGCTCTTAGAGCCATTGAATTGCTATTTGAACCATTCAATAGTTGGTATTGGAAGGAAGAAAATATAGTCAGTTGGGACACAGGATACTGGCACCGCCATAAGACAGGGGTTTACTTCTTTGATGGGAAGTGGGGACAGAAGGCTAGAGTACAGCAGCTGTTCTCTCAGCCCTGGCCTAGAGAACATCCACCACCTCCTTTAAGCTTACTAAACCTCCTGTCGCTAATTCAGAGATTTCTCCTTGAAGGACAATTTTATGGCCAGGCCCACGTAAATTGGGCCTTAGCATGCAGGCATCAGTGGTGCCTCAGGTCCAGGCCTTGCCACCATGGAACAGGTAGGATGCATTGGCAGAAGGACCACAATAAATCCAACAGTTCTTGTGCTCCATATAGTGGTCAGTGGGTGCACAGCAGGGACAACGGAAGTTTCCATCCTGCCGGTAAGCATGGTTAAATCCAGTAGTTGGAGGGCTCAGGAAAAGTGGCCATGAGCTTTGAGCACATCTGGACCTGACCCTTGGGGGACGCCGTAAGGGAAGATGAGTCCCAGGATGTCCCAGGTGCGGGCATCCCTGTGTTTAAAATTCCAGATGGGCACCAAACCGGACACTCCCTTAAGATATATCCTGAATAACTGGGACAAATTCAACCCTGAAACCTTAAAAAAGAAGCGGCTGATTGTCTTCTGTACCACTGCCTGGCCACAGTATTCCTTACAAAATGGAGAAACTTGGCCTCCTGAGGGAAGTATTAATTATAACACATTTCTACAACTAGATCTTTTCTGTAAACAGGAAGACAAACGGAGTGAAGTCCCTTATGTACAGGCTTTCTTTGCCCTTCGTGGCAATACTGCCCTGTGCCAAGCCTGCAAGCTTTGCCCAAATGGCAGAGGGCCACAATTGCCTCCATACTCAGGGCCTCTTCCCTCAGCCCTACTCTCCTCCCGCACTGACTCTCCTCCATCCAGCCCCACTGAAGTGTTATAGGCACACTGGAAAGAGATCGTAAACTTGGGTGCTTATAAGGCACCCAAACTACATCCCTTATAAGCAGTAGGAGGAGAATTTGGGCCCCTTCATGTGCATGCCCCCTTCTCACTCTCAAATTTGAAACAAGTAAAGGCAGATTTAGGGAAATTCTCAGATGATCCCGATAACTATATAGATGTCCTGCAAGGATTGGGGTGGTGCTTTGATCTGACATGGACAGATATCAGTTGCTTCTTGATCAGCCCTTAAGTCCTACTGAAAAAGAAGCAGCTTTACCTGCCGCCTGGCAATTTGGGGATCTGTGGTACCTTAGCCAGCTAAATGATTGAATGACCCTGGAGGAGAGGCAAAAATTCCCCACAGGGCAACAAGCAGTTCCCAGTGTAAACCCTCACTGGGGATACTGACTCACATCATGGAGATTGGAGCTGCAGGCATTTGCAAACTTGCATTTTAGATGAGTTGAGGAAGACTAGGAAAAAGCCTATGAACTACTCAGTGCTATCCACAATTACACAGGGAAAGGAGGAAAACCCCTCTGCTTTTCTAGAAAGGCTAAGGAAGGCCCTAAGAAAGCACAGCTCCTTAACTCCAGATTCCGTTGAAGGCCAACTTATTTTAAAGGATAAACTTATCACCCAATCAGTGGCTGACATTAGGAGAAAACTCCAAAACTCTGCCTTAGGCCCAGAACAAATTTAGAGACATTATTAAACCTGGCAACCTCAGTGTTCTATAAGAGGGACCAAGAGGAACAGGCCAAAAGGGAAAAGCAAGATAAGAGAAAGGCTGCAGCCTTAGTCATGGCCCTCAGACAGGCAGACCTTGGTGGCTCAGAGAGAATCAAGAGGAGAGGCCAATTGCCTAGTAGGGCTTGTTATCAGTGGGGTTTGCAAGGACACTTTAAGAAAGAGTGTTCAACAACAAAAAAAAAACCACCCCCTCACCCATGTCCAATTGGTGCACTGCCCCAGAGGATGAAGGCCCTCTGGACCAGAAGCACCCACCCAGATGATTCAGCAACAGGACTGAGGGTGCCTGGGGCAAGCGCTAGCTCATGCCATCACCCTCACAGAGCCCCGGGTAAGTTTGACCATTGAGGGCCAGGAAGTGGACTTCCTCCTGGGCACTGGCGCGGCCTTCTCAGTTTTAACCTCTTGCCCCAGACGACTGTCCCCAAAGTCTGTTACTATCCGAGGAATCTTAGGACAGCCTGTAACCAGGTATTTCTCTTGCCTCCTCAGCTGCAGTTGGGAGACTTTGCTCTTTTCACATGCCTTTCTTATAATGCCTGAAAGTCCCATACCCTTCTTAGGGAAGAACATATTAGCCAAAGCTGGGGCCATTATCTACATGAATATGGGGAACAAATTACCCATTTGTTGTCCCCTACTTGAAGAAGGAATCAACTTCGAGGTCTGGGCCTTAGAAGGATAATTTGGAAGGGCAAAGAATGCTCATCCAGTCCAAATCAAGCTAAAAGACCCCACCGTTTTTCCTTATCAAAGGCAATATCCATTAAGGCCTGAAGCTCTCAAAGGATTACAGGATATTGTTAGAAATTTAAAAGCTCAAGGTTTGGTAAAATTATGTAGCAGTCCTTGGAACACCCCAATCCTAGGAATACAAAAACCAAATAGTCAGTGGAGACTAGTGCAAGACCTCAGGTTTCACCTGTCTACCTTCAGGCATTTTTTTCATCTGTTATAACACAGACTATCATGCCTAAATGACACTCTGAAAGAACTATGCTTTCTCTCCTTTCTAGCACCTCCCATGTCCATATATATGGAACAAGAGTTAAAAAGTCTCCTTATATCCCAATCTCACCACAGGCAAGCCCTTAGTGTCCCTTTTACTATAGGAGCAGGAATACTAGGCAGGCTTGGGACTGGAATTGGAGGCATAACCTCCTCCACCCAATTCTATTATAAATTATCACGAGAATTAAATGATGACATGGAATGAGTTGCCAACTCTCTAGTGACCCTATAAAGCCAGCTTAATTATCTAACTGTGGTAGTCCTTCAAAATTGGAGAGCCCTAGACTTATTAACTGCCAAAAGAGGAGGAACCTGCCTCTTCTTAGGAGAAGAATGTTGCTATTTCATTAACCAGTCAGGAATCATTACTGAAAAGGTCAAAGAAATAAGAGAACGAATAGAAAGTAGAAAAAAGGAGCTTGAACACTCAGGGCCCTGAAATATGTTTAACCAATGGATACCTTGGATCCTCCCATTTGCAGGCCTGCAACAGCCATCCAACTATTATTCGCTTTTGGGCTTTGCATTTTTAACCTCCTTGTCAAATTTGTTTCCTCCAGGATCAAGGCCATCAAGCTACAGATGATCTTACACATGGAACCTCACATGAGCTCAACTCACGTTTCTACCAAGGACCCCTGGATCCACCCGCTGGTCCCTCACTGGCCTAAAAAGTTCTCCTCTGGAAGACACCACAACTACAGGTCCCCTTCTTTGCCCCTAACCAGCAGGAAGTAGTCAGAATGACCGCCGCCCAGTTCCCAACAGCAGTTGGTGTGTCCTATCTAGAGGGGGGACTGAGGAGGTTCCAGCTGGGCTTCCTGGGTTGAGTAGGGGCTCAGAAAGCTGCGAAACTCACTCATTTCCTACATCAGACTTACTTTGGCCCTGGATGAATAATAATATTGAAGATATATGCTTAAAACATTCCTAACATCAGAATTTGTGCATGTGTTTTCTTCCCCCAAGAAAGCTATAAAAAGTGAAACTTTTGCTGTAGGCTTACCTGTGTCCGTCCTCCCTCTCTCCGTTCCCCCTCCCCTGAAACTAAAAGGAATGTTAAAAGTCAGTTTTTCTGTGACCAGCAGACCTTATCTATGCTCCCAATTCCAATTCCTTGTAAACACAATTTGTAAAATCCTGTGAGATTCTGTCCCTTTTGCCATGCCACTGCAAGGTTATAAAGTAGATAAAACTTAAGTTATAATTCTGGTTTTCCTCAAGACCTAAGACATGTTAATTGTCATTGTTTCTTTCTCTGGAAACATCTTCCAGCCACATGTATTTCCCGACTTAAAAGAGTTTAAAAGGTGATCAAAAAATCTAACACTGGCTACCCGCTCGGGACCCCTTCCACACTGTGGAAGCTTTGTACTGTCACTATGCTCAACAAAGCCTACAGCTTTTTTTTCTCTTGGTTTATCCCTGTCTCTCTCTCACTGAGGGCTGCCGCCACACCAAATCTTTGGTGTGGCTAAGTTAAGAACCTTTGGTGTTACACAAATATCAGTAACATTTGTTTATACCAACAACATCCAAGCTGAGAGCCAAATCAAGAATGCACTATCATTTACAACAGCCACATATAAAATACCTAGAAATACAGCTAACCAGGGAGGTGAGAAATCTCTGCCCTAAACATTACAAAATGCTGTTGAAAAAATTAGAAACAGCATCAACAAAAAGAAATGTATTTCATGCTCAATTATAGAAAGAATTAATATTTTTAAAATGACCATACTGCCCAAAGTAATTTACTGACTCAGTGCTATTTCTATCAAACTACCATGAACATTTTCAATGCAATTGGAAAAAAAATTCTAAAATTCCTATGAAACCAAAAATAGCCCAAAAGTCAAAACAGATCTAAGCACAAAAACAAAGCCAGAGGCATCACAATACCCAACTTCACACTCTAATACAAGGCTACAGTAACTGAAACAGCCTGGTACTGGTACAAAAACAAACACATAGACCAATGGAACCAGTTAAAGCACCCAGAAATAAAGCCTTACACCTACAGTCATCTGATTTAAACAAAGTCAATAAGAACAAACAATGGGGAAATAACTCACTCTTCAATAAATGGTGCTACATAACTGGCTAGCCATATGCAGAACACTGAAACTAGATATCTTCTTTTTACCATATGCAAAAACCAACTGAAGATGAGTTAAAGATGTAAATGTTTAACTAATATGGTTTGGCTGTGTCCCCACCCAAATCTCATCTTCAATTGTGGCTCCCACAATTACCACGTGTTGTGGGAAGGATCCAGCAAGAGGTAATTTAATCATAGGGGTGGGTCTTTCCCATATTGTTTTTTTGATAGTAAATAAGTCTCATGAGATATAATGGTTCTATATAAAGGGGAATTTCCCTACATAAGCTCTCTTACCTGCCGCTGTGTAAGATGTGACTTTGCTCCTCATTCACCTTCCGCCATAATTGTGAGATTTCCCTGGTTATGTGAAACTGTGAGTCCATTAAAACTCTTTCCTTTATAAATTAGCTTTGGGTGTGTCTTTTTTAACAGCATGAGAATAGATTAATACAGTAAATTGGTACTAGGTAGTGGGGTACTGCTGTATAGATATCAGGAAATATGGAAGCAACTTTGGAACTGGGTAACAGGCAGAGTTTGAAATAGTTTGGAAGACTCAGAAGAAAACAGAAAGATGTGGGAAAGTTTGAAACCTCCTAGAGACTTGTTGAATGGCTTTGAGCAAAATACCGATAGTGATAGGGACAATAAAGTCCAGGCAGAGGTGGTCTCAGATGGAGATAAGGAACTTGTTGATAACTGGACCAAAGGTGACTCTGCTATGTTTTAGCAAAGACCTGTGGCATTTTCCTCCTGGCCTAGAGATTTGTGGATCTTGTAACATGAGAGAGCTGATTTAGAGCATCTGATGGAATAAATTTTAAGCAACAAAGTATTCAAGAGGTGACTTGGGTACAGTCAAAAGTATTCCATTTTATGTATTTACAAAGATATGGTTTGGAATTGGAACTTACGTTGAAAAGGGAAGTAGAGCATAAAAGTTTGGAAAATCCATAGCCTGATGATGTGGTATAAAAGAAAAATCCCATTTTCAGAGGAGAAATTAGAGCTAACTGCAGAAACTTGCATAAGTAATTAGAAACCAATTGTCAATAGCCAAGACAATGGAGAAAGTGTCTCCAGGGCATATCAAAGGTCTTCCTGGCTGTAGCCCTTCCCATTACAGGCTGGGAGGCCTAGAAGGAAAAAAATGGCTTTTTGAGCTAGGCCCAGCATCTTGGTGCTTTGTGCAGTGTCAGAACACAGTCCCTGTGTCTCAGCTGTGGCTAAAAGTGGCCAAGGTAGAGCTCAAGCCATGGCTTCAGTGGGGCAACGTCCAAGCATTGGCAGATTGTCAGCTTTGATGTGGTGTTGAGTCTGTGGGTACACAGAAGTCAATAATTGAGGCTTGGGAACCTCTACCTAGATTTTAGAAGATTTATGGAAATGCCTGGATGTTCAAGCAGAAGTTTCCTGCAGGGGTGAGACAATCATGAAGAAACTCTGTTAGCACAGTGTGAAAGGAAAATGTGTGGTGTGAGCCCCCCCCCACCCCCAACACACCCACACAGTCACCACCAGAGCACTACCCAGTGGAGCTATGAGAAGTGGGTCACCATCCTTCAGACCCCAGTATGATACATCAACAAACAGTTTAGACTATCCAACTGGAAAAACCACAGATATTCAATGCCAGCCCATGAAAGCAGCCAAGAAGAGGGCTGTACCCTGCAAAGTCAAAGGGGTTGAGCTGCCCAAGACCATGGAATCCCAACGTTTATATCAGTGTGACCTGTATTTGAGACATGGAGTCAAAGAAGATGATTTTGGCAATGACTGCCCCTGGATTTTACTGCCTTACCTGGATTTTGGACTTGCATGGAGCCTGTAGCCCCTTTGTCTTGGCCAATTTCTGCCATTTAGAAGGAGTGTATTTATCCAATGCCTGTTTCTTCATTGTATCTAGGAAGTAACTAATTTGCTTTTGTTTTTAGGCTCATAGGCAAAAAGGACTTGCCTTATCTCAGATGAGACTTTGGACTGTGGACTTTTGAGTTAATGCTGAAATTAGTTAAGACTTTGGGGGAACTGAAGAGAGTGCATGACTGGTTTTAATATGTGAGGACCTGATATTTGGAAGGGGCCAAGGCAAGAATGATATGATTTGGCTGTGTCCTCACCGAAATTTCATCTGGAATTGTAGCTCGCATAATTCCCACCTGCTGTGGGAGGAACTCGGTGAGAGGTAATTGTATCATCATAGGGCATCTTTCCCATGCTATTCCCATGATAGTAAGTGTCTTGAGATCTTATAGTTTTATAAAGGAGAGTTTCCCTACACAAGGCTTCTTGCCTGCCTCCAAGTATTATATAACATTGCTTCTCATTTGCCTTTTGTCATGATGGTGAGGCCGCCCAAGCCATGTGTAACTGTGAATCTATTAAACCTCTTTCCTTTATAAATTACCCAGTCTCGGGTATGTATTTAGAAACAGCATGAGAATAAGCTAGTACAGTATCCTAAAACTATAAAACCCTAGAACAAAATCAAGAGAATAGAACATAACTGAACTAAAAAACCTCTGTGCAACAAAAGTAACTATCAACAGAATAAACAGATGACTTACAGAATGGGAGAATATAATTGTAAACTATGCATCTGTTAAAGATCTAATATCAAAAATCTTTAAGGAACTTAAAGAAATTAACAAAACATACACAAATAACTCCATTAAAAAATGGGGCAGGGACATCAAGAAAGAATTCTCAAAAGAATATATACACAGGAATGTGTTCAAGATGATCAACTAGATGCAGTCAGGAAGTGCCACTGCCACCAGGGAAACACCAGGGTTTTTTTTTTCATACCAAAATAATTTGAACAGATCTTTGGAGAGAAAATACTGAATGTGGATGGAGAAAAGAAGTAGTCACTGAGGCTGAAGAGAAAGAAGGCTGAGGACGCTGAATGGTGTGCCTGAATGCTACAGCTGGTTCTCTACCCTGAGCTGTTTCTAGGGAAGGGTGAGTGAAAGGAATAGTAAACAGCTTCCTTTCACTGTAGACATCTGGAATTCTGGCTAGATGGGGCTCCATACCTTCAAGGACATGTGGACTGGCAGAGGGGTCTCCCAGAAATTGCACAGAGATGGAGATGCAGACAAAATCCAGGGACCTTTGTGAATAGGTCCTTTACACAGACAAGACTCCTATATAAGAAAAACTTGAAACAAAGGTGTTGCATTCAACTCCTTGCCTTCAGAGGATGCCCTACTCTGTAATGTCACAGCTTTCAATGAGCTATCTTTTCTCACTGCACTCTGTGACTCACCTTGAATTCCTTCCTGTGTGGAATCCGAGAACCTTCTCTCAGTGTCTGAATCAAGGCCCCTTTATCTGGGAACACTTCCAAGGAGACTTTTCTGGCTTTCATAGTTTGCCTTAATTTGATGGTTATTAGTCCTCACTCTTCTATTATTTTCTCCCAAGCATTAACACTGAAGAAAAAAACATTCACCTCTATTGTAGTCATAATTTCTACTTTTCCCATATTGATACATTTGTGATATATCCTAATAAGTAACACTTTCCCTTTCAAAAGATTACCATCATAATTTGCCATTACTGAAAGTATGAAAAATTTAAATTATCACATTCCAGGGTCTATTTGTGTTCTCCCTACCAATAGTGATAGGATTCTCCTTACAACTGGTAGTGAATGATCCAACTCTAAAATCTCATTTTGTTGTCTGTTCTTTTTTTCTGATGTCTCTTGGTGCATATTATCAAATTCTGGGAGCTTCCAAGAAGTAGACTCTAAGCTGAATATGTTTTTGAGGGAGCTAATTTGGGAGTTTTATTGAAAATAACATCTGTGAAAAAGTAGGAAGCAAGACTGGACTGTGGAACAAATTAGGATATAATTCAGTGCAATGGTTTGAATGTTTGAGTGTTCCAAAGATTAATATGTTAAAATTCTTATAACCAAAATGACTGTATTAGCAGACAGAACCTTTTAGGAGGTGTTTAGGTCACGAAGGGAGAGTCCTCATTAGTGGAATTAATTCCATTCCAAAATTTGCTCACAAGAACTCATTCATCTCTTTTCCCCATTAAGACATGGTGATGGGCTGCCATCTTGGAGGAATGCCCAATACCAGCATCTTGATTGTGAAAATTTCAGCCTCAAGAACTGTGGCAAATAAATGTTTTTTGTCTATATGCTAGGCAATGTATGGTATTTTTCTATATAGCACCCTGAGCATGCTAAGACATGCAGTCTCAGCATAGGTTTCATCTCACCCACTGGGAGTTCTGAAGACAAGTTAGCCCTTCAGAGTTGGTCCACATTGAAATGAGGAGAATGGGCCTTTAAAGTCTTACATATGACCAGGCATTGGATATGGGCTGTCTTGGAAAGGTCCCCTTATACTAGATAGCTTTCAACAGCGCTGCGCTGAGAGAGAGAGCTTATAGGTGAGGTATGTCAGTTGTTAATCACTTCATCAGCTGGAAAGTAATTTGTATATTCCCAAAAGGAAAATTTGGGTGACACATAATGCATGCACTCAAGGACATTAAAAATATTGAACAATATTGCCACTCTGTAGGCAATATTTTCTCAGAAACTGTGTTCAAACATCCTTTTAAGAAAGATTTACCTCATTTCAGGTTAACAGATTATTAACAGAATAAAAACAAATTTGTCTATTTTGTGACATGCATCTTTTCCTTCCTAATTCTACTTTGATGTAAATTTCTGGTGAGACTTTTTAAAAGTACAAATTACCTGAATTACAAGACAATCTGTGAAACAAGTTCAGGAGTGGGCATTTAGAAGACAAATACTTTCTAAGAGTGAGAAATGTCAGGAGTGCTGCAAATATTCAGAAAAAGAAAATATTGTGATTTAGACAAAATATTTGCAAATGAAGCAAATTAACTGTAACTGTACTTAAAACATATCTGTTTGGATAAAAAGAAAATGAATATCTATAGTCAGAAAAACAATGTCAAGAAACACAAAATGATGCTAATATCATAATTGTGAGAATACATAGAGAAAATGAAGACGGTCTATTTGAGAATGTTAAGATAAATAAGAATAGATCACACCCCTGCCTCATTGTTGACACAATGCTGCTTTCTTATACTAGAAACTCTTCATATACAATTAAATTATCTCTTGTTCTGGAGACAGCCACATTTACAATAAGAATGAAATTTATTATTCACACATGCAAACACAAAATCATTCATCCTTTTCTTTATTCACTTGCTTTCCAAAACCTCTATTGTCAATACTTAAATCATTGTGACATTGATTGATATTGATATGTACCAAGTTAGAGAAAGTTATAAAGAAAGATAGCATTTTAACAAGTTGTCTAAGAAATGGACTTTTTTGTTTCTTATGCTGACAGTTGTATTCTAGCTCTGAGTCCTGTTAGAATGTGCTGGTGTGGCCGATGAAATAGTCTTTGTATCAATTTAATGTTGATAGTTGATGAACTTGCTCAGAACACCGTGAGGTAACTGTGCTTGTCACCTTCAGCTTCCATCCTCATTGATTCCAACAATCTGCTGTTAAATTTGAGGTTTATCCCACATCTTTTACTCAGAAGGAACTTGATTTCATTTTTATGAAGTTGATCAAGATGTGGACATATAAGTTTCCAAAGAGTACATTGTTGACATATGATTCAAAGATGCAAAAACTACATATCATGAATGTTCTGATACTGTTCAAAAGCTCTGTGAGTATGCTGTTTTGAACAAGAAAATTATGAGGAACAACAAGATTCCAGAATTTATATCATTCTTGCAAATGTAAGTTCTCAGTAGTGAGCTGCTATCTGAACACCTTAATCTGTTAAACATTTGTTATACATTTGGTCTACAATCATCAATTTACAACTGGCAGTATGTACCAAGAACTCTGTGGAGGACTTACATTACCTCCTTCTGATGTAACTGTTGTCATATCAGAACTTAGTACCAATATACATTTGTAGAAAGGTGAAAAATCTGTTGCATTTTCTTCATTTTGACTTTGCATTTGAGATTTTTAACAGAAAGAAGTGGGATCAGTTGTACAGTGAAGTATTAGGTAAGTTAGTACTTAATTTATTCACTTTTCCCTCCAATATGTGGAAGGAAACCTTCCTTTTTGGGGTCTGTTAGAGTGTGTTTATAAATTGAAGTAAAAAATAACCTTTTTGGTTATGTGAAAGACAAGGGTGGGCAAGGTTGTGGAGACATTGAAACCCTCATACATTGTTGGTGAGAATAGAAAATTATTCACCCACTCTGAAAAAGTCTAGCAATTCCTCAAAAGATTACACTTACATTTACCACATAATTCAGTAATTGCCTTTCTAGGCATATCCCCAAGAAAAATAAAAACATGTCCACAGAAATCATGCACATCAATGTTAAACAATGCTATTCATAATGACCAAAAGTGGAAGTAAATCAGTATCCATCAACTATTAAATGAATAAATAAATTGTGTTTATAAATAGCATCTGATAACTATTTGGCAATAAAAATGAAGTCCTTATTTACACTATTCTATGGATGGTCCTTTAAAAACATTAAACTAAGTAAAGGAAGCCAGCCACAAAAGACCACATATTATATCGTTCCATTTACTTTTAGAAAGAGCCTGAATAGGTGTATTTCTAGAGGCAGAAATTAGATTACTGGTTGCCCAGTGCAGGGCGGGTGCAGAAATTTGGTGGGGAGATGAGAGCTAATACACAGGAGTTTTTTGTTTTTTTAGATAAAACTGATTGTTATGTTGGATGCACAAGTCTGTGAATTTACAAGGAAATACTTAATTTTAAATACTAATTGATGAATCATATGGTATTTGAATTATACTTCAACAAAGTTTTACAAGATATTCCTTGAACCACGATATTCAAAAACGCTATTTGCATTGTACGATCACTTCATCTCTTACTCTGTGTCAAGGGCCCTGCAGGACTCTCTCACTTGCCACTATTCTTGACACTATTATAAAATAGGTTACATAAAACAGGGTACTTGCAAGGTCATTAATCTTAGGTGGATGACAGCGAATATAAACATAAAAGAAACATCAAACATCCTTGAGTAAATATGAAGTAATCAAACTTTGTCTCCTTGTCATCCATGTACTCAGGATGCTCCTATAATATATTTACTTTGGATTGAAGGAGTTATGTTTTAACTTGATTGATTTATCTCTGTATATAAGTATGAGAAAGAAACAGTGACTTGAAAAGAATGATTGCATTGCACCAGGATGGCTCTGAAGTGGACTTCAGTTCTTCTGCTGATACATCTCGGTTGTTACTTTAGCTCTGGGAGTTGTGGAAAGGTGCTGGTGTGGACCGGTGAATACAGCCATTGGATGAATATGAAGACAATCCTGAAAGAGCTTGTTCAGAGAGGTCATGAGGTGACTGTACTGGCATCTTCAGCTTCCATTCTTTTTGATCCCAATGACGCATTCACTCTTAAACTCGAAGTTTATCCTACATCTTTAACTAAAACTGAATTTGAGAATATCATCATGCAACAGGTTAAGAGATGGTCAGACATTCAAAAAGATAGCTTTTGGTTATATTTTTCACAAGAACAAGAAATCCTGTGGGAATTTCATGACATATTTAGAAACTTCTGTAAAGATGTAGTTTCAAATAAGAAAGTTATGAAAAAACTACAAGAGTCAAGATTTGACATCATTTTTGCAGATGCTTTTTTTCCTTGTGGTGAGCTGCTGGCTGCGCTACTTAACATACCGTTTGTGTACAGTCTCTGCTTCACTCCTGGCTACACAATTGAAAGGCACAGTGGAGGACTGATTTTCCCTCCTTCCTACATACCTGTTGTTATGTCAAAATTAAGTGATCAAATGACTTTCATGGAGAGGGTAAAAAACATGATCTATGTGCTTTATTTTGACTTTTGGTTCCAAATGTGTGATATGAAGAAGTGGGATCAGTTTTACAGTGAAGTTTTAGGTAAGAATTTGTTTAATCGGGAACTTGAAGATCTAACTTATTTGTGTCTTTGAAGCAGAGCTTATATAAAGCCATAAAGTCAGGGAAGTGGAGTTTTTGGTAAGTGAATTTATGAAATGAAAATACAAGATGATCTATCAATCTCACAAACATTATAGAAAAGCTTAAATTATAAGGTCTGTTAAAACCCTGTGGCCATCACTCATACAGAACACCCCAGGAAATCATAAACCTATATATTAGTACACCTAAGACTTTAAGCAATTACACATCTGTTTTACTATATAATGTTTTAGATCTTAAAAACAGTGAAATCCATCAAGTAACATCTTACTGAATGCATAGATTTAGAATGAGTAATTACACATTTTTCTACAACTATCTATATAACTGCAGAAAGTTTTCCTTGTAAACCTCAGTTTTCTTTTTTAGGTATTAAAAGATATTCCCATGTTTCCAGAAGGTTTCCTTCACAGTAGAGAGAGATAATGTCCACATCTCAGATGCAAAAGTTAATCAGGGTAATTTGAAGTTTCTAATGTTTCTATACTCCTTCACTAAAGAATTGGAATTCATTCATTTAAAGTCCAATTATCTTGTTGAAGTGTGAAGGTTGTTATATCTATATAGTTTATTTGAAACTATGTCTCTTTATTTAAAAATATGAGACAGATTAAGGTTGAGTACAGATCTCTATTTCAATAATTTCTCAAAAATTTCTAGCTATAATTTACAAATATATTTACTTAAATGATAATATTATTAAGATCTTAGCTCAAATCCAAATGAGTAGTTGGTACAAGGATTTCTGCCATACTCTCAAAATAGTCCGAGTTCACTTGAAGAACCAAAGATAAAAGGATTAGCTTAAGGAGTTGTGTAAACTGGACTGTTAGAAAATTGGTTTTATGGGTACAGTAGAATTAATTGATTATGGAGCTCAAAGAGTTGTTTAAATATCTATATGCAACTATTGAAGCTTTAAAGAGAAAATAAATTGATGTTTAATTTTCTATGACTTATTTTAATAATTGTGAGTACACTGACTTGACATTAGAGATGTCGCTTAACTTCATAATTCTCCCACCACTTTGCCTTTCTTATAAATAAACATGGACAAAATATATAATACATAAAAATATATTATTCATATACATGAATATATGTATATATTTTTCAAAGCACACAAACTTTACCTACATCTTTGCCTACATAATTCTAACCCCTTTCAGAAAGTTATGTAAAGTAATTATCTTACATCATCCACTTTTTCTTTTCTTTATTCCTGTCAGGAAGACCCACTACCTTATTTGAGACAATGGGGAAAGCTGACATATGGCTTATGCGAAACTCCTGGAGTTTTCAATTTCCTCATCCATTCTTACCAAACATTGATTTTGTTGGAGGACTCCACTGCAAACCTGCCAAACCCCTACCTAAGGTAAACATACTTTCGTTGGTTTTATTTTGTTGGCTTCGAAGTTTCAGTAGAAATGAGTCTATAGCCTTCATTCAAAATGTTTGACTTACACTGAAAGAAAGATGGGAAGTAGGTGGTGTAAAGCAGATACCAAATAGAAACTCATGTATATGTTAATACCATCACATGTATGTGAGTTTTATGCATATTACAAATAGAGAGGAATAGTAAGGAGACTTTGAAAATAGGGTTGATTAAAGTCTTGATTATGCAACACCTAAGGAGGTATTTGTCATTCATTCAAAGAATATTTATAAAGGGATTAGCACAAAACACAAGTAAGTGCAGAAATTTCAGAGAAAAAAAATAGACAGTTTCCGTCTGCACATACCTTACATTCTACTTTGAAATATAGAAAAGTAACTAATGAAAATGTTTTAAAAAACTATTATCTCAAGGAAAAACCCAATATCAAGAAAGCATCAGTGGAGATAATAGAAAGTATCCTGGAGTCATGGATTAGTAAGATGAGAGCTGAACAATATGCAGAAATAGGTAAAAGAATGGCGGGGAGAGGCAGACAAAAAGGGAAAGCAGATAAAGTGGTCAGGACAGTTCTCAAGTCCTCAGGTTTTGTTTTTAGGGAATGATTAAGAATCTAGATCATACTAAGAGGTAAATTAGAGCCAGATACATATTAGGAGTGGAAATATTTATTAAGAACATTGAAAAACTACTAAAAAGAGTTAAGAAATAAATATATATGAAACGATTCTCTTTTTTAAGAAGAGCCTCCAAGATATTCAATGGATTAAATTACAGAAGGGCCACACTGTAAAGAGCCAACCATTTAGGAAATTTTCCATGGATTCAGGTAGAAGATGATGGAAAAGTGGACTAGAAAGTTGATAGAAATAATTATGCCTACATTTGCTAAAATAGTGCCAACTTCATATTGTGTTGTGTGGAAGAAATATTAAAACAGACAAAACACTTAAAATGTCTCTGGGATATAGTCAGTGACTCAGAAATGTTATTAATTTTGCAATTATGGTTATTTTGTTATTATTACCAATACTACTAACTACTTAACATGTGCAAGTCACTTGAGATATCATTCCTCATTTAAGAGAACCAGATTATTCAGCACATCAAGGTTATATTCTCTTGCAAAGTCATATATGACAGATACCCTGTGGACTTGATTAAAATTAGACATATCAATTGTGACAGTAAAATGAGCCAGTTGAAATTCTAAAATTCTACCGTAAGTAATAAGGATCTTCACTAGTATTCGAGCATAAAACACTTCCTCAACAATACAAATGTGTGCCTTAAATATGTGCAGACAAACCCAGGGTTCACTTGACTTTAATAAAGTATTTAAATCATTTCTGCATTGAGATCCCAGAATTTTACATTTTAGATCATAAACATACCCTATTAGAGCAGACGATGTCTGCCATATGACAAGCAACTCAGTAAAGCTTTCTGGGGGAACTTATCTCAACATCATAGGTGCCTGACAGAGAAGCACAGAGATAGTGAACAATGCATGTATAATAAAGAACAAATAATTTCTACCACTTGTATCTGAATAGTGCCCTTAGTTTCAATACGAAAAAAAATTCTGTCAGCATATAAGATTATATTCTTTTTGAAGGAACAGAAAAATCTCATATATTTTAAATTAATATCACATTTTAAGACATATGTACAAAGTAAGCCTTCTTCAATGCATTATTACTCAACCTCTTAAAAGAACATTTTTGCTTACATAAAACTGATATTTTATTCCATTGTTAAAACTCAGTATCTATGTTTAATGCAAATTGTATGGGCTTTATATAGTCACTTTCTCAAGAGACAAAAGCTGAGGTAAAGACTAATGAAAAATCTGCGCCACTCTACACTACTCTTGAAAGATTTCCCCATTCACATTAAGGGAAACTGACAGTGCAAATTGGAGGAGGAAGAGAGTAGGAGGTGTAAAAGGACAAGAAAAAAGGTTGACTAGTAGTACAATAGTGGTAATTACTAATACTAGGTCTTGTTATTAACTTGCAGAAAGTTTTGAATGCAAGTCAATGGTTGTGAAACCAGTTATTTAACTGTTTATTATGTAAAATAACTGCTAACACAGGTTGCTTTCTTTTCAATTATATATTACATTCTCAGATAATTTCTATATATTTTAAGAGAATAAGACACTTGACAAACTGCATCAAGTGTTTTAAAAATGCGTATTGTTATTAATTTTATAATATATTCACGTGAAATCATAAAAAAATCAAGTTGTACCTATTAAACATTATGGAAAATATTCACAAAATTAACATTAGAATTAATCCGACATCTTACATGAAAGAATGATTAAAATTTATTTGCATACGATAGCATTAAAATAATTTTATCAATGAAATATTCAATTACACCATCAGCCATAGTACAGATAATATGAGTTAGAAAATGATAAATATAACAAGATGGAAGTTTTTGCAGGATAAAATGTATATACAATAAGATTGAAATTTTCTAAATAAGTGTCACATGTATACATTGACCTATATAAATAGGACAAAATCCATAATAAAAAAATACATATTTTCTATAAATAATATCTCTAGGTAGAAATTTTAGAAAAATTATTTTTTAAAACGCTTTTCATACTTTTATACAATTTCTTACATTAATTTTGTATTATTTTTATAATATTATCACTAAAGGAGCAACAACCCGTCAATATCAGTGATGAATCTCTAAACAGAGGTTAGATTCCTTCAACACTGGGTAGAAAAACAAGGCTCTGATATCAAGCCAGTGAGATGAAACACTGAAAACGAGTCACATTAAATGTGGTTACAGGTAACTGCAATCACACACAACACCTAGAAGCCCCAGGTATTACGTGGAATAGTAGTACAAGGACTCTCACGTTAACGTAAGATTAAAAATCATATTTTAAAAAACGCTCTGCCATACGTGGTGCACTGTTCACATTTAGACATTTTTTTCTTTGTTTTGTTAAAAACCATTTGGAAAAGTTTTACCCCAATGATTAAATCTGAAAATACTTAAATTTAAATATCGGTATACATTGGGGAACTCAAGTCAGAATAATTCTCAATCAATTGCAGCCAAGCACATCTTCACCAGGCGTGTAATGTGGTGTGCGTGAGCTACTCAAAAGAGAGACAAGATCCCCCTGCAGAAAGGCCTGGTGGCCTCTTCTATTCTGGTGCCAGTGCTGCCTCTGAGACACAACAAAGTGATGATGAGAGTTCCTCACATGCAGTTATAAACAGCACATCAATTTAACAGTGGGATTTCAGGGCAATAGGTGCTCCACCTAAACAATAACCTGAAAGGTACAATTATTCAACAACTAACTATAAACTCTACAATTCTGTATGATAAATGAGACTCTCAAGACTGAGTCATAAAAATTCCAAATCACAATACTAGACTCAGGAATGTCAGTGATTCTTAACCACCAGCTTTTATTTTCATTTTTTATTTTTTGAAAAACTACTGGAAAACTCTGACAAACTTTAAGTGAAGCATAAAGCATTGTAGAGGAACATAAATGTAGATATAAAATTATCCCAACTGTGAATAGCTTTTCCTCAGTGCTCATATTTAGGGAAGTAGATCACTAATGGCTTCAAACTAAAAGAATTCTACAGAAAACATGCCTGAAATAAACACAAGTGTTTAAGTAGAAGAAAAATATAGCATTAAAGCCTAGTGGTGCCACTTTTCCAAGAACTTATATTAGTAATTATAGTATTATAAGTGAAGAGTCTGGGTATATTTTTTCACATTATCTCCCTGACTACAATGTAATAGCTCCATTTCTTTTCTCCATTACACACATGCAGACACATACCTACATAAACACACATATTTACACAAATATCCTTAACAGAGGCCAACTACCTCAAACATCTTCTTGTAAAGAACCTGAGTGATTGAGTCAGTTAAAAAATATTATTTACTCCAATAATTCCTCAAAATACTTGATTTTCTCTCTTTAATATTTGGTACCAATTCTTTAGTAGTGCCTGCTGTGGTGATACTCTTTTGTGATTAAACAATTTTTTTTCACAGGAAATGGAGGAATTTGTACAGAGCTCTGGTGAAAATGGTGTTGTGGTGTTTTCTCTGGGGTCAGTGATAAGTAACATGACAGCAGAAAGGGCCAACGTAATTGCAACAGCCCTTGCCAAGATCCCACAAAAGGTAAGATAAAGTGCCTTACTGGTGTGGAAAACTACTGAAAGAGGCTGTTAAAGTTTGAGATCTACACAGAAAGAATATTAAGGCTAGACTGAACTCTTTACAGCCAAATACAGTCTTAAATATCTTGTGTAGCTTCCACCGACACAAGTCATAGTTGTGCCTCAGACTTAGTGGTTACATGTGGCCCTGGGGGTGTTACTACCCTTGGTATGCATGAGTGGTTCCTATTACTACCAGTGGGAACTCAGTACTCCATATGTATCCACAAAAGGGAACTTGAGACCCATGATTATTTTTAATTTCTGATATTAACAGTCATACATATGGCTGAAATTAACTCAATATATTTCAGGTAAGTGAAAATGGTGCCTAATGTAGTCTTTAGATGACTTTCAAGTGTTTTCAACTAAAAATATATATCCAGAACTGCATCTTTGTAGAAATACAAGGAAGACTTATGATCATTTTCTTCAAAGCTGTTTTCCTAATCTCAGCAGTATCTAATGAGTGAAGAAGATTTGACTTACTCTTGGACCACCTCTATTACTTATTGTACTCTGGAAGCTCTTGGTGAATGTTTACAATTAAGGAATGTACTATTTCTGTTTGTACTTTAAGTCAAATGCTTATGTGAAATATGTGACAACAAATAGAGAACACTGCCTGAAGCAGGAAGGTGAAAGAGAAAGGATGGAGATGGATCCTGACCTGAAGGTGGATCCTGTACAGTATAAAATATGGTCCCACAAGGACTCAGCACTAACTACCAGATTAACAACCCCTCCCAGTGGAGGCAGCAGTAGGAAATATAGGAAGGAGTCAAACAGAAGGAAGCCAGGCAGGGGAACAGGTTTAGATGTCCCCTCCATAGAACATAGTAGGAATGTATTTTCTTCTATATAGAATAAACCAGGGACCTTTGTGTATTTGTGAATTACTTTTTAATTTCCTATCTGATAAAGCTTTCTTGTAATGACCTCTAACTTTTTGCTGAAACCTGAGTTACTTTAACACTGATGTAGCAAATAAAAGTTAAACACTGTAAATTATTGTTCACTTTATGAGGATTGCTTTGGAGTTTCAAAATTAGTAACAAAATAAGAATGTCTTGGCTATAGCAGAACATATTAATCACTGTTGTCAAAGCTTTGTAGCACGTTGTCTAAGTGATAATAATCAGTTGACCAAATTCAGCAAAATACAATTTTGAGTTTATTCAACAGCTTTATTTTTATTCATGATTCCAACAGGCTCCTCATTTCTAGGCCAAAAAAAAAAAAAATCCAAAATTAACGATACTGGTAATATTCTGAATTTGTGGCAAAAATTGTCACTTGAAATTTTTCTTGGAAGTAGTGCTTGAAAATTTGTAATTCCAATGAAGTTATACGTAAAACCTTGGCAGCATTTATTTATTTCTTATAATTAGCTTATTTTATAGACTTGCTATTTTGTCAATCAAAGGACAACAGGCTCTAATATAATAACCTACCGACAAGTAGATACATTTATACTACTTCTCATATTATTCAAAAACAAATGAATATATTACAATTAAATTTGGAGATGAAAACTGATATAAAATACATAAAACAAACATATAGGTCATTACTAAATAGTTACTGTTTTATTACACTAGAATTACAATGACTCCATATAATTTTTTATACTTTTTTTATAATATTTTTATTTTTTAAATTAAATTAACTTTTATTTTTAACTTTTAAGTTCAGGAGTACATGTGCAGGTTTTTTACATAGGTAAACTTGTGTCATGGGGTTTTGTTGTACTAATTGTTTCATCACCCAGGTATTAAGACTAATATTCGTTTATTATTTTTCCTGATCCTCTCTTTCCTCCCACCCTCCACCATCCTATACATCTCAGTGTATGTTGTTGCCATCTATGTATCCACGTGTTCTCATCTTTTAGCTTCCACTCAAAAGTGAGGACATGTCACATTTGGATTTCAATTCCTGTTAGTTTCCTAAGGCTAATGGCCTCCAGCTCCATCCTTATCCCTGCAAAATACATATTTTTGTTTTTTTATGGCTGCATAATATTCTGTAGTGTATATATGCCATATTTTCTTCATTCAGTCCATAATTGATGGTCATTTAGGTTGACTGCATGTCCTTGCTATTGTGAATAGTACTGCAACTAACATATATTTTCATGGATCTTCATAAAAGAACCAGTTATAGTCCTTTGCTTATATACCCAGTAATGGGATTGCTGGGTTTCATGGTATTTTTGCCTCTAGGTTTCTGAGGAATGGCCACACTGTCTTCCACAATGGTTGAACTAACTTACATTCCAACCAACAGAGTATAAGCATTCCTTTTCTATACAATCTCGCCAACATCATGATATTTTTTGAATTTTTAATAATGGCCATTCTGACTAGTGTGAGATGTTATCTCATTATGGTTTTGATTTGAATTTCTCTAATGATCCGTGCTGTTAAGTTATTTTACTTCATGTGATGGTTGGCCGCAGGTAGGTCTTTTTTTAAAAAGTGTAACAATTTTTTGAATATTTGAACTTTTCATTGATAATCTTATTTTTCTACGGTACTATTTTGGAAAATAATGGTTTCTTATATATCTAAATCATTATAAAAGTTAAGAAAATAAAATGTGAGTATTGTTTTTACATCAATCTCTGAGTAGATTTATTTACTAACATCCCTTGATCTCATTCCTACCCTTTTTACAGTTCTAACATTCTATAATTTTTGAGTTCCACTCATGGAATAAGATATTCTCTTTACTGTAACAGGTTCTGTGGAGATTTGATGGGAATAAACCAGATGCCTTAGGTCTCAATACTCGGCTGTATAAGTGGATACCCCAGAATGACCTTCTAGGTAACACTCTGGTGAACAAATACTGGATATATTAGTAACTGCACATTAGAATGTTAATAGTTTATCTTGAAACATGCTTATTGAATATTTATTATAGGAAAACAAAAAGAACTTCTTTGTATTTATTTTCCAGTCCTAGGGGAAAAGAATATGGTAGAATTGCTGGCATTTTATGATATTCACTCATATACTTTATGGTCAGAATCAGAGATAATCTTTATTTCAGGTGCTATTATATCTCACAGAATTTTTCAGTATCTTCCTGGGCTGTCTCTCCGTCTCCTGTTTCTACAACTTTACACCTGTTTTCTCCTCTCCTGCAGGTTTATTTCAAATGCCAGTAAATATAATAGCTCTTCTATCACCAGTGACTCTGTATTATCTGGAGGACTAAATTCCTAATCTTAATCTTAAAGTAGTGACACATTTCATGATGAAGTGTAACCTGTCTTTCCTCAATCCTAGCACCACCACCAACCCACTGCCTGCTGCCTTGCACACCCCACATATCACACTCTGTGACAGCACCTAAAATAAAACTTTATTTCATGCCCATCTCTTTGCTGTCCTCTTTTGTGCACATTTAAAAAATCTAGAATGCACTTTTCATTAGTCCCGCTGAAAATCTTGTATTCAGTTTTGCACCCTGAAGTTATGCACACCACGGAGACTTCAATTACATCTCCTAAACAAGTACGTGTTTATTCCTCTGAAGTCTGAAAAGTAATGGCAAATTAGTTTAATGTGTTATCTAGAAAACACTGTCACTTTCAGAGCATTTCATTGTGTATCGCATTTTATTCCTATGAATAATTTTGCTAAAATTCATCCAATCCTAGGTCTTCCAAAAACCAGAGCTTTTATAACTCATGGTGGAGCCAATGGCATCTATGAGGCAATCTACCATGGGATCCCTATGGTAGGCATTCCATTGTTTTGGGATCAACCTGATAACATTGCTCACATGAAGGCCAAGGGAGCAGCTGTTAGACTGGACTTCCACACAATGTCGAGTACAGACCTGCTGAATGCACTGAAGACAGTAATTAATGATCCTTCGTGAGTAGAACAGTATTTTTCACTAGGTGGTATTTGTAGATAGCTTCTCTTTTCAATAGTGAGCATGAGTTTCATCCTTTTTATAAGAGAGTAATCTTGAAAGAATTTAAATGATTTAACCAATCTGAAATCTGCTTTGTTTTTTATCTGTTATTTAAAAATTGTGCTTGAATCCCATACATCTAATGAGTAACCAGTTAGTGAAGCAATTTTCTAAACAAAAATAATTTTAAAATGTCATAGATAATATAAAAAATACATTTCTTAAAATTTTAACATAACGAATCCATAGTAGAAAGGAAGAATAAACTTGAAATATTATAAAATGTTTTAATTAAATATCTAAAATGACTCAGAATATAACTATTTTCTTGCTGAAAAATTAATTTTTATCATCATTATTTTAACAGACTTGAAAATGAGATTTAATTTCGATAGCTTAAAATCCACCTATTTATGCCATAAAATCCAAATGTTTTTACTATGTTTACAGAGTCATGAAACTATCACCATCATATAATTTTAGAACATTTTTATCAACACAAAAGAAACTGCAATGACACCAAAATCACTTCTCATAACTGCTTAGTCCTAGTCTAACACCAATTTGTTTTCTTTCTCTATAAGTTATTCTCTCTAGATATTTCATATAAACGGAATCGTACAGTCTCAGGTGCTGTGTAAATGACATTTCACCTAGCCTAATTTTTGTTCTTTTCTTATGGTTTTTGTTTTACTTCATATTGTTTTGTGTTTTAATACTTCATTTCCTTTACACTTGTGTAATATTTTATAGTATGGATATGTCATAATTTAGTTGTTCATTTGTCAGTTCATTGGCCTTTTGATTGTTTCCAATTGTGGCTACTAAGAATATTGCTATACATGTCTTTGCATAAACATGTTTTACTTTCTTTTGGGTTGATGCAGAAGTGGAATTGCTGCCTCATGTGAGAACTGTATGTTTATGAAGAACTGCTAAACTGTTTTCCAAAGTAATTGTTCCATTCATCACTACCATCAGCAGTACAATATGGTTCCAATTCCTCCACACTGTTGTCAAACCCCTTATTGTCTGTCTTTTTGTTACAGCCTTCTTAGTGGGTGTAAAATGATCTCTCATCCTGGTCTTGGATTGCATTTTCATTACTGCTGAAGATGTTGAGAACATTTATAAGTGCTTATTGATCATTCATATATCTTCTTAGAAAACATGTCTATTCCAACGCTTGGAACATTTTTAACTTTTCTATTTGTCTTATTATTAAGTTTTAAGAACTACTTATATATTATGGGTCAAATCAGATATATAATTTTTAAATATTTTGTCCCATTCTGGGTGCACTAACTTTTTACTTTTTGATGATGGTCTTTGAAGCACAAAAAATATAATTTTAAGTTAAAGTTTTAATAATTGATTTTGTTCACACCCCAAAGATAACAATGTGAAAAATTCCTTGCGGAGTCCAGCTACCATCAATTCCACATTTATAACTACTCTCAATAAAGTTTTTGTGTAAGGAGGGTATCATCTAAAGGAATGCTTTAAAAATACTTTATCCCAAAGAAAATAGAAGGATAATGAATGATCAATATATGTTTAAAGAAGATGGGAAATAATTGAAAAGCAACACAAACCAGCTTGGACAAATAGAAAAGAAATATAAAACAAAGTGGTAGATTTAAATGTGATTATACAAATACTTTCACTCAATCTAAACAGACTTTTAATAAAAGAGCAAATAATGAGTAAGGACATAAAACACTTGAAGAATACAATTAACAAATGGATTCTTACAATCTAAAATGATATACAAACACATATATACATATACAATACACATATATGTATTGTATATATCAACTTGAAGACACATTTTCCTGGAGTACGTCAAATAGTTAATCTTTACTTGAAGTGATATGTGGTGGGCAATAAATCAAGACTTAGGAAATATAAAAAGATTCAATATCATGAAGACTATATGATCCAGCCATAGTGGAAATAACGGAGGTTAAAAATACTATTACTAAAATATCCTTAATATTGGAAATTAAAAAAATACACTTCAAAAAAATTTAAAGTCAAGAAGTAAATCATAATTATGCATGCACTTTTATCTCAGCAATTCTACTCTCAATTATATACACAACAGATATACATAAATATATAAATCTAATGCTGTATAGCAGAGTGTTCATGAGAGAATTATCAACAGTGTTCAAAAATTGTTAGCAACCCAAATATCTATTCATCGTAAAATGAAGACATAATCTGTGGTTTATCAATCAACAGAATACTACATAGCAATGGAATTACCCAAGAACTGCTACATTAAAGAAAAAGACACTTTTGAGTACATATTATATAATTCAATTACATAAACAAGCAAAACTAATGTTGTGATTCGAAGTCAGGCTAATCCTTAGTTGGAGGACAAAAGTAGTCACTAAAAGGTTCAGAAAAAGGGAGTTATTCTAGGCAGATTGTGATAGCCTATACCACGACCTGAACAGTAGGTAAATTGGTATCTTCACCTCAAGATAATGTTCAAGATGATCTTCCATTTTTGAACTATTCACTTAGTGTATGTATATTTATCTTTTGTGTTTTATATTTAAATGTATATTTTATGAGATATATAAATCATTTACAAAATTCTAGGAATCAGATAGAAAATAAGCACAGAAAATAGAGAAAATTCTAGAGGCTCCATCACAGTTTGGCCAATAAAAGCCTCTCTTAGAGGTAACACTTAGAGGGAAGCCACAAAAAGGGAGAGAAGCATGCCTTGGGTTGCAGCAAGAAAGAGTACTCCAAGAGCAGGAGAGAAGGAACAAAATGTGTAAAGTGCTAAGATGAGAACACCTTTGGAAGCTTAAAGAAAATTAGAAGGCCAATCTAGAAGACAATGTGCAGGGGAAAAGTGTTAGAAAAGAGCTTGCCAGTGTCTTAAAATGTAGGGTTCTGTAGACCAAATAACAGAGTTGAATTTTATGATTAAAAGAATGAGAAGCCAGGCAAAAATCTTAATCAGAAGAGTGCCATAATCTGACTTTAATTTCAAAAAATCATTCTGGCTACAGGGTGGGAAACAGTAGGAAACAAAAGAGTAATGTAAAAGCAAAGTGACAAGCCATGAGGTATGTCACTCGCCATGATAAAATTCCTTTTTAGGAACTTACAGATGATAATTCTCACATCGCATTTTCACAATCTTTCTTACAGCACTTAAAATGGCTCATGATGTTGAGCAGGTACTCATATGCCTGTTTGAGAACTAAGAGTGTAATTGGATTGTTCATAATACAAAGGATAAATGCTTAAAGGATGAATATCCTATTTTTCATGATGTGATTATTTCACATTGTATCAAAATATCTCATGTACCCCATAAATATATACACTTAATATGGACCCACAAAAACTTAAAATTAAAGAATTAAAAACAATTAAAATGCCTTATATTTTCTCTGCTTGAAAAAAATTAATTTTCTCACCTGACCTTCCATTTCTGCTTTAAAAATGTTTGTCAATGAGAAAAGTCCAATTTAAAAGCCCAACTATCTATGATGACTCAAATTAAAATACACAAATTCTCTGTCAATTCTTTCAAATTTACTTTGAATTATTTGACACTTTAAAAGCCTTTCATAGACTTGATACATACAGGCCAGTTAACTTACTTTCAGTGTTGGTATCTTTATTTTTATCCTTCAGATATAAAGAGAATGTTATGAAATTATCAATAATTCAACATGATCAACCAGTAAAGCCCCTGCATCGAGCAGTCTTCTGGATTGAATTTGTGATGTGCCACAAAGGAGCCAAACACCTTCGAGTTGCAGCCCGTGACCTCACCTGGTTCCAGTACCACTCTTTGGATGTGATTGGGTTTCTGCTGGCCTGTGTGGCAACTGTGATATTTGTCGTCACAAAGTTTTGTCTGTTTTGTTTCTGGAAGTTTGCTAGAAAAGGGAAGAAGGGAAAAAGAGATTAGTTATGTCTGACATTTGAAGCTGGAAAACCAGATAGATGGGTTGACATCAGTTTATTCCAGCAAGAAAGAAAAGATTGTTATGCAAGATTTCTTTCTTCCTGTGACAAAAAAAAAAACTTTTCAAAATCTACCTTGTCAAGTAAAAATTTGTTTTTCAGAGATTTACCACCCAGGTAATGGTTAGAAATATTCTGTGGCAATGAAGAAAACACTAGGGAAAATAAAAAATAATATAAAGCCATATGAGCTCATATTGAAATTTGTTGCACTTATATTGAGATTTGTTGTTTGAATTCACAAGTTACATAAAAATATTACTCAGTTTAACTACATTTCACACATTTTATATAAACACAAGAACATTAAGAAGTCTACTGACAGTATCAGTAGTGTTTTGCACATACTCAGAATAATTTGGCTTCATTTTGAACAGGATTCGGTTGTTTTAACTGTTGCTAAAGAAACTATTACATAGTTAAATTGTATAAAAAGTCTCTCTCTTCCTTTTGATATCTTGAGATAAGTAGTATTGCTTTACTTTTACACTGCATGCAGCTTCATTGTCACATTTTTTGCTAAAATTGATGGCCAAATGTTTACTGTTTTAAGAGCATAAGTCATTTCTCAGTGGAAATTATGTGAAATTAGAAATATAGCCACTGTTACCTGCTTCCTACTGTAAAATTGAACTGTTTTGCCACATCTTTGGTTTCATGAGCAAATTCTATTTTTTCCAGATATTTAAAGATATTTTTCTCGTTGATTTTATTCTGATATTTTTAATTACTTCAATAGTTATTTGGGAACAGGTGGTGTTTGATTAGATGCATACGTTTTTTAGTGGTAATTTCTGAGGTTACGTGGCACATATCATGTGAGAAGTGTACCTTGCACTGAATGTATACTCTTTATCCCTCACCCCCTCCCACACTCCCATCTGAATCCTTAGAGCCCATTACATCATCTTTATGCTTTTGCATCCTTATAGCTTAGATCCCACTTAGAAGTGACAATTGACGATGTTCAGTTTTCTATTCCTGAATTTCTTCACTTAGAATAATGCTCTCCCACTTCATGCAAGTTGCTGTTAATGCCATTAGTTTGTTTCTTTTTACAGCTTAGTAGTATTCCATGGTATATATATATATATATATATATATATATATATATAGTGTATATGCGTGTGTATACGTGTGTGTGTGTGTGTGTTTGTGTGTGTTTGTATCAGGGGAACCCACCTTCAATATTTCA
The DNA here is from genome assembly GCF_000001405.40 of Homo sapiens. Taxonomy (NCBI): domain Eukaryota; kingdom Metazoa; phylum Chordata; class Mammalia; order Primates; family Hominidae; genus Homo; species Homo sapiens. The sequence goes on from NC_000004.12 coordinate 69,296,061, forward strand.
ATGTAGGTTCTTCCCATTTTCCATAAGTGTTGGCCAGCTGAGAAATAAAGAGAAAGAGTACAAAAAGAGGAATTTTACAGCTGGGCTGCCGGGGGTGACATCACATATTGGTAGGACCATGATGCCCACCTGAGCCTCAAACCAGCAGGTTTTCTATTAAGGGTTTCAAAAGGTGGGGTGGGGAGTTGTGTAGGAACAGGGAGTAGGTACAACGATCACATGCTTCAAAGGACAAAAGGCAGAACAAAGATCACATGCTTCTGAGGGAACAGGACAAAGGGCAAAGCAGAACTACTGATAAGGGTCTATGTTCAGTGGTGCATGTATTGTGTTGATAAATATCTTAAACAACAGAAAACAGGGTTCGAGAGCAGAGAACTGGTCTGACCACAAATTTACCAGGGTGGAGATTTTCCCCACCCTAATAAGCCTGAGGGTATTGCAGGAGACCAGGACATACCTCAGTCCTTATCTCAACCACGTAAGACAGACATTCTCAGAGTGGCTGTTTATAGACCTCCCCCCAGGAATGCATTCCTTTCCCAGATTACTAATATTAATATTCCTTGCTAGGCTAAGAATTTAGCGATATCTTCCCTACTTGCACGTCCATTTATAGGCTCTCTGAAAGAAGAAAAAATGGCTCTTTTTGCCCCACCTCACAGGCAGTCAGACCTTATGGTTGTCTTCCCTTGTCCCCTAAATGTTGTTGTTATTCTGTTCTTTTTCAAGGTGCACTGATTTCTTATTGTTCAAACACACATGTTTTACAAGCACTTTGTACAGTTAACACAATTATCACAGTGGCCCTGAGGTGATGTACATCCTCAGGTTATGAAGATAACAGCATTAAGATATTAAAGTAAGACAGGCATAAGAAATTCTAAAGGTATTATTTGGGAACTGATAAATGTCCATATTAAAGTGAAATCTTCACAATTTATGTTCCTCTGCCTCAGCTCCACCCAGTCCCTCCATTCGGGATCCCTGACTTCCTGCAACATCTGTGTGTGTGTGTTTGTATGTATACCACATTTTCTTTATCCACTTATTGGTTGGTTGATGGGCATTTAGGCTTGTTCCATTCTTTTTCTTTTTTAATTGCGAATAGTACTGTTGCAAACATGTATGTGTGTGGGTCTTTTTCATATAAAAATTTTCTTTCCTCCGGGAAGATACACAGTAGTGCGATAGGTGGATCAAACTGTACTTCTACTGTAATTTCTTATAGAAATCTTCATATGGTTTTCCATATTACTTGTACTAGTTTACATTCCCATAGCAGCATAAAACTGTCCCCTTTTTACCACATCTATGCCAACATTTTATTATTTTTGGATTTTTAAATTATATTCATTCTTTCAGGAGTATAGTGGTATTGCATTGTGGTTTTGATTTGCATTTTCCTGATAATTAGTGAAGTTGAGCATTTTTTCATATATGTTGGCCATTTATATATCTTCTTTTAAGAATTGTCTATTTATTACATTAGGCTACTTTTTGGTGGGTTTTTGCTTTTTTTTAGCCATTTGAAGATTCTGGACATTAGTCCTTTGTCAGATAAATAGTTCATGAATATTTTCCACTATTCTGTGAGTTGTCTGTTTACACAGATGATTATTTCTTTTGCTGGCGGAAGTTTTTAGTTTGATTAAATCACAACTCTTTATCTTTGCTTTAGTTGCATTTGCTTTTGGATATTTGGTCATGAGGTTTTTGCCTAACCTAATGTCTAGAAGAGTTTTTCCAATGTTACTTTCTAGAATTTGTTATTGTTTCAGGTCTTAGATTTCATTATTTGATCCATCTTGAGTTGACTTTTTATAAGGGAGAGACAAAGATGCAGTTTCATTCTTCTACATGGGGATTGCCAATTATTCCAGCCCCATTTGTTGAATAGGGTGTCATTTCCCCACTTTATGTTTCTGTTTGCTTTGTCAAAGTTCAGTGGGCTGTAAGTACTTGTCTTTATTTCTGGAATTTCTCTTCTGTTCCATTGATCGATATGCCTGTTTTTATACTGATACCATGTTGTTTTGGTAACTTGTAATATGCCTTGTAATACTTTGGGTAATGTGATGCCTGTAGGTTTGTTCTTTTTCTTAGTCTTTCTTTGGCTATGCAGGTTTCAAAACTGAGAATCAAATAAAAAACTCATCCATTTTGAAAATAGTTGCAAAAGAAAAAGAAAAACAAAACAAATTACTAAGGAATCTACCTAACCAAGAAGGTGAAAGAACTCTACAAAGAAAACTACTAAACACTGCTGAAAAATGTCGTAGATGACACAAACAAATGGAAATATATCCCATGCTCATGGATGGGTAGAATCAATTTTGTGAAAATGAACACATTGCCAAAAGAAATCTATAAATCCATTTCAATTCTCATCAAAACACCATCATCATGCTTAAGAGAACTAGAAAAAAAATCCTAAATTTGATATGAGTTTTATTATCATATTTGACTTGTAGTAAGAAATGTAAATCCTTTATTTTAGGTTGTGATAATATAGAAATTACACTCTAAAGGGACTTAGTGAATTTTCAATCTTGCTAAATATACAGGTACATATATATGTCCATTTCTTTTAAAACAAGACACAGCATCAATTAACTAGCTAATAGATATCCTGTGAAATTCAATGTGTATTTTGAAGACAGATTGAAATAATTATTATTCTACATAGCTATACTTTAAATGATAATATCTGTTTTATTATTTTCCACATAGATTTTTGATTCATTCCTCCTATAAATGTAGTACGGACACATAAATTTCTAGTAAGTCAAAAAATATATACAAAGGATACCAAAAAGTTTATAAATTTTGTGGAAAATAGCTAAATCAAGCCAAAAATCTCCTTTAGTCTACACATCAGGGAAGCACTTTATGATCAAACTAGTCCAGATTAACAGAAACCCAGTTGTCTTTGTCACTAAAAAGTCTTGCCATTAACCACTTCTCACAAAAATATTCTACAGCATAAGATCTGATTAAAAACATATATGTATACATATATGTATCTTTATAATTATATAGACATAGATAAATCATGTAATATACATATACACACACACTAAAACATTGATGAGATAGAGAGATTATAGAAAATTTTATACAAATAATCTAGGAATTAATACAGATATAAAGAAACACAGAACTTATATAGTGCCAAAGATTAATAATGTTGTTTTATCATGCTTATAAATCTGAATTAATTCACATAAAACCTATCCTATGACACACATAACAAAAGATTGGTATCCATTGTTCAGTGAGAACTACAAATCACTAACCAAAACTGACAAACAATCTAATTAAAAAGTGATTAAAATATGAAGAAGCAATTCAAAGTAAAAATGGCCCATAAGAATAAAAGATTAAAAAGTTACTGATGCTCAGTAAAATAGAATTAATGCCAACAAATTGATGTCATACAGAAGATTTGCACCCTATAAAAACCTGAGAAATCTATTTTGAGGGAGTATAATTTGAAATAACCCTTTTAAATAAAATGTAAATATGCCATTTGAAACTGAAGTTCTACATTTAGGAATCTGTCATGAAAAATCCATGCACATCAGCACATGTATGAACAGAATGATTCCTCCAGCACTTAAATGGCTTTCAGCCACTGAACACATGTACCTCCAACAAATGTATGAGGGGAGCCATTGCAGAAAACAGGCTGACTATCACTTTGCTAAACAGAAAAAGTAGTTTCCAGAAAAACAAAAAATTATTTTTTGCAATGAAATAAAATATATGTAAACTGGTAAAAAGAAGAAAGAATCTCAAAAAACACATGTAACTACAAGGATGAGAATTTACATTTTTATTCTATATAATTCTGCAATGTTTAACTTTTCAGAAAGTTTTCATGTGTTAATTATCATATTTAAAGTTTAATTTGTGAAATAAACACATCCATTTAAGACAGGAAGTTTCAAAATGTGACATCACATTATTAATTCGCTAGTGTCATTCAAAAAACTTGACAATATTTCTCATATATTATTTTATCCACTTGCAGCTTGTTTTTAGGACATTTGTTCTATTTTTGAAAATATGTATGAATAAATAAAATGTTTAAAAATTGCAATAATTGTAGAAACCTAAATACATGTAATTTTAATATTTTTTATTGTACTATTTTTAATATTTTATGAATTATACAATAGTTTAATAATTTCTGCTGCCTTCTTCAAAGGGTTATATTTGTTGTTATTTTGAGACATGACTATAGATACATTGACAATTTTCCTATCAATTAATATTCCCTCCCTTTGAAGTTTGGCAAAGTTTGTAACTGTCTCAACAAAAAGAGTGTAATGAAAATAATGCAGCTAAACTTTCAAAGCACTGCTGGAAACACAGCATATTCTCCCTCTGTTTCTCTTTCGCACTTTCTGTTTCTTCTTTTCATGTCTTTTTGTTTCGCTCACTATTACTAAATAACTCAACCTGTAGTCCCCATAATAAATGACAATTTGTAGAGAGACACAAATATATGCTTAAGGAATCCTGGTAGCCCACTAGCACTTTGAGCCTTTCAACACGAATCTCTAAGTATGTAAGTGAATGATCTTCAGATAATTATAGACCCAGGCACCACAGAAAAGTAGCTACCTAAGAAGCTCTGTGAAGGATCACATAACTGAGCCCACCTAACATACAGATTCCGAGACATGATAATAAAATGATTACAGTTGTTTTAAGGCCCTACATTTGAAAACTATTTGTTATGCAGTGATACACACCTGGAATAATAATTCTACATATTTTAAACTATACATTTGTAATAAAATTACAATTTATATATATCTACATAACAGGAAACTGCGATACTACACTTGGAAAATATCTGTACCCCGAATAGGAGAGTCAATATAACATGGTGGTTAAGAGCTGGCACTCTGGATCCAGATGGCCTTGATTCAAGTCTTAGAAACCACTATATAACGATGTGGGACTGGAAAAGTTACTTGAACTTTATTTGCCTTAGCTATCTCACTAAAGGAATGGCAAGATTTGTCATCACATTATCAATATCATGTGTTATTTAAAGAACAAATTCATTAATATTGCAAAGCACTAACAATTGTGTATACAGCAAAATAATATTTGTACTATTATCATTAAACAAGTCAAAAAATTTCCGCAATAATTTTAGTGTTCATATAATTGCATAATACATTATAGTTTCAAAACATGCTATGTCTCTAATGCAAATGATAAAAATGCCCACATTTACTATTTCAAGCATGTGGGAATTAAACTTGGAGCATAAACCAAGGACTGACAAACTATATGGCCTCTTGGTCGATCAAATCTGGTCAGGTAATAGTTTTTTTTTTAAATAATTGATATATGAATTTCACACCACAAAATTATACACTTTAAGCATTTAATCTGTATGATTCCTTGGCATGTAACACATTTGAAATGTCGTGCCACTACCACCACTATCTAGATCCAAAGTGGTTTTCTTCACTTCAAAAGGAAGCTTTATACCCATTAGAGAGTCATCTCACATTCTCCCATTATCCATGCCTTGCAACTTGGCATTATGTATTGGCATCGCTGTATAGCCTATTGGGTAATATTTTTTTTTAAATGCAGGGGTTGCAATCCTAGTCTCTGATAAAAACAGACTTTAAACCAACAAAGATCAAAAGAGACAAAGAAGGCCATTACATAATGGTAAAGGGATCAATTCAACAGGAAGAGCTAACTATCCTAAATATACATGCACCCAATGCAGGAGCACCCAGATTCATAAAGCAAGTCCTTAGAGACGTAGAAAGAGACTTAGACTCCCACATAATAATAATGGGAGACTTTAACACCACACTGTCAACATTAGACTGATCAACGAGACAGAAAGTTAACAAGGATATCCAGGAATTGAACTCAGCTCTGCACCAAGCAGACCTAATAGACATCTACAGAACTCTCCACCCCAAATCAACAGAATATAAATTCTTCTCAGCACCACACCACACCTATTCCAAAACTGACCACATAGTTGGAAGTAAAGCACTCCTCAGCAAATGTAAAAAAACAGAAATTATAACAAACTGTCTCTCAGACCACAGTGCAATCAAAGCAGAACTCAGGATTAAGAAACTCACTCAAAACCGCTCAACTACATGGAAACTGAACAACCTGCTCCTGAATGATTACTGGGTACATAACGAAATGAAAGCAGAAATAAAGATGTTCTTTGAAACCAATGAGAACAAAGACACAACCTACCAGAATCTCTGGGACACATTCAAAGCAGTGTGTAGAGGGAAAATTATAGCACTAAATGCCCACAAGAGAAAGCAGGAAAGATCTAAAATTGACACCTTAACACCACAATTAAAATAACTAGAGAAGCAAGAGCAAACACATTGAAAAGCCAGCAGAAGGCAAGAAATAACTAAGATCAGAGCAGAACTGAAGATTATAGAGATACAAAATCCCTTCAAAAAATCAATGAATCCAGGAGTTGGTTTTTTGAAAAGATCAACAAAATTGATAGACCGCCAGCAAGACAAATAAAGAAGAAAAGAGAGAAGAATCAAATAGATGCAATAAAAAATGATAAAGGGGATATCACCACTGATCACACAGAAATACAAACTACCATCAGAGAATACTATAAAGACCTCTACACAAATAAAATAGAAAATCTAGAAGAAATGGATAAATTCCTCGACACATACACCCTCCCAAGACTAAACCAGGGAGAAGTTGAATCTCTGAATAGACAAATAACAGGCTCTGAAATTGAGGCAATAATCAATAGCTTACCAACCAAAAAAAGTCCAGGACCAGATGGATTCACAGCCAAATTCTACCAGAGGTACTAGGAAGAGCTGGTAGCATTCCTTCTGAAACTATTCCAATCAATAGAAAAAGAGTAAATCATCCCTAACTCATTTTATGAGGCCAGCATCATCCTGATACCAAAGCCTGGCAGAGACACAACAAAAAAAGAGAATTTTAGACCAATATCCCTGATGAACATCGATGAAAAAATCATCAATAAAATACTGGCAAACCAAATCCAGCAGCACACCAAAAAGCTTATCCACCATGATCAAGTGGGTTTCATCCCTGGAATGCAAGGCTGGTAGGCTGGTTGAAGATACTCAAACCAATAAACATAATACAGCATATAAACAGAACCAATCACAAAAACCATATGATTATCTCAATAGATGCAGAAAAGGCCTTTGACAAAATTCAACAACGCTTCATGCTAAAAAACTCTCAATAAATCAGGTATTGATGGGATGTATCTTAAAATAATAAGAGCTACCTAGGACAAACCCACAGCTATTATCATACTGAATGGGCAAAAGCTAGAAGCATTCCCTTTGAAAACTGGCACAAGACAGGGATGCCCTCTCTCACCACTCCTACTCAACAGAGTGTTGGAAGCCCTGGCCAGGGCAATGAGGCAGGAGAAGGAAATAAAGGGTATTCAATGAGGAAAAGAGGAAGTCAAATTCTCCCTGTTTGCAGATGACATGACTGTATATCTAGAAAACCCCATCATCTCAGCCCAAAATCTCCTTAAGCTGATAGGCAATTTCAGCAAAGTCTCAGGATACAAAATCCATGTGCAAAAATCACAAGCATTTTTATACACCAATAACAGACAACCAGAGAGCAAAATCATGAGTGAACTCCCATTCACAATCACTTCAAAGAGAATAAAATACCCAGGAAACCAACTTACAAGGGCTGTGAAGGACCTTTTCGAGGAGAACTACACAGCACTGCTCAATGAAATAAAAGAGGATACCAACAAATGGAAGAACATTCCATGCTCATGGATAGGAAGAATCAATATCATGAAAATGGCCATACTGCCCAAGGTAATTTATAGATTCAATGCCATCCCCATCAAGCTACCAATGACTTTCTTCACAGAATTGGAAAAAACTACTCTAAAGTTCATATGGAATCAAAAAAGAGCCCACATTGCCAAGTCAATCCCAAGCCAAAAGAACAAAGCTGGAGGCATCATGCTACCTGACTTCAAACTATACTACAAGGCTACAGTAACCAAAACAGCATGGTACTGGTACCAAAACAGAGATATAGACCAATGGAACACAACAGAAACCTCAGAAGTAATACCACACATCCACAACCATACAAAACAAGAAATGGGGAAAGGATTCCCTATTTAATAAATGGTGCTGGGAAAACTGGCTAGCCATATGTAGAAAGCTGAAACTGGATCCCTTCCTTACACCTTATACAAAAATTAATTCAAGATGGATTAAAGACTTAAATCTTAGAACTAAAACCATCAAAACCCTAGAAGAAAACCAGGCAATACCATTCGGGACATAGGCATGGGCAATGACTTCATGTCTAAGACACCAAAAGCAATGGCAACAAAAGCCAAAATTGACAAACAGGATCTAGTTAAACTAAACAGCTTCTGCACAGCAAAAGAAAATATCATCAGATTGAACAGGCAACCTACAGAATGGGAGAAAATTTTTGCAATCTACTCATCTGACAAAGGGCTAATATCCAGAATCTACAATGAAGTCAAACAAATTTACAAGAAAAAAAACAAAAACCCCATCAAAAAGTGGGCAAAGGATATGAACAGACACTTCTGAAAAGAAGACATTTATGCAGCCAAAAGACACATGAAAAAATGCTCATCATCACTGGCCATCAGAGAAATGCAAATCAAAACCACAATGAGATACCACCTTACACCAGTCACAATGGCGTTCATTAAAAAGTCAGGAAACAACAGGTGCTGGAGAGGATGTGGAGAAACAGGAACACTTTTACATTGTTGGTGGGACTGTAAACTAGTTCAACCATTGTGGAAGTCAGTGTGGCAATTCCTCAGGGATCTAGAACTAGAGATACCAGTTGACCCAGCCATCCTATTACTGGGTATATACCCAAAGGATTATAAATCATGGTGCTATAAAGACACATGCACACATATGTTTATTGCGGCAGTATTCACAATAGCAAAGACTTGGAACCAAGCCAAATGTCCAACAATGATAGACTGGATTAAGAAAATGTGGCACATATACACCATGGAATACTATGCAGCCATAAAAAATGATGAGTTCACGTCCTTTGTAGGGACATGGATGAAGCTGGAAACCATCATTCTCAGCAAACTATCACAAGGACAAAAAACCAAACACCGTATGTTCTCACTCATAGGTGAGAATTGAACAATGAGAACACATGGACACAGGAAGGGGAACATCACACAGCGGTGCCTGTGGGGGGGGGGGGGTAGTGAGATAGCATTAGGAGATATACCTAATGCTAAATGACGAGTTAGTGGCTGCAGCACACCAACATGGCACGTGTATACATATGTAACTAACCTGGACGTTTTACATGTACCCTAAAACTTAAAGTATAATAAAAAAACTTTAATTTGTAAATTGCAATTTCTGTGAAGCACAATAAAGCAAAGGATAATAAAATGAAATATGTCTACGCTTAAGAACTTATGGAAATAAAATGTTAAGCTAGGCACAGCTTACTGAATACACAATTAAATAGAGCAAATCAATACATGTAATTTCAAAACATGTCTAAGGCTAAGGACATTTGAAGTGGGATCCTCTGAATATTAGTTCTGCAAAACAATCTATGTATTAGAATTCAGTGGAATACATTAAACAATAATTTAGTGTCTATTATGATTGTTCCTTTGTTCATGTTTCTACATATTTCTCAGACATATTTGGATTAAAATCATGTCTTGCATTGACCAGCTCTGATCACAACTGTGTATGAAAACTGCAAAGCAAAACAACTTTTTATTAGTAAAGCAAAGAAATAAAAATAAGTCAAATGGATATATATCAGTAAAGTAAAAATTGTATCTCTTGCACCACAAGACCAAAAGTCGTTTAACTTTTTATAATATTTTATCAAGTTTTTGTGAAGTAATCAACTAAGAAATTAGAGAATTCTAGAAAATGTTTCCATTTAACCACTCTTGAAAAAATAATTCAAAGACGACTTTCTAAAGATTTTTTTTTGAAATTTTTGATGAGAGAGAAAAGAATGATTAGCATCTTGTTTCAATAGAAATGGTATAACAATAAAAGTAACAATCAATGATTCTTCAAAAATATGCGATGTAGATTTGGGCTATTTGGAGGAAATACAAAATATAATCTCCTTGTTAATGATGATCATTTGTAAGTTTATTACTGGTATTAAGGAAGTAGGTTATCTTACACTTAGAACAAATCTACTTTCTTTATGAAGAACAGCTACAACATTTTCTATAATAAAAACTCATTAACCTGCATATATGTGTCATAGACGATGTATGGCAGTTTTTAAAAATATTTATTTTGATAATTAAATTAAAAATAAAACAAGAATCTCTTGCCTAATGCCTTACTCTAAAACTCTTCCCAAAAATGATGGTCATAATCCTGAATCCAGAAGTAGAACAAAACTGAAAGCATTGGATTTTTTAATCTTTCCTGAAAGGTCATTCTGTCTGTTAATCCTGTCATAGGCACAGGTACATAGGAAAGTGGAGCTGGAAGTTTCCCACAGCTTCACTCCATATTGCCTCTTAGAGAAGTTCTAGGTGTGAGCACAAAAGGGACTGGAAGCAACTCAGCCATCAGGTCTCCATGGGGAATCACAGGGTCTTTAAGCATTACATCGTAGTTGGTTTCCTGTAGCTTCTTCATGAGTGTCTCATTGAAGATAATGCTCTCACCCATCATTTTTAAAGTTCCTCTTATTTCAACAAAAAAACATTTAATTTTATAACTATTTGGTAAGCCTGGCAAGACATTCAGAGCTAGGTCAACAAATATTTCATTTTCTTCTGTTTTGTCCTGTGGCATATGGACACCTCAAATTTCAGTGCCGAAGGCTTCCTGTAGTCAATTAACAAAGACTTTGAGTGAGTCAATACTGTTACCTCATGGCCCCTCACTATGATCTCCTCTAGAATGACCTTGACATTCAGCCAATGGCTCATGTCACAGGGCCACACCAGGACCTTCTCTCAGAATCCACAGCCAGCACAGAAGAGTTGCAGGAGCAGAAATACCAAAGCTGACTTCTGGGACCTCATGATTACATTTCCCTCACACACACATCTGCAATAGTTTTGTAGTTACTAAGCATGAAATTGAAATGACAATATAAGAACAGAAGTTAAAAATTAATATTTTAAGAGTAAATAAAGTTCATTGGTTGGTTGCTAGCTTCACATTTATTGAAGATATCAAAAAGAAATGCAATGTTGCAATGTATCAGGGAAAATTTGTTCCAACCTTCTAGAGCTTAGAAATAAAACACATAAAGATACTTTTATTATCTGGACTGATGATAAAGAAATTTTTAAAAATTCTTTAGATTTAATAATTCATGTGCAGAAACGTATGTACACAACCACACTTACATTCATTCCACACTAAATCCAAGGTGTTGGATGGTTTAGAAGAACTCATGTTTCACATCCCTTGCGCACAAGGACAATACAAAGAATTACTGAGAATACACTTGGAGACTTTGGGTAATTATATGAATTCTATATAATAAGTGCAAAGTGTTCAGTATTTCAGAGGAGAAAAATCCACAATTGCTTTAATATCTGATAATTAATAAAAGCTTTAGTAAGACATTTGACTTAGGAGGTGAGATGAAAGCTTCGTTAGGATTTATTGTTGCCAAAGGAAGCATTTCACAATCAATACAAGCATGACAAAAGTATAGGATATTTAAAAGTCATTCCAGTGAGTAGTGATCACAGAGAAAGTTCAGGGCAGGACGTTACAGAACAAAGTCAGTTTGAAATAGGAGAAATTAGTTTTAAATAAAAAATTATTAGTTTGAATGATAATTTATAGGCAAATAATTATTTACTCAAGTTTTAAAGGACAGTCACAAGATCCAGCTTTTCTTTATCAAGAAATTCTTGCATCTCAACACAGAGTGATATATAAAGATGAGTTTAAAAACAGGGAAAATGATAAAAATTGTACATTAGTTACTGAGACATATCAACCTAATGGAATAAAACATCAATTGTTAATAGTAAATGTGAGAAATTAATTTGGAATTTGTATTTACTGATAATAACTGAGACAGGAAAAAATGTATAGAAGAAAAGACATGGTTTTGGTTTCTGTGTTAATAAGCAGAAGGCTGATAATGACATTAGGTAAAATATTATCATTATGTTCTAATTATTCAACAACTCTATGTAGATGTAAACCAAAAATAAAATTTTAAGCATCCCCAACCACCTAAATGGATCCTTACTCTCAGCAAAGAGCATTTCAAACTTAATCTGAAAAACTGGTTCAGACAATGATGGGAAGTGGGGTGGTGGGATAGGACATGCCTCATTATACCCTCCTCCCTTTTTGAATTCAGGAAAATCTTACAAGCACTAACATCAACACAGACCTTAAAACCAATGGAACACACTCATTACGTTTGATAAGAAACATTTACCATCTATGTTCTCTCAAGCCTGTTGCCTGACCGCTTTATCTGCATGATAAAACCTTGGTATTCGCAGCCCCTTATCTTAACCTAGATGTTCTTGTCTATTACTTCTATATCTTTAGACAACAATGTAACTCCACCAATTGCCAATAGAAAATCCTTGAATTAGCCTATGACCTGGAAGCCCCCGCTCTCAGTTGTCCTGCCTATTCAGACCAAGTCAATGTTTAACTTACATGTATTTATTGATGACTAATGTCCCTCTAAACTGTATAAAACTAAGCTGTAGCCTGAGCACTATGGGGAAATGTTCTTAGGATCTCCTGAGTGTTATGTCACAGGCCATCATTGACTCATATTTGGCTCAGAATAAAACTCTTTAGATATTTTAAAATGTTTGACTCTTTCCATCCATAACAACTTGACATTTGAATATGTGGGTCCTCAGACAAAACTCGAGACACCATAAAACATGCCTGAACTTGAAGCTAAGGTAGCAGCAGAGGCCCACTGAATGCCTCTCCAATTTTGAGCTTCTTCTCCAGTGGGACTGGTAAGTCCTCTTGAGCCCTGGACCTCCCTTTGGTTGATAGTCCTTGGTTTATTCTGAATGTTTTTTTTTTCTCCTGAGCTGTTGCCTTTTAGAATCCTAATTATAGTTTAGGAGTACATTCTAACGGGTCCTCTCCATTTCCTTTTCTCCCAAAGATAAGCTGAAATGGCTTGTCTGCACATTTGTATAAGGAGCTGAACTATTATTTTTGTAGATCAGTGAGAGATGAGAGACTGAGTTCCTCAGCAATGAAGAGAAAGGACATTTTGCTCATCCAAGCCAAAGGGGCCTATTTGGAATGTCTGGGATGTTAAACCTTCATAATGTACAGTGGCCAAACAGAGAACCCCCCCAACAAAATGAGTTTAAAAAACTCATCTAGCAAATGCATATAAGAGCTGATCACTCACTGTTTTGAGCCCTCATGGAGGTGATAGACATCTGGAGAGAGAAACTAATGAGAGAAGAGAAAATAAGGAACCAGTTAGGCAGATAGTTAAGGCAAGGTTCTCAGTAGAAGTCCTCCCCCAAAAATAACAGTCTAGAGGAAATCAAGCTGCAAGCGCAGATAAGAAGCAAAGTCCAAAGCCTTTGTCTTCTGTGCAACCAGTGAGCTCTGCCTACACACACACGGTGGTCTTCAGTGAGCACATTCCTTTTCTTTTCGGACATACTCAGATGAAGGAACTTGCACAGGGTGCTTTCCTAAGACAGACCTGTAGCTGTATAGATAAGGAAAGTTACACAGAACCAGACACGTCCGCAGTGACACAGAGTCAATAAGCAAAATAAAACAACATGCAGTAACTCAGGCTAAGGACCTGCATACACACTAGAGGGAAGAGGTGGAGCTAACAATAATTCATATGTTTGGAAATAAAACATCCAGTCCAAACTGGTTTTTCATGCCTTATGCACATGAAACACTCTGCCTTATTAGTTTTTTTTTTTTTTGTATATAAAAGTCTTTGCATTCAACTGTCAAATGACAACCCTCTTGGGCTTCCTCTTCAAAGCAGACAGCTTTTCTCTTTCATTTATTAAACTTCTCTTCCAACAGTACCATTGGTGTCCATGATCCTTAATTTTTTGGGTCTTGAGAAAAGAACTCCTGGTGATACTTCAAACAACAAGACCGCTCCAGTGACCCTAAGCTGCTTCACTGTAAATAGAAAAGTAGAGGTTCCTCTTCAAAGACTTTCCTCCCCATCTAATTAAGAATAAATAGTAACTTCTCTTAAAAGCAAAATTTATTCAAAGACCTGTGCTGACATTTTTCAATATCTGCTAGCCGTAATAAAGAAATTCATGTACTTCGTCTTCTTAGCTCCTACAATGTAGCCTAAATATTTACTCTGGCATGCTTATACTGGTCAAAGCAAGCATTAGGTCATAGCCTGTTCCTCTTCCTTATTTGAAGGTATTTTTTTTTTGCATGAGGGATAGGTCATTTATTTTTTCTTTTTTTAAATTTTTATTTATTTATTTATTTTATTATACTTTAAGTTCTAGGGTACATGTGCGCAACGTGCAGATTTCTTACATATGTATACATGTGCCATGTTGGTGTGCTGCACCTGTTAGTTGCACCCCTTAACTCGTCATTTACCTTAGGTATATCTCCTAATACTACCACACCCCCCTCCCCCCACTCCACTAACTACAGGCTCCGGTGTGTGGTGTTCCCCACCCTGTGTCCAAGTGTTCTCCTTGTTCAATTCCCACCTATGTGTGACAACATGCATTGTTTGGTTTTCTGTCCTTGTGATAGTTTGCTCAGAATGGTGTTTTCCAGCTTCATCCATGTCCCTAAAAAGGACATGAACTCATCGTTTTTTATGGCTGCATAGTATTCCACGGTGTATATGTGCCACATTTTCTTAATCCATTGTTGGACATTTGGGTTGGTTCCAAGTCTTTTCTATTGTGAATAGTGCCACAGTAAACATACGTGTGCATGTGTCTTTAAAGCAGAATTATTTATAATCCTTTGGGAATATACCCAGTAATGGAATGGCTGGGTCAAATGGTATTGCTAGTTGTAGATCCTTGAGGAATTGCCACACTGACTTCCACAGTGGTTGAACTAGTTTACAGTCCCACCAACAGTGTAAAAGCATTCCTATTTCTACACATTCTCTCCAGAACCTGTTGTTTCCTGACATTTTAATGATTCCCTTTCTAACTGTTGTGAGATGGTATCTCATTATGGTTTTTGATTTGCATTTCTCTGATGGCCAGTGATGATGAGCATTTTTTCATGAGTCTGTTGGCTGCATAAATGGCTTCTTTTGAGAAGTGTCTGTTCATATCCTCTGCCCACTTTTTGATGGGGTGGTTTGATTCTTCTTGTAAATTTAAGTTCTTTGTAGATTCTGGATATTAGCCCTTTGGCAGATGGGTAGATTGTAAAAATTTTCTCCCATTCTGTCAGTTGCCTGTTCACTCTGATGATAGTTTCTTTTGCTGTGCAGAAGCTCTTTAATTTAATTAGATCCCATTTGTCAACTGTAGCTTTTGTCGCCATTGCTTTTGGTGTTTTAGTCATGAAGTCCTTGCCCATGCTTATGTCCTGAATGGTATTGCCTAGGTTTTCTTCTAGGGTTTTGATGGTTTTAGGTCTAACATGTAAATCTTTAATCCAGCTTGAATTAATTTTGGTATAAGGTGTAAGGAAGGGATCCAGTTTCAGCTTTCTACATATGGCTAGCCAGTTTTCCCAGCACCATTTATTAAATAGGGAATCCTTTCCCCATTCCTTATTTTTGTCAGGCTTGTCAAAAATCAGATGGTTGTAGATGTGTGGTATTACTTCTGAGGGTTCTGTTCTGTTCCATTGGTCTATATCTCTGTTTTGGTACCAATATCATGCTGTTTTGGTTGCTGTAGGCTTGTAGTATCCTTTGAAGTCAGGTAGCATGATGCCTCCAGCTTTGTTGTTTTGGCTTAGGATTGTCTTGGCAATGCCGGCTCTTTTCTGCTTCCATGTGAACTTTTGAGTAGTTTTTTCCAGTTCTGCCAAGAAAGTCATTGGTAGCTTGATGGGGATGGCATTGAATCTATAAATTACCTTGGGAAGTATGGCCATTTTCACAATATTGATTTCTCCTATCCATGAGCATGGAATGTTCTTCCATTTGTTGGTACCCTCTTTTATTTCATTGAGCAGTGGTTTGTAGTTCTCCTTGAAGAGGTCCTTCACATCCCTTGTAAGTTGGATTCCTAGGTATTTTATTCTCTTTGAAGCGATTGTGAATGGCAGTTCACTCATAATTTGGCTCTCTGTCTGTTCTTTGTGTATATGAATGTTTGTGATTTTGGCACTTTGATTTTGTATCCTGAGACTTTGCTGAAGTTGCTTATCAGCTTAAGGAGATTTCGGGCTGAAATGATGGGGTTTTCTAACTTTGCAATCATGTCATCTGCAAACAGGGACAATTTGACTTCCTCTTTTCCTAATTAAATACCCTTTATTTCTTTCTCCTGCCTGATTGCCCTGGCCAGAACTTCCAACACAATGTTGAATAGGAGTGGTGAGAGAGGGCATCCCTGTCTTGTGCCAGTTTTCAAAGGGAATGCTTCCAGTTTTTTCCCATTCAGTATGATATTGGCTGTGGGTTTGTCATAAAAAGCTCTTATTATTTTGAGATACATCCCATCAATACCTAGTTTATTGAGAGTTATTTGAAGGTATTTTTAACCTTTCTCAGCATTCCACAAGTTACATCCTCCTTCCTTTGTTCTCCTCTGCCTTTGGCTCTTTTATAAAGTTCTAAGTTGCTAGCCAAATAGGACAAATGCAGAATGTGAGGTCCTATTCCTGCCAATTGAAACTGGACACAGCAGTAAGATGGATGTGTCAAGTTATAAATGTCCCTGTCTCCTTTGTTCGGTGTAATCTTGTGGCAAAACTGCTGGTGCATTCACTCTTTCTGAAGAAAGCAAAAAAAAAAAATGGCCTTGCTGAAGAAATTAAATTTATTTTCAAGTGCTATTTCTTCATGGCACTGAAGAACAAGCATTTCAAAGATTCACTAAGACATGTAAGAAGGCAGAAACAACTTAACATTAAAACATGTGGGGTCTCACTTACAATCATCACACATTGATGCACCACACAAAAAACCCTAGGCCACAGCTTGGTTCCTCCTTTTAAGAACAAAAAGTGGGAAAAAAATTTAAGAATGAGGAAAGACAAGGAGAAAAATTCTTCTGGCGCAATTTTTTTGGATTCATGGGTCTTCTATTTGCAAGTGTTTGTGTAAAATGGAGAAGTTAGAGGGCATTCCACATCTAACAGTTTAGGACCACCCCCCCAGTGCTGTCTTGTCATGGAGTTTTCAGAAGATCTGGTTGTTTAAAAGTGTGTAGCAGCTCCCCTCCACCTTCCTCCTACTCTGGTCAGGTAGGATATATTGGCTTCCCCTTCACTTTCTCAGAATTATAAGTTTTCTGAGGTCTCCTCAGCCATGGTACCTATACAACCTGGGAAACTGTGAGTAATTTAAACCTCTTTTCTTCATAAATTACCCAGTCTCAGGTAGTTCTTTACAGCAAATGTGAGAACAAAGGAATACAGAAGATGTGAGAACAATGTGACAACAAACTAATATAGGAAACTAGAGAGGTGGGGCATTGCTATAAAGATACCTGAAAATGTGGAAGCAACTTTGGAGCTGGGTAATGGGCAGAGGTTGGAACAGTTTGGAGGGCTCAGAAAAAGACAGGAAGATGAGAAAAAGACAAGCAGATCCACAGGACCAGACCTACCCAAAGCCTTGAGAGCCCTCCCATTGCATCCGTGTGCCCTGGATGGGAGACATGGAGTCAAAGGAAACTATTTTGAAGCTTTAAGATTTAATGAGTGTGCTGCTGGGTTTTGGAGTTGCCTGGGGCCTGTAGCTCCTTTGTTCTAATAACTTGCAATTTCTTTATCAATACTTGCTGCTTCACCTTACACGCTTATTTTATGAAGATGGCTTCTTAAACTCATGAATCAACCTCTACTAGTGTCAAACTTTTGATCTGCAGAATCCTCATCTCTCAGCCTTCACAGAACTAAAGAGAGTTAGGGCTCTGCTTTGGATTAGGCTTTGGTTTCAGGGAATGTTGAGAATAATTTGATCTTCTATCCAGACCACTAAGATTTTCTCCGTATCAGCAATACGCCTATTTCCCTTTCTTATCTTTTATGTGTTCACTGGAATGGTACTGTTAATTGCTTTAAATTTTTTTTCTTTTGCATTTGTAACTTGGCTAACTGGCAAGCAGTCTAGCTTTCTGCCTATCCAGGTTTTGACCTGCCCTCCTTACTAAGCTTCATTTCTAGCGTTTGATTTTACATGAGTGATGTTCAACTCTTCCTTTCACTTGAACAAGTAAAGGCCATTGCAGAGTTATTAATTGGTCTAATATCGTATTGTTATGTCTCAAAAAATAGGTAGGCCCAAGGAGAGGGAAAAAAGATGAGAATGGCCATTTGGTGGAACAGTCAGAATATACACACTTATCAGCTACGTTTGCAGTCTTATATGGGCGTGGATTGTGGTACCCCCCAGCCCTCTGCCAAATTATAATAGTAACATCAGAAATCATTGACTGCAGATTGTCATCACAGATATAATAATAATAAAGTTAAAATGTTGTGAAAATTACCCAAATATGACACAAAAACACAAAGAAAGCACATACTGAAAAAAATAACACTAATAATCTTGCTGGATGCAGGGTTTCCAGAAACCTTCAAATTTTTTTAAAAAACAATAACTGCAAAGCTCAATAAAAGCAAAGAACAGAAAATGAGGTATGCCTGTCTATTACGCTTTTAATTCTGTTTAATCTCTTATATTCTTAGTGGCATATCTAGTTGAAGTTTTAATTTTTGTGCTTGATTTGTTAAAGATATAAATGATCTCCATTGCCTGACTAAAATTTTTGAAATCCTTACAAATTTTAAAAGGGCATACTTACAAATTAATTGCAATTTTAAAACGACTATATAAAGGAAAAATTATTATTGCCATTATGTGTATATAATTTTTTTTCTTTTCCTTTTTTTTTTTTTTTTCCTGAGACAGAGTCCCACTCTGTCATCCAGGCTGGAGTGCAATGGCCAGATCTCAGATCATGGCAACCTCCGCCTTCCAGGTTCAGGCGATTCTCCCGCCTCAGCCTCCTGAGTAGCTGAGATTACAGGTGCGTGCCACCATGCCCGGCTAATTTTTTCAGTAGAGACCGGGTTTCACCCTATTGGTCAGGCAGGTCTCGAACTCCTGACCTCGTGATTCGCCTGCTTTGGCCTCCCAAAGTGCTGGGATTACAGGCGTGAGCCACCAAACCTGGCCCCATTATGTGTATATTATTAAGAATGCAAAATAATTTATTTAGTATGTCTTTAAAAATTTTTAAATAATACTGATTTGTACTTTGATGTTAGTCATTTTATTGTAATCTAGAGAGAACTGTTTGTATTTGTTCTAAGGCTGTCTATTCTCTTTAAATAAATGCAGTGATTGGCTAAGATGCTGTGAAGGTGGGAGGCCATCCAGAGAGCTGAGCCTGCATACACTGGGAGGCTCCCTTTGGTCTCTGAAGCTGACCACCTGTAGCATAGAAGACTTGCTGCTTCTCAGTAATGGTTTCTCATAAGACTTTCCTTGGCCTTCAATTTGGCATTGTCTTTTGAGATAACTGGAATCAGAATCTCATTGGCCTTTGGTAGGATTTCTCCTGACCACCTATGCTGCCCCTACAACACTCTCCCAGGTTACTCTGTTCTCTTCCTAGGGAACTCAAAGGATAGATTTCTAAAACCCATGGGAATCATTGAAAGGAAGAGAGAGAAAGACTATTTTTAATGAAAGCGTCATGTTTTCATATGTTATCAGAAAGGAAGGCAGACAAATTTACATTTCTCCTATGTATATAGACAATATGTGTTTTTTGCATATCAAATAAAGGCAGGTGTTCCAAATTTTGCTGTGTATTGAAACAGTCTTGGGAGCTTTTGACAAGAATGATGCCCGTTTTGCATACCAATGAAAACAGATTTTGGAATTAAGAGCCAGATTTTGTGTTTTATAAATATTTCCAGCAGATTCCAATGTGCAGTACATTGGAAACACTAGGTTAAGGTCTAGATAAACAGTGAACATAGTTATTATTTTCATTGATATTTAATTATCAGTCATTCTATTAGTTATTATCTAAATTAAATACAAGCTGTCTGTGTATATCAAATCTACATACAGTTTCCATCAATGTAGGCGAAAACTAAAAAAAAAAAAAAGAGTAATTCCAGTGTATTAATACTTCACAAACTTTTGGAACTTCTTGTTTCCAATGACAGGTGTACATGAATTTAGTCACAATCTCTTTTTATATTATTTTAAACTATCTCAACAGTGTCACCTATTCACCAGTCTGCAAATGACTCTATGTGCTATCTCTTTTCATAAACAACTTGTGTAGGGAAGTATTTCTGCATTATGAGTGTCTTGCTCTTTTCTTCCACTTCATATTTTATTCTGTGTGTTTTATGCATCCTATTTATAAGCAGCAATTATCTCTTTAAAATCTATTTTGCTTTATCCTCAAGTTTTGCTTTCCTCAAAGGGAAATAAGTTTTAAATTATCGTTATTATTTGTTTTTTATGTACAAATGTTCTAATAAGGCTACCTTAGTATACTATTATGCATGATTTCTTACAGTGAGTTTACCAGAAATCGTGTTACATGACTTTCATACATTAATTTAAATTCTTAATATATTCATGGGACAAGTATTATTATTGAACTGTATATTAATAGGCTCACCTCTCTTTGTCACATGCCATTATGGGCCTTTAGTCAACTTCTCAATGTAAGAAACAAAATAAATTACACAAGAATGGTTGCGATCATAGACCTGAATACCACAAGCAGATTTTCCATATTACTTATTGCTACTTCTTCATCAATTTCTCATCTGATTTCCTCTAAATGATTTTAAAGAATACTCTGTATTTAATGATTTTATGTATACATTTTATCTACTAATATTTCAGCTGTGCTGTTTTTATAGTTATTTAATACTTACATATTAGTATTTTGGAATCTTACCAGTTAGCCAAACATTTATATAAGATGTTTCTATAAAAAAAGAGAAATTTTAAATTCCAGACTACTCAGCTATAACTAAACCTTTGGAGCATGTTCACATTAGGTTGAGCATGGTCTGAAGACACTTAAATCAAATTATAACCCTGTTGTTATTAATACAAATATAAATTTCTATATAAATTATTATAATTAAAATCAAATAATGGCCAAATGGATTATTATATCATCACCAAAACTATGCCATTTTTATTTTTTCTAATTGCAAGAATTTCTTGGGATATCTTCTAGTCTTTTTAAATTACATGAAATATTACAAACTGACAAAATAGTATAAAGTACTTAAATAAGTGCCTATAGTCTCATTACCTAATATAGAACATAAGAGTGTATTGCCTTGTTGTCAGTACATATCCTTTGAAAGTGATATGTGGTGTATAGGTGGAGGGAGACTGATGTTGGCAGAATAGGAAAGCCATGTTCCTTTTCTCCTCACAGGGAAATGGACTTAAGAAATATATACATATATAGACCAAATTGCCCTTATGAAAATACTCCAAAACAAGTTCAAAGATTTCAGCACCCTAGGCAAGAGCAAAGCCAAGAAGAGCGTCATTGAAATTGCTAAGAAATTTCACAGAATTGGCTCACTATAGAGTACAGCCAGTACAGCATGGCACAGGTAGGAGAAAATTCCCTAGCCATACCTTCTCCCACAGGAAAGAAAGAGAAGATTAAAGCATGTTTTAATATTCTAGCTTTTGGAGGGGCTGCACAAGGGGCTAGTTTCTATCACCTAACTCAAATCACAGGAACTAGAATTCCGATGCCTGTGATCTACTGAGAACAAAACCACGAGTGGCAGTGTTAAAAAGGCTGCCCTACCACAGAATGACAGCAGAGGGAGCAATAGACTGCAAACTCCTAAAGATGAAATTAAAAAAAAAAAAAAAGTTTAACTGGGTAATTACACACAGAAGCTGAGAGAAGACACATTCCCAGAAAAGGTTTGAGAGACCTGCAGAATCTCTAGCTGGGCTGACTGGTGAAGACAGTCTTTTGTACCAAGCTAGGTAGTAAATAATGGGAGATGCAGCTATTTTTTCAAATATCCAAATTGCAGCCAACGAGCACAAGGCAACAATGCATACATACACACACACACACACACACACACACACACACACACACAGAGCACTAAACCATGGCCCAATGAAGGGACCAAAATAAACTTCTAGAAAATAACCTCAAGGAAATGAAGTTCTATGAATTATTCGTCAAATTATTCATAATTATCATTTTAAAATAATTAGCAAAGAGAGAACACAACTATATAAAATAATAAAAATAGTGCATATAAAAATGAAAATATTAACAAAAAGATAAAACTCTATAAAGAAAGAACCAAACAAAAATTCTGGAGCTGAAGAATACAATCACTGAATTTTTAGCATTCACTAGAGGAGCACACAAGAAGACTTTATCAAACAGATAAAAAATATACACACTTAAGAACATAGGTTATCTGAAATTATTCAGGAAGGGGAGCGAAAATTTAAAGAAAAAATTCACAATAAAAAAGTGAAGTCAGCCTAAGCAACTTATAAGACACCATCAAGCTAACCAATAAAGCATCAAAAAGCTTATCCACTATGATTAAGTGGGCTTCATCCCTGGGATGCAAGTCTGGTTCAACATACACAAATCAATAAATGTAATCCAGCAAATAAAAAGAACCAATGACAAAAACCACATGATTATCTCAATAGATGCAGAAAAGGCCTTTGACAAAATTCAACAACCCTTTATGCTAAAAACTCTCAATAAATTAGGTATTGATGAGATGTAACTCAAAATAATAAGAGCTATTTATGACAAACCCACAGCCAATATCATACTGAATGTCCAAAAACTGGAAGCATTCCCTTTGAAAACTGGCACAAGACAAGGATGCCCTCTCTCACTACTCCTGTTCAACATAGTGTTAGAAGTTCTGGCCAGGGCCATCAAGCAGGAGAAGGAAATAAAGGGTATTCAATTAGGAAAAGAGGAAGTCAAATTGTCCCTGTTTGCAGATGACATGATTGTATATCTAGAAAACCCCATTGTCTCAGCCCAAAATCTCCTTAATCTGATAAGCAACTTCAGCAAAGTCTCAGGATACACAATCAATGTGCAAAAATCACAAGCATTCATATACACAAAGAACAGACAAACATAGAGCCAAATCATGAATGAACTGCCATTCACAGTTGCTTCAAGGAGAATAAAATACCTAGGAATCCAACTTACAAGGGAAGTGAAGGACCTCTTCAAGGAGAACTACAAACCACTGCTCAATGAAATAAAAGAGGACACAAATGGAAGAACAGTCTGTGCTCATGGATAGGAAGAATCAACATGGTGAAAATGGTCATACTGCCCAAGGTAATTTATAGATTCAATGCCATCCCCATCAAGCTACCAATGACTTTCTTCACAGAATTGGAAAAAACTACTTTAAAGTTCATATGGAATCAAAAAAGAGCCCACATTGCCAAGTCAATCCTAAGCCGAAAGAACAAAGCTGGAGGCATCATGCTACCTGACTTCAAACTATACTACAAGGCTACAGTAACCAAAATAGCATGGTACTGGTACCAAAACAGAGATATAGACCCATGGAACAGAACAGAGCCCTCAGAAATAATGCCGCATATCTACAACCATCTGATCTTTGACAAACCTGACAAAAACAAGCAATGGGGAAAGGATTCCCTATTTAATAAATGGTGCTGGGAAAACTGGCTAGCCATATGTAGAAAGCTGAAACTGGATCCCTTCCTTACACCTTATACAAAAATTAATTCAAGATGGATTAAAGACTTAAATGTTAGAACTAAAACCATCAAAAGGAAAGCAGATCGAAACCATCCTGGCTAACACGGTGAAACCCTGTCTCTACTAAAAATAGAAAAATTTAGCCCGGCATGGTGGCAGGCGCCTGTAATCCCAGCTACTCAGGAGATTGAGGCAGGCGAATGGCATGAACCCGGAAGGCAGAGCTTACAGTGAGCTGAGATCGCACCACTGCACTCCTGCCTGGGTGTCACAGCGAGACTTTGTCTCAAAAAAGAGAAAACAAATAACGAAAAACAAAAACCAACAAAAAAAAATTAAAAATTCTTTGCACTGAATGGTAATAGTGACACAACCTATCAAAACCTCTGGAATACAGGAAAAGTGGTGCTAAGAGGAAATTTAACATCATTAAATGCCTACATCAAAAATTTGAAAGAGAACAAATAGACAATTTAAGGTCACACCTTGCAGAACTGGAGAAACAAAGAATAATTTAAACCCAAACCCAGCAGAAGAAAAGAAATAGCAAATATCAGAGCAGAACTAAGCAAAATTGAAGTAAGTAAAACAATACCTAAGATAAATGAAACAAAATCCTGTTCTTTGAAAAAATAAATAAAATTGATAGACCATTAGTGAGATTAACAAAGAAAAGAAGAGAGAAGATCCAAATAAGCTCAATTAGGAAAAGATGAGAGATATTATAACTGATGCCATAGAAAGACAGAGGATTCTCAAGGCTATTATGAATACCTTTGTTACTGGTGGGAGGCAGATAGGTTCCTAGGTGGAAATGGGTGGGTCCCTTGTGAAACTCCACCTTTAAGCCAGGGACAGCTTGAAGCCTTAGGGCTGGACTGACAGTTCAGGGTGAAGCCCACCATCATGAGTGAGAACTCCCTCAATGTCTTTACCAACTGGATGGTGGATTTTCCAGGCCCACCCATGGCTGTCTATTGACCAATCAGCATGAACTTCATCACTTCTGAACCCATAAAAACTCCAGACACAGCCAGACTCAGACGCTCATTGGGATGAACTCCCTATAAGATAGGAGCTACCCACTTCAGGTCTCCTCTCTGCTGTGAGTTGTTCTGTCACTCAGTAAAGCCTTGCTCACCATCCTGTTGTCTGTGTAACCTCATTCTTCCTGGTCACAAGACAAGAACTTGTGACCTGCTTAATGGTGGGAGTGAAAGGAGCTGTAACCCTTTCCTGGCCATCTCATCACCTGTGGGCAGCAGCTAAAGGGGATGTAAAACTGTAGCCCTCCCTCTCTCTGTTGCTTACAGTAAGTCTAGTCCAGCCACAGCATCACATGAAGCCAGATCCTGTGCTGGTGCCTTGAGCTACCCACCCCACCACAGCAGTCAGCATGCCTAGCGACCCTGTGCTCCCTTGTTTACACACCAGTCACTGTTCTACACCTGGCTTGCCCTTGGCAGGTGTGGGATCTGGGCCAGCAGTAAGAGCTGAGTGTAGCCTGCCAAGACAAGTTTGTGGAAAGAGCCCAGCAGGTGCAAGCAAACTCAAGCAGAGGCACTGCCGGCCACAGTGGTTTCTAGCTGCTGGGGTGACACCCAGAGGATCCTGAGACATTTCTGGGGAGCTCCTCCAGAATCTGTGAGGGCAAATGGTCCATGGCCTCATATATGCAGGCTATCTTTGCCTTATAGGGTAACCTGGACATTTGCCAATGCTGTAGGATGGATGCAAAATAAAGTGAATAAAAGCAGACTTCTTTTTTTTCAGAGTCCCTAAACTCCACAATAGCCAAAATGAAAGAAAAACACTGGGCCTCTGTCTGCCAGTTAAAAGTGACGAGCATGGCTGTCAGACTTAAGACACAGTGGACAGGCTTGCTGGGGAGAACACTGTCAATCCCCTGTCTCCCTTGGGTGCTGGAAATGTTGATTCTGTTCCAAACCAGTTTCCCTTCATGGAGGTCTAGCCATCATGTCTGAGTAGAAGAAGGTCCTATGGCAACTGAGGGTACCTGGCTGAGGCTATACACATCGGTGTCATCCAAAGGCCTTGGGAATAACTCCAGTCCTTGCCTGCCTGTTAGGGTGTAGGCATTACTATCCCCAGCCTTTCCTATTGCATTTTCTTTTTTGTTTTGTTTTGTTTTGTTTCAAAGACTGCTGTGGCTGATATTCTCTTCTTTACATACTAAGTAAAGGGTGTTGTTGCAAACCACAGAGATAATATTACTGGGTAGGATAAGCATTTGGCTTAGTCATCAGGAGAGCAAAACAGAATAATGTGCTATCTGTCTATTCTTAGAAACAAGGCGTATGTAACAATTAAGAGGTTTTTTTGTTGTTGTTGTTGTTGTTTTATTTTTTTTTGTCCCTGTTGAAAGAACCCATTTGCATAGGGCAGGAGGCTTTTACCCCAAGGCACCTTCTCCTCCCCTGCACTTCAGCTTTTTTTTTTTTTCTATTTCTTCCACCCTATCAGGAGTTAACTAAGTCCTGCAAATAGAGGCAGCTTTTCTATGTGAGAGATTGATTTTTTTCCTCTTGGGAGCTATCGTGTTAGGCCAACTCCCCAGTTCCCAGGTCTTTGGTGAGGAGGACCTAGTTCCACAGCTTCACCTTAGAATTCTGCTTATGACAGGGAAGCAGTGGAAGAGCTGCTCGGCAGGGTGCTGGCTGCAATTTGGCGAGGGCCCCCTGGGACTTAATTTAATGGGTTCATACATCTTCTTGAGGCCCTATTGTTTTTTCTTAACAAATTGTATTTCAAGCTTAGGTTTGAAGTTATAATAAGAAAAACTAGATCAAGGGACCTGGAGGCAGTTACAGTGGAAGGCTAGAACTATCTATGCCTGCTAGGCCTTTCCACTTCTTCGATGTAGGTTATGCTTGCATCTATGGTATAGATGAGGTCTAGGGAACCCTCAAGTTACTAACAGTGGGAGGGTAGCACATAAGTAAGTGAAAATATTCCTACACACCAGGCCTGCCTGCTACATGGGTGGAGGTTGCATTCTCATTCATGGGTGGTACACAGAGTCGCCAGACTCAGCGATATAAGAATGGAAGGAAAAAGAGGACACTTTTCTTCTCTCCATCACACACACTGGGTTTTCCCTGGAAGACAGAGAGGGACTAAGGGACACTTTTTCCCGTCTCTTTTAGATGGATAACCAATCATCTTTATGCTACACTCCTCTGTAATGTATCCTGAGTCACTGGGACTTTTTGACCCTCAGATTCTGGAGAAAAGCACGTCATATTCCTTTGTACAAAGGTGTGGCCCGATTATCTTCTGCAGAAAAGAGAATACAGCCTCAGGAAAGATTAATTTCAGTAGCATCCTGCAGCTGGACCTTTTCTGTAAACATAAGGGCAAATGGTCCAAGGCCTCATACATGCAGGCATTCTTTGCCTTACAGGGTAATCTGGACCTTTACCAATGTTGTAGGATGGATTCAGCCTTCCTAGTGGCCATCTCAGGAAAGGCTGCAAAGGGCAATTTCAAGGAACTAGGGAAGCAAACACTAGAGGTACCTCTAGTAAGGGAGGTAACTCCCTCCATTCCACCCTACCCAGGTTCTCTGCCAAACTTGTGGCACCGTTGAAATACTTATTTTAGGCAGGTCCAAGTCTTGCTTCTGCCACTACAATAGGCGCCTGGTCAATGTGGCTCCATTAAGTTCCAGGTCCCTTTTCTTTACAGGACTTAACACAAATTAAGAGGGGATCTTGGCAGGTTTTCAGATGACACTGACAGGCATATAGAGGCTTTGCAGAATTTAACCCAAGTATTTAAACTCTCCTGAAAGGACATTATGTTACTTTTGAATCCAACCTTGACTGCTGTGGAAGACTGGCAACCAACTGCTGACTGCTGACTGCTGCTGGTTGCCTTGCAAGTGGCAGAAAATTTAGGGGATAAGCTTTATATTTTTATATACATAAATATATATATAAATATGTATATATTCATACATATAGATATGAATACTATTCAGCCATAAAAACGAATGAAATAATGGCATTGACAGCAGCAACCTGGATAGAATTAGAGACTATTATTCTAAGTGAAGTAACTCAGGAATGGAACACCAAATGTCATATGCTCTCACTCACAAGGGGAGCTAAGCTATGAGGTTGCAAATATATAAGAATGGTACATTGGATTTGGAGACTTGGGGGAAAGGATGGGAGGGGGTAAGGCAGAAAAGACTATGCATTGGGTACAGTGTATACTGCTCTGCTGATGGGTGCACCAAAGTCTCAGAAGTCACCACTAAAGAATTAATCTATTTAACTAAACACTTCCTGTTCCCTAAAAACCTATTGAAATGAAAAATAAATTTAAATAAAAACAGAAGGACAATACATAATGGTAAAGAATTCAATTCAACAAGAAAGTCTAACTACCACTTCTACTGAAACTATTCCCAAAAATTTGAAAAAGAGAAACTTCTCTTTATCTCATTCTTTGAGGCCAGCATCATCCTCATACCAAAACCTGGCAGAGATACAAACAAAAAAATAAAACCTCAGGCCAATATCCATGATGAACATTGACACAAAAATCCTCATTAAAATAGTAGCCAACCGAATCCAGCAGCAAATCTGAAAGTTTACCCACCATAATCAAGTTGGCTTCACCCCAGGCATTTTATTTCAGTTTTTTACCTAAGAAGATTTATTGGTCAAAAATCTCCTCAGTTCCATTTCTTGATTTAAAAACAATATAGCCAATGGGAACTCTTACTCTTGAGAATAATTTAAAATATTATATGTGCCTTATTTTGTATTATTGCTTTTTATGAAGTAACTTCTGAGATTTATTTTAAATTTTACTTCAGAATTTATCTGTAAGTTATGGCCAAGATTATAATTTGTCATAGAACATACAGAATCTCCCAGAACTGGGTTTTTTATTTGGAAAAAAAAAAAAAAGGCCTTTGTCAGATGAGTAGACTGCAAAAATGGTCTCCCATTCTGTAGGTTGCCTGTTCACTCTGATGGTAGTTTCTTTTGCTGTTCAGAAGCTCTTTAGTATAATTAGATCCCATTTGTCAATTTTGGCTTTTGTTGCCATTGCTTTTGGTGTTTTAGACATGAAGTCCTTGCCTTTGCCTATGTCCTGAATGGTACCGCCTAGGTTTTCTTCTAGGTTTTTTATGGTTTTAGGTCTAACATTTAAGTCTTTAATCCATCTTGAATACTTTTAAACAACCAGATCTTACATGAAAACTCACTCTTGTGAGGACAGCACCAAGCTATGAGGCATCCGCCCCCATGATCCAGACACCTGCAACCAGGCCCCACCTCTAACATTGGCAATTACTATTCAACATAATATTTAGGTGAGGATAAATATCCAAATTGTATCAGTAGGCAAGTAAACAATTCAAGGAAATGGATTATAGTCATTAGAAACTGATGATAAAGATAAGCTTTTTTTCCTGGAAAGCATGAAGAAGAGATAATCCATAACTTCCAGGATCACTTGTAAACCCCTTCTGTGTCTGGTATAATTATTATTATATTGATTTACTTTCCTTCTATGTAGACTTTTCAGATTCCGTTTCAGTAAATATTTCTTTCACATCTCTCAAAACAATGAGGGTCAGAGAGAGTTTACACCTCTTTGCTGTTTTGTAAGAAAATAAGTGCCTTTGTTAAGTAACTCCAATCTACATAAATAAGAACTTAGTGCACACTACTCTTCATATTGAAACAATGGCCAATGTGATGGTGTGATGAAGTGGGGCCTCAAAGAGGTAATTAGGACAAGAGGGTTTCTTGCAAGTGAATGTAACTAAGGCCGATATAAAAGAAGCTTGATGCAGCGTTTAGCCTTTTTACCCTTCTAACTTACACCATGTAAGAACACAGTATTCCTTCTTTTCAGAGGATGTCAAAATAAGGCACGGTTTTTGGAAGCAGAAAACAGCTATCACTACATGATAAACCTGCTGCAGGTTTGATCGTGCACTACTCAGCCTCCAGAATTGTGAAAAATACATTTCTATTTTTTTTTTATATTACCCAATGTGTTCTAGTTTGTTATAGCAGCACAAATGGACTAAGACACTGGATGGTATTTCTTTAGTGTTAATTGCTGGGTAAAACATCTAACCATTATCTCTGAACTAACATGAGTTTATGAGAAAAAAGCTATGGAAAACCTGCACTCTTAGTTTTCACTTAGGATCCACTTAGGATCTGCCTTTATAAATGATTTGATATGTAAGAAGACATTTCCTTCACAAAGATTATGAGCATGTTTCCAAGTTTAGCTTGTGAGATCTTTCCATTTACAAATTAGAAAAAAAATGGTGGGCTTTATAATGGTATAGATAGAATTTTTAAATAAATGCACTTTTTATTTTTATGTCATCTTTATTGAAGTAAAATTTACAAAAAATACTCATTTTGTGTGTACAGTTTAACAACTAATTACAAAGACATATAGTGATGTAATTTGTCACCACAGCTTTGTTTAGAACTTAGGTTAATTACTTTAATGGTTTGGTCTCTGGTAGTCAAACTTGGATTTGTGTTAGGTGATGTAAGTAGCAGTTACATACAGATGAAAAATATTCATCATTTTCCCAGAGAAATGTGCACTTGACCTTATGAGAACAAACACAGTTAATGATAAAATAATACTTTTTTTATTTTATTATTTTTTTGTGTGTATATCTTTAACATTTCATATACTTACAGTGAAACATTTGTGATTTGGGGAAGGATTTAGGGCTTTGTGCATTCACTAGCCATCATTGGACCATAGTGTCATTAAACAGAGCACCAGACACATGATTATCTACAGCAGAGTCTAACTATAGTCATACATTTTGTGTAAAGGACAGAAGCCCACATAGTATTTTAATGCCTTTTACAGCATTTTCTTCTTTTTAGTACTTTGCAAATGTTTTAATAAAAAAAGTTAAATAATTAACTGTTGCTGAATATTTTAAATATCTGTGCAGGAAACCATCAAAGGATAATGTAGAATTTTGGAACTAGCAACTTTGGGAGCTGTTAACAGCCCTAAGTCTAAAGGGCAAGAAAAGGGAGTAGATATCTAATTCAAGTTCTTAGTGGTAATGTCCACAATGGGTTGCCACAGCTTTCTATTAACTAATATTGAACACTATAGTATTAAGAAGCATTCAGTGAGTCTTCTGGATTGAAAATAGTGTTCTGTGTTCATTGTGCCCCAACATCCTGACATTCTTGTTAATTTCTTTTTTGGCCTATCAGTTCAGGAAGAGAAGAAAGGACAGGTTCAGCTTCCAGTTTAACAGAATAGTGCATTTACTTCCTGAACAACGCATTTCTTCTTCAGACAACAGGCCCTTGGAACCTACTAAACCCTAAGGTCTTGGAGACTGGAAAAAAAATTACTACAACATCTATTGCTGGTAATATCATAAGGGGCTACTTCCACTTCTTAGTTCCAGACTTATGCATTCTACTTGTGGAGGTGATAACACCCTACACTGACCTCCCTCTTTTGGACCAGAAGGACATTTTTAATGACAGAAGATGTCATATTTTAGCTTTTAGTTAATCTATCTACCAATATAAAGTTAATTGCTTTAAGTGATGGGCATGCTGTAGTATGTGTTTTCAAAATATTACAAAAGATGATTCATCCTGTTTTTGACTATTTACTATGATGGCCTTGTGTAGGAGAATTTTTAGGCCCAAAATTTTTTGGCCTTAAACTCAATTAATAATTTATATCAATACCCATGTGAAATTAGCTATACTGATAAATGCATGGCCTCTTCTCAATTGAAAGTTCAGAATATGGCAAAGAAACATTTAAGAAAAATGACGGAACTCTAATCATGTAACCCAGTTTATTTTTTTTGAACCAAAGAATGTGAGAAGTAACAACAATCCCCAGTACCCGGCTAGTAAAAAACCCTAACTTGCCACATCATCAAGATATTTCTTATCGAGTATTCCATGTGCTCAGCTCCATGTGTCCCTCCAAGGAATATCACTGGGCAGAGGACACCTGCTGTCAGTCAAGGCAGACCGAAAAGTTTGGAGATTTAAAACTCTAATTATCCTGTCCAATCTTTTTTGTTTATATAGCTATGTAGCTTTTTGAGGAAAAAGATGTTTAACCTGTAGGTATTTAGTATGTGGCTTTATGCTACATTTCAGTGAATTGAGATTTTGCTGCAACCTGAGTAGAATTAATATTGAAACTTAAGTTCAAAGTTCAAATGTAGTACATATGTTAACATCAATGAGTATATTTACATACCTCTCATTTTGCAAAATGTATTCTATCTTTAGAGGTAATGTGTGGCATATCATCACAATGAAAAAGACATTCACAAAGTTCAGGAAAAGTGATATTGTAAGAAAAATTGAGTGGTTGGTGTGATATTGTAAAACATGTATTTGGTCTTCCACCCACTTTCCCAGCATACAATTACTAAAATCAGTAGAATCTCCAAAATGATATTTTTTTGTAAGCTAATTAATTGACTGATGGCTGGCAATTCCTATGTAACTTCGAAATGAAGGACAGTCATTGGAAAGACCCAAGCAGGAGTAGAGAGTTGCGACTTTCATCTCCATCCCTCAACCTCCAGGGATGATAGAGAAATTAAAGGTTAAGTTGATCGCCAATGGCCAATGGTTTAATCAATCATGCGTACATAATGAAGGCTTAAAAGAAAAAAAAAACTCAAAAGTACAGCATTCATAGAGTTTCCAGATGCCTAAGCACATGGAGTTTCCTGGAGAATGGCACATCTCAGGAGGGCACAGAAGCTACACACCCCTTCCACTGTACCTGTATCACATGTAATAATTTTTATAATAAACTGATAAATGTATTTCATTGAGTTCTGTGAAATGCAATAGCAAATTGATCAAAACCAAGGACGGAGTTGGGGGAATGCTGATTTGTAGCTAGTTGGTCAAAGCATAGGTAAAACATACTGGGGCTACTAATTGGCATTGAGGAGTGTCTTGTTTGTCTGAGCCCCTAACCTGTGGAATCTGATGCTATCTCCCGAACATTGTCAGAATTGAGTTGGAGGACACCCAGTTGCTGTCTACTGCAGAAGTGATTCCTTATTTGATGTGTGGGGAACACCCTTTATACATTAACACTTGGTCACAGAAGTCTTCTGTATTGATCATTGTTTAGTAAGTGAATAGAAACACTTTGAGATTAGCTTTTTGCACACAGTACAGACACACTGTACAGCCATCATGTCCAGGAGTTGGCAGAGATATTACCTCAATTAAAATATCATGTTGCATATCATTCTCAGAGTAATGGTTTAGTACATAATTTAAATTTAAAGTTAACACATTTGCTTTCTACTATGGTTGGAATGTGGCTTGCCCGCCAAAATTTATGGTGGCACTTAATTGGCAACACAACAATATTAAGAGGTGGGGCACTTAGGAGATAATTAGGTCATGGAGGTTTTACACTCATAAATAGAGTAGTGTTTATATAAAAGCTTGAGGGTGAGTTTGTCCCATAAGTCTCTCTTACCATTTGAGGACAAAGGGACAAGGCCCTATCTTGGAAGTGAGAGCAGCCCTCACTAGACACTGGACCTGCTTGGTCCTTGATCTTAGACCCCTGACCTCCACAACTGTGAAAAAAAAATATTCATCCTTTATTAATTACCCAGCTTCAGGTATTTTGTAAAGCAGCATAAATGATGTAAGATACTATCTAAATCAGAAGGATATACAGACATGAAGGATGGGCCTACATGCCTTCATAAGTGTGTGCTCAATTCAACATGAAGGGGGATTCCTACTAACAAAGGATATCTACTCCATACATACCCCTACTTTTCTGGAGTCTCTGGGAAAGAGGGAATGAGGAGGATGCTGGTGCAACTATATATTTCTCCATCAGATCATCTCAAGTTTTTTTTTTTTTTTTTTGCACCTCTCACAGTGGTCCCAAGACCAGGGATGCAAGTGTTCATGCCAGAAGCAAGGATAATCCCTAAACCAGAATTTGCAACTATAACTTTAAACCTTTGTGTCAGAATTTTTAAGGACCTGATAAAGTTGACTGTGGTGCATTCACCGTATCTGGCAAGGTTGGAACTAACAGTAAATACTACTATGTTGAATCGTGGTCAGGATAGACCATGGTTTCTGTATTTATATAACCATATACTATATAAATGGTAGTAGACTGGAAGGAAAAAACTTTCTAGACTAGGATTGCTGCCAGCAATCAGGGCTAGCCCAGTGGGTGGACCTCACAACACTTCTAGTAGTAGAAAATTTGGGGTAAAAATAAATGACAGATGGAGGGAAAGAGAAATCATCGCTGAGGTTAAAGGAATGAATAAGTGTGTTATGCAATGAAGGTAATACAACAATATATTATTATCTCCAGAAAGGCTCAGAGCAAGAGCATAATATGATCTCTTAGCACAATTATACTAGATGTCTGGAATTGTGAAGCTGTATGTTTGCCAAGATCAGCTGCGCTTTTGGAACCCGACAAAGTGAAACAGCAGCCTGTAAAAGTGCGTGATGTTAATCTGGGAGACACTCTGGTTGTACTATATGTTAATGAACTGGATCAACTGTTAATAACTAAAAGGAACTCTAGTAAATAGGCAGTTTTTTGACTCCTATTTTTCAGGCTGTCTCTGCTAAAGAAGATGTCATTTTTTTTCTTTATTTCCTGGAAGAAAATGTAGGGACTTGCTGTCTACTAGAATTTTAAATGGTGTTTTTTTATGACTCTCAGAAGACAGATCACTGCATAACTGTACATTTTGATCACAAAATGCTTAGAAGCTTTATAATGAACAATGACAGCCCACCCAGCAGCCACAGTGTGCTAATCACAAACACATTAACTTTGATTTATGGAGAGAAAGTTATCCACAAATGTGAATGCAAAAGCAATGGGTTTCTGGCAGAATTAAGCAGTGGACATTTTATGCTGAATCTGAGTTCCCCTGGGAAACAGCTCCACCCTAAAATAAGGAAGGATATGGGAGGCCTTTTGGCATACAAATGAAATTACATTTTTCTATGACTACCCCTTATCTGTACTTATTATGGGGCATCTAACATTTTGGGGTGCAAAACATGTATTCTAACTTTACTCAGGTTATTGATATACAGAGGAAACAATGTGCTTGGTGGATTGACCAATACTGGTTCATGAAATGGAAAAGTGTCTTAGGAGAGATGAGTGCCATCTTCTCTATCCTGGGAATGCCTGAATTTGTTTTTAGTGAGGAGTAGCATTCAGGGAAAATATAATTATAGGAAATTTTCTTCCAGGAAATAAACCAAAAATGAGAGTCAGGCTGGAAAGATAGTGAGGCTTTAGCGAACTGTGTCAGGCAGTCTAAGCAATATTGGATAATGCTAGAGCCCAGCCCCTGGAAAGATCCTGTGGGTCACTCTAGTAAATTATTCACCCTGAGAATGGGGTCATAATTTGTAGCCAAGCCAGTCAGTAGTTAATGGATAGCCTGGAGACTCACTACTTGCAACTGGCGTCTGGATTGAAGACCAGTGAGATTAAGCCCTTTACTTGTGGCATCTCATGCTATTGCCATGTAGATAGTGGCATACTTGAATTAAATTGTAGGAAAAACAGTTGTCAGTTGAGAATTAAATTGAATTGTTGTGAAGGTAAAACATCCACATATTGGTGGCTGGAAATTCTGTGTTGTGAGTGAATATATAGAAAATCAGTTTTTTTCCCCTAATCATTTTCTAATATAGGTATTTATAGGTATAAGTTTTCCTCTGAGCATTGCTTTCACTGCATCTCCAAAGTTTTGACATGTTGTGTTTTTATTGATTTTAAAGTATTTTATAATTACCTTTGTGATTTCTTTTCTGACTTATTGGTTATTAACATTAACAGAATAAAAACTCTACTGCTATATAGTTCCATCACTCTTCTTTTTCTGTTACTGATGTGACAAATTATATCTCTGTATATTGTGTGCCTAATAACATGGATTACTAATTGTCTTTTAAGCAATTGTCTTCTAAATTATGAAAAAAAAAGTAGAATCACAACCAAAATTACAAAAATATTATATTTTATAATTGTTATGAATTTACCTTCACTACACATCTTTATTCCTTTACATGTGTTTACATTGCTGCCCAGCAGCCTTTTATTTAGAACTAAATATTTTCTTTAGCATATTTTGCAGGGCAGGTATGGTAATAGTAAACTTTCTCTGCATTTTAAAAATCTGAAAACGTCCTAATTTCTATCTAACTTTTGAAGGACAGTTTTTCTGGATGTACAATTCTTTATTAACATTTTTTTTTCAGTACTTCAATTATGTCAGTCCACCGCTTCTTGGCTCCAATGTTTCAGATAAGAAATTGTCTGGTAATCTTACAAAAAATGATTTATTTATGAAGAGTCACTTCCCTGTTTTCAAGTTTCTCTTACTCTTTTGACTATGAGCATCTTGATTATAATGTGTCTTAGTGAGGATCTTTTTGAGGTAATCCTACTTGGGGTTTGTTGAGCTTCTTGGATTTGTAGATTTATGCACTTTATTACGTTTTTCTTATTTTCTGCAAGTAGTTTTTGAAATAGTCTTTGCATCCTTTTCTTTGCTTCTTCTCATTCTCAGACTCCCACAGTGTATATTTTGGTTTATTTGATAATACCCTACAATTTTCTTAGGTTCTGTTTATTTGTTTTCCTTTTTTTTTAACTGACTGAATAATTTCAATGACTCTTTCTTCAGGTTTGCCAATTCTTTCTTCTATCTGCTAATATCTGCTTTTGAAACCTTCCAGTAAATTTTTCACTTCCATTATTGTACTTTTCAGCTCCAGAATTTCCTTTTGGTTTCCTCTTTAATTTCTTTTTCTTGATTGATATCATTTTGTTCATTCATTGTTTTCTTGTCTTGGTCTATTGATTCCTTTAGTTATTTAGACACATTTAAGACAGTTATTTTAAAATCATTTGTGTAGTGATTTCAGTGTCTCTGCTTTCTCAGAAATTGTTTTTGTAAGTTTATTTTGTTACTTTGAATGGGCAGTAATTTCATGTTTCTTTATACACTTCATAATTTCTTTTGAAAACCAGACATTGATTTTTTAATGGACTATGAAATCAGACTTTCTTTTTTGTTTAGGGTGTAATTTTTAATTTTTTAAAGATTTCTCCAGCCTCTATACAAAAGACATGTTGTCTCTCAGTCCTGATGTGCTGCCAGATACATATGAAGAAGGATTAGGAAGCCCAGCATTGACTATCATGAATAATTCTGCACACAACATGGGTCTGTCAATATATTTTCAAGATCCTGATTTTTATTATTTTTGGAAAAATACCCCGAAGTGACACTGTTCGACAATATGCTAATTCTGTTTTATTTCAAGTAGCTTCATACTCTTCTCCATAGTGACTTCACCATTTTTTATTCCTATAGACAGGGCCCAAGACTTACTATTTGTCTACACTCTCTTTAACATTCATTATTTTCTGTTTTATGGAAAAGGTAGCTTTCTTATGCAAACTTTAGACTTAGTTTTCCCTTTCTTAGTTCCTTGATGTGTAAAGGTAGGTTGCTTATTTGAGATGTTTCATCATTTGTAATATGGTTATTTTTTGCTATAACATTTTCTCATACTACAAATTTTTGCTGTATGCATAAGTTTTGATTCCTTCTTCACAACCTTTTTTGCATCTTTTATGTGTATTGTTTGTGTTTAGCATGAGGATTACATGAAGCATTTTAAAATTATAACAAACTATTTAAATGAAATGAAAAAAACTTTAAAGTTTATAATTTTACTTCAATCACATATAAAACTTTGTCCCTTTACATCACCCATCCCCACTTAATATTCTTAATATCACTGAAGATATCTTCTTATATTGTTATTAATTTGTGTACACTTATAGCTATTTTATGCTTTTGTTTTTTAAGTTGCATATCAGAACTAAAAGTAATTTATGCACCAACATTAACTACAGAACTCTATATTTGATTATATATTTTCCTTTACTAGTGAAGTTTTTATTTTTCTGTGCTTTTGCCTAGCATACTATTTTTTTTTTTTTTTTTTTTTTTTTTGAGATGGAATTCACTCTTTTTGCCCAGGCTAGAGTTCAATTTTGCAATCTCGGCTCACTGTAACCTCCGCCTCCCAGGTTGAAGTGATTCCCCTGCCTCAGCATCCCAGGTAGCTGGGATTAAAGGTGCTTGCCACCATGCCCAGCTAATTTTGTATTTTTAGTAGAGATAGGGTTTCACCACGTTGGCCAGGATGGTCTCAAACTCCTGAACTCAGGTGATCTGCCCACCTCAGCCTTTGAAAGTGCTGGGATTACAGGCATGAGACACTGTGCCTGGCCTGCCCAACATACTTTCATTTCAGTCTGACAGACTCCTTTTAATATTTCTTCTAAGTCTAGCGTTGATTATATCCCTCATCATTTTTTTTTCTACACCTGGGAAATTCTCACTCCTCTATGATTTTTGAAGGACAAGTTTGCCAGATGTTATTCTTGTTTGAAATTTTTTTTTAATTTCCTTGCAGCACTTTGAGAATATTATCTCACTTATTTTTGGTTTGCATGATTTTTGCTGAGAATCTTATTGATAATCTTATGGGAGTTTCTTTACATGTGGTAAGTCCCTTTTTTCTTGCTGCTTTCAAGATTTTCTTTTTGGCTGTGACTTCTGAAACATTACCTTCTGCATTGTTGCAGACTTCTTTGGATTATTCCCATTTGAACTTCACTGAGTTGTTCTTGAATTTGTATGTCTATTACGCTCTGCAAAATTGGTAATTTTTTGTTCATTATTTTTCTCAAATATAATCTCTGCCCCAATATTTTACTCTTTTCTTACTAGGACTCTTATAATGCTTTATTGGTTAGCTTGATGGTGTATTTTAAGTTGCTTAGGCTGACTTCACTTTTTTATTGTGAATTTTTTCTTTG
This sequence comes from Homo sapiens, assembly GCF_000001405.40. Lineage (NCBI taxonomy): Eukaryota > Metazoa > Chordata > Mammalia > Primates > Hominidae > Homo > Homo sapiens. The sequence continues at coordinate 69,334,993 of NC_000004.12, forward strand.
AATTTTTGCTCCCCTTCCTGAATAATTTCAAATAACCTGTGTTCTTAAGTGTGTATATTTTTTATCTGTTTGATAAAGTCTTCTTGTGTGATCCTCTAGTGAATGCTAAAAATTCAGTTACTGTATTCTTCAGCTCCAGAATTTTTGTTTGCTTCTTTTTTATAGAGTTTTACCTTTTCGTTAATATTTTTATTTTCATATGCACTATTTTTATTATTTTATATAGTTGTGTTCTCTCTTTGCTAATTGAGTATTTTAAAATGATAATTATGAATAATTTGACAAATAATTCATAGATCTTCATTTCCTTGAGGTTATTTTCTAGAAGTTTATTTTGGTCCCTTCATTGGGCCATGGTTTAGTGGTGTGTGTGTTTGTGTGTATGTGTGTGTTTGTGTGTGTGTGTGTGTGTGTGTACGTATGCCTTGCTGCCTTGTGTTCTTTTGCTGCAATTTGGATATTTGAAAAAATAGCTGCATCTCCCATTATTTACTACTTAGCTTGATACAAAGGACTGTCTTCACCAGTCAGCCCAGCTAGAGATTCTGCAGGTCTCTCAAACCTTTTCTGGGAATGTGTCTTCTCTCAGCTTCTGTACATAATTACTCAGATAAACTTTTTTCTTTTTTAATTTCATCTTTAGGAGTTTGCAGTCTATTTCTCCCTGTGCTGTCATTCTGTGGTAGGGCAGCCTTTTTAACACTGCCACACATGGTTTTGTTCTCAGTAGATCACAGGCATCTGAATTCTGCTAGTTCCTGTGATTTCTTTGAGTTAGGTGTTAGAAACCAGCCCCTTGTGCAGCCCCTCCAAAAACTAGAACATTAAAACACACTTTACTCTTCTCTTTCTTTCCTGTGGGAGAAGGTATGGCTAGGGAATTTTCTCCTAACTGTGCCATGCTGTACTGGCTGTACGCTATAGTGAGCCAATTCTGTGAAATTTCTTAGCAATTTCAATGAAGTTCTTCTTGGCTTTGCTCTTGCCTGGGGTGCTGAAATCTTTGAACTTGTTTTGGAGTATTTTCATAAAGGCAATTTGGTATATATATATATATATATTTGTTAAGTCCATCTCTCTGTGAGGAGGAAAGGAACGTGGGTTTCCTATTCTGCCAACATCAATCTCCCTCTACGTACACACCACATATCACTTTCAAAGGATATGTACTGACAACAAGGCAATACACTCTTATGTTCTATATTAGGTAGTGAGACTATAGGCACTTATTTAAGTACTTTATACTATTTTGTCAGTTTGTAATATTTCATGTAATTTAAAAAGACTAGAAGATATCCCAAGAAATTCTTGCAATTAGAAAAAATAAAAATGGCATAGTTTTGGTGATGATATAATAATCCATTTGGCCATTATTTGATTTTAATTAAAACAATTTATATAGAACTTTATATTTGTATTAATAAGTGGGGTTATAATTTGATTTAAGTGTCTTCAGACCATGCTCAACTTAATGTGAACATGCTCCAAAGGTTTAGTTATAGCTGAGTAGTCTGGAATTTAAAATTTCTCTTTTTTTGTAGAAACATATAAATGTTTGGCTAACTGGTAAGATTCCAAAATACTAATATGTAAGTATTAAATAACTATAAAAACAGCATAGCTGAAATATTAGTAGATAAAATGTATACATAAAATCATTAAATACAGAGTATTCTTTAAAATCATTTAGAGGAAATCAGATGAGAAATTGATGAAGAAGTAGCAATAAGTAATATGGAAAATCTGCTTGTGGTGTTCAGGTCTATGATCTCAACCATTCTTGTGTAATTTATTTTGTTTCTTACATTGAGAAGTTGACTAAAGGCCTATAATGGCATGTGACAAAGAGAGTTGAGCCTATTAATATACAGTTCAATAATAATACTTGTCCCATGAATCTATTAAGTATTAAATTAATGTATGAAAGTCATGTAGCACCATTTCTGGTAAATTCAATCTAAGAAATCATATATAATAGCATACTAATGTAGCCTTATTAGAACATTTGTACATAAAAAACAAATAATAACGATAATTTAAAACTTATTTCCCTTTGAGGAAAGCAAAACTTGAAGATAAAGCAAAATAGATTTTAAAGAGATAATTGCTGCTTATAAATAGAATGGATAAAACACACAGAATAAAATATGAAGTGGAAGAAAAGAGCAAGACACTCATAATGCAAAAATACTTCCCTCCACAAGTTGTTTATGAAAAGAGATAGCACATATACTCATTCGCAGACTGGTAAATAGGTGACACTGTTGAGATAGATTAAAATAATATAAAAAGAGATTGTGACTAAATTCATGTACACGTGTCATGGAAACAAGAAGTGCCACCATTTTGTGAAGTATTAACACATTGGAATAACTCTATTTGTTTTTTTTTTTTTTTCAGTTTTCCACTACTCTGATGGAAACTGTATGTAGATTTGATATACACAGACAGCTTGTATTTAATTTAGATAATAACTAATGGAATGACTGATAATTAAATACCAACGAAAGTAATAACTATGTTCACTCTTTATCCAGACCTTAACCTAGTGTTTCCAATGTACTGCACATTGGAATCTGCTGGAGATCTTTATAAAACACAAAATCTGGCTCTTAATTCCAAAATCTGTTTTCATTGGTATGCAAAATGGGCATCATTCTTGTCAAAAGCTCCCAAGACTGTTTCAATACACAGCAAAATTTGGAACACCTGCCTTTATTTGATATGAAAAGAAACACATATTGTCTATATATATAGGAGAAATGTAAATTTTTCTGCCTTCCCTTCTGATAACATACGAAAACATGACCCTTTCATTACAAATATTCTTTCTCTCGCCTCCTTTCCATGATTCCCATGGGTTTTAGGACTCTATTCTTTGAGTTCCCTAGAAAAACAACAGAGTATCCCTGGACAATGTTGTGAGGGCAGCATAGGTGATCAGGAGAAAACATGCCAAAGAACAATGAGATTCTGATTCCAGTTATCTCAAAAGACAATGCCAAATTGAAGGCCAAGGAAAGTCTTATGAGAAACTATTACTGAGAAGCAGCAAGTCTTCTATGCTACAGGTGGTCAGCTTCAGAGAGCAAAGGGAGCCTCCCAGTGTATGCAGGCTCAGCTCTGCAGATGGCTTCCCACCTTCAAAACATGTTAGCCAATCACTGCATTTATTTAAAGAGAATAGACAGCCTTAGAACAAATATGAACAGCTCTCTCTAGATTACAATAAAATGACGAACATCAAAGTATAAATCAGTATTAATTACTAAAAAAATTTTAAACACATACCAAATAAATTATTTTGCATTCTAAATATATACACATAATGGGGCCAGGTACAGCGGCTCATGCATGTAATCCCAGCACTTTGGGAGGCCAAGGCGGGTGAATCACGAGGACAGGAGTTCGAGACCAGCGTGACCAACGTGGTGAAACCCCATCTCTACTGAAAAAATTAGCCAGGCATGGTGGTGTGCACCTGTAATCTCAGCTATTCTGGAGGCTGAGGTGGGAGAATTGCTTGAACCTGGAAGGCTGAGGTTGCCATGAGCCGACATCTGGCCATTGCACTCCAGCCTGGATGACAGAGCAGGACTCTGTCTCAAAAAAAAAAAAAAAAAAAAGTTATATACACATAATGGCAATAATACTTAATTTTTCTTTTATATACTTGTTTTAAAATTGCAATTAATTTGCAAATATACCCTTTTAAAATTTGTAAGGATTTCAAAAATTTTAGTAAGGCAAATGAGATCATTTATATCTTTAACAAATCAAGCACAAAAATTAAAACTTCAACTAGATATGCCACTAAGAATATAAGAGATTAAACAGAATAAAAAGTGTAATAGACAGGCATACCTCATTTTACTGTTCTTTGCTTTTATTGAGCTTTGCAGTTACTGTTTTTAAAAAAAGTTGAAGGTTTCTGGCAACCCTGTGTCCAGCAAGATTATTGGTGTTATTTTTGCAGTATGTGCTTTCTTTGTGTTTTTGTGTCATATTTGGGTAATTTTCACAACATTTTAACTTTATTTATTATTATTATATCTCTGATGACAATCTGCAATCAATGATTTCTGATGTTACTATTATAATTTGGCAGAGGGCTGGGGGGTACCATAATCCACGCCCATATAAGACTGCAAACATAATTGGTAAGTGTGTATATTCTGACTGTTCCACCAAATGGCCATTCTCATCTTTTTTCCCTCTCTTTGAGCCTTCCAATTTTTTGAGACATAACAATACAATATTGGACCAATTAATAACTCTGCAATGGCCTTTACTTGTTCAAGTGAAAGGAAGAGTTGAACATCACTCACGTAAAATCAAACGCTAGAAATGAAACTTAGTAAAGAGGGCAGGTCAAAACCTGGATAGGCAGAAAGCTAGACTGCTTGCCAGTTAGCCAAGTTACAAATGCAAAAGAAAAAAAATTTAAAGCAATTAACAGTGCTATTCCAGTGAACACATAAAAGATAAGAAAGGGAAATAGGCGTATTGCTGATACGGAGAAAATTTTAGTGGTCTGGATAGAAGATCAAATTATTCTCAACATTCCCTGAAACCAAAGCCTAATCCAAAGCAAGGCCCTAACTCTCTTTAATTCTATGAAGGCTGAGAGATGAGGATTCTGCAGATCAAAAGTTTGACACTAGTAGAGATTGATTCATGAGTTTAAGAAGCCATCTTCATAAAATAAGAGTGTAAGGTGAAGCAGCAAGTATTGATAAAGAAATTGCAAGTTATTAGAACAAAGGGGCTACAGGCCCCAGGCAACTCCAAAACCCAGCAGGACACTCATTAAATCTTAAAGCTTCAAAATAGTTTCCTTTGACTCCATGTCTCCCATCCAGGGCACACGGATGCAATGGGAGGGCTCTCAAGGCTTTGGGCAGCTCTGGCCCTGTGGATCTGCCTGTCTTTTTCTCATCTTCCTGTCTTTTTCTGAGCCCTCCAAACTGTTCCAACCTCTGCCCATTACCCAGCTCCAAAGTTGCTTCCACATTTTCAGGTATCTTTATAGCAATGCCTCACCTCTCTAGTTTCTTGTATTAGTTTGTTGTCACATTGTTCTCACATCTTCTGTATTACTTTATTCTCATATTTTTTCCATATTGCTGTAAAGAACTACCTGAGACTGGGTAATTTATGAAGAAAAGAGGTTTAAATTACTCACAGTTTCCCAGGTTGTATAGGCACCATGGCTGAGGAGGCCTAAGAAAACTTATAATTCCGAGAAGGTGAAGGGGAAGCCAATATGTCCTACTGACCAGAGTAGGGGGAAGGTGGAGGGGAGCTGCTACACACTTTTAAACAACCAGATTTTCTGAAAACTCCATAAGACAGCACTGGGGGGTGGTCCTAAACCATTAGACGTGGAATGCCCTCAAACTTCTCCATTTTACACAAACACTTACACATGGAAGCCCCACGAAACCAAAAAATTGCTGCAAAGGAGTTTTTCTCCTTGTCTTTCCTCATTCTTAAATTTTTTCCCACTTTTTGTTCTTAAAAGGAGGAACCAAGCTGTGGCCTAGGGTTTTTTGTGTGGTGCATCAATGTGTGATGATTGTAAGTGAGACCCCACATGTTTTAATGTTAAGTTGTTTCTGCCTTCTTACATGTCTTAGTGAATCTTTGAAATGCTTGTTCTTCAGTGCCATAAAGAAGTAGCACTTGAAAATAAATTTATTTCTTCAGCAAGGCCATTTTTTTTAACTTTCTGCAGAAAGAGTGAATGCACCAGCTGTTTTGCCACAACAGTACACTGAACAAAGGAGACAGGGTCATTCAAAACTTGATGTGTCCACCTCACTGCTGTGTCCAGTTTCTATTGGCAGGAATAGGACCTCACATTCTGTATTTGTCCTGACTGGCTAACAACTTAGAACTTTATAAAAGAGCAAAAGTCAAAGGAGAACAAAGGAAGGAGGATGTAACTTGAAGAATGTTGAGAAAGGTTAAAAGTATCTTCAAATAACTCTCAATAAACTAGGTATTGATGAGATGTATCTCAGAATAATAGCTATCTATGACAAACCCACAGCCAATATCATACTGAATGGGAAAAAACTGGAAGCATTCCCTTTGAAAACTGGCACAAGACAGGGATGCCTTCTCTCACCACTCCTGTTCAATGTTGTGTTGGAAGTTCAGGGCTATCAGTCAGGAGAAAGAAATAAAGGGTATTCAATTAAGAAAAGGGGAAGCCAAATTGTCCCGTATGCAGATGACATGATTGCAAAGTTAGAAAACCCCATCATTTCAGCCCAAAATCTCCTTAAGCTGATAAACAACTTCAGCAAAGTCTCAAGATACAAAATCAATGTGCAAAAATCACAAGCATTCATATATACAAAGAACAGACAAACAGAGAGCCAAATCATGAGTGAACTCCCATTCACAATTGCTTCAAAGAGAATAAAATACCTAGGAATCCAACTTACAAGGGATGTGAAGGACCTCTTCAAGGAGAACTACAAACCACTGCTCAACGAAATAAAAGGACACAAACAAATGGAAGAACATTCCATGCTCATGGATAGGAGAAATCAATATTGTGAAAATGGCTATACTGCCCAAAGTAATTTATAGATTCAATGCCATCCCCATCAAGCTACCAATGACTTTCTTCACAGAATTGGAAAAAACTACTTTAAAGTTCACATGGAAGCAAAAAAGAGCCGGCATTGCCAAGACAATCCTAAGCCAAAACAACAAAGCTGGAGGCATCATGCTACCTGACTTCAAACTATACTACAAGACTACAGTAACCAAAACAGCATGGTACTGGTACCAAAACAGAGATACAGACCAATGGAACAGAATAGAAACCTCAGAAGTAATACCACACATCTACAACCATCTGATCTTTGGCTAGCCTGACAAAAACAAGAAATGGGGAAAGGATTCCCTATTTAATAAACAGTGCTGGGAAAACTGGCTAGCCATATGTAGAAAGCTGAAACTGGATCCCTTCCTTACACTTTATACAAAAATTAATTCAAGATCGATTAAAGACTTACATGTTAGACCTAAAATCATCAAAACCCTAGGTGAAAACCTAGGCAATACCATTCAGGACATAGGCATGGGCAAGGACTTCATGACTAAAACACCAAAAGCAATGGTAACAAAAGCCACAGTTGACAAATGGTGTCTTATTAAACTCAAGAGCTTCTGCACAGCAAAAGAAACTACCATCAGAGTGAACAGGCAACTGACAGAATGGGAGAAAATTTTTACAATTTACCCATCTGACACAGGGCTAATATCCAGAATCTACAAAGAACTTAAACAAATTTGCAAGAAGAAATCAAACCACCCCATCAAAAAGTGGGCAGAGGATATGAACAGACACTTCTCAAAAGAAGACACTTATGCAGCCAAAAGACACAAGAAAAAATGCTCATCATCACTGGCCATCAGAGAAATGCAAATCAAAAACCACAATGAGATACCATCTCACAACAGTTAAAAGGCAATCATTAAAAAATCAGGAAACAACAGGTGCTGGAGAGGATGTGGAGAAATAGGTACCCCTTTACACTGTTGGTGGGACTGTAAACTAGTTCAACCATTTTGGAAGACAGTGTGGCAATTCCTCAAGGATCTACAACTAGAAATACCATTTGACCCAGCCATCCCATTACTGGGTATATGCCCAAAGGATTATAAATCACGCTGCTTTAAAGACACATGCACACATATGTTTACTGTGGTGCTATTCACAATAGCAAAGACTTGAAACCGACTCAAATGTCAATCAATGATAGACTGGGTTAAGAAAATGTGGCACATATACATCATGAAATAATAAGCAGCCATAAAAAACGATGAGTTCATGTCATTTGCAAGGACATGGATGAAGCTGGAAAACACCATTCTGAGCAAACTGTCGCAAGGACAGAAAACCAAACAATGCATGTTGTCACACACAGGTGGGAATTGAACAAGGAGAACACTTGAACACAGGGAACATCATCCACCAGAGCCAGTAGTTAGTGGAGTGGGGGGAGGGGGGAGTGGTAGCATTAGGAGACATACCTAATGTAAATGACGAGTTAACGGGTGCAGCTAACAGGTGCAGCACACCAACATGGCACATATATACATATGTAACAAACCTGCACGTTGTGCACATGTGCCCTAGAACTTAAAGGATAATTTAAAAAATTAAAACCACAATAAATTAAAAATATATATATATAAAAGAAAAAAGTAAGTGACCTATCCCTCACCCCCTAAAAAAAAAATACCTTCAAATAAGGAAGAGGAACAGACTATATCCTAATGCTTGCTTTGACCAGTATGAGCATGCCAGAGTAAATATTTAGGCTACATTGTAGGAGCTAAGAACATAAAGTACATTGATTTCTTTATTACGGCTAGCAGATATTTAAAAATGTCAGCACAGGTCTTTGAATAAGTTTTGCTTCTAAGAGAACTTACTATTTATTCTTAATTAGATGGGGAGAAAAGTCTTTGAAAAGGAACTTCTACTTTACCTTTTACAGTGAAGCAGCCTAGGGTCACTGGAGCAGTCTTGTTGTTTGAAGTATCACCAGGAGTTCTTTGTCTCAAGACCCAAAATTTAAGGATTGTGGACACCAATGGTAATGTTGGAAGAGAAGTTTAATAAGCGAAAGAGAAAAGCTGACTACTGTGAAGAGGAAGACTGAGAGGGTTGTCATTTCACAGTTGAATGCAGACTTTTATATACAAAAATAAAAGCTAATGAGTCACAGTGTTTTGTGTGCATAAGGCATGAAAAACTGGTTAGGACTGGATGTCTTATTTGCATACATACAAATTCTTGTTAGCTCCACCTCTTCCCTCTAGTGTGCATGCAGGTCCTTAGCCTGAGTTACTGCATGTTGTTTTATTTTGCTTATTGACTCTGTGTCACTGCGGACGTGTCTGGTTCTGTGTAACTTTCCTTATCTATACAGCTACAGGTCTGTCTTAGGAAAGCACCCCGTGCAAGTTCCTTTATCTGACTATGTCCGAAAAGAAAAGGAATGTGCTCACTGAAGACCACCGTGTGTGTGTAGGCAGAGCTCACTGGTTGCACAGAAGACAAAGGCTTTGGACTTTGCTTCCTTACCTGCGCTTGCAGCTTGATTTCCTCCAGACTGTTATTTTTGGGGGAGGGCTTCTACCAAGAACCTTCTCCTAACTATCTGCCTAACTGGTTCCTTATTTTCTCTTCTCATTAATTTCTCTCTCCAGACGTGTATCACCTCCATGAGGGCTCCAAACACTGAGTAATCAGCTCTTACATGCATTTGCTAGATGAGTTTTTTAAACTCATTGTGTTGGGGGGGTTCTCTGTTTGGCCACTATATATCTTGAAGGTTTAACACCCTAGACATTCCAAATAGGCCCCTTTTGCTGGGAGAAGCAAAATGTCCTTTCTCTTCATTGCTGAGGAGCTCAGTCTCTCATCTCTCATTGATCTACAAAAATAATAGTTCAGCTCCTCATGCAAATGTGCAGACAAGCCATTTGAGCTTATCTTTGGGAGAAAAGACAATGGAGAGGACCCTTTAGAATGTACTCCTGAACTATAATTAGGATTCTAAAGACAACTTCCCAGGAGAAAAAAAAAATCAGAATAAACCAAGGACTATCAACCAAAGGGAGGTCCAGGGCTCAAGAAGACTTACCAGTCCCACTGGAGAAGAAGCTCAAAATTGGAGAGGCATTCAGTGGGCCTCTGTTGCTACCTCACCTTCAAGTTCAGGCATGTTTTATGGTGTCCTGAGTTTTGTCTGAGGCCCCACATATTCAAATGTCAAGTTGCTATGATGAAAAAAGTCAAACATTTTAAAATATTTAAAGAGTTTTATTCTGAGCCAAATATAAGTCAATGATGGCCTGCGACATAACCCTCAGGAGATCCTAAGAACATTTCCCCATAGTGCTCAGGCTACAGCTTAGTTTTATACAATTTAGAGAGACATTAGGCACCAATCAATACATGTAAGTTATACATTGACTTGGTCTGAATAGGCAGGACAACTGAGAGCCGGGACTTCCAGGTCATAGGCTAATTCAAGGATTTTCTATTGGCAATTGGTTGAGTTATATTGTTGTCTAAAGATATAGAATTAATAGACAAGAATGTCTAGGTTAAGATAAGGGGCTGTGAATACTAAGGTTTTATCATGCAGATAAAGCGGTCAGGCAACAGGCTTGAGAGAATATAGATTGTAAATGTTTCTTATCAAATGTAATGAGTCTGTTCTATTGTCTTTAAGGTCTGTATTGATGGTAGTGCTTTTAAGATTTTCCTGAATTCAAAAAGGGAGGAGGGTATAATGAGGCATGTCCTATCCCACCACCCCACTTCCCATCATTGTCTGAACCAATTTTTCAGATTAAGTTTGAAATGCTCTTTGCTGAGAGTAAGGATCCATTTTGGTGGTTGGGGATGCTTAAAATTTTATTTTTGGTTTATATCTACATAGAGTTGTTGAATAATTAGAACATAATGATAATATTTTACCTAATGTCATTATTAGCCTTCTGCTTATTAACACAGAAACCAAAACCATGTCTTTTCTCCTATACATTTTTTCCTGTCTCAGATATTATCAGTAAATACAAATTTCAAATTAATTTCTCACATTTACTATTAAAAATTTATGTTTTATTCCATTAGGTTGACATATCTCAGTAACCAATACACAATTTTTATCATTTTCCCTGTTTTTAAACTCTTATCTTTACATATCACTCTATGTTGAGATGCACGAATTTCTTGCTAAAGAAAAGCTTGATCTTGCGACTATCCTTTAAAGCTTGAGTAAATAATAATTTGCCTATAAATTATCATTCAAACTAATAATTGTTTATTTAAAACTAATTTCTCCTATTTCAAACTGACTTTGTTCTGTAACGTCCTGCCCTGAACTTTCTCTGTGATCACTACTCACTGGAATGACTTTTAAATATCCTATACTTTCGTCATGCTTCTATTGATTGTGAAATGCTTCCTTTGACAACAATAAATCCTAACGAAGCTTTCATCTCACTTCCTAAGTCAAATGTCTTACTAAAGCTTTTATTAATTATCAGATATTAAAGCAATTGTGGATTTTTCTCCTCTGAAATACTGAACACTTTGCATTTATTATATAAAATTAATAAAAATAGTTACCCAAAGTCTCCAAGTGTATTCTCAGTAATTCTTTGTATTGTCCTTGTGAGCAAGGGATGTGAAACATGAGTTCTTCTAAACCATCTGGCACCTTGGATTTAGTGTGGAATGAATGTAAGTGTGGTTGTGTGCATATGTTTCTGCACATGAATTATTAAATCTAAAGAATTTAAAAAAATTTCTTTATCATCAATCCAGATAATAAAAGTATCTTTATGTGTTTTATTTCTAAGCTCTAGAAGGTTGGAACAAATTTTCCCTGATACATTGCAACATTGCATTTCTTTTTGATATCTTCAATAAATGTGAAGCTGGCAACCAACCAATGAACTTTATTTACTCTAAAAATATTAATTTTTAACTTCTGTGCTTATATTGTCATTTCAATTTCATGCTTAGTAACTACAAAACTATTGCAGATGAGTGAGTGAGGGAAATGTCATCATGAGGTCCCAGAAGTCAGCTTTGGTATTTCTGCTCCTGCAACTCTTCTGTGCTGGCTGTGGATTCTGAGAGAAGGTCCTGGTGTGGCCCTGTGACATGAGCCATTGGCTGAATGTCAAGGTCATTCTAGAGGAGATCATAGTGAGGGGCCATGAGGTAACAGTATTGACTCACTCAAAGCCTTTGTTAATTGACTACAGGAAGCCCTCTGCACTGAAATTTGAGGTGGTCCATATGCCACAGGATAAAACAGAAGAAAATGAAATATTTGTTGACCTAGCTCTCAGTGTCTTGCCAGGCTTACCAACGTGGCAATCAGTCATAAAATTAAATGTTTTTTTGTTGAAATAAGAGGAACTTTAAAAATGATGTTTGAGAGCATTATCTACAATCAGACACTTATGAAGAAGCTACAGGAAACCAACTACGATGTAACGCTTATAGACCCTGTGATTCCCCGTGGAGACCTGATGGCTGAGTTGCTTCCAGTCCCTTTTGTGCTCACACTTAGAACTTCTCTAAGAGGCAATATGGAGTGAAGCTGTGGGAAACTTCCAGCTCCACTTTCCTATGTACCTGTGCCTATGACAGGATTAACAGACAGAATGACCTTTCAGGAAAGATTAAAAATCCAATGCTTTCAGTTTTCTTCCACTTCTGGATTCAGGATTATGACCATCATTTTTGGGAAGAGTTTTAGAGTAAGGCATTAGGTAAGAGATTCTTGTTTTATTTTTAATTTAATTATCAAAATAAATATTTTTAAAAATTGCCATACATCATCTATGACACATATATGCAGGTTAATGAGTTTTTGTTATAGAAAATGTTATAGCTGTTCTTCATAAAGAAAGTAGATTTGTTCTAAGTGTAAGATAACCTACTTCCTTAATACCAGTAATAAACTTACAAATGATCATCATTAACAAGGAGATTATATTTTGTATTTCCTCCAAATAGCCCAAGTCTAGATCGCATATTTTTGAGAATTATTGGTTGTTACTTTTATTGTTATACCATTTCTACTGAAACAAGATGCTAACCATTCTTTTCTCTCTTATCAAAAATTTCAAAAAAAAATCTTTAGAAAGTCGTCTTTGAATTATTTTTTCAAGAGTGGTTAAATGGAAACATTTTCTAGAATTCTCTAATTTCTTAGTTGATTACTTCACAAAAACTTGAAAAAATATTATAAAAAGTTAAATGACTTTTGGTCTTGTGGGGCAGGAGATAGAATTTTTACTTTACTGATATATATCCATTTGACTTATTTTTATTTCTTTGCTTTACTGATAAAAAGTTGTTTTGCTTTGCGGTTTTCATACACAGTTGTGATCAGCGCTGGTCAATGAAAGACATGTTTTTGATCCAAATATGTTTGAGAAATATGTAGAAACATGAACAAAGGAACAATCATAATAGACACTAAAATATTGTTTAATATATTCCACTGAATTCCAGTACATAGACTGTTTCAAAGAACTAATATTCAGAGGATCCCACTTCAAATGTCCTTAGCCTTAGACATGATTTGAATTTACATGTATTGATTTGCCCTAATTAATTCTGTTTTCAGTAAGCTCTGCCTAGCTTACCATTTTATTTCCACAACTTCTTATACATAGTCATATTTCATTTTATTATCCTTTGCTTTATTGTGCTTCACAGAAATTGCAATTTACAAATTAAATGTTTTTGAAAACCCTGAATGAAGCAAATCAATTTGGCATAATATTTCCAACAGCAAGTGTGTACTTTTTGACTCTGTATCACATATTGGCATTTATCATGCTTTTTCAAATTTTTCATTATTATATCTGTTATGGTGATCTGAGATCAGTGATCTTTGATGGTTCCATGTTTACTAGCTTTGGGGCACCTTGAGCTCTTCCCATATAAGACAGCAAACTTAATTATAAATGTTGTGTGTGTACTAACTGCACCCACCTTTATGAGGTTTCTGTCAGCCCCTACTGGGAGGTGTCTTCCAGTTAGGTTACACAGGGGTCAGGGACCCACTTGAAGAGCAGTCTGTCCATTCTCAGAGTTCAAACCCTCTGTGGGGAGAACCACTGCTCTCTCCAGAGCTGTCACACAGGGATATTTAAGTCTCAGAAGTTTCTGCTGCCTTTTGTTCAGCTATGCCCTGCCCACAGAGGTGGAGTCTATAGAGGCAGTAGGCCTTGCTGAGCTGCAGTGGACTCGACCCAGTTCAAGCTTCCTGGCCACTTTGTTTACCTACTCAAGCCTCAGCAATGGTGAATGCCCCTCCCCTCGCCAGGCTGCCGCCTGGCAGGTCAATCTCAGACTGCTGCACTAGCAGTGAGCAAGCCTCCCGGGGCATGGGACGCCTGAGCCAGGCACCAGAGATAATTTCCTGGTCTGCTGTTTGCTAAGACCATGGGAGAAGCCCGGTAGTTGGGCGAGAGTGTCCCATTTTTCCAGGTACAGTCTGTCACAGGCTCTCAGCTAGGAAAGGAAAATCTCCCCAGCCCTTGCACTTCCCAGCTCAGGTGACGCCCCGCCATGCTTCGGCTGGTCTTCCTTGGGCTACTGCACCCACTGTTCAACTACTCCCAATGAGATGAACCACGTACCTCAGTTGTAAATGCAGAAATCAACCATCTTCTGTGTCAATCATGGTGGGAGCTGCAGACCGGAGCTGGAACTATTCAGCCATCTTGGAACGGGAGCCCTCTAGGTGATATATTTTGAAGTCAGGTAGTGTGATGCCTCCAGATTTGTTATTTTTGGTCAAGGTTGCTTTGGCCTTGGTCTTTTGCAGTTCTGTACAAATTTTTAAAAAAGCTTTTCTCCATTTCTGTTTAGAATGTCATGGTATTCTGATAGAGATTGTTAAGAATCTGCAGTTTCCTTTGGGTACTATGTACATTTTAATAATACAAATTCTTCAAATTCATGAACATGATGTATCTAATTATTTGTGTCTTTTTTAATTTCTTTCATCCTTGTTTTATAATATTCATTGTAGATATTTTATACCTCCTTGGTTAAACATATTCTTAGGGGTTTTATTCTGTAGCTATATTATATGAAATTGTTTTTCTAATTTTTTGCAGATAGCTATTTCCATACAGAATAATACCAATTTTTGTATGATAATTTTTTTCAAAAAGTTTTCTGAATTTTTTTATCAATCATTATGTGTTGTTTTCATGGAGTCTTTAGTTTTCTCTCTTTATAAGTTCATGTCATCTGCAAAGAGGAACTATTTGATTTCTTCCTTTCCAATTTGTATGCCCTTCTTTTCTTTCTCTTGGTTAATTACTCTGACTAGACGTTCCAGTATTAGGTTGGATAAGAGTGGAGAAAGTGTGCATCTTTGTCTTTTTCCAGATCTTAGGAAAAAAAAGAAACCTTTCTACTTCTCCCCGCTCAGTATGATGGTAGCTGTGTGTTTATCATGCATGGGCTTCATTGTTTTATGTATGTTTTTTTTTTATATACTTAATATGTTGAGAATTTTTATCCTAAAGAAATACTGAATTTTATTAAATGCCTTTTTGCTATTATCTATCTATCACCTTTCTATCTACCTATAAATTTATTTGTCCTTCATTCTGTTGATGTGGTGCATTACATGTATTGACTTGCATATGTTGAACCATCCTGGCATCCCTGGGATAAATTGCAGTTGATCATATTGAATAATCTTTTTAATATGCTGTTGGATTTGGTTGGCTAGTAGTTTGTCGATGACATTTGCATCATTATTCATCAGGTATATTGGCCTATATATATATCTATCTATATAGACATATATAGATAGATATAGATATAGATATATAGATAGATATAGACCTATATAGATATAGATATATAGATAGATATAGACATATATATATATATATATATAGGCCCATATGGGCATATATATATATATATATATATATAGGCCAATATGGGCCTATATATATATATATATATATATATATATATAGGCCAATATGGACCTATATATATATATATACACATATAAATAAATAAAACATGGTGAGAAATAATGAGGAAGAAGCTTAAAGCAGTAATAAACTGCTATATATATTATATATAATATATAATAAATTGCTATATATTTTATATATATGTATATATATATGTGTGTGTATATATATATATATATATATAGTCTCCTTGTCTGTTGTGGGATTACAGTAATGCTAGCCTCACAAGATGATGCTGAAGTATTTTTGCCTTTTTGATGGTTTGGAAGAGTGAGAAAAATTAATATTAATTATTCTTTAAATTTGGCTGAATTTCATAGTGAAGACATTAGCTCACTGCCTTTTTTAGTGAGACTTTATTACTGCTCTAAGCTTCTTCCTCATTTTTTATCTCTCCATGTTTTTATTTATTCATAATCCAGTCCTATTTTACTGTATGTGTCCAGTAATTTGTTTATTTTCCTAGATTTTTCCATTTGTTGGCATATACTTGTCCATGGTAGCCTCTTATATTCCTTTTTATTTCTAGCGTCAATTGTTTTTTCTTCTTTGTTTTTAGAACTTTTAAGGTTTTAGAGATGAAGTCTCACTTTGTCGCCCATGCTTGAGTGCAGTGACCCTATTATAGCTCACTGAAGCCCAGTCTCCTGGGTTTAAGCAATCTTTTTACCTCAACTTCCAGAGTAGCTGAGACAGGCATACACCACCAAGCTTGGCTAATTTATTTCAAATTTTGTAGAGATGGGTTCTTACTAAGCTCATCTCAAACTTTGGGCCTCAAGTGATTCTTCAGCCTCTGTCTCCAAAAATGCTGGGATTATAGGTATGAGCCCCTGTGCCTGATTTGTTTTATCTCTTTGTAAGCTCCCATTTTATTTGAATCTTTTCTGGTTTGTTTTGTTTTGTTTTGTTTTCAGTTAGTCTAGCCAAACCTTTGTCAATTTTATCTCTTCAAACAACTAACAATATTTCGCTGATTTTCTATATTGTATTTTATTTCTATTTCATTTATTTCTGCTCTAATCATTAAATATCTTTTTTCTTAATAATTTTGTTTTCTTGTTCTTGTTTTTCTAATTCATTGAGATGTTATCATAAATTGTTTATTTGAAATCTTCCTACTTTTTTGATGTTTGTGTTCGTTGTTGCAGACTTTCCTCTTAGAACTAATTTTGCTGTATCTCATTGGTTTTGCTATATTATGCTGCCAGTTTTGTCTCAAGAAAATGTTTAAATTTACTTTTAAATTTCTTTGATCATTCATGAACACGTTTAATTTCCACATAGTTGTACAGTTTATAGTGTTCCTTCTGTTACTGATTTTGTCTTTTTTCACTGTGGTTATAAAAGACATATAAGATGATTTGAATTTTTTTAAATGTGGTAAGTTTTTTTTTTTTGTAATCTGACAGAAAAGGTTCTGTGTGCTGTTGAGAAGAATGTGTATTCTGCAGTTGTTGAATGGCATTTTCTGTAAATGTGTGTTAGATTTATTTTGTCTAGAGGGAAGTTTAACTCCTATATTTCTTTGTTGATTTGCTGTCTGAATTATCTGGTTATTGAGGTAATTAGGGTTTTAGGTAGTCTACTATTTTTGTATTACAGCTGATCTCGTCCTTTAGAGACATAAATCAATATTTGCTGTATATTTGCTGTGGCATGAGAGACACGCATATTTACAATTGTTCTATTCTGCTGCAATATTAAGTCTTTTTTCATTATATAATGGCTTTCTTTGTCTTTTTAAAATCATTCTTAAAGTCTTTAATCTGATATAATAATAGCAACTCTTGCTTTTTTTAATTTTTATTTTTGGTTTCCACTGGAATGGAATACCCTTTTCTACTTCTTTACTTTTAGTTTATGCATACTTTTATAGGTATAATAATTTTCTTATAGGAAGAATATAGTTGGGTATTTTTATTTTATCCATTTAGCCATTTCTATGTATGTTAATTGAAGAATTTAATCCATTTACATTTAAGAATATTATTAACAAATAAAGATTTAATGCTGCCTTTTTAAAATTTTTTCTGTGGTTGTATTTAGATCCCTTTGTCCTTTTCTCCCTTCTCTTACTGTGCTCCTTTGAGATCAAGTAACTTTCTCTAGTAGTATGTTTTAATTCCATTTAGGTATTTTTAGTGTATCTATTATAGGTTTTTGCTTTGTGGTTACCAAGAGGCTACAGAAACACCTTATAGTTATAAGAGGTTATTTTACATAAATGACAACTTTAATTCCAAAGAAAAAAAAAATTTAAACTGTGTATTTTCACACTATTTCCCCAACATTTGGACTTTTTCATGTCTGAATTTACATCTTTCTATGTTGTCTATCCCTTAATCATTGTTGTAGTTGTTACCTTTATTAGTTTTCCTTTATAGTCTTTATACTAAATATCAATTAGAGCGTTAGAGTATTCTGAATTTGTGTATATATTTACATTTACCAGTGACTTTTTACATTTTTATTTGTTACATGTTAGTGTCCTTTTCCTTTAGTGTCCTTTCCTTTTCCTTTAGAGTCCTTTCCTTTTCCTTTGCATTTCTTCTAAGACAGGTTTGGTGTTGGTGAATTCTGTTAGTTTTTATTTTTCTTGAAAAGTCTTTATCTCTTCCTCATATATGAAGAAGTGCTTGGATGAGTACAGTATTCTTGTATTAAAAGTTTTACAAATTTTTGTTTACTTCAGCATTTTGACTATATTATCCCACTCTCTTCTGTCCTGAAAGATTTTTGTTTGTTTGTTTGTTTCTGGGAAATTCACTGAAAACAGTTCGGGACCACTATTGAATGTGTTATGTTTTGTTGTTGTTTTGTTTTGTTTTGTCCTCTCTCCTACTTCTTTCATTATTCTTTTTGTTCTTTGATTTTTGGTAATTTGATTATAATGTACCTTTGGGAATTACTTTTTGGGTTGAATTTGTTGGGTGATGTCTAAGCTAACTGTTCCCAGATATTATTGTCTTTCTCCAAATTTAGAAAATGTTGAGTCTTTATTATCTTCAGTATGTTTTCTAGGCCTTTCTTTTCTATCTCATATCCTTTAGAAATTTATATTATATGGCAGTATTTCCCTTCATAGTGTCATATAATTTCTGTGGCTGCCACTATTTCTTTTTTCTTTCTATTCCTCTGATTGGGTAATTGCATGTTTTCTTTGAGCTTATTGATTCTTTCCTGTTTGATCAAGTCTGCTGTTAAAGATTTCTAGTGAGTTTTTAGTTTAACAATTTTTATCCTGCATTTCAAGGATTTCATATTTTATTATTCTGATTTCATTCTCAAATGTATAATATTGTGTCTGCATTATTTTCCAAGTTTCTTTTAGTTTTTTGTTTATAGATTTATTGTGAATTTGTTTTTGAATATTTAAGAATTATCAATTCTGGTGCATTATTGAACACTGATTGGTTTCTTTTGGAGATGTCATATTTCCCTGTTTTTTTTTTTTAACAATACTTGCTGTTTACATTGATGCCTGCATATTTAAGAAGATAGACACCTGATTCAGCTTTTTAAGGTGTTATTCAGTGGTATTAAAACTTTACTGCTTAATACCAGAGCTGAATCGCTGCCAGAGGATTCTTTCTGTTCTGAGGAGAGCTTATAGTTGATAACAGAACCTAAATAGTGCACCAGAGCTAAATCTCTTCCATGCTATTGTTTTCCTGCCTGGGGAAGCCTTATCATGATGATAAAAAGATAATGTTGTGCCAGAACTTAAACTCAAACCTGTAGTAATATCTGGGTTGGGGAAGGCTTAAGAAATAACTGGAACTTAGTTACTGACCTGATAGTTGTTTCTGGGTCAGAGAAAGGCTCTGTATGATCACCTGGGATATTTGTAAAATCTGACCAAAGATTCTAGCTTTCCCTTGGATTGTGCCTCCTGCACTATTGTAGTGCTGGCTAGGCCCCCATCAGTGTGAGTTCCCTGCTGATAGGACCGCAAAGCATCTGCCAAGATCTGTTTGCCATTTGCCGTGATTAGTGCTTCTGCTCTTTGCTTCCAATTCAACCCAGGTGGTTCAGCCCTTCTGACGCTCCTAATACCTCCTGTGGGATGGAACGAAGAAGGCTTTTCACAGTGATTCACACACTCATATGGGGATTGAATGTCCACCTGCAATTATTTTCTTCCACCTGTGTAAATGCAGGTAGAGGGAAGTTTTCTGTGAGTGATGCTATTTTCCTTTGGAGAATGGGGTGACGCAGCACAAATGACCTTTCTTCTTTCTGGTCATGGATTTTTTAATTTCCATGAACCCATAAGATTTTTCACTTTTCTCCTGCGCTCTGGTGCATTCAGAGTGGTATTTTTATATTTGAATAGTTGCTAGTTGTACTTTTAAGAAGGATTGATGCTGGACGTCTTCTATTCCACCATCTTGCTGATGTCACTCCTCAAATAATATTTGTATATGTTAGTAAATTATTTTGTTTTTAGGATTCTGTGGCTACATGACACAGACATGAAAAGTACTCTTGTCACTGAAACTTTTCATATACTGTTTGATTGTGTGCCTTTTCTAGTAATGAATGAATATGTATTTAAGCTATATGTTTTATACTTAGACTTTCTTATAAAGAGACTAGATAGTTCTGTGTGTCAGAACATAAGAATAGAATACAACTACACAGTAATAATTCCTCAACTCTTTATTTTATAAGTGTAAGTAGGCTTTACTTTAATCTTTGTTGTATTACCCCTGTGTAATGCAGAGAAATTTTTATCTTCCAGAAATGGAAAATGTTGTCCAGAGTTCAGGGGAAGAGGATATTGGGTTCTTTTCTCTGAGGTCACTGTTTCAAAACGTTACAGAAGAAAAGGCTAATATTGCTTCAGCCCTTGCCCAGATCCCACAGAAGGTCAGTAAAACCTCCATTCCTGATAAGCAGCTATTCACATAGTGAGAAAGTATGGCTTTTGCCCTACTCAGTCTTGCTGTTATTGGAAACAACTCTCTTGATTGTCGTTCGTTTATAATAAAATAGAAATAAAAAAATAAGCCCCTACATCATATTTTAGAATTTGAAATTTAAAGGCATGTGCCAACTATTCCAAAAAAAGTTCTGACATGTATTATTTCCAAGGGCCAGAAAAAGGAAAACTGATATAAAAAAGAAAAAGAAGAATCAATTTCAGGAATATCCTTCTCATATTTGAGTGCATAAAAATTGTATTCAGGGTACTTTTGCATAGAAATAAAAGCTCCGATTAATGTAGTCTTTCTCGATAATTAGAGCTTTCTTCAAGAGTTAAATGTCAATTACAATTATATTATAGTAACTTAATTATTTAAGCAATGTAATTATTTATAATACTCAACTAATTTCAACTTTGTTATTACTGTAATTCTAGAATTTCACACTTTAGGTAGTGCTATATATAAACTATCCAAAAGATGTTTTATTTCATATTTAGCTAAAATACATCAAACTCAATAAAGGCAAATATACTAATTAGGAATGTGAAATCTCATAATTTTAATTAAGAAATTATCTGTTAAGTAGTTTGAAACATCTGTGCCACCCTTTCTTTTCAAATGTATGAATTTTTTTATAAGTTCCCACAAATCAAAATTATGGAAAAAAAAGACACAATCCCAAAGAAAGTTTATCATTGAACAATGGAACATAAGTAATTCTCTAGCTCATTCGTCTTCAATAAAACAAATAAATATAAGAAGACAGAGGCCAGGAAGGAAATAGAGAAGAAAAGATAACCGATTATCCAAAACACACACAAAATTGAAAGCAAATTTTATCTGTGGGGAACTGTAAATTTGATGGTAGAACTGGAATAGTTCCATGATTTGAAATGACACAGAGATCATGTACTTATAAAATATTTTATTCTTATAAGAAAATTGAGTAGCCAGTGCTGAATTACTTTTTAATGATTCACTGATATTCTCATACTCAGATATTTTTAATCGATATTAAAATAATAATAGTATACTTAGTCAACTGGTAAACATTATTTGAAAAGACCTTTGTAAAAAGTCTTACTATGTCTTTTAGTGTTTACACAGTACCTCTAAATACCCCTGTCTCAACCAACACCTGAAGTACAATGAGTTTGTAATTTATAAATTTATAATTTATAACTATATCTATATCCTTAGAATGCTAATATCCTGTGGTTCAATCTGTGAAATACATGTGTTTCTTCCATAGGTGTTATAGAGATACAATGGGAAAAAACTATCCACATTAGGAACCAATACTCGACTGTCTGATGGGATACCCCAGAATGATCTTCTTGGTAGGACTATGAGAAAGTAAAAATACGAACTAGATGAGGAAAAAATGAATAAATGTTAAACAGTGAGCAAATTCAGCAAATATTTAAAATTATAAAACTTTATTTTACTTACACTTTTGAAGCAGATATAATTAAAGGATTGACTAAAATTGTATAGACTCACACTCTCTATTGTTAGGGTGAGAGTGACAGGATATGCAGAAGGAATTAATGCCTCTTTTACTTAAGTTAGAAATGATCTTTAGTAGCAAAGCTCCATGTGATCTCCTTTTAAAGAAAATGCTGTACACTTCAGGGAGTTATCTCATAATTCCCTTTTTTAGTCCTGAAATTATTTTAAAAATTCATAATAAAATATCTCACCATCTCTCATCGAATTTGCGTACTAGGTCACCTCAAACCAAAGCTTTTATCACTCATGGAGGAATGAATGGGATCTATGAAGCTATTTACCATGAGGTCCCTATGGTGGGAGTTCCCCTATTTGGTGATCACAATGATGCCATAGCTCACATGAAGGCCAAAGGAGCAGCTGTAGAAATAAACTTCAAAACTATGACAAGCAAAGATGTACTCAGGGCTTTGAGAACAGTCATTAACGATTCCTCATAAGTACTACTGCTTGTAAAGACTGATCTAACATTGGTTATATTATACATTATGTCGGAAAATGTTAAATATCATGCTGGTAGACATTTTAAGGGATTTTTCCCTTCAATATTAAGTCATTCATCACCTTAGTATTGGAATAGTTCTGGAAATTATAGTTCATAGAGTGTCAATCTTCATGGAAATATTAAGTTAACAACTGGCTTGCTCAGGTTTTATTCACATCTTTGCTTTACCCCATTTTGTTAAAAATATACTCTTTTTCAGTCTCCCCACTATATCTGTTTAATGCTATGCAACCAATAACGTTCATGTCACAACCAGAATCAATCTTTTACTCAACAAGTTTTGGCTTGCATAACATATACTACAGTTTATCTACCTGTCTTTTATGAAAACAAAATTACAACTTTCTAAGTTCTATGTGTGTTTTTGCCTTCCAGTTATAAAGAGTATGCTATGAGTTTATCAGGGATTCACCATGATCAACCTGTGAAGCCCCTGATCGAGCAAACTTCTGGATCGAGTTTGTCATGTGCCACAAAGGAGCCAAGCACCTGTGATCAGCTGCCCACAGCCTCACCTGGTTCCAGCACTACTCTATAGATGTGATTGGGTTCCTGCTGGCCTGTGTGGCAACTGCTATATTCTTGGTCACAAGATGTTGTTTATTTTCCTGTCAAAAATTTAATAACACTAGAAAGATAGAAAAGAGGGAATAGATCTTTCCAAATTTAGGGAAGACCTGATGGGGTAATCCTGTTAATTCCAGACACAAAGAATTTAGTGAAAACATGTTCCCTTCCTATTTTCATATTATCTATTCTGATATTTTATCTTAGCTAAGTAGCCTAGAATTCCACGATCATGAACTTGTGAGTATATCTCATTCTTTCATTGTATTTTCCTAGGTGTGCTTACTCTCTTCTCTCACTTTGTGACACAAGGACATGAATACATGTAAATTTTCATATTTCTGATATCACTGTTTCCATGATGTCATCACTTCTCTAACCTTAAGTGATAGGGTGACCTGCAATATGCTGATTCCTGGTGTTTGCACAAACACATGGATGTAAAGAAGTAAAAAATGTAAAATTCACAAAATTCAGTAAACCACACAAATCAATGAAGCATTCTATGACATTAGCTTGTTATGAGAAACATAATGATTTTTCTTTTTCAATTTAAATAAGCCCTTCTACATACCCAGCATTACTGATCTCAGACAATGAATTACTAAAAATGACAATAGAGCATTACACTCAGAATAGTTTGCTATATTTCCACATACCTCATCTAGATGTCATAGCCTACATTTCTGCCATCACTCAACCAAGATTTTTTATGTGTTCTTGATGATAAACAGTTCTTATTATTGTTCTCAAATAATAAAAGAAACTGATATTTTCTTACTTAGAGAAAATGTCCATAAGATATTCAAGTTAAACAGATTATTTTGAGATAAGTAACCATTAGAAATATATGATTTTAATTACTGATTTTATAAAATTTTAATTGACAGTACACTTAAGAAGATTTAAATGTCTATTCTTTAAAAATGATGAATACTCATAATTCTTATCTCTATAATCAAAAGTATAGTTTACTGTAGAAAAATAAAGAGATGCTTGCTCTGAAAGCAAGATCAGTATACTGCTTTCCAGCCTCAAAATTCGAGAATTGCAAATTCATCAAGTAATGGCTTACATGGTAAAAATTTAAGGTATTAGAATACCTGCTTAACAAATATTAGTATATATTAAATATTTAGATAAGTAAAGCTCTACCCTAAATATAGTTTAATAATCTTTACACTAAGCAAATATGTTACACTTTTCATTTTGTTTACTGTCATATAATCTTAGTGACATGCCTTTAAATTTTAATTCAAGGACTTGATTTATTAAATGAATAAATTGGCTCAACTGGCTTTTTGAAAATTTTGAAATTGTTACACATGTCGATAAAGTACATCCATAAATTAATTCCAATTTTAAAATGACTATATAAAAAGAAATATAAGTATTTTTCTTGCATGTGTATACAATTAAATGTAAATAAAATTAGTAGGTTTTTAAAATTTCTTAAGTTTTTACATTGATATGTTTCTGACTTTTACAACATTATCATAATCTAGGAAAAGCTGATTATATCTGTTTTAAGCCTCATCTTTTCTCTGTAATTAAATACAGCAATTGATCAACATGCTGTGACAGGTGGGAAGCCATTTCTGGAGTTGAGCCTGCTGACACTCTGGGGCTTTTTAGGTTGCACACTCATTGTACCTGGGACACCCTTCCTCTCAAGAGCTGTTGCTCATAAGACTCTCCTTCATCAATCTGGCATTACCATTGGAGATCAGTTGCAATCAGAATACAACTGGCCTTGTAGTTGTAATATGTTCTATCTTAACCACCACTTTCATACCAGGAACCTGCTCAGGTTTGTTCTCTAAAAGCTCCCAACATAGATACTCTACATTTCAGACTATTAAGTTATTAACAAACCTTTGGACCATGTTCACTTTAGGTTGAGCATAGTGTGAGGAGATGTAAATTAAATTATAATCTTATATGTGTGTGTTATAAATATTAAAGTGTATAAATTAAACAGCAGATTCTAAGTATCCAACAAGGGTCAAATAAATGATACAAAGTCACCAAATAAATAATATTTAATCTCATTTTACTTCAGAAATTTTCTTGTAATATCATCTTTTGTTTTTTACATTATATCAATTATTGCAAACAAAGAAAAATCTCAAATGAATTCTTAATAATTACCTAGAGCCTCACTTCTAGACCCAACAACTAACAGCAAATTGCCATATTTTCATCACATTGTCTTTAAAATTTGCACATGGTGTGGTGGCAAAATTGATGTTTTAAATGTGGCAGAGCAGGAATGCCCTGTCCCTGTTCCCCATGCAGAAAGAGACTTGGCGACATTATATAGACCAAATTGCCATGGCAATAATCTCAGAAACCAGTCCAAAGGTTGCAGCACCACAGAAAAGAGCAAAGCCAAGAAGAATTCTATTTTAATATCTAAGAAATGTTGTACCATATACTCTCTATAGATCCTTCCCTAGCCAGTACAGCATTACACAATCAGGAAAAAAATCTTTAGTCATCAGTTTTCCCACAGGAGTGAAAGAAGAGTGAAATGTGGTCTAATGTTCTGGCTCCTTAGGAGACTTCCCAAGGGTCTGATTTCTGTCACTGAACTTAAATCACTTACGGAAACCCCAGCATTTGAATGCCTGGGAATAAAGGCAGTGTGACAGTTTTGGGCAGTACCGGAAGAGCTGCATTATTACTACAGAATAACAACAGGTGAAGTAAAATATTACAAAATCCTGGAAACAAACAAAAAACTATATTTAACTTGGTAATTACATTCAAAAGCCCAGAGAAGATACAGCTCTTGGAATGGTTTGCAAAGCTCCCAGCATCTCTAGCTGGGGTGATTGATGAAGGTTTTCCACTACACTAAGCCAGTGCATAAAGACTGGGAGATGTGGATGTTTCTTTAAATCTAAGTTTAAACAAAGAAATGTGAAGCATGCAGACACTGGTAAGCATGACCTATTTGAAGGAACAAAATAAACCTTTTTTTTCAACCCTGAATAAACAAAGATTTATTAATTACCTGTCAAAAAATTCAAAATACATTAAATACCTATCAAAATTTTCAAAAATATTTAAAGATGCTGGATTACCTAAAAGAACCCAGACAAGTTTCTAAAAATCAGGAATATAAGGCATGTATAAAATAAGAGTATCAAAAAAGACATAAAAGTTTAGAAAAGAACTGGAGATAAGTAATACAATAACTAAATTGAAAAATTTACTAGAAAAATTCAATAGATGACTTGACCAGGTAGAAAAAATAATTGATGAATTTGAAAATATTGGCCATTTGAAACTATTAAGGAAGAGGATCAAAAGGAGTGTGATAATAACGTGAAAGCCTGAGACTTATGGGACATTGTTAACCTGACCAGTTATGCATTACGAGAGCTTTCATGGGAGAAGAGGAAAAGATTGAGACAAAAAGTCTATTTAAAGAAATAATGGCAGGCAGAAAATTTCCCAAATTTGAGGAAGAATATGGACATAGAATTGTTTTAAAACACAACTACTGTACACTGAGATCAATTCAAAAATTTTACATCAATAAACATTATAATCAAACTTTCAAAAGTCACAGACAAAGAAAGAATCTTGGAAGCAGAAAAATAAAAATGAATCATGACATAAAAAGGAACTCACATATATTATCAACAAGATACTAGCAGATATCTTTTTAAACCGAAAGTAAGCAACATAATATATCCAAAGTGTTGAACGAAAAACAAGAAAACAACCCGAACACATAAGACATTCATTTGACAAACCTGTCATTCAGAAATTATGGAAAATGGAATACTTTCTCAGGTTAAAAAAGGGTAGAAGAAGATAATTATTACCACACCTGTCCTACAAGAAAAGTGAAAAGGAGTCATTCAAGTTGAAATGAGGGAGGCTAGGAAGCAAAATGAATGAATGTAAAAGTATAAATCTGTCTGGTAGAGATAAATAAGTATTAAATATGAAGTCCCATATGTTTTTCATGTTGATGCACAAGGTACTTTTAATTCTGATATGCAATTTAAAAGAGAAAAGCATAAAAGTAACATTGCATTTATATTAATTGGGACACAACATAAAATATATAATTAGTGATATTACTAACATAAAGTAGGAATGGGAGATGTAAAGGAACAGAATTTTCAGATATAATTAAAGTTTTTGTTTGGTTTCAAATGGACTATTATAACTATAAAACATTTTATTCAATCCTCATGGTAACCACAAAATATACCCATAGAACAAGAGTGTCCAACACTTTGCCTTCCCTGGAACACACTGGGAAAGAAGAATTGCCTTGGGCCACACATAAAATACACTAACAGTAGCCATAGCTGATGAGCTGGGGAAAAAATCGCAAGAGAAATCACAATGTTTGAAGAAAGTTTACATGTTTGTGCTGGGCCATATTCAAAGCCGTCCTGGGCTGCATGCAGCCCTCAGGCTGCAGGTTGGAGAAGCTTGCTGTAAAAGATACAGAAAAAGAAGTGAAAAAAGGAACCTGAACTTACGAATGTACCAAAAACAGTACTATGAGGATAGTTTTTAGTAATAAATGCCTATGTTAAAAAAGAAGAAATATCTAAAACAATCTAACTTTACATATCAAAGAACTGGCCAAAATTATCAGAAAGACAAAAGTAATAAAGATTACAGCAGAAATAAATACAATAGGAAGAAGGGAAAAATCAGCAAAACTGAGTTGTTGCTTTCTTTTTATGAAAAGATCAACAAAATTGAGAAATTGTTTTCTTGACTAAAGAAAAAAGTGTGAATAGCTGTATAATTAAAATCAGTCTGAGCTTGGTGGCTTAATCCTGTAATCCCAGCAGTTTGGAATGCTGAGGCAAGCAGATTGCTTGAGCCCAGGAGTGGGAGAGGAGTCTGGGCAACATGGTGAAACCCTGTCTCTGCTAAAACTATAAAAATTAGCCAGGTGTGGTGGCATGCACCTGTAGTTCCAGCTACTCAGGAGACTGACATGAGAGAATCGCTTGAACTCGGAAGGTGAGGGTTTCAGTGAGCCGAGATGGTGTTGCTGCTGCACTCCAGCCTGGGGTTAGAGCAGAGACGCAGTCAAAAAAAAAAATCAGAAATGAAAGAGAAGACATTACAATTGATGCCATAGAAATAAATAGGTTACAAGAGAGAAAATATTAGCAAATCACTTATCCGCTAAGTGTTTTATATTCAAAATATATGACAATTCTCTATAATTTAATAGCAAAAACTCAATTAAAATAATTCAAAGACGTGAATACACATTTATTCAGAAAATATAGATATATGGCCAAAAAGCATATGAAAAGATGCTTAACATCACTAAATATTAGAGAAATGTAAACCAAAACTACAATGAGCTATCACATCATAACCATTAGGCACCTCAAAATATTTTTGGATACATATATTCACCCACATGCAGACACACAGACACACACACAGCCCATAAAACAAGTTTTGAAGAGAATATATATAAATAGGAACTCTTGTGCATTGTTGGTAGGAATGGAAAATGATGACACCCCTATAGTTAACAGAATGGAAGTTCCTCAAAAAAATTAAAATCAAATTACCATATGACCCAACAATGTTACTTCTAGGTATTTATCCACAATAATTAAAAGCAGGATCTCAAAGACATATTTGCACATCCATGTATTTTGCAACATTATTCACAATAGTTAAGAGAGAAAAGCAACACAAATGTCCATGGATGGATGAATGGACAAAGAAAAGATGGTGTATACATGAAATGAAAGATTATTTAGCTTTTAAAAGAAGAAAATTCTAACATATATAACAACATTGATGAAGCTTTAGAATGTTATAATAAGCTGAATAAGCCTGTCAAAAAAAGATACATGCACATATAAGTAATTTTACATACATGTGGTATCAAAACTAGTACAACCTATAGAAAGAAAAAGTGGACTAGTAGATACCAGGGGCTGGAGTAAAGGGAAAAATGGGGTGTTGTTCAATGTGTTTTCCAAGATGAAAATTTTCTAGAAACCTGTGGCACAAAAACGTACAGATACTTAAAATTGATAAATTGCAAACTTAAATATTGTTAAGATGGGAAATTGTATGGTAACTTTTTTAACATAACCAATCACTCAGCAGTTACAGATAAAATTGAAATTTTTAAATGTTATATAACTTAAGTTTCACTAAACTTCAAAAAAGCTCCCTTGAAATTAGTGTTTTTACCATCTAGACTGTTTTTATTTAATAATTTTTTAACTCAGTATTTGTTGCTTTCTTTCTAATTATTCATCTACTTTGAACTTGGTTTGTGTTGGAAATCAATCAATCAATTAATCAACATAATCTTAAAGACCTTGCTCTAATTTACATTCCCACCAACAGTGTAAAAGGATTCATATATCTCTATAGACTCACCTGCATTTATCGTTTCTTGACATTTTAATAATCATCATTCTGACTGGCGTGGGATGGTGTCTCATTTGGGCTTTGATTTGCATTTCTCTGATGATAAGTGATGTTGAGCTTTTTTCTATATGTTTGTTGGCTGCCTAAATGTCATCTTTTGGGAAGTGGCTGTTCATATCCTTTGACCACTTCTTGATGAGGTTGTTTTTTTCTTGTAAATTTATTAAAGTTCCTTGTAAATTCTAGATAATAGAACTTTTTCAGATGGATAGATTGCAAAAATTTTCTCCCATTCTGTAGGTTGCCTGTTCACTCTCATGATAGTTTCTTTTGCTGTGCGGAAGCTCTTTAGTTTAGTTGGATCCCATTTGACAATTTTGACTTTTGTTGCAATTGCTTCTTATGTTTTCATGATGAAGTCTTTGCCTGTATCTATGTCCTGAATTGTATTGCCTGGATTTTCTTCTGTGATTTTTATGATTTTGGGTTTTACATTTAGGTCTTTAATCCACCTTGAGTTAGTTTTTGTATACGGTGTGAGGAAGGGGTCCAGTTTCCATTTTCTGCATATGGTTAGTCAGTTTTCTCGTCACCATTTATTAAACAGGGAATCCTTTCTCCATTGCTTGTTTTTGTGAGGTTTGTCAAAGATCAAATGGTCGTAGATGTGTGGTGTTATTTCTGAGGTTTCTGTTCTGTTCCATTGGTCTATATATCTGCTTTGGTACAAGTGTCATGCTGTTTGGTTGCTGCAGCCTTGTATTACAGTTTAAAGTCAGGTAGCATGCTGTCTCCAATTTTGTTTTTTTTTGCTTAGGATTGTCTTGGCTATACAGGGTGTTCTTTGATTCCATATGAAATTCAAAGTAGCTTTTTTCTAATTCTATGAAGAATGTCAATAGTAGCTTGAGGGGAATAGGATTGAATCTCTACATTTCTTCAGGCAGCATGACCATTTTCACGATATTGATTCGTCCTGTCCATGAGGATGAAATGTTTTTCCATTTGTTTTCATCCTCTCTTATTTCCTTGCACAGTGGGTTGTAGTTCTCATTGAAGCAGTCATTCACATCCCTCGTTAGCTATATTCCTAGGTATTTTATTCTCTTTGTAGCAATTGTTAATGGGAGTTGATTCATGATTTGGCTCTCTGGTTGTCTATCGTTAGCGTAAAGGTATCCTTGTGATTTTTGTGCATTGATTTTGTATCCTGAGACATTGCTGAAGTTGCTTATCAGTTTAAGGAGTTTGGGGGCTGAGATGATGGGGTTTTCTAAATAAAAAATTATGTCATCTACAAAGAGGGACAATTTGACTTCCTCTCTTCCTATTTGAATACCCTTTATTTCTTTCTCTTACCTGATTGCCCTAGCCAGAACTTCAAATACTATGTTGAATAGGAGTGGAGAGAGAGGGCGTCCTTGTCTTGTACCTATTTTCAAAGGGAATGCTTCCAGCTTTTGCCCATTCAATGTGATATTGGCTATGCATTTGTCACAAATAGCTCTTATTATTTTGAGATATGTGCCATCAATGCCTAGTTTACTGAGAGTTTTTAACATGAAGAGATGGTAAATTTTACCAGAGGCCTGTTTTGTGCATCTATTGAGATCCATTGTGGAAGACAGTATGGGGATTTCTCAAGGATGTGGAAACAGAAATACCTTTCGACCCCACAGTTTTATTACTGGGTATATACCCAAAGGAATATAAATCATTCTACTATAAAGACACATGCACACATGTTTATTGCAGCACTGTTTACAATAGCAAAGTCATGGAACTAACCCAAATGCCCATCAACGATAGACGGCATAAAGAAAATGTGGTACATAGACACCACCAAATAATGCATAGCCAAAAATAGAATGAGATCAAAGCCTTTTCAGAGACATGAATAAAGCTGGAAACAATCATCTCCAGCAAGCTAACACTGGGACAAAAAACCAAACACTGCATGTCCTCACTCATAAGTAGGAGTTGAACAATGAGGACACATGGACACAGGGAGGGAAACAACACACACCAGGGCCTGTTAGGAGGTGGGGTGTGAGGGGAGGAAACTTAGAGGATGGGTCAATAGATGCAACAAACCACCATGGCATATGCATACCTATGTAACAAACCTGCACATTCTGCACACGTATCCCAGAACTTGTGCAGTAAAAACAAAGAAGAAAGAAAGAAAGAAAGAAACAAAGAAAGAAAGAAAAGAAGGAGACCTAGCTCTATATTCTCAAGTGAACAAAATATATTTTTATATTATTTAGCAAGCTAATGTATTAATAAATTTAAAGTTAATGGTTACTGCTAGTCCTAATTTATGAAAAATAAAAGAGAATCTGGATACAGCTATTCAATGTGCAAAGGAATAATCAGAAAATAAACAGTATGTTCCAGGAACCATATAAGGTTTTTTTTTCTCAAATGACCAAATTTGATAAGAATATCTAAATAATAAAGTATGTATCATCTTCCAAATAGTGCATAATCCTTCTTTCATATTTTAATACATACCTGATACTCTCAAAATTCATTTCATATATAACATCAACATTCAAACTTCAAGTATATTTCTATATACCACTCTGTTAGTTGGCTAGGGCTGCCATAATAAAGTACCACAGACTTGGTGGCTTAAACAACAAGAAACATATTTTCTCACAATTCAGGAGGCTAGAAGTGTGTAATCAAGGTATGATTAACAGTGTTGGTTTCTTCTAAAAACTCTATGATTGGTTTGTAGATGATTGCCCTCCTTAGATGGACTTTCTTCTCTGTGTTTGTCCTTATGTCCATGTAAGATGTCCTCTATATGCCCTCATTTTAACTTTTTACTTAATGGCCCTGTCTCCAAATGTAGTCTTATTCTGAGGAACTGGGTGTTAGAACACTAACAAAGGAATTCGGAGTAATGAGCCATGATTCAGCCTATAAGCACTATTTAACATTTCAAAATAAAATATACATTTTGACCAAAAAAATACCAATAGTAGAGTATGCATTCTCAACATATATACTTTCTATTTTCCCAACATTAAGATGAACAAAGTGAAATATGGTGTCCACATGAACATTCCAATACATCTAAAGAAGGCAATGCAAAACAACTTATTAAAAAATTAAGGTCTTATGGCAAACTTTCTTAGACTCAACTAGAAATCCTTTCCATTGTATTTACTTTTAAGTGCACAAATTCCTATTCTATACAATTATTTTAGAAAGCTTTTATGTCATTTGTAATTATGTAATTTGTAATTTATGTAATTATGTAAGTTGCTTAATTGGATGATCTTTTCCATGAGGGCAGCTATATTCCACTTTGACTATTGAGATAAGTAGGCTGTCCAAAGTCTGGACTGATTCACCACCAATTGATTGAGAAATTGAAGCGTGAAACTCACTTAGGATTAAACTGGCTTATCAGCTTGCTGTACTTATTTTAAGCCCACAGTAAATTAAAGGAAGAGTTGGTCATGAAAACTGTGAATGGCTTTTTTTTTTTTTTTTTTTTTCTGCTGAATCTGTGTTTCTTCGACTCTGGAAAGTCTGGGAAATTGCTTGTCCAGCCCATGAATTTTAGTCACTCAATTTAAAAGTTATTCTAGAAAAACTCCAGCGTGATGGACATGAGATAACCATATTAGTACCTCCACCAAGCCTCCTGCTTGATCATACCAAGATTCCTTTTAATGTGAAGGTTCTCCTACTTTCAGTAACTAAGAAACCCTCACAGAAGATATATATTCCTTTCTCCTTACAGCTTCTTTAGAACTGCAGAGTCTTTCATGGTGTGGCAGGCAAATAAAATTGTCAGAAATAGAATATAAAAATAAAACTGTACATATCCGAAAGTATGTATGACAGTGTGTAATAAATGAGGAGTTACTGAGCAGGCCGTAGGCGGCCAAGTTTATTTGTTTTGCTGACCCTTTAGCTTACTACGGACAGTTGATGGCTGGGCTTCTCAACATTTCATTTATATATTTGTTTCTGGTTTCCCATGGGAATGCCAGGTGTCTCACCACTTCTTTGTATATTCCTGGCAGCACATCAGTATTAATGAAAAACATCCCTTAAATGCAGAGCTGAATGTTTTTGTTTGTATTTTTCGTTTGTTTGTTTTTGGTTTTGAGAGGGTTTTGGTCTATTTAACTTGTGATCTGCTAGTCTTGTATGTTATATTTCCAGAATGGGATGAATAGCATAGGCCATAGTAAAGGCTTATTATCCTAATTATTAATACTTAATATTTAAATTGTGATTAAATCTTTAACATTGTTGAATGATACCATAGTATAGTAATAGTTTAAAAAAAATACTGTTTTAGTGAGCTTGAGGTTGCATACTCATTTTGGTAAGTATAGAAATGCTGATAAATTTTTTTTCTAGCCTATGTAATAAACTATTGCTACCACAACATTTTAGAAAAGGAATATTTATTATATTTTCACCTAAGCCCTTTCTGATGTATCTTATTCTTTGTAGTATCTCTGTGCCTTTTATATCGGTTGTGATTTTATTGCATTTATTTTCATTTGCACACGGTTTACATTTCTTAATGGTTTGACTTGGTTTCTAGAGTCA
The DNA here is from genome assembly GCF_000001405.40 of Homo sapiens. NCBI lineage: Eukaryota > Metazoa > Chordata > Mammalia > Primates > Hominidae > Homo > Homo sapiens. Next base: position 69,369,076 of record NC_000004.12, read on the forward strand.
GCATTAAGTTTAGGTTCATGATGCAGTAATGTAGCCCTAAAAATAAATATTGATTTTCGTCTTCTATTGACAAATGACTAAAAAGTGGAGAGATATTTCCATAAAGAATCATAATTTTAGGCTTTGGTCTTATATACAAATGGAAGAAGTGGGACATATATTCCCCTTTAATTTCTTATCAATGGTGTTTTCAAGTTCATCTTATATCTGTTTATAATAAAAATTCTCTTCTATTTCTATATGTTATACCATTTCAGCTGCTCTTGATCCCTTACTTTCCCACAATATAAGCTGATGCAAAGGACTAAACTGCAAAAACATTTGCAAAATAAATTTCATGTTCATCTGGTGTGCATAGTTCAGAGTTATGTGCTTTTGTTATTCCTGTGATTCCTGTTTTTGAATGCCTGAATTCCAACTTAAGAAGTAATTATTTCTCTCTACCACATATCATTGAGCATTAGTACTATTTTGATTTACTTAATCATGATTCCTCTATGCCAGCTCACAGAAATGACACACATTTAAAATTCAATTGAGTTCAGTACCATTACTAAGAAATAGTCATGATATCTGTTTGAGAATTTAGAATACCATAATTCTAAATTTAAATTATAACCTAACCCAGATTATTATAAAATTATTATTCAATTCTAAGCTTCTATGTGTCTAGTAGGTATAATCATGACAGTTTTACTTACGTATTATCATTGTAAGTTTCTTTTACAAGAAAAAAACGGAGGCTCAATAATAAAATCATTAACATCACATTATATTTATGTAGAAGTATATTTTTAAGTTTATTTAAGTAGCATTTTAAACAAATATTGTGGGTGTTCTCAAAATTAAACCTATATCATATGTATAAAAGTAACAATATTTTACTATATTGTAAAGCCTAAGATATATATTTAGACTAGAATGAACGTCTTACATTGAATTTGGAATATGAATGACCTAATCCATGTCATAAGTGGCCTATTTCTTTTAATGTACACTTTATGAGCTCCATTCATGCCAGGTCCTCAGCTAGCCTCCCCTGATACAAAGATAAATAAGGCTGCACTATAATAAGTTCTCTTTCTTTCTTTCTTTCTTTCTTTCTTTCTTTCTTTCTTTCTTTCTTCTTTTCTTTCTATCTGTCTCTCTGTTATTCCCATCTCTGTGTGCCATCCTCACACCCCTTCACCATACTATTACATAGTATGCTAAAATGAAACAATTCAGACAGTATTGTTCCAATCATACATGCATTTATTAGAAAGAAGGCACAGAAAATATAAAAATTCAAAGGAGTTTTAGTAGTTGTTTCTGGGATGTAATATTAATTAGGACATGACATACACTAGATAACTGCTGGTAGAGAATCCATTAAAAAAACACACACCCACAAAGACATACACACTAACTTACTCACAATGTCTATAAATATATATTTGTATATATGTATATATAAACATGTATTTTAAAGTAAATACAGAAATATAACTAAGATATATCATATTATGTCAATAATAATCAAAATACAGTAGAACAATCTGAAAATCTCCAAATTAACTTCACATAGCTAATTATTTCAAGATGCTAAATATTTTTGTTCATTAAAATAAAGATAAATTTGTGATTTTTCTCCATATCTGATCTTGCAAAAATTCAAAAACTATTCATAAGCATTTTAATTTAATATCAATATAATTATTTTCACAAGTTCAGTTAGAATTGTTTCTCTGTATATGGAAGTAATGGAAATGTTAATTCAGTTGCCAAGGTTTGACAAAAGATACCATTTTTGACAAAATGGATGAACCTAGAAGATATTATGCTAAGTAAATTAAGCAAGTTCAAGAAGGACAAATATTTTATGATTCCACTTATATTAGGTAAGTAAAATAGGCAAACTAATTGAAGCAGACAATAAAATAGTGTTTTCCAGGGGTTTGGGAGAGAGAGAAATTGGGAGTTGTTGCTCAGCGGGTATAAAGTTTCACTTATGCTTATGAATAAGCATAGTGATTTCCTCTGCAATATAATGCCTATGGTTAACAACGTGGTATTGTGCACTTAATAATGTGCTAAGAGGGTAAATCGCAAGCATTATTACCATCAAAATCAAAGACTGACAAAGAGAGCTTTTGTAGGTAATGGATATGTTTATTACCTTCACTGTTATAATGACAGCATCATGGGTGCACGTATATGTCCAAACTCAACAATTCATAAATATATATATTACATACATATATTACATATATATAATATATATATAAATATATATATTATATATATTATATATAATATATATAATATATATGTATGTATAAAATACTTGGTTTTTTATTCAATTGTACTTCAATAAAGCCATTAAAATTATATACATCTATTTTTGAAATTTATATGATGCATTTCTTAAATTGATGTACAAATTATTTCTCTACAAGAAATCAAATAATTCATTGAGGTGTCGGGGAAAATGGTATTGTGGTTTTTATTTGAATTGATGATCAAACATTTCACAGACAAAAACACAAATATAGCGAAATAATATTTCCTAGATCAGACAGAAATTTATTTAAATTTTAAACTTTATATCTGATTCTTAAAATTACTTCCCACAAAAAGAGATAAAATTTCAAAATCCAGGTTGCCTTTAACACTGCAAATTTTGACTTGCACTGTTTTCAGAAAGTTATATCAATATAAATAACAGAGGACATTTTGATCTTATGGACCGAAACCCAGCTTCTGTCTATAACATAAAAAAAACCAAGTGAATGCCTTACTTTATCCATCACCCAAGCTCTATAATAATGGATTTTCTTAAATAAAGTGGGAAGCCTGTGCGCAGCACTAGAGGAAATCATGTTATCATTTCAATAATCTATTAATGAGTTTAACATTTTGGTAAAAGATTGAGTTGACAAGGTCTGACTTCCATTATGTAATGATAGCTAGATATGTAATGATAACTCCTATCGCTGTTACTAGTCCTTCTTTTCCAAGCTAAGTACAGTTTAAAATTTGGAAACAAGCATATTTCTTTAGAGAGAGATGGCACGGATCAAAATGAATCCACTGACATTTTGACTGTAGAAGAAAGGAAAGACCAAAAGTCAATTCCCACAATTGGAACAAAAGTCAGTCCCAAAAAGTTGGGACATAAGTCTCAGAACTTAATGTCTCCTGGCTTGTACATGGAGAACAGGGCATAATTAAGCTACTTTTGAATAACCCTATAAAAACTTTAACATTCTGAGGTGAAGAAGAAGTAGCCAGATTTAATCTTGAATAAAACTGACTAGATTCAGTTTTAACCTATAAAAAAAGAAAGTCTTTTTTCTATAAAGTCTTATAGTTGCTTTTTTAAAAGTAACATATGAGATCATCCTGTGCTTTTTTAAAAAATCAGGTTTGAATGTTAACAGTCTTTTGTGTTTTCACATAAATTTTAAGATTTTTTTTCAATTCTGTAAGAAATACCATAGGAATTTAATAGAGTTTGCAATAAATCCATTAATCACTGTCAGAAGTACAGCCATTTTAATAATATGAATGTTCATCTCTGGTCTAGCAAAGATACTCCATCTGACACATGGGATGCCAGTGGAGCAAATACTTGGTGGAAATTGCAGGAGTCCACTACCAGACTCTAGGATCTATTGGATTTTGCAATGGTCAGACTTTTAATCAAAGATGTAATGGAGCCCATCATCCTGCATCCTTTATACTTTTAAGGTCTTTTATTTTCACAATCCCCAGGCATGTAACGCAATATTATTTTCCATTTTCTGGGTCACCTGACATCTGTGGTAATGGAGGAATGAAGAAGCTTCATGTATCTAGTGAATTGAAGAGTTGTCTTCCCCATAAATGTGTCCAGTGAGTAACCTCCAGAATCTATTAAAGTGACTTTATTGGAGAGAAGATCTTTGCAGATGTATGTAAAAAAAGAAAATCAAGACAAATTTATTCTGGATTTATGATGTGCTCTAAATCCAATGACAGATATCTTTATAAGGAGAAAGGTAGGAGGATCCCTTGAGGCCAGGAATCCAAGACCAGCCAAGTCAACATAGCAAGACATCGCTTCTACAAAAAATTAAAAACAAACAAATTTTTTTGAAAAGAATAAAGGCAGGAGAAAATTGGGAAGAAAGAAAAGAAAAGATGATGCTGAGGAAAGAGAAGTTGGTGAGAAGCCATAAGCCATGGGACTCCAAGAATTGTCAGCAACCAGTAAAGGCCAAGAGACAGGCATTGAACTGTTTTTCTCTTAGAGCCTCCAGAACAAATGAACCCTGAGAACACAGATTTTGACTTTCTGGCTTAGATAGCTATCAGAGAATAATTTCTATTTTAAGCAGCCCAAGAAACTAATGCAAAGATAATCCACTTGGCCTTTCCCACTAAAATGACTTGTATCCAGGCACCAATGATATAATTCACGGTTTTTCTAAAGAGAAAGTGTATCTACACAATTATGCATTTTGGAAATTGAGGAAATCACCAGTTATCCTAGGGATGTCACTGTCCCTTTCAGGAAAAAAAAAAAATATGGAATCAGTATCATGGGAGTTTATTTGGCTTTACAGAATTTTTTTCCCTGAAGGGCCTGGTGTCTTTGTCCGTAAATAAATTTCAGGTCTGAAAGCAAACTTAGATCCAGACCCTTGACAGTTTACTGTGATTTCTAGTGAGGACAGCTGCCCTCAACTTTTTAGTATCCATTCTTGAACTCTTCTGGTATTATAGATTGAGAAATTCCCTTGGTCACCTATCTGTTTTGTCCCTAGTGCTATCTTCTCTATTACTATGTACACAGCTTTCTAAATTAGGTCTTTCTGGATAACACCCCAGTCTTAGTACTCATGTGTATTATGACTATCTCCCTTCTGAAGGTCTCTATTATTTCAATATCTGATCATAAATCGTATCAGTGAGATTGGTTTGGTGAGTCAAAAAAGACCTATCAAAGGATAGACATGTTGAACATTCATTACAACTAGCAAATATTTGATAGATTTCCAGCACTGTATAAGATGTCTATGTCCAACAACGATAGACTGGATTAAGAAAATGTAGCACATATACACCATGGAATACTATGCAGCCACAAAAAATGATGAGTTCATGTCCTTTGTGGGGACATGGATGAAATTGGAAACTGTCATTCTCAGCAAACTATCGCAAGGAATGTAAACCAAACACCACATGTTCTCACTCATAGGTGGGAATTGAACAATGAAAACACATGGACACAGGAAGGGGAACATCACACTCTGGGGACTGTTGTGGGGTGGGGGAGGGGGGAGAGATAACATTAGGAGATATACCTAATGCTAAATGACGAGTTAATAGGTGCAGCACACCAACATGGCACATGTATACATATGTAACAAATCTGCACTTTGTGCACATGTACCCTAAAACTTAAAGTATAATAATAATAAAATTTAAAAAAAAAAGATGTCTATGTTAATATATCCACTATCATAAGCCTTCTGATTCCCTCTTTCATTCACTGGCAAGGCCATTCCAGCACACAAGTTTCATTTTGTAGTAGCCACAGTTTTTCCCAAGATTATGAAGGTATCTTAGTAGTAGTCTGTTACCACTACCTTCTGAAGTTTGAGCACAACTATTAAATTCTATTTCCTTTGAGAGTGCCTCAAAACAAAAAAGGAAAGTGTTGTTGAACTTTTTGAAAGTGTTTGCTGCATCTATTGAAATGATCATGATGTATTTCTTTTTAGTCCTAGGTATGTGATGAATCACATTTATTTATTTGCATATGTTTAACGAATCTTGCATCCTAAGATTAATGCCTACTTGATTGTGCTGGTTAGATTTTGATGTGCTGCTGAATTCAATTAATTAGTACTTTGTTGACGATTTTTGTGTCTATATTCATGATAGATATTGGCCTGATGTTTTCTTTTCTTCCTGTGTCTCTGCAAGGTTTTGGTATCAGAGCAATCTTGGCCTCATAGAATGAGTTAAGGAGGAGTCCCTCCTCCTCAATTTGTTGAAATAATTCAGCAGGATGGCTAGAATTTCTTTTTATATGTATAAAAGAATTTGGCTGTGAATCTATCTGAATCAGGTCTTTTTTGTTTGCTGGACTTTATATTACTGATTCAGTTTTGGAACTCATTTTGGGTCAGTTCAGGGTTTCTATTTCTACCCGGTTCAACTTTGGGAGGATGTAGGTGTCCAGAAATTTATCTGCTTCTTCTAGGTTTTTAAATTTGTGTGCCTAGAGATGGTCATAATGGCCTTTGCAGGTAGTTTGTTTTTCCTGAGGTTGATGATGATCCCCTCTTTGTCATTTCTGAGTGTGTTTATTTGGATCATCTCTCTTTCATTCTTTTGTAGTCTATCTAGTAATTAATCAATCTTATTTATTCTTTCAAATAACAAACTTTCAGTATTGTTGATGTTTTCTATGATTGTTTGTTCTCAATTTTACTCTAAAAAACCCTGAGCAAATTATGTGTTAAGGGAAAATACTCCAAAATAGTAAGAGCCATCTGTGAAAACTCACAGTCAACATCATACTGAATGCGCAAAAGCTCAAAGGATTCCTCTTGAGAACTGGAACAAGGCAATGATGTCCATTCTAACCATTGCTATTCAGTACAGTATTGGAAGTCCTAGCCAGAGTAAGAGAGAAAAACAAAAGTCATCCAAATAGAAAGAGGGAAAGACAAACTATCTCTCTTCTCAGATGGTATTATTTTATACACAGAAAACCCCAAAGCCTCTGTCCAAAAGCTCCTACTTCTGAAAAACTTCAGCAAAGTTTCAGAAGAAAAAATGTATGTACAAATGAGAGGAGGTTCCAGCTGTGTTTCCTTGGTCGAGTAGGGGCTCCGAAAACTGTGAAACTCACTCATTTCCTGCATCAGAACTTACTTTGGTCCTGGATGAATCATACTGAAGATATATGCTTAAAATATTCCTAACATCAGAATTTGTGCATGTGTTTTCTTCCCCAAGAAAGCTATAAACAGAGAAACTTTAGTTGTAACCTTCCCTGTGTCTTTGCTCCCTCTCTCCCTTCCCCCTCCCCTGAAACTAAAAGGAATGTTAAAGGCCAGTTTTTCCATGACCAGCAGCCCTTGTCTATGCTCCCAATTCCAATTCCTTGTAAACACAATTTGTAAAATCCTGTGAGATTCTGTCTCCTTTGCCATGCCGCTGCAAGGTTATAAAGTAGATAAAACTTCAGTTACAATTCAGGTTTTCCTCAAGATCTAAGACATGTTAATTGTCTTTTTTTCTCGCTCTGGTAACATCTTCCCACCACATTTATTTCCCGTCTTAAAGAGTTTAAAAGGTGATCGAAAAATCCAACACTAGCTACCCGCTTGGGACCCCTTCCACCCTGTGGAAGCTTTGTACCATCACTCTGCTCGATAAAGCCTACAGCTTTTTTTTCTCTCGGTTGACCCGTGTCTCTCTCTCACCCTCACTGAGGGCTGCCGCCACACCAAATCTTTGGCAAGGCTTAGGCAAGAACCTTTGGCATTACATTTTTGGCGGGCCAGCCAGGAGGATCTCCAGGAAAGGCATCTAGATCGTCACGTGGCGAGTACGATGGGACCTCTTTGGCTTGCTATTCTATCCTGTCCTTCCTTAGAATTCAGAGGCTAAACCGGGCACCTGTCAGCCACTTAAAGGTGATTATCGCGGCCATGGGACTAAAGACAGGGTGTCAGCCTCTCTGGAAAAGGGCTAACAACCCCTACCCTTTGGGACTGGGAATGTTGGTAAGTCTGGATGCAGTTCATACTCTTTCACTTTCCGTGGTGGTCCACAAGTACACCGGGAGTTATCAGCGGACTTTCTAGTCCAGATTTCCTGGTTGAGATCATGGAGCCGCCAAAGGCCTCCCCTGCAAGGGTTACTGAGTGTGAGACCGCCATATCTTCTGACCCCTTCCTCCTGGGTCCTAATGTCCGCCAGCTAGACTTCTTTCCTCACCTCACAAGCAAGGTTATTCCCACTAGGCAGGATGAAGATTTTCTATTTAAAAGTCTTAAATTCTTGGGATGGTGCCCAGAAGAGCCCTGTTCATGGTTGCTTCCAGGGATTAGGCAGGTTTTTCCGTTCCATGGCTATTTTGAAGGGCCAGTTCCCCACCATAGTGTATGGTCCCCCACATCAAGACAATTTAAATGTAGGTCTGTAATTTTCATGTGGATAGTAGATGCCTTAGGGTATTTCCTCCATTGCTCCCCAGACAGACTTTCCCCCTTCTTGGGGCCTCTCAAGTACAATCTGTGGTGCATGGGTACAGCTCTTAGAGCCATTGAAAAGCTATTTGAACCATTCAATAGTTGGTACTGGAAGGAAGAAATGTAGTCAGTTGGGACACAGGATACTGGTACCGCCGTAAGAGAGGGGCTTGCTCCTTAGATGGCAAGTGGGGACAGAAGGTTAGAGTACAGCAGCTGTTCTCTCAGCCCTGGCCTAGAGAACATCGACCACCCCCTTCAAGCTTACTAAGCCTCCTGTCACTAATTTAGAGATTTCTCCTTGAAGGACAGTTTTGTGGCCAGGCCCATGTAAATTGGGCCTTAGCATGCAGGCATCAGTGGTGCCTCAGGCCCAGGCCTTGCCGCCATGGAACAGGTAGGACGCATTGGCAGAAGGACCACAATAAATCCAACAGTCCTTGTGCTCCATTTAGTGGTCAATGGGTGCACAGCAGGGACAAGGGAAGTTTCCATACCGCCGGTAAGCATGGTTAAATCCAGTAGATGGAGGGCTCAGGTAAAGAGGCCATGAGCTTTGAGCACAATTGGACCTGACCCTTGAGGGACGCCCTAAGGGAAGACGAGTCCCAGGAATAACCAGGGGTGCGGGCATCCCTGTGTTTAAAATTCCAGATGGGCACCACACCTTCCAAACCGGACACTCCCTTAAGATGTATTCTGAATAACTGGGACAAATTCAACCCTGAAACCTTAAAAAAGAAGCGGCTGATTATCTTCTGTACCACTGCCTGGCCACAATATTCCTCACAAAATGGAGAAACTTGGCCCCCTGAGGGAAGTATTAATTATAACACATTTCTACAACCAGATCTTTTCTGTAAACAGGAAGATAAATGGAGTGAAGTCCCTTATGTACAGGCTTTCTTTGCCCTTCGTGACAATACTGCCCTGTGCCAAGCCTGCAAGCTTTGCCCAAATGACAGAGGGACACAGTTGCCTCCATACTCAGGGCCTCTTCCCTCAGCCCTACTCTCCTCCTGCACTGACTCTCCTCCATCCAGCCCTACTGAAGTGTTAAAGGCACACCGGAAAGAGAATGTAAACTGTGTGAACCAGGCAATCAAACTATGTCCCTTATAAGCAGTAGGAGGAGAATTGGGGCCCATTCACGTGCATGTCCCCTTCTCACTCTCAGATTTGAAACAAATAAAGGCAGATTTAGGGAAATTCTCAGATGATCCTGATAACTATATAGATGTCCTGCAAGGATTGGGGCAGTCCTTTGATCTAACATGGACAGATATCATGTTGCTTCTTGATCAGACCGTAAGTCCTACTGAAAAAGAAGCAGCTTTAGCAGCAGCCTGGCAATTTGGGGATCTGTGGTACCTTAGCTAGGTAAATGATTGAATGACCCTGGAGGAGAGGGAAATATCCCCCCAGGGCAACAGGCAGTCCCTAGTGTGGACCCTCACTGGGATACTTACTCAGATCATGGAGATAGGAGCCGCAGGCATTTGCAAACTTGCATTTAGGTGGGTTGAGGAAGACTAGGAAAAAGCCTATGAACTACTCAATGCTATTATTACACAGGGAATTACACAGGGAAAGGAGGGAAACCCATCCGCTTTTCCAGAAAGGCTAAGGAAGGCCCTAAGAAAGCACACACACCCCTAACTCCAGATTCCGTTGAAGCCAACTTATTTTAAAGGATAAATTTGTCACCCAATCAGTGGCTGACATTAGGAGAAAACTCCAAAAGTCTGCTTTTGGCCCGGAACAAAATTTAGAGACATTATTAAACCTGGCAACCTCAGTGTTCTATAAGAGGGACCAAGAGGAACAGGCCAAAAGGGAAAAGCAAGATAAGAGAAAGGCTGCAGCCTTAGTCATGGCCCTCAGACAGGCAGACCTTGGTGGCTCAGAGAGAATCAAGAGGAGAGGCCAATTGCCTAGTAGGGCTTGTTATCAGTGGGGTTTGCAAGGACACTTTAAGAAAGAGTGTTCAACAACAAAAAAAAAACCACCCCCTCACCCATGTCCAATTGGTGCACTGCCCCAGAGGATGAAGGCCCTCTGGACCAGAAGCACCCACCCAGATGATTCAGCAACAGGACTGAGGGTGCCTGGGGCAAGCGCTAGCTCATGCCATCACCCTCACAGAGCCCCGGGTAAGTTTGACCATTGAGGGCCAGGAAGTGGACTTCCTCCTGGGCACTGGCGCGGCCTTCTCAGTTTTAACCTCTTGCCCCAGACGACTGTCCCCAAAGTCTGTTACTATCCGAGGAATCTTAGGACAGCCTGTAACCAGGTATTTCTCTTGCCTCCTCAGCTGCAGTTGGGAGACTTTGCTCTTTTCACATGCCTTTCTTATAATGCCTGAAAGTCCCATACCCTTCTTAGGGAAGAACATATTAGCCAAAGCTGGGGCCATTATCTACATGAATATGGGGAACAAATTACCCATTTGTTGTCCCCTACTTGAAGAAGGAATCAACTTCGAGGTCTGGGCCTTAGAAGGATAATTTGGAAGGGCAAAGAATGCTCATCCAGTCCAAATCAAGCTAAAAGACCCCACCATTTTTCCTTATCAAAGGCAATATCCCTTAAGGCCTGAAGCTCTCAAAGGATTACAGGATATTGTTAGAAATTTAAAAGCTCAAGGTTTAGTAAAAATATGTAGCAGTCCTTGGAACACCCCAATCCTAGGAATACAAAAACCAAATAGTCAGTGGAGACTAGTGCAAGACCTCAGGTTTCACCTGTCTACCTTCAGGCATTTTTTTCATCTGTTATAACACTGCCTATCATGCCTAAATGGCACTCCGAAAGAACTGTGCTTTCTCTCCTTTCTAGCACCTCCCATGTCCATATATACTGAACAAGAGTTACAAAGTCTCCTTATAACCCAATCTTGCCACACACAAGCCCTTAGTGTCCCTTTTACTATAGGAGCCAGAATACTAGGCAGGCTTGGGACTGGAATTGGAGGCATAACCACCTCCACCCCATTCTATTATAAATTATCATGAGAATTAAATGATCACATGGAATGAGTTGCCAACTCTCTAGTGACCCTATAAAGCCAGCTTAATTCTCTAGCTGTGGTAGTCCTTCAAAATTGGAGAGCCCTAGACTTATTAACAGCTGAAAGAGGAGGAACCTGCCTCTTCTTAGGAGAAGAATGTTGCTATTTCGTTAACCAGTCAGGAATCATTACTGAAAAGGTCAAAGAAATAAGAGAACGAATAGAAAGTAGAAAAAAGGAGCTTGAACACTCAGGGCCCTGAAATATGTTTAACCAATGGGTACCTTGGATCCTCCCCTTTGTAGGCCTGTGACAGCCATCCAACTATTACTCGCTTTTGGGCCTTGCATTTTTAACCTCCTTGTCAAATTTGTTTCCTCCAGGATCGAGGCCATCAATCTACAGATGATCTTACACATGGAACCTCAAATGAGCTCAACTCATGCTTCTACCAAGGACCCCTGGATCCACCCGCTGGTCCCTCACTAGCCTAAAAACTTCTCCTCTGGAAGACACCACAACTACAGGTCCCCTTCTTTGCCCCTAACCAGCAGGAAGTAGCCAGAATGACCGCCGCCCTGTTCCCAACAGCGGTTGGTGTGTCCTGTCTAGAGGGGGGACTGAGTTGGTTCCAGCTGGGCTTTCTGGGTTAAGTAGGGGCTCAGAAAGCTGCGAAACTCACTCATTTCCTACATCATGGCTTACTTTGGTCCTGGATGAATAATATTGACGATATATGCTTAAAATATTCCTAACATCAGAATTTGTGCATGTGTTTTCTTCCCCCAAGAAAGCTATAAAAAGCGAAACTTTTGCTGTAAGCTTACCTGTGTCCATGCTCCCTCTCTCCCTTCCTCATCCCCTGAAACTGAAAGGAATTTTAACAGCCAGTTTTTCTGTGACCAGCAGAACTTGTCTATGCTCCCAATTCCAATTCCTTGTAAACACAATTTGTAAAATCCTGTGAGATTCTGTCTCCTTTGCCATGCCACTGCAAGGTTATAAAGTAGATAAAACTTAAGTTACAATTCTGGTTTTCCTCAAGACCTAAGACTTGTTAATTGTCTTTGTTTATCTCTCTGGAAACATCTTCCCACCACATGTATTTTCTGCCTTAAAAGAATTTAAAAGGTGATCAAAAAATCTAACACTGGCTACCCGCTCGGGACCCCTTCCATGCTGTGGAAGCTTTGTACTGTCACTCTGCTCAATAAAGCCTGCAGCTTTTTTTTCTCTCAGTTGATCCATGTCTCTCTCTCACCGAAGGCTGCCTCCACACCAAATCTTTGGTGTGGCTAAGGCAAGAACCTTCGGCATTAGACAAATATCAGTAACATTTGTTTATACCAACAACATCCAGGCTGAGAGCCAAATCAAGAATGCACTACCATTTACAACAGCCACAAATAAAATACCTAGAAATACAACTAACCAGGGAGGTGAGGAATCTCTACCCTAAATGTTACAAAATGCTGTTGAAAAAATAGAAACAACACCAACAAAAAGAAATGTATTTCATGCTCAATTATAGAAAGAATTAATATTGTTAAATTGACCATACTGCCCAAAGTAATTTACTGATTCAGTGCTATTTCTATCAAACTACCATGAACATTTTCAATGCAATTGGAAAAAAAAAACTTCTAAAATTCCTATGAAACCAGAAATAGCCCAAAAGTCAAAACAGGTCTAAGCACAAAAACAAAGCCAGAGGCGTCACAATACCCAACTTCACACTCTAATACAAGGCTACAGTAACTGAAACAGCCTGGTACTTGTACAAAAACAGACACATAGACCAATGGAACCAGTTAAAGCACCCAGAAATAAAGCCTTACACCTACAGTCATCTGATTTAAACAAAGTCAATAAGAACAAACAATGGGGGAAACAACTCACTCTTCAATAAATGGTGCTAAATAACTGTCTAGCCATATGCAGAAGACTGAAACTAGATATCTTCTTTTTACCATATGCAAAAACCAACTGAAGATGGGTTAAAAATGTAAATGTTTAGCTAATAGGGTTTGGCTGTGTCCCCACCCAAATCTCATCTTCAATTGTAGCTCCCATAATTTCCACATGTTGTGGGAAGGATCCAGCAAGAGGTAACTTAATCATAGGGGTGGGTTTTTCCCATATCATTTTTTTGATAGTAAATAAGTCTTGTGAGATATAATTGTTCTATAAAGGGGAATTTCCCTACACAAGCTCTCTTACCTGCCACTGTGTAAGATGTGACTTTGCTCCTCATTCACCTTCCACCATAATTGTGAGGTCTCCCTGGTTATGTGAAACTGTGAGTCCATTAAAACTCTTTCCTTTATAAATTAGCTTTGGGTGTGTCTTTTTTTAACAGCATGAGGATAGATTAATACAGTAAATTGGTACCAGGTAGTGGGGTACTCATGTATAGATATCAGAAAATATGGAAGCAACTTTGGAACTGGGTAACAGGCAGAGGTTAAAATAGTTTGGAAGACTCAGAAGAAAACAGAAAGATGTGGGAAAGTTTGAAACCTCCTAGAGACTTATTGAATGGCTTTGAGCAAAATGCCGATAGTGATATGGACAATAAAGTCCAGGCAGAGGTGGTCTCAAATGGAGATAAGGAACTTGTTGGTAACTGGAGCAAAGGTGACTCTGCTATGTTTTAGCAAAGACTGGTGGCATTTTCCTCCTGCCCTAGAGATTTGTGAAACTTGTAATATGAGATAGCTGATTTAGAGCATCTGATGGAAGAAATTTCTAAGCAGCAAAGTATTCAAGAGGTGACTTGGGTACAGTCAAAAGTATTCCGTTTTATGTATTTACAAAGATATGGTTTGGAATTGGAACTTATGGTGAAAACGGAAGCAGAGCATAAAATTTTGGAAAATCCATAGCCTGACGATGTGGTATAAAAGAAAAATCCCATTTTCAGAGGAGAAATTCGAGCTAACTGCAGAAACTTGCATAAGTAATTGGAAACCAATTGTCAATAGTCAAGACAACGGAGAAAGTGTCTCCAGGGCATGTCAGAGGTCTTTCTGGCTGTAGCCCTTCACATTACAGACTGGGAGGCCTAGAAGGAAAAAAAAAATGGTTTTGTGAGCTAGGCCCAGAATCTTGCTGCTTTGTGCAGTGTCAGAACTCGGTCCCCTGTGTCTCAGCTGTGGCTGAAAGGAGCCAAGGTAGAGCTCAAGACATGGCTTCAGTGGGGCAACGTCCAAGCATTGGCAGATTGTCAGCTTTGATGTGGTGTTGAGTCTGTGGGTACAGAGAAGTCAATAATTGAGGCTTGGGAACTTCTGCCTAGATTTCAGAAGATTTATGGAAATGCCTGTATGTTCAAGCAGAAGTTTGCTGCAGGGGTGAGAAAATCATGAAGAAACTCTGCTAGCGCAGTGTGAAAGGAAAATGTGTGCTGTGAGCTCCCCCAGCCCCAACACACCCACACAGAGAGTCACCACCAGAGCACTACCTAGTGGAGCTGTGAGAAGTGGGCCACCATCCTCCAGACCCCAGTATGATACATCAACAAACAGTTTAGACCATGCAACTGGAAAAACCACAGACATTCAATGCCAGCCCATGAAAACAGCCAAGAGGAGGGCTGTACCCTGCAAAGCCAAAGGGGTTGAGCTGCCCAAGACCATGGAGTCCCACTGCTTATATCAGTGTGACCTGTATTTCAGACATGGAGTCAAAGAAGATGATTTTGGCAATGACTGCCCCTGGATTTTACCGCCTTACCTGGATTTTGGACTTGCATGGAGCCTGTAGTCCCTTTGTCTTGGCCAATTTCTGCCATTTAGAAGGAGAGTATTTACCCAATGCCTGTTTCTTCATTGTATCTAGAAAGTAACTAACTTGCTTTTGTTTTTTAGGCTCATAGGCAAAAAGGACTTGCCTTATCTCAGATGAGACTTTGGACTGTGGACTTTTGAGTTAATGCTGAAATTAGTTAAGACTTTGGGGAACTGATGGGAGTGCATGATTGGTTTTTAAATGTGAGGACCTGATATTTGGAAGGGGCCAAGGGAAGAATGATATGATTTGGCTGTGTCCTCACCCAAATTTCATCTTGAATTGTAGCTCCCATAATTCCTACATGTTGTGGGAGGAACTTGGTGAGAGGTAATTGAATCATGGTAGTGCATCTTTCCCATGCTATTCCCATGATAGTGAATAGGTGTCTTGAGGTATTATAGTTTTATAAAGGAGAGTTTCCCTACACAAGCCTTCTTGCCTGCCTCCATGTATTACATAACATTGCTTCTCATTTGCCTTTTGTCATCATTGTGAGGCCTCCCAAGCCATGTGTAACTGTGAATCTACTAAACCTCTTTCCTTATAAATTACCCAGTCTCGGGTATGTCTTTAGTAACAGCATGAGAAAAGGCTAGTACAATATCCTAAAACTATAAAACCCTAGAACAAAATCAAGAGAATAGAACATAACTGAACTAAAAGCCCCTGTGCAGCAAAAGTAACTATCAACAGAATAAACAGATGACTTACAGAATGGGGGAATATAATTGTAAACTATGCATCTGATAAAGATCTAATATCAAAAATCTATAAGGAACTTAAACAAATTAACAAAACATACACAAACAACTCCATTAAAAAATGGGGCAGGGACATCAAGAAAGAATTCTCAAAAGAATATATACACAGGAATGTGCTCAAGATGATCAACTAGATGCAGTCAGGAAGTGCCACTGCCACCAGGGGAACACCAAGTTTTTTTTTTTTCATACCAACATAATTTGAACAGATCTTTGGAGAGAAAATATTGAATGTGGATGGAGAAAAGAAGTAGTCACTGAGGCTGAAGAGAAAGAAGGCTGAGGACAGTGAATGGGGTGCCTGAATACTACAGCTACAGCTGGTTCTTTACCCTGAGCGATTTCTAGGGAAAGGTGAGTCAAAGGAATAGTAGACAGCTCCCTCTCACTATAGACCTCTGGAATTCTGGCTAGATGGGGCTCCATACCTTCAAGGACATGTAGACTGGCAGAGGGATCTCCAGAGATTGCACAGAGATGGAGCTGCAGACAAAATCCAGGGACCTTTGTGAATAGGTCCTTTACAGAGACAACTCCTATATAAGAAAAACTTGAAACAAAGGTGTTGCATTCAACTCCTTCCCTTCAGAGGATGCCCTACTCTGTAATGTCAAAGCTTTCAATGAACTATCTTTTCTCAACGCACTCTGTGAGCGCACACAGATTCCTGTGTGGAATCTGAGAACCTTCTCTCGGTGTCTGAATCAAGGCCCCTTTTTCTGGGAACACTTCCAAGGAGAGTTTTCTGGCTTTCACCGTTTGCCTTAATTTGATGATTATTAGTCCTCACTTTTCTATTATTTTCTCCCAAGCATTAACTGCAGAAAAAAGCATTTGCCTTTATTGTGGTCATAATTTCTACTTTTCCCATATTGATACATTTGTGATATATCCTAATAAGTAACACTTTCCCTTTCAAAAGATTACCATCATAATTTGCCATTACTGAAAGTATGAAAAATTTAGATTATCACATTCCAGGGTCTATTTGTGTTCTCCCTACCAATAGTGATAGGATTCTCATTACAACTGGTAGTGAATGATCCAACTCTAAAATCTCATTTTGTTGTCTGCTCTTTTTTTCTGACCTCTCTTGGTACATATTTTCAAATGCTGGGTGGCTCCAAGAAGTAGACTCTAAGCTGAATATGTTTTTGAGGGAGATAATTCGGGAGTTTTATTGAAAATAACATCTGTGAAAAAGTAGGAAGCAAGACTGGACTGTGGAACAAATTAGGATATAATTCAGTGCAATGGTTTGAATGCTTGAGTGCTCCAAAGATTAATATGTTAAAACTCTTATAACCAAAATGATTGTATTAGCAGACAGAACCTTTTAGGAGGTGTTTAGGTCACGAAGGCAGAGTCCTCATTAGTGGAATTAATTTCATTCCAAAATTTGCTCACAAGAACACATTCATCTCTTTTCCCCATTAAGACAAGGTGACAGGCTGCCATCTTGGAGGAATGCCCAATACCAGCATCTTGATTGTGAAACCTTCAGCCTCAAGAACTGTGGCAAATAAATGTTTTTTGTCTATATGCTAGGCAATGTATGGTATTTTTCTATATAGCACCCTGAGCAAGCTAAGACATGCAGTCTCAGCATAGGGTTCATCTCACCCACTGGGAGTTCTGAAGACAAGTTAGCCTTTCAGAGTTGGTCCACATTGAAATGAGGAGAATGGGCCTTCAAAGTCTTACATATGTCCAGGCATTGGATATGGGCTGTCTTGGAAAGGTCACTTTATACTAGATAGCTTTCAGCAGCGCTGTACTGAGAGAGAGCGCTTATAGGTGATGTATGTCAGTTGTCAGTCACTTCATCAGCTGGAAAGTAATTTATATATTCCCAAAGGGAAAATCTGGGTGACACATAATGCATGCACTCAAGGACATTAAAAATATTGAACAATATTGCCACTCTGTAGGCAATATTTGCTCAGAAACTGTGTTCAAACATCCTTTTAAGAAAGATTTACCTCATTTCAGGTTAACAGATTATTAATAGAATAAAAATAAATTTGTATATTTTGTGACATGCATCTTTTCCTTCCTAATTCTACTTCGATGTAAATTTCTGGTGAGACTTTTTAAAAGTACAAATTACCTGAATTACAAGGCAATCTGTGAAACAAGTTCAGGAGTGGGCATTTAGAAGATAAATACTTTCTAAGAGTGAGAAACGTAAGGAATGCTGCAAATATTCAGAAAAAGAAAATATTGTGATTTAGACAAAATATTTTCAAATGAAGCAAAGTAACTGTAATTATACTTAAAACATATCTGTTTGGATAAAAAGAAAATGAATTTCTATAGTCACAAAAACAATGTCAAGAAACATGAAATGATGCTAATATCATAATTGCGAAAATACGTAGAGGAAATGAAGACGGTCTATTTGAGAATGTTAAGATAAATAAGAATAGATCACACCCCTGCCTCACTGTTGACACAATGCTGCTTTCTTATACTAGAAACTCTTCATATACAATTAAATTATCTCTTGTTCTGGAGACAGCCACATTTACAATAAGAATGAAATTGATTATTCACACATACAAACACAAAATCATTCATCCTTTTCTTTATTCACTTGCTTTCCAAAACCTCTATTGTCAATACTTAAATCATTGTGACATTGATTGATATTGATATGTACCCAGTTAGAGAAAGGTATAAAGAAAGATAGCATTTTAACAAGTTGTCTAAGAAATGGGCTTTTTTGTTTCTTATGCTGACAGTTGTATTTTAGCCCTGAATCCTGCGAGAATGTGCTGGTGTGGCCGATGAAATACAGTCTTTGTATCAATTTAATGTTGATACTTGATGAACTTGCTCAGAACACCATGAGGTAACTGTGCTTGTCACCTTCAGCTTCCATCCTCATTGATTCCAACAATCTGCTGTTAAATTTGAGGTTTATCCCACATCTTTTACTCAGAATGAACTTGATTTCATTTTTATGAAGTTGATCAAGATGTGGACATATAAGTTTCCAAAGAGTATATTGTTGACATATGATTCAAAGATGCAAAAACTACATATCATGAATGTTCTGATACTGTTCAAAAGCTCTGTGAGTATGCTGTTTTGAACAAGAAAATTATGAGGAACAACAAGATTCCAGAATTTATGTCATTCTTGCAGATGTCACTTCTCAGTAGTGAGCTGCTATCTGAACAACTTAATCTGTTAAACATTTGTTATACATTTGGTCTACAATCATCAATTTACAACTGGCAGTATGTACCAAGAACTCTGTGGAGAACTTACATTACCTCCTTTTGATGTAACTGTTGTCATATCAGAACTTAGTACAAAAATACATTTGTAGAAAGGTGAAAAATCTGTTGCATTTTCTTCGTTTTGACTTTGCATTTGAGATTTTTAACAAAAAGAAGTGGGATCAGTTTTACAGTGAAGTATTAGGTAAGTTAGTGTTTAATTTATTCACTTTTCCCTCCAATATGTGGAAGGAAACCTTCCTTTTTTGTGTCTGTTGGAGTGTGTTTATAAATTGAAATAAAAAATAACCTTTTTGGTTGTGTGAAAGAAAAGGGTGGGCAAGGTTGTGGAGACATTGAAACCCTCATACATTGTTGGTGAGAATAGAAAATTATTCACTCACTCTGAAAAAGTCTAGCAATTCCTCAAAAGGTTATATTTACATTTACCACATAATTCAGTAATTGCCTTTCTAGGCATATCCCCAAGAAAAATAAAAACATGTCCACAGAAATGATGCACATCACTGTTAATAAATGCTATTCATAGTGGCCAAAAGTGGAAGAAAATCAATATCCATCAACTGATAAATGAATAAATAAATTGTGTTTATAAATAGCATCTGATACTATTTGGCAATAAAAATGAAGTCCTTATTTACACTGTTCTATGGTCGGTCCTTTAAAAACATTAAACTAAATAAAAGAAGCCAACCACAAAAGTCCACATATTGTATAGTTTCATTTATATTTAAAAAGATCCTGAATAGGTACATTTGTAGAGGGAGAAATTAGATTACTAGTTGCCCAGTGCAGGATGGATGCAGAAATTCAGTGGGGAGAAGAGAGCTAATATACAGGATTTTTTTTTTTTTTTAGATAAAACTCATTGTTATGTTGGATGCACAAATCTGTGAATTTACAAGGAAATACTTAATTTAAAATAATAATTGATGGAGCATACGGTATTTGGATTATACTTCAACAAAGTTTTACAAGATAGTCCTTGAACCACGATATTCAAAAACGCTATTTGCATTGTACAGTCATTTCATCTCTTACTCTGTGTCAAGGGCCCTGCAGGACTCTCTCACTTGCCACTGTTCTTGACACTATTATAAAATACGTTACATAAAACAGGGTACTTGCAAGGTCATAATCTTAGGTGGATGACAGCGAATATAAACATAAAAGAAACAGCAAACATCCTTGAGTAAATATGAAGTAATCCAACTTTGTTTGTCTTCTTGCCATCCATGGACTCAGGATGTTCATATAATGTATTTACTTTGAATTGAAGGAGTTATGTTTTAACTTGATTGATTTATCTCTGTATATAAGTATGAGAAAGAAACAGTGACTTGAAAAGAATGATCACATTGCACCAGGATGGCTCTGAAATGGACTTCAGTTCTTCTGCTGATACATCTCAGTTGTTACTTTAGCTCTGGGAGTTGTGGAAAGGTGCTGGTGTGGGCCACAGAATACAGCCATTGGATGAATATGAAGACAATCCTGAAAGAGCTTGTTCAGAGAGGTCATGAGGTGACTGTACTGGCATCTTCAGCTTCCATTCTTTTTGATCCCAATGATGCATCCACTCTTAAATTTGAAGTTTATCCTACATCTTTAACTAAAACTGAATTTGAGAATATCGTCATGCAACAGGTTAAGAGATGGTCAGACATTCGAAAAGATAGCTTTTGGTTATATTTTTCACAAGAACAAGAAATCCTGTGGGAATTATATGACATATTTAGAAACTTCTGTAAAGATGTAGTTTCAAATAAGAAACTTATGAAAAAACTACAAGTCAAGATTTGACATCATTTTTGCAGATGCTTCTTTTCCTTGTGGTGAGCTGCTGGCTGAGCTATTTAACATACCCTTTGTGTACAGTCTCCGCTTTACTCCTGGCTACACAGTTGAAAGGCACAGTGGAGGACTGATTTTCCCTCCTTCCTACATACCTATTGTTATGTCAAAATTAAGTGATCAAATGACTTTCATGGAGAGGGTAAAAAATATGATCTATGTGATTTATTTTGACTTTTGGTTCCAAATGTGTGATATGAAGAAGTGGGATCAGTTTTACAGTGAAGTTTTAGGTAAGAATTTGAAGCAAAGCTTATATAAAGCCATAAAGACAGGGAAGTGTAGTTTTTGTTAAGTGAATTTATGAAATGAAAATACAAGATGATCTATCAATCTCACAAACATTATAGAAAAGCTTAAATTATAAGGTCTGTTAAAACCCTGTGGCCATCACTCATACAGAACACCCCAGGAAATCATAAACCTATATGTTAGTACACCTAAGACTTTAAGCAATTACACATCTGTTTTACTATATAATGTTTTAGATCTTAAAAACAGTAAAATCCATCAAGTAACATCTTACCCAATGTATAGATTTAGAATGAGTAATTACACATTTTTCTACAGCAATCTATAAAATGGCAGAAATTTTTCCTTGTAAACCTCAGTTTTCTTTTTAAAAAATTAAAAGATATTCCCACGTTACCAGAAGGTTTCCTTCACAGTAGAGAGAGATAATGTCTACATCTCAGATGCAAAAATCAATAAGGGTAATTTGAAGTTTCTAATGTTTCTATACTCCTTCACTAAAGAATTGGAATTCATTCATTTGAAGTCCAATTATCTTGTTGAAGTGTGAAGGTTGTTAGATCTATATAGTTAATTTGAAGCTATGTCTCTTTATTTAAAAATATGAGACAGATTAAATTTGAGTACAGATCACTATTTCAATAATTTCTCAAAAATATCTAGCTATAATTTACAAATATATTTACTTAAAAGGTAATATTATTAAGATCTTAGCTCAAATCCAAATGAGTAGTTGGTACAAGGATTTCTGCCACACTCTCAAAATAGTCCAGAGTTCACTTGAAGAACCAAGGATAAAAGGATTAGCTAAATGAGCTGTGTAAACTAGACTGTTAGAAAATTGTTTTTATGGGTACAGTAGAATTAATTGATTATGGAGCTCAAAGAGTTGTTTAAATATCTATATGCTACTATTGAAGCTTTAAAGAGAAAATAAATTGATGTTTAATTATCTATGACTCATTTTAATAATTGTGAGTATACTGACATGACATTAGAGATGTAGCTTAACCTCATAATTCTCCCACCACTTTGCCTTTCTTATAAATAAACATGGGCAAAATATATAATACATAAAAATATATTATTCATATATATGAATATATGTATATATTTTTCAAAGCACACAAACTTTACCTACATCTTTGCCTACGTTATTCTAACCCCTTTGAGAAAGTTATATAAAGTAATTATCTTACGTCATCCACTTTTTCTTTTCTTTATTCCTGTCAGGAAGACCCACTACCTTATTTGAGACAATGGGGAAAGCTGACATATGGCTTATGCGAAACTCCTGGAATTTTCAGTTTCCTCATCCTTTCTTACCAAACGTTGATTTTGTTGGAGGACTCCACTGCAAACCTGCCAAACCCCTACCTAAGATAAACATACTTTCGTTGGTTTTATTTTGTTGGCTTCGAAGTTTCAGTAGAAATGAGTCTATAGTTTTCATTCAGAATGTTTGACTTACACTGAAAGAAAGATGGGAAGTAGGTGGTGTAAAGCAGATACCAATTAGAAACTCATGTACATGTTAATACCATCACACATATGTGAGTTTTATGCATATTACAGAGAGAGAGGAATAGTAAGGAGACTTTGAAAATAGAGTTGGTTAAAGTAAAGTCTTGATTATGCAACACCTAAGAAGGTATTGATCATTCATTCAGAGAATATTTATAAAGGGATTAGCACAAAACACAAGTAAGTGCAGAAATTTCAGAGAAAAAAAAAGACACAGTTTCCGTCCCTACATACTTTACATTCTACTTTGAAATATAGAATATAAGTAATTAATGAAAATGTTATAAAAAACTATTATCTCAAGGAAAAACCCAATGTCAAGAAAGCATCAGTGGAGATAATAGAAAGTATCCTGGAGTTACTGATTAGTAAGATGAGATCTGAACAATATGTAGGAATAGGTAAAAGAACGACGGGGAGGGGCAGACAAAAAGGGAAAGCAGATAAAGTGGTCAGGACAGCTCTCAAGTCCTCAGGTTTTGTTTTCAGGGAATGATTAAGAATCAGATGATATTAAGAGGTAAATTAGAGCCAGATATGTATTAGGAGTGGAAATATTTGTTAAGAATATTGAAAAACTACTAAAAAGAGTTAAGAAATAAATATATATGAAATGATTCTCTTTTTTAAGAAAAGCCTCCAAGATATTCAATGGATTAAATTACAGAAGGGCCACACTGTAAAGAGCCAACCATTCAGGAAATTTTGCATGGATTCAGGTAGCAGATGATGGAAAAGTGGACTAGAATGTTGATAGAAATAATTATGCCTACATTTACTAAAATAGTGCCAAATTCATATTGTGTTGTGTGGAAAAAAATATTAAAACAGACAAAACACTTAAAATGTCTCTGGCATACAGTCAGTGGCTCAGAAATGTTATTAATTTTGCAATTATGGTTATTTTATTACTAATACTACTAACTACTTAACATGTGCAAGTCACTTGAGATATCATTCCTCATTTAAGAGAACCAGATTATTCAGCACATCAAGGTTATATTCTCTTGCAAAGTCATAGATGACAGATACCCTGTGGACTTGATTAAAATTAGACATATCAATTGTGACAGCAAGTTGAGCTACTTGAAATTCTAAAATTCTACCATAAGTAAAAAGGATCTTCACCAGTATTCCAGCTTAAAACCCTTCCTCAACAATATAAATGTGTGCCTTAAATATGTGCAGACAAACCCAGGGTTCACTTGACTTTAATAAAGTATTTAAATCATTTCTGCATTGAGATCCCAGAGTTTTACATTTTAGATCATAAACATACCCTATTAGAGCAGACGATGTCTGCCTTATGACAAGCAACTCAGTAAAGCTTCCTGGGGGAACTTGTCTCAACATCATAGGTGCCTGACAGAGAAGCACAGAGATAGTGAACAATCCATGTATAATAAAGACCAAATAATTTCTACCACTTGTATCTGAATAGTGCCCTTAGTTTCAATATGAAAAAAAATTCTGTCAGCATATAAGATTATATTCTTTTTGAAGGAACACAAAAACCACATATATTTTAAATTAATATCACATTTTAAGACATACGTACAAAGAAAGCCTTCTTCAATGCATTATTACTCAACCTCTTAAAAGAACATTTTTGCTTACATAAAACTGAGATTTTATTCCATTGTTAAAACTCAGTATCTCTGTTTAATGCAAATTGTATGGGCTTTATATAGTCACTTTCTCAAGAGACAAAAGCTGAGGTAAAGACTAATGAAAACTCTGTGCCACTCTACACTACTCTTGAAAGATTTCCCCATTCACATTAAGGGAAACTGACAGTGCAAATTGGAGGAGGAAGAGAGTAGGAGGTGTAAAAGGACAAGAAAAAAGGTTGACTAGTAGTACAATAGTGGTAATTACTAATACTAGGTCTTGTTATTAACTTGCAGAAAGCTTTGAATGCAAGTCAATGGTTGTGAAACCAGTTATTTAACTGTTTATTATGTAAAATAATTGCTAACCCAGGTTGCTTTCTTTTCAATTATATATTACATTCTCAGATAATTTCTATATATTTTAAGAGAATAAGACACTTGAGAAAATGCATCGTGTTTAAAAAATGCATATTGTTATTAATTTTGTAATATATTCACATGAAATCATAAAAAAATCAAGGTGCACCTATTAAACCTTATGGAAAATATTCACAAAATTAACATTAGAAGTAATCCAACATCTTACATGAAAGAATGATTAAAACTTATGTGCATACAATAGCATTAAAATAATTTTATCAATGCAATGTTCAATTACACCCTCAGCCATAATACAAATAGAGTTAGAAAATGATAAATATAACAAGGTGGCAAGTTTTTGCAGGAGGAAATGTATATACAATAAGAAGATTAAAATTTTCTCAATAAGTGTCACATGTATACATTGACCTATATAAATAGGACATATGCTATAATAAAAAACCATATTTTCTATAAATAATATCTCTAGGTAGAAGTTTTAGAAAAATTATTTTTTAAAAAAGTTTTCATACTTTTGTAAAATTTCTTACATTAATTTTGTATTATTTTTTATAATATTATCAGAAAAGGAGAAACAAGCAGTCAATATCAGTGATGAATCTCTAAACAGAGGTTAGATTCCTTCAACACTGGGTAGAAAAACAAGGCTCTGATATCAAGCCAGTGAGATGAAACACTGAAAACGAGTTACATTAAATGTGGCTACAGATGACTGCAATCACACACAACACCTAGAAGCCCCAGGTATTACGTGGAATAGTAGTACAAGGACTCTCACGTTAACGTAAGATTAAAAATCATATTTTAAAAAACACTCTGCCATATGTGGTGCACTGTTTACATTTAGACATTTTTTTCTTTGTTTTGTTAAAAACCATTTGGAAAAGTTTTACCCCAATGATTAAATCTGAAAATATTTAAATTTAAATATTGGTATACATTGGGGAACTCAAATCAGAATAATTCTCAGTCAATTGCAGCCAAGCACATCTTCACCAGGAGTGTAATGTGGTGTGCGTGAGCTACTCAAAAGAGAGACAAGATCCCCTGCAGAAAGGCCTGGTGGCCTCTTCTATTCTGGTGCAAGTGCTGCCTCTGAGACACAACAAAGTGATGATGAGAGCTCCTCACATGCAGTTATAAACAGCACATCAATTTAACAGTGTGATTTCAGGGCAATAGGTGCTCCACCTGAACAATAACCTGAAAGGTACAATTATTCAACTATTAACTATAAACTCTACAATTCTGTATGATAAATGAGACTCTCAGGACTGATTCATAAAAATTCCATATCACAATACTAGACTCAGGAATGTCAGTGATTCTTAACCACCAGCTTTTATTTTCATTTTTTGAAAAACTACTGGAAAACTCTGACAAACTTTAAGTGAAGCATAAAGCATTGTAGAGGAACATAAATGTAGATATAAAATTATCCCAACTGTGAATAGCTTTTCCTCAGTGCCCATATTTAGGGAAGAAAACCACTAATGTCTTCAAACTAAAAGAATTCTACAGAAAACCTGCCTGAAATAAACACAAGTGATTTAGTAGAACAAAAATATAGGATTAAAGCCTAGTGGTGCCACTTTTCCAAGAACTTATATTAGTAATTATAGTATTATAAGTGAAGAGTCTGGGTATATTTTTTCACATTATCTCCCTGACTACAATGTAATAGCTCCATTTCTTTTCTCCATTACACACATGCAGACACATACATACATATACACACATATTTACACAAATATCCTTAACAGAGGCCAACTATCTCAAATATCTTCTTGCAAAGAAACTGAGTGATTGAGTCAGTTAAAAAATATTATTTACTCCAATAATTCCTCAAAATACTTGATTTTCTCTCTTTAATATTTGGTACCAGTTCTTTAGTAGTGCCTGCTGTGGTGATACTCTTTTGTGATGAAACAATTTTTTTTTCACAGGAAATGGAGGAGTTTGTACAGAGCTCTGGAGAAAATGGTGTTGTGGTGTTTTCTCTGGGGTCAATCATAAGTAACATGACAGCAGAAAGGGCCAATGTAATTGCAACAGCCCTGGCCAAGATCCCACAAAAGGTAAGATAAAGTACCTTACTGGTGTGGAAAACTACTGAAAGAGGCTTGAGATCCATATAGAAAGAATATTAAGAGTAGATTGAACTCTTTACAGCCAAATACAGCCTTAAATATGCTTGTATAGCTTCCACTGACACAAGTAATAGTTGTGCCTCAGACTTAGTGGTTACATGTGGCCCTGGGGTAGTTACTGCCCTTGGTATGCCTGAGTGGTTCCTGTTAGTACCAGTGGGAACTCAGTACCCCGTATGTATCCACAAAAGGGAACTTGAGACTCATGGTTATTTTTAATTTCTGATATTAACAGTCATACATACTGCTTAATTTAACTCAATATATTCCAGGTAGGTGAAAATGGTGCTTAATGTAGTCTTTAGAATGACTTTTAGGTGTTTTCAACTAAAAATATATATCCAGAACTGTGTCTTTGTAGAAATACAAGGAAGACTTATGATTATTTTCTTCAAAGCTGTTTTGCTAATCTCAGCAGTATCCAATGAGTGAAGTGAAGAAGATTTGACTTACTCTTGGGCCACCTCTATTACTTATTGTACTCTGGAAGCTCTTGGTGAATGTTTACAATTAAGGAATGTACTATTTCTGTTTGTACTTTAAGTCAAATGCTTATGTGAAATATGTGACAACAAATAGAGAACACTGCCTGAAGCAGGAAGATGAAAGAGAAAGGATGGAGATGGATCCTGACCTGAAGGTGGATCCTGTCCAGTATAAAATGTGGCCCCACAAGGACTCAGCACTAACTACCAGATTAACAACTCCTCCCAATGGAGGCAGCAGAAGGAAGTATAGAAAGGAGTCAAACAGAAGGAAGCCAAGTGGGGGAACAGGTTCAGATGTCCCCTCCATAGAACATAGTAGGAATATATTTTCTTCTATATAAAATAAACAAGGGACCTTTGTGTATTTGTGAATTACTTTTTAATTTCCTATCTGATAAAGCTTTCTTGTAATGACCTCTAACTTTTTGCTGAAACCTGAGTTACTTTAACACTGATGTAGCAAATAAAAGTTAAACACTGTAAATTATTGTTCAGTTTGTGAGGATTGCTTCGGAGTTTCAAAATTAGTAACTTAAAATAAAAATGTCTTGGCTATAGCAGAACATATTATTCACTGTTGTCAAATCTTTGTAGCACGTTGTCTAAGTGTTAATAATCAGTTGACCAAATTCCGCAAAATACAATTTTGAGTTTATTCAATAGCTTTTTTTGTATTCATGATACCAACAGGTTCCTCATTTCTAGGCCAAAAAAAAATCCAAAATTAACAATACTGGTAATATTCTGAATTTGTGTCAAAAATTGTCACTTGAAATTTTTCTTGGAAGTAGTGCTTGATAATTTGTAATTCTAATGAAGTTATACATAAAACCCTAACAGCATTTATTTATTTCTTATAAGTAGCTTATTTTATAGACTTGCTATTTTGTCAATCAAAGGACAACAGGCTCTAATATAATAACCTACCGACAAGTAGATACATTTGAACTTCTTCTCTTATTATTCAAAAACAAATGAATACACTGCAATTAAATTTGGAGATGAAAACGATAAAAAATACATAAAAAAACATATAGGTCATTACTAGATAGCTACTGTTTTATTACACTAGAATTACAATGACTTCCTATAATTTTTTTAACTTTTTTTAGAATATTTTTATTTTTTAAATTAAATTAATTTAACTTTTAATTTTAACTTTTAAGTTCAGGAGTACATGTGCAGGTTTTTTAGATAGGTAAACTTGTGTCATGGGGGTTTGTTGTACTGATTGTTTCATCACCCAGGTATTAAGACTAATATTCATTTATTATTTTACCTGATCCTCTCTTTCCTCCCACCCTCCACCCTCCTATACATCTCAGTGTATGTTGTTGCCATCTATGTGTCCACGTGTTCTCATCTTTTAGCTTCCACTCATAAGTGAGGACATGTCACATTTGGATTTCAATTCCTATGTTAGCTTGCTAAGGCTAATGGCCTCCTGCTCCATCCTTATCTCTGAAAAATACATATTTTTGTTTTCTTATGGCTGCATAATATTCTGTAGTGTATATATGCCATATTTTCTTTATTCATTCCATAATTGATGGTCATTTAGGTTGACTGCATATCCTTGCTATTGTGAATAGTACTGCAACTAACATATATTTTCATGGATCTTTATAAAAGAACAAGTTATAGTCCTTTGGTTATATACCCAGTAATGGGATTGCTGGGTTTCGTGGTATTTTTGCCTCTAGGTTTTTGAGGAATGGCCACACTGTCTTCCACAATGGTTGAACTAACTTACATTCCAATCAGCAGAGTATAAGCATTCCCTTTCTATACAACCTTGCCAACATCATGATATTTTTTGAATTTTTAATAATGGCCATTCTGACTGGTGTGAGATGCTATCTCATTATGGTTTTGATTTGAATTTCTCTAATGATCTGTGATGTTAAGTTTTTTTTCTTCATATGATGGTTGGCCGCAGGTAGGTCTTCTTTTAAAAAGTGTAACAATTTTTTAAATACTTGAACTTTTCATTGACAATCTTACTTTTCTAAGGTACTATTTTGGAAAATCACGGTTTCTTATATATCTAAATCATTATAAAAGTTAAGAAAATAACATGTGAGTATTCTTTTTACATCAGTCTTTGAGTAGATTTATTTACAAACATCCCTTGATCTCATTCCTACCCTTTTTACAGTTCTAACATGCTACAATTTTTGAGTTCCACTCATGGAATAAGATATTCTCTTTACCATAACAGGTTCTGTGGAGATTTGATGGGAATAAACCAGATGCTTTAGGTCTCAATACTTGGCTGTACGAGTGGATATCCCAGAATGACCTTCTAGGTAACACTTTGGTGAACAAATACTGGATATATTAGTAACTGCACATTCGAATGTTAATAGTTCATCTTGAAACATGCTTATTGAATATTTGTTATAGGAAAACAAAAAAGAACTTCTTTATATTTATTTTCCAGTCCTAGGGGGAAAAGAATATGCTATAATTGTTGGCATTTTATGATATACACTCACATTCTCTATGGTCAGAATCAGAGAGAATCTTTACTTCAGGTGTTATTATATCTCACAGAATTTTTCAGTATCTTCCTGGGCTCTCTCTCTGTCTCCTATTTCTACAACTTTACACCTGTTTTCTCCTCTCCTGCAGGGTTATTTCAAATGCCACTAAATATAATAGCTCTTCTATCATCAGTGACTCTGTATTTTCCGGAGGACTACATTCCTAATCTTAATCTTAAAGTAATGACACATTTCATGATGAAGTGTAACCTGTCTTTCCTCAATCCTAGCACCACCAACAACCCACTGCCTGCTGCCTTGCACACCCCACATATCACACTCTGTGACTGTACTTAAAATAACACTTCGTTTCATGCCTCTTTGCTGTCCTCTTTTATGCACATTTAAAAAATCTAGAATGCACTTTTCATTAGTGCAACTGGAAATCTTGCATTAAGTTTTGCAGTCTGAAGTCACACACACCATATAGCCTTCAGTTACATCTCCTAAACAAGTACGTGCTTTTTCGTCTGAAGTCTGAAAAGTAATAGCAAATTAGTTCAATGTGTTATCTAGAAAGCACTGTCACTTTCAGAGCCTTTCATTGTGCATCTCATTTTATTCCTATGAATAATTTTGCTGAAATTCATCCAATCCTAGGTCATCCAAAAACCAGAGCTTTTATAACTCATGGTGGAGCCAATGGCATCTATGAGGCAATCTACCATGGGATCCCTATATTGGGCATTCCATTGTTTGCCGATCAACCTGATAATATTGCTCACATGAAGGCCAAGGGAGCAGCTGTTAGATTGGACTTCAACACAATGTCGAGTACAGACTTGTTGAATGCACTGAAGACAGTAATTAATGTTCCTTTGTGAGTAGAACAATATTTTTCACTAGGTGGTATTTGTGGATAGCTTCTCCTGTCAATAGTGAGGATGAGTTTCATCCTTTTTATAAGGGAGTAATTTTGCAAGAATTTAAACGATTTAACCAATCTGAAATTTGCTTTGCTTTTTATCTGTTATTTAAAAATTGTATTTGCCCCATATATCTAATGAGAAACCAGTTAGTGAAACAATTTTATAAACAAAAATAATTTTAAAATGATATAGATAATATAAAAAATACATTTCTTAAAATTTTAACATAATGAATCCATAGTAGAAAGGAAGAATAAACTTGAAATAATATAATAAAATGTTTTAATTAAATATCCAAAATATCTTAGAATATAACTATTTTCTTGCTGAAAAATTAATTTTTATTATCATTAATGTTACTTACTTGAAAATGAGATTTAATTTTGATATCTTAAAATCCACTTATTTATGCCATAAAATCCAAATATTTTACTATGTTTACAGAGTCATGAAACTATCACCATTATATAATTTTAGAACATTTTTATCAACACGAAAGAAACTTCAATGACACCAAAATCACTTCTCATGACTGCTTAGTCCTAGTCTAACACCAATTTTTTTCTTTCTCTATAGATTATTCTCTCTAGGTGTTTCATATAAATGGAATCATACAGTCTTGGGTGCTGTGTAAATGACATTTCACCTAGCTTAATTTTTTGTTGTTTTTTATGGTTTTTATTTTAATTCATATTGTTGTGTATTTTAATACATTTCCTTTACACTTTTCCTAGAGTACGTCAAATAGTTAATTGTTGCTTGAAGTGATATGTGGTGGGCAGTAAGTCAAGACTTAGGGAATATAAAAAGATTCAATATCATGAAGACTATATGATCCAGCCATAGTGGAAATAAGGGAGGCTAAAAATACTATTACTAAAATATCTTTAAATTTTGGAAATTAACAAAATACACTCCAAAAAAATTTAAAGTCAAGAAGTAAATCATAAGTATGCATGAACTTTTATCTCAGTAATTCTGCTCTCAATTATATACCCAACAGATATACGTAAATATATAAATCTAATGTTATATAGAAGAGTGTTCATGACAGAATTATCAACAGTGTCCAAAACTTATTAGCCACCCAAATATCTATTCATCATAAAATGAAGACATCATCTGTGGTTTATCAATCAACAGAATATTACATAGCAATGGAATTACCTAAGAACTGCTACATTAAAGAAAAAGACACTAATGAGTACATATTATATAATTCAATTACATAAACAAGCAAAACTAATGTTGTTATTCGAAGTCAGGCTAATCCTTAGTTGGAGGCCAAAAGTAGTCACTAAATGGTTCAGAAAAAGAGAGTCATTCTAGGCAGGTTGTGATAGCCTATACCATGACCTGAACAGTAGTTAAATTGGTATCTTCACCTCAAGATGATGTTCAAGATGAACTTCCATTTTTGAACTATTCACTTAGTGTATGTATATTTATCTTTTGTATTTTATATTTAAATATATATTTTGAGAGATATATAAATCATTTACAAAATTCTAGGAAACAAATAGAAAATAAGCACAGAAAATAGAGAAAATCCTAGAGGCTCCATCATAGTCTGGCCAGTAAAAGCCTCTCTTAGAGGTAACACTTAGAGGGAAGCCACAAAAAGGGAGAGACGCATGCCTTGGGTTGTAGCAAGAAAGAATATCTCATGTACCCCATAAATATATACACTTAATATGGACCCACAAAAACTTAAAATTAAACAATTAAAAACCAATTAAAATGCCTTATATTTTCTCTGCTTGAAAAGAACTAAGTTTCTCCCCTGACCTTCCATTTCTACTTTAAAAATATTTGTCAATTAGAAAAGTCCAATTTAAAAGCCAAACTATCTATGATGACTCAAATTAAAATATACAAATTCTCTGTCAATTCTTTGACATTTACTTTGAATTATTTGACACTTTAAAAGCCTTACATAGACTTGATATCTACAGGCAAATTAACTTGCTTTCTGTGTTCGTATCTTTATTTTTATCCTTCAGATATAAAGAGAGTGTTATGAAATTATCAAGAATTCAACATGATCAACCAGTGAAGCCCCTGGATCGAGCAGTCTTCTGGATTGAATTTGTCATGCGCCACAAAGGAGCCAAACACCTTCGAGTTGCAGCCCGTGACCTCACCTGGTTCCAGTACCACTCTTTGGATGTGATTGGGTTTCTGCTGGCCTGTGTGGCAACTGTGACATTTATCATCACAAAGTGTTGTCTGTTTTGTTTCTGGAAGTTTACTAGAAAAGTGAAGAAGGAAAAAAGGGATTAGTTATGTCCGACATTTGAAGCTGGAAAACCTGATAGATGGGATGACTTCAGTTTATTCCAGCAAGAAAGATTGTGATGAAAGATTTCTTTCTTCCTATGACAAAAAAAAAAATCTTTTTGAAATCTACCTTGTCAAGTAAAAATTTGTTTTTCAGAGATTTACCACCCAGGTAATGATTAGAAATATTTTGTGGCAATGAGGAAAACACTAGGGAAAATAAAAAATAATATAAAGCCATATGAGCTCATATTGAAATTTGTTGCACTTATATTGAGATTTGTTGTTTGAATTCACAAGTTACATGAAAAAAATTTTACTCAGCTTAACTATATTTCACACATTTTACATAAACACAAGAACATTAAGAAGTCTACTGACAGTATCAGTACTGTTTTGCACATACTCAGAATAATTTGCTTCATTTTGAACAGAATTCTGTTGTTTTAACTGTTGCTAAAGAAAGTATTACATAGTTAAATTGTATAGAAAGTCTCTCTCTTCCTTTGATATTTTGAGATATGTAGTATTGCTTCCCTTTTATGCTGCATGCAGCTTTATTGTAACATTTTTGCTAAAAATGATGGCCAAATGTTTACTGTTCTAAGAGCTTAAGTCATTTCTCAGTGGAAACTAAGTGGAATTAGAAATATAGCCACTGTTACCTGTTTCCTACTGTAAAATTGAACTATTTTTCTACATCTTTGGTTTCATGAGCAAGTTATATTTTTTCCATATATTTAAAAGTATTTATCTGGTTGATTTTATTCTCATATTTTAATTACTTCAATAGTTATTTGGGAACAGGTGGTGTTTGATTAGATGGATAAATTTTTTAGTGGTAATTTCTGAGGTTTTGGTGCACACATCATGTGAGAAGTGTACCTTGCCCTGAATGTATAGTCTTGTATCCCTCACCCCCTCCCACCCTCCCATCTGAATCCTTAGAGCCCATTACATCATCCTTATGCCTTTGCATCCTAATAGCTTAGATCCCACTTATAAGTGATGATTTACGATGTTCAGTTTTCTATTCCTGAATTACTTCACTTAGAATAATGCTCTTCCACTTCATGCAAGTTGCTGTTAATGCCATTAGTTTGTTTCTTTTTATGGCTTAGTAGTATTCTATGGTGTAGTATGTAAATGCATGTGTATATATATATGTGTGTGTGTGTGTGTGTGTATCAGGGGAACCCGCCCTCAATATTTCAATGTAGGTTCCTTCTATTTTCCATAAGTGTTGGCCAGCTGAGAAATAAAGATAAAGGGTACAAAGAGAGGAATTTTAAAGCAGGGCCACTGGGGATGACATCACATATCCGTAGGACTGTGATGCCCACCAGAGCATCACAGAGCCCCTTTGTCTTGGCCAATTTCTACCATTTAGAAGGAGAGTATTTACCCAGTGCCTGTTTCTTCATTGTATCTAGAAAGTAACTAACTTGCTTTTGTTTTTTAGGCTCATAGGCAAAAAGGACTTGCCTTATCCCAGATGAGACTTTGGATTGTGGACTTTTGAGTTAATGCTGAAATTAGTTAAGACTTTGGAGAACTGAAGGGAGTGCATGATTGGTTTTAATATGTGAGGACCTGATATTTGGAAGGGGCCAAGGGAAGAATGATATGATTTGGCTGTGTCCTCACCCAAATTTAATCTTGAATTGTAGCTCCCATAATTCCCACCTGTTGTGGGAGGAACTTCGTGAGAGGTAATTGAATCATCGTAGCACATCTTTCCCATGATATTCCCATGATAGTGAGTAAGTGTGTTGAGATCTTATAGTTTTATAAAGGAGAGTTTCCCTACACAAGCCTTCTTGCCTGCCTCCATGTATTACATAACATTGCTTCTCATTTGCCTTTGTCATCATTGTGAGGCCGCCCAAGCCATGTGTAACTGTGAATCTATTAAACCTCTTTCCTTTATAAATTACCCAGTCTTGGGTATGTCTTAAGTAACAACATGAGAATAGGCTAGTACAATATCCTAAAACTATAAAACCCTAGAACAAATCAGGAGAATAGAACATAACTGAACTAAAAAGCCTCTGTGCAACAAAAGTAACTATCAACAGAATAAACAGATGACTTACAGAATGGGAGAATATAATTGTAAACTATGCATCTGATAATCGCCTAATATCAAAAATCTATAAGGAACTTAAACAAATTAACAAAACATACACAAATAACTCCATTAAAAAATGGGGCAGGGACATCAAGAAAGAATTCTCAAAAGAATATATACACAGGAATGTTCAAGATGATCAACTAGATGCAGTCAGGAAGTGCCACTGCCAACAGGGGAACACCAGGTTTTTTTAATCATACCAACATAATTTGAACAGATCGTTGAAGAGAAAATACTGAATGTGGATGGAGAAAAGAAGTAGTCACCGAGGCTGAAGAGAAAGAAAGCTGAGGACGCTGAATGGGGTGCCTGAATACTACAGCTGGTTCTCTACCCTGAGCTGTTTCTAGGGAAGGGTGAGTGAAAGGAATAGTAAACAGCTTCCTCTCACTGTAGACATCTGGAATTCTGGCTAGATGGGGCTCCATACCTTCAAGGACATGTGGACTGGCAGAGGGATCTCCAGAGATTGCACAGAGATGGAGCTGCAGACAAAATCCAGGGACCTTTGTGAATAGGTCCTTTACAGAGACAAGTCTCCTATATAAGAAAAACTTGAAGCAAAGGTGTTGCATTCAACTCCTTGCCTTCAGAGGATGCCCTACTCTGTAATGTCATAGCTTTCAATGAACTATCTTTTCTCACTGCACTCTGTGACTCACCTTGAATTCCTACCTGTGTGGAATCCGAGAACCTTCTCTCGGTGTCTGAATCAAGGCCCCTTTTTCTGGGAACACTTCCAAGGAGACTTTTCTGGCTTTCACCGTTTATCTTAATTTGATGGTTATTAGTCCTCACTCTTCTATTATTTTCTCCCAAGCATTAACTCTGAAGAAAAAAACATTTGCCTCTATTGTGGTCATAATTTCTACTTTTCTCATATTGATAAATTTGGGATATATCCTAATAAGTAACACTTTCCCTTTCAAAAGATTACCATCATAATTTGCCATTACTGAAAGTATGAAAAATTTAAATTATCACATTCCAGGGTCTATTTGTGTTCTCCCTACCAATAGTGATAGGATTCTCCTTACAACTGGTAGTGAATGATCCAACTCTAAAATCTCATTTTGTTGTCTGTTCTTTTTTTCTGACCTCTCTTGGTACATATTTTCAAATGCTGGGTGGCTCCAAGAAGTAGACTCTAAGCTGAATATGTTTTTGAGGGAGATAATTCAGGAGTTTTATTGAAAATAACATCTGTGAAAAAGTAGGAAGCAACACTGGACTGTGGAACAAATTAGGATAAAATTCAGTGCAATGGTTTGAATGCTTGAGTGCTCCAAAGATTAATATGTTAAAATTCTTATAACCAAAATGATTGTATTAGCAGACAAAACCTTTTAGGAGGTGTTTAGGTCACGAAGGCAGAGTCCTCATTAGTGGAATCAATTCCATTCCAAAATTTGCTCACAAGAACTCATTCATCTCTTTTCCCCATTAAGACATGGTGATGGGCTGCCATCTTGGAGGAATGCCCAATACCAGCATCTTGATTGTGAAAACTTCAGCCTCAAGAACTGTGACAAATAAATGTTTTTTGTCTATATGCTAGGCAATGTATGGTATTTTTCTGTATAGCACCCTGAGCATGCTAAGACATGCAGTCTCAGCATCGGTTTCATCTCACCCACTGGGAGTTCTGAAGACAAGTTAGCCCTTCAGAGTTGGTCCACGTTGAAATGAGGAAGATGGGCCTTTAGAGTCTTACATATGACCAGGCATTGGATATGGGCTGTCTTGGAAAGGTCACTTTATACTAGATAGCTTTCAGCAGCGCTGTACTGAGAGAGAGAGAGCTTATAGGTGAGGTATGTCAGTTGTTAATCACTTCATCAGCTGGAAAGTAATTTCTATATTCCCAAAAGAAAAATCTGGGTGACATATAATGCATGCACTCAAGGACATTAAAAATATTGAACAATATTGCCACTCTGCAGGCAATATTTGCTCAGAAATTGTGTTCCAACATCCTTTTAAGAAAGACTTATCTCATTTCAGGTTAGCAGATTATTAATAGAATAAAAACAAACTTGTCTATTTTGTGACATGCATCTTTTCCTTCCTAATTCTACTTTGATGTAAATTTCTGGTGAGACTTTTTAAAAGTACAAATTACCTGAATTACAAGGCAATCTGTGAAACAAGTTCAGGAGTAGGCATTTAGAAGATAAATACTTTCTAAGAGTGAGAAACGTAAGGAATGCTGCAAATATTCAGAAAAAGAAAATATTGTGATTTAGACAAAATATTTTCAAATGAAGCAAAGTAACTGTAATTATACTTAAAATATATCTGTTTGGATAAAAAGAAAATGAATTTCTATAGTCACAAAAACAATGTCAAGAAACATGAAATGATGCTAATATCATAATTGTGAAAATACATAGAGGAAATGAAGACGGTCTATTTGAGAATGTTAAGATAAATAAGAATAGATCACACCACTGCCTCACTGTTGACACAATGCTGCTTTCTTATACTAGAAACTCTTCATATACAATTAAATTATCTCTTGTTCTGGAGACAGCCACATTTACAATAAGAATGAAATTGATTATTCACACATACAAACACAAAATCATTCATCCTTTTCTTTATTCACTTGCTTTCCAAAACCTCTATTGTCAATACTTAAATCATTGTGACATTGATTGATATTGATATGTACCAAGTTAGAGAAAGTTATAAAGAAAGATAGCATTTTAACAAGTTGTCTAAGAAATGGGCTTTTTTGTTTCTTATGCTGACAGTTGTATTTTAGCCCTGAATCCTGCGAGAATGTGCTGGTGTGGCCGATGAAATACAGTCTTTGTATCAATTTAATGTTGATACTTGATGAACTTGCTCAGAACACCATGAGGTAACTGTGCTTGTCACCTTCAGCTTCCATCCTCATTGATTCCAACAATCTGCTGTTAAATTTGAGGTTTATCCCACATCTTTTACTCAGAATGAACTTGATTTCCTTTTTATGAAATTGATCAATATATGGATGTATAAGTTTCCAAAGAGTACATTGTTGGCATATGATTCAAAGATGCAAAAACTACATATCATGAATGTTCTGATACTGTTCAAAAGCTCTTTGAGTATGCTGTTTTGAACAAGAAAATTATGAGGAACAGGATTCCAGAATTTATGTCATTCTTGCAGATGTCAGTTCTCAGTAGTGAGCTGCTATCTGAACAGCTTAGTCTGTTAAACATTTGTTATACATTTGGTCTACTATCATCAATTTACAACTGGCAGTATGTACCAAGAACTCTGTGGAGGACTTACATTACCTCCTTCTGATGTAACTGTTGTCATATCAGAACTTAGTACAAAAATACATTTGTAGAAAGGTGAAAAGTCTGTTGCATTTTCTTCATTTTGACTTTGCATTTGAGATTTTTAACAAAAAGAAGTGGGATCAGTTTTACAGTGAAGTATTAGGTAAGTTAGTGTTTAATTTATTCACTTTTCCCTCCAATATATGGAAAGAAACCTTCCTTTTTTGTGTCTGTTGGAGTGTGTTTATAAATTAAAATAAAAAATAACCTTTTTGGTTATGTGAAAGACAAGGGTTGGCAAGATTGTGGAGACATTGAAACCTTCATACATTGTTGGTGAGAATAGAAAATTATTCACTCACTCTGAAAAAGTCTAGCAATTCCTCAAAAGGTTACACTTACATTTACACATAATTCAGTAATTGCCTTTCTAGGCATATACCCAAGAAAAATAAAAACATGTCCACAGAAATCATGTACATCAATGTTAATCAATGTTATTCATAATGGCCAAAAGTGGAAGAAAATCAATATCCATCAACTGATAAATGAATAAATAAATTGTATTTATAAATAGCATCTGATACTATTTGGCAATAGAAACGAAGTCCTTATTTACACTATTCTATGGATGGTCCTTTAAAAACATTAAACTAAATAATAGAAGGCAGCCACAAAAGACCACATATTATATCGTTCCATTTACTTTTAGAAAGATCCTGAATAGGTGTATTTCTAGAGGCAGAAATTAGATTACTGGTTACCCAGTGCAGGATGGATGCAGAAATTCAGTGGGGAGAAGAGAGCTAATATACAGGAGGAATTTTCTTTTTTTTTAGATAAAACTCATTGTTATGTTGGATGCACAAATCTGTGAATTTACAAGGAAATACTTAATTTTAAATAATAATTGATGAATCATATGGTATTTGAATTATACTTCAACAAAGTTTTACAAGGTATTCCTTGAACTACGATATTCAAAAATGCTATTTGCATTGTACAATCTCTTTATCTCTTATTTGGTGTCAAGGGCCCTGCAGGACTGTCTCACTTGCCACTGTTCTTGACACCATTATAAAATACATTGTATAAAACAGGGTACTTGCAAGGTCATTAATCTTAGGTAGATGACAGCAAATATAAAAGAAACATCAAACATCCTTGAGTAAATATGAAGCAACCGAACTTTGTTTGTCTCCTTGCCATCCATGGACTCAGGATGTTCATATAATGTATTTACTTTGAATTGAGGGAGTTATGTTTTAACTTGATTGATTTATCTCTGTATGTAAGTATGAGAAAGAAACAGTGACTTGAAAAGAATGATCACATTGCACCAGGATGGTTCTGAAATGGGCTTCAGTTCTTCTGCTGATACATCTCAGTTGTTACTTTAGCTCTGGGAGTTGTGGAAAGGTGCTGGTTTGGGCCACAGAATACAGCCTTTGGATGAATATGAAGACAATCCTGAAAGAGCTTGTTCAGAGAGGTCATGAGGTGACTGTACTGGCATCTTCAGCTTCCATTCTTTTTGATCCCAACGACTCATCCACTCTTAAACTCGAAGTTTATCCTACATCTTTAACTAAAACTGAATTTGAGAATATCGTCATGCAACAGGTTAAGAGATGGTCAGACATTCCAAAAGATACATTTTGGTTATATTTTTCACAAGAACAAGAAATGCTGTAGGAATTACATGACATATTTAGAAAATTCTGTAAAGATCTCATTTCAAATAAGAAACTTATGAAAAAACTATTAGAGTCAAGATTTGACATCGTTTTTGCAGATGCTTTTTTTCCCTGTGGTGAGCTGCTGGCTGCGCTACTTAACATACCCTTTGTGTACAGTCTCCGCTTTACTCCTGGCTACACAGTTGAAAGGCACAGTGGAGGACTGATTTTCCCTCCTTCCTACATACCTATTGTTATGTCAAAATTAAGTGATCAAATGACTTTCATGGAGAGGGTAAAAAATATGATCTATGTGATTTATTTTGACTTTTGGTTCCAAATATGTGATATGAAGAAGTGGGATCAGTTTTACAGTGAAGTTTTAGGTAAGAATTTTTTCAGTTGGTAACATAAATATCTAACTTATTTGTGTCTTTGAAGCAGAGCTTATATAAAGCCATAAAGTCAGGGAAGTGGAGTTTTTGGTAAGTGAATTTGTGAAATGAAAATACAAGATGATCTATCAATCTCACAAATATTATAGAAAATCTTAAATTATGGGGTCTCTTAAAACCCTGTGGCCATCTCTCACATAGAACACGCTAGGAAATCATAAACAAATATTAGTACACCTAAGACGTTAAGCAATTACACATCTGTTTTACTATATAATGTTTTAGATCTTAAAAACAGTAAAATCCATCAAGTAACATCTTACCAAATGCATAGATTTAGAATGAGTAATTATACATTTTTCTACAACTATCTATATTACTGCAGAAATTTTTCTCTGTAAATCTCAGTTTTCTTATTTAGAAATTAAAAGATATTCCCATGTTACCAGAAGGTTTCCTTCACAGTAGAGAGAGATAATGTCTACATCTCAGGTGCAAAAATCAATAAGGGTAATTTGAAGTTTCTAATGTTTTTATACTCCTTCACTAAAGAATTGGAATTCATTCATTTGAAGTCCAATTATCTTGTTGAAGTGTGAAGGTTGTTAGATCTATATAGTTTATTTGAAACTATGTCTCTTTATTTAAAAATATGAGACAGATTAAGGTTGAGTACAGATCTCTACTTCAATAATTTCTCAAAAATATCTAGCTATAATTTACAAATATATTTACTTAAAAGATAATATTATTAAGATCTTAGCTCAAATCCAAATGAGTAGTTGGTACAAGGATTTCTGCCATACTCTCAAAATAGTCCAGAGTTCACTTGAAGAACCAAGGATAAAAGGATTAGCTAAATGAGCTGTGTAAACCAGACTGTTAGAAAATTGTTTTTATGGGTACAGTAGAATTAATTGATTATGGAGCTCAAAGAGTTGTTTAAATATCTATATGCTACTATTGAAGCTTTAAAGAGAAAATAAATTGATGTTTAATTATCTATGACTTATTTTAATAATTATGGGTATACTGACATGACATTAGAGATGTAGCTTAACCTCATAATTCTCCCACCACTTTGCCTTTCTTATAAATAAACATGGGCAAAATATATAATACATAAAAATATATTATTCATATATATGAATATATGTATATATTTTTCAAAGCACACAAACTTTACCTACATCTTTGCCTACGTTATTCTAACCCCTTTGAGAAAGTTATATAAAGTAACTGTCTTACGTCATCCACTTTTTCTTTTCTTTATTCCTGTCAGGAAGACCCACTACCTTATTTGAGACAATGGGGAAAGCTGACATATGGCTTATGCGAAACTCCTGGAATTTTCAGTTTCCTCATCCATTCTTACCAAACGTTGATTTTGTTGGAGGATTTCACTGCAAACCTGCCAAACCCCTACCTAAGGTAAACATGCTTTCGTTGGTTTTATTTTGTTGGCTTCGAAGTTTCAGTAGAAATGAGTCTATAGTCTTCATTCAGAATGTTTGACTTACACTGAAAGAAAGATGGGAAGTAGGTGGTGTAAAGCAGATACCAATTAGAAACTCATGTACATGTTAATACCATCACACATATGTGAGTTTTATGCATATTACAGAGAGAGAGGAATAGTAAGGAGACTTTGAAAATAGAGTTGGTTAAAGTAAAGTCTTGATTATGCAACACCTAAGAAGGTATTGATCATTCATTCAGAGAATATTTATAAAGGGATTAGCACAAAACACAAGTAAGTGCAGAAATTTCAGAGAAAAAAAAAGACACAGTTTCCGTCCCTACATACTTTACATTCTACTTTGAAATATAGATTATAAGTAATTAATGAAAATGTTATAAAAAACTATTATCTCAAGGAAAAACCCAATGTCAAGAAAGCATCAGTGGAGATAATAGAAAGTATCCTGGAGTTACTGATTAGTAAGATGAGAGCTGAACAATATGTAGGAATAGGTAAAAGAACGACGGGGAGGGGCAGACAAAAAGGGAAAGCAGATAAAGTGGTCAGGACAGTTCTCAAGTCCTCAGGTTTTGTTTTCAGGGAATGATTAAGAATCAGATGATATTAAGAGGTAAATTAGAGCCAGATACATATTAGGAGTGGAAATATTTGTTAAGAATATTGAAAAACTACTAAAAAGAGTTAAGAAATAAATATATATGAAACGATTCTCTTTTTTAAGAAAAGCCTCCAAGATATTCAATGGATTAAATTACAGAAGGGCCACACTGTAAAGAGCCAACCATTCAGGAAATTTTGCATGGATTCAGGTAGCAGATGATGGAAAAGTAGACTAGAATGTTGATAGAAATAATTATGCCTACATTTACAAAAATAGTACCAACTTCATATTTTGTTGTGTGGAAAAAATATTAAAACAGACAAAACACTTAAAATGTCTCTGGCATATAGTCAGTGACTCAGAAATGTTATTAATTTTGCATTATGGTTATTTTGTGATTATTACTAATACTACTAACTACTTAATATGTGTAAGTCACTTGAGATATCATTCCTCATTTAAGAGAACCAGATTATTCAGCACATCAAGGTTATATTCTCTTGGAAAGTCATAGATGACAGATACCCTGTGGACTTGATTAAAATTAGACATATCAATTGTGACAGCAAGTTGAGCTGCTTGAAATTCTAAAATTCTACCATAAGTAATAGGGATCTTCACCAGTATTCCAGCTTAAAACACTTCCTCAGCAATATAAATGTGTACCTCAAATATGTGCAGACAAACCCAGGGTTCACTTGACTTTAATAAAGTATTTAAATCATTCTGCATTGAGATCCCAGAATTTAACATTTTAGATCATAAACATACCCTATTAGAGCAGACGATGTCTGCCTTATGACAAGCAACTCAGTAAAGCTTCCTGGGGGAACTTGTCTCAACATCATAGGTGCCTGACAGAGAAGCACAGAGATAGTGAACAATGCATGTATAATAAAGACCAAATAATTTCTACCACTTGTATCTGAATAGTGCCCTTAGTTTCAATACGAAAAAAATTCTGTCAGCATATAAGATTATATTCTTTTTGAAGGAACACAAAAACCACATATATTTTAAATTAATATCACATTTTAAGACATACGTACAAAGAAAGCCTTCTTCAATGCATGATTATGCAACCTCTTAAAAGAACATGTTTGCTTACATAAAACTGAGATTTTATTCCATTGTTAAAACTCAGTATCTCTGTTTAATGCAAATTGTATGGGCTTTATATAGTCACTTTCTCAAGAGACAAAAGCTGAGGTAAGACTAATGAAAAATCTATGCCACTCAACACTACTCTTGAAAGATTTCCCCATTCACATTAAGGGAAACTGACAGTGCAAATAGGAGGAGGAAGAGAGTAGGAGATGTAGAAGGACAAGAAAAAAGGTTGACTAGTAGTACAATAGTGGTAATTACTAATAGTAGGTCTTGTTATTAACTTGCAGAAAGCTTTGAATGCAAGTCAATTGTTGTGAAACTGCTTCTTTGATTGTTTATTATGTAAAACAATTGCTAACCCAGGTTGCATTCTTTTCAATTATATATTACATTCTCAGATAATTTCTATATATTTTAAGAGAATAAGACACTTGACAAAATGTATCAAGTGTTTTAAAAATGCATATTGTTATTAATTTTATAATATATTCACGTGAAATCATAAAAAAATCAAGGTGTATCTATTAAACCTTATGGAAAATATTCACAAAATTAACATTAGAAGTAATCCAACATCTTATACGAAAGAATGATTAAAACTTATGTGCATATAGTAGCATTAAAATAATTTTATCAATGAAATGTTCAGTTACACTTTCAGCCATAATACAAACAAAGTGAATTAGAAAATGATAAATATAGCAAGATGGCAAGTTTTTGCAGGAGGAAATGTATATACAATAAGATTAAAATTTTCTAAATAAGTGTCACATGTATACATTGACCTATATAAATTTGACAAAATCCATAATAAAAAATACATATTTTCTAAAAATTATACCTCTAGATAGAAATTTTAGAAAAATTATCTTTTAAAAAGGTTTTCATACTTTTATAAAATTTCTTACATTAATTTTGTATTATTTTTATAATATTATCACAAAAGGAGAAACAAGCAGTCCATATCAGTGATGAATCTCTAAACAGAGGTTAGATTCCTTCAACACCTGGTAGAAAAACAAGGCTCTGGTATCAAGCCAGTGAGATGAAACACTGAAAACGAGTTACATTAAATGTGGCTACAGGTAACTGCAATCACATACAACACCTAGAAGCCCCAGGTATTACGTGGAATAGTAGTACAAGGACTCTCACGTTAATGTAAGATTAAAAATCATATTTTAAGAAAACACTCTGCCATATGTGATGCACTGTTTACATTTAGACTTTTTTTTCTTTGTTTTGTTAAAAAACATTTGGAAAAGTTTTACCCCAATGATTAAATCTGAAAATAT
This sequence comes from Homo sapiens, assembly GCF_000001405.40. Classification (NCBI taxonomy): domain Eukaryota; kingdom Metazoa; phylum Chordata; class Mammalia; order Primates; family Hominidae; genus Homo; species Homo sapiens. The sequence goes on from NC_000004.12 coordinate 69,414,056, forward strand.
TTAAATTTAAATATTGGTATACATTGGGGAACTCAAGTCAGAATAATTCTCAATCAATTGCAGCCAAGCACATCTTCACCAGGAGTGTAATGTGGTGTGCGTGAGCTACTCAAAAGAGAGACAAGATCCCCCTGAAGAAAGGCCTGGTGGCCTCTTCTATTTTGGTGCCAGTGCTGCCTCTGAGACACAACAAAGTGATGATGAGAGTTCCTCACATGCAGTTAGAAATAGCACATCAATTTAACAGTGTGATTTCAGGGCAATAGGTGTTCCACCTAAACAATAACCTGAAAGGTACAATTATTCAACAACTAACTATAAACTCTACAATTCCATGTGATAAATGAGACTCCCAAGACTGATTCATAAAAATTCCAAATCACAATACTAGACTCAGGAATGTCAGTGATTCTTAACCACCAGCTTTTATTTTCATTTTTTGAAAAACTACTGGAAAACTCTGACAAACTTTAAGTGAAGCATAAAGCATTCTGGAGGAACATAAATGTAGAGATAAAATTATCCCAACTGTGAATAGCTTTTCCTCAGTGCTCATATTTAGGGAAGAAAACCACTAATGTCTTCAAACTAAAAGAATTCTACAGAAAACCTGCCTGAAATAAACACAAGTGATTTAGTAGAACAAAAACATAGGATTAAAGCCGAGTGGTGCCACTATTCCAAGAACTTATATTAGTAATTATAGTATTATAAGTGAAGGGTCTGGGTATATTTTTTAACATTATCTCGCTGACTACAATGTAATGGCTCCATTTCTTTCCTCCATTACACACATGCAGACACATACATACATATACACACATATTTACACAAATATCCTTAACAGAGGCCAACTATCTCAAACATCTTCTTGCAAAGAAACTGAGTGATTTAGTTAAAAAATATTATTAACTCCAATAATTCCTCAAAATACTTGATTTTCTCTCTTTAATATTTGGTACCAATTCTTTCAGTAGTGCCTGCTGTGGTGATACTCTTTTGTGATGAAACAATTTTTTTTTTTCACAGGAAATGGAGGAGTTTGTACAGAGCTCTGGAGAAAATGGTGTTGTGGTGTTTTCTCTGGGGTCAATGGTCAGTAACATGACAGCAGAAAGGGCCAACGTAATTGCAACAGCCCTTGCCAAGATCCCACAAAAGGTAAGATAAAGTGCCTTACTGGTGTGGAAAACTACTGAAAGAGGCTGTTAAAGTTTGTGATCTACATAGAAAGAATATTAAGAGTAGATTGAACTCTTTACAGCCAAATGCAGCCTTAAATATGCTTGTGTAGCTTCCACTGACACAAGTAATAGTTGTGCCTCAGACTTAGTGGTTACATGTGGCCCTGGGGTAGTTACTGCCCTTGTTATGCATGAGTGGTTCCTATTAGTATCAGTGGGAACTCAGTACTCCATATGTATCCACAAAAGGGAATTGAGACTCATGGTTATTTTTAATTTCTAATATTAACAGTCATACATACTGCTGAATTTAACTCAATATAGTTCAGGTAAGTGAAAATGGTGCTTAATGTAATCTTTAGAATGACTTTCAGGTGTTTTCAACTAAAAATACATATCCAGAACTGCATCTTTGTAGAAATACAAGGAAGACTTATGATAATTTTCTTCAAAACAATTTTCCTAATCTCAGCAATATCCAATGAGTGAAGAACATTTGACTTACTCTTGGGCCACCTCTACTACTTACCGTACTCTGGAAGCTCTTGGTGAATGTTTACAATTAAGGAATGTACTATTTCTGTTTGTACTTTAAGTCAAATGCTTATGTGAAATATGTGACAACAAATAGAGAACACTGCCTGAAGCAGGAAGATGAAAGAGAAAGGATGGAGATGGATCCTGACCTGAAGGTGGATCCTGTCCAGTATAAAATGTGGCCCCACAAGGACTCAACACTAACTACCAGATTAACAACCCCTCCCAATGGAGGCAGCGGAAGGAAATATAGGAAGGAGTCAAACAGAAGGAAGCCAGGCAGTTGAACAGGTTCAGATGCCCCCTCCATAGAACACAGTAGGAATATATTTTCTTCTATATAGAATAAACAAGGGACCTTTGTGTATTTGTGAATTACTTTTTAATTTCCTATCTGATAAAGCTTTCTTGTAATGACCTCTAACTTTTTGCTGAAACCTGAGTTACTTTAACACTGATGTAGCAAATAAAAGTTAAACACTGTAAATTATTGTTCAGTTTGTGAGGATTGCTTTGGAGTTTCAAAATTAGTAACTTAAACATAAAAATGTCTTGGCTATAGCAGAACATATTAATCACTGTTGTCAAAGTTTGTAGCTCGTTGTCTAAGTGTTAATAATCAGTTGACCAAATTCAGCAAAATACAATTTTGAGTTTATTCAACAGCTTTATTTGTATTCATGATACCAACAGGTTCCTCATTTCTAGGCAAAAAAAAAAAAAAAAAAAAAAAAAAAATTAACAATACGGTAATATTCTGAATTTGTGTCTAAAATTGTCACTTGAAATTTTTCTTGGAAGTAGTGCTTGATAATTTGTAATTCCAATGAAGTTATACATAACACCTTGGCAGCATTTATTTATTTATTATAAGTAGCTTATTTTACAGACTTGCTATTTTGTCAATCAAAGGACAACAGGCTCTAATGTAATAACCTACCGACAAGTAGATATATTTAAACAACTTCTCATATTATTCAAAAATAAATGAATACATTACAATTAAATTTGGAGATGAAGACTAATATAAAATACATAAAACAAACATATAGGTCATTACTAAATAGTTACTGTTTTTTTACACTGGAATTACAATGACTCCTTATAAGTTTTTATACTTTTTTTAGAATATTTTTATTTTTTAAATTAAATTAATTTAACTTTTATTTTTAACGTTTATTTTAAGTTCAGGAGTACACGTGCAGGTTTCTTACATACGTAAACTTGTGTCATGGGGGTTTGCTGTACTGATTGTTTCATTACCCAGGTATTAAAACTAATATTTGTTTATTAGTTTTCCTGATCCTCTCTTTCCTCCCACCCTCCACCCTCCAATACATCTCAGTGTATGTTGTTGCCATGTATGTGTCCACATGTTCTCATCTTTTAGTTTCCACTCATAAGTGAGGACATGTCACATTTGGATTTCAATTCCTATGTTAGCTTGCTAAGGCTAATGGCCTCCTGCTCCATCCTTATCCCTGCAAAAATACATATTTTTGCTTTTTTATGGCTGCATAATATTCTGTAGTGTATATATGCCATATTTTCTTTATTCATTCCATAATTGATGGTCATTTAGGTTGATTGCATGTCCTTGCTATTGTGAATAGTACTGCAACTAACATATATGTTCATGGATCTTTATAAAAGAACAAGTTATAGTCCTTAGGTTATATACCCAGTAATGGGATTGCTGGGTTTCATGGTATTTTTGCCTCTGGGTTTTTGAGGAATCACCACACTGTCTTCCACAATGGTTGAACTAACTTACATTCCAACCAAAAGAGTATAAGCATTCCTTTCCTATATAACCTCACCAACATCATGATATTTTTTGAATTTTTAATAATGGCCATTCTGACTGGTGTGAGATGCTATCTCATTATGGTTTTGATTTGAATTTCTCTAATGATCTGTGATGTTAATTTTTTTTCTTCATGTGATGGTTGGCCGCAGGTAGGTCTTTTTTTAAAAAGTGTAACAATTTTTTAAATACTTGAACTTTTCATTGATAATCTTATTTTTCTAAGGTACTATTTTGGAAAATCATGGTTTCTTATATATCTAAATCATTATAAAAGTTAAGAAAATAAAATGTGAGTATTGTTTTTACATCAGTCTTTGAGTAGATTTATTTACTAACATCCCTTGATCTCATTCCTACCCTTTTTACAGTTCTAACATTCTATAATTTTTGAGTTCCACTCATGGAATAAGATATTCTCTTTACTGTAACAGGTTCTGTGGAGATTTGATGGGAATAAACCAGATGCTTTAGGTCTCAATACTCGGCTGTACAAGTGGATACCCCAGAATGACCTTCTAGGTAACACTCTGGTGAACAAATACTGGATATATTAGTAACTGCACATTAGAGTGTTAATAGTTCATCTTGAAACAAGCTTATTGATTATTTGTTATAGGAAAACAAAAAGGAACTTCTTTATATTTATTTTCCAGTCCTAGGGGAAAAGAATATACTATAATTGTTGGCATTTTGTGATACACACTCACATTCTTTATGGTCAGAATCAGAGAGAATCTTTATTTCAGGTGTTATTATATCTCACAGAATTTTTCAATATCTTCCTTGGCTGTCTCTCTGTCTCCTATTTCTACAGCTTTACACCTGTTTTCTCCTCTCCTGCAGGGTTATTTCAAATGCCACTAAATATAATAGCTCTTCTATCACCAGTGACTCTGTATTTTCCGGAGGACTAAATTCCTAATCTTAATCTTAAAGTAATGACACATTTCATGATGAAGTGTAACCTGTCTTTCCTCAATCCTAGCACCACCAACAACCCACTGCCTGCTGCCTTGCATACCCCGCATATCACACTCTGTGACTGTACTTAAAATAAAACTTTATTTCATGCCCATCTCTTTGCTGTCCTCTTTTGTGCACATTTAAAAAATCTAGAATGCACTTTTCATTAGTGCAACTGAAAATCTTGTATTAAGTTTTGCAGTCTGAAGTCACACACACCATATAGCTTTCAGTTACATCTCCTAAACAAGTACGTGCTTTTTCATCTGAAGTCTGAAAAGTAATAGCAAATTAGTTCAATGTGTTATCTAGAAAACACTGTCACTTTCAGAGCCTTTCATTGTGCATCTCATTTTATTCCTATGAATAATTTTGCTAAAATTCATCCAATCCTAGGTCATCCAAAAACCAGAGCTTTTATAACTCATGGTGGAGCAAGTGGCATCTATGAGGCAATCTATCATGGGATCCCTATGGTGGGCATTCCATTGTTTTGGGATCAACCTGATAACATTGCTCACATGAAGGCCAAGGGAGCAGCTGTTAGACTGGACTTCCACACAATGTCGAGTACAGACCTGCTGAATGCACTGAAGACAGTAATTAATGATCCTTTGTGAGTAGAACAATGTTTTTCACTAGGTGGTATTTGTAGACAGCTTCTCTTGTCAATAGTGAGCATGAGTTTCATCCTTTTTATGAGAGTAATTTTGAAAGAATTTAAATAATTTAACCAATCTGAAATCTGCTTTTTTTCATCTGTTATTTAAAAATTGTATTTGAACCCCATACATCTAATGAGTAACCAGTTAGTGAAACAATTTTCTAAACAAAAATAATTTTAAAATGATAAATAATATAAAAAATACATTTCTTAAAATTTTAACATAATGAACCCATAGTAGAAAGGAAGAATAAACTTGAAATAATATAATAAAATGTTTTAATTAAATATCTAAAATGACTCAGAATATAATTATTTTCTTGCTGAAAAATTAATTTTTATCATCATTGTAACAGACTTGAAAATGAGATTTAATTTCGATAGCTTAAAATCCACCTATTTATGCCATAAAATCCAAATATTTTTACTATGTTTACACAGTCATGAAACTATCATCATTATATAATTTTAGAACATTTTTATCAACACAGAAGAAACTTCAATGACACCAAAATCAATTCTCATGACTGCTTAGTCCTAGTCTAACACCAATTTGTTTTCTTTCTATATAGGTTATTCTCTCTAGATATTTCATATAAATGGAATTATACAGTCTTGGGTGCTGTGTAAATGACATTTCACTTAGCCTAACTTTTTGTGTTGTTTTATGGTTTTTATTTTAATTCATATGGTTGTGTGTTTTAATACTTCATTTCCTTTTCACTTCTATAATATTTTATAGTATGGATATGTCATAATTTAGTTGTTCATTTGTCAGTGCATTGGCCTTTTGATTGTTTCCAATTGTGGCTACTAGGAATATTGCTATATATGTTTTTGCATAAACATGTTTTACTTTCTTTTGGGTTGATGCTATAAGTGGAATTGCTGCCTCATGTGAGAACTGTATGTTTCTGAAGAACTGCTAAACTCTTTTCCAAAGTACTTGTTCCGTTCATCAATACCGTCAGCAGTATAACATGGTTCCAATTCCTCCACACTGTTGCCAAACCTTTTATTTTCTGTCTTTTTGTTACAGCCTTCTTAGTGGGTGTAATGATCTCTCATCCTGGTCTTGGATTGCATTTTCATTACTGCTGAAGATGTTGAGAATCTTTAAGTGTGCTTATTGATCATTCACATATCTTCTTAGAAAACATGTCTACTCCAATGCTTGGAACATTTTTACCTTTGTTATTTGTCTTATTATTAAGTTTTAAGAACTATTTATATATTATGGGACAAATCAGATATATAATTTTTAAATATTTTTCCCATTCTGGGTGCACTAACTTTTTACTTTTTGATGGTCTTTGAAGCACAAAAAATATAATTTTAAGTCATATTTTTAATAATTGATTTTGTTCACACCCCAAAGATAACAATGTGAACAATTCCTTGCGGAGTCCAGCTACCATCAATTCAGCATTTATAACTACTCTCAATAAAGTTTTTGTGTAAGGAGGGTATCATCTAATGGAATACTTTAAGAATACTTTATCCCAAAGAAAATAGAAGGATAATGAATGATCAATATACCTTTAAAGAAGATGGGAAATAATTGAAAGGCAACACAAACCAGCTTGGACAAATAGAAAAGAAATATAAAACAAAGTGGTAGATTTAAATGTAATTATACAAATACTTTCACTCAATCTAAACAGACTTTTAATAAAAGAGCAAATAATGAGTAAGGACATAAAACATTTGAAGAACACAATTAACAAATGGAATCTTATAAAGTAAAATGATATACACACACATATATACATAAACAATATACATGTATGTATTGTATATATCAACTTGAAGACACTTTTTCCTAGAGTACGTCAAGTAGTTAATCTTTACTTGAAGTGATATGTGGTGGGCAATAAATCAAGACTTAGGAAGTATAAAAAGATTCAATATTATGAAGACTATATAATCCAGCCATAGTGGAAATAAAGGAGGTTAAAAATACTATTACTAAAATATCTTTAAATTTTGGAAATTAACAAAATACACTTCAAAAAACTTTAAAGTCAAGAAGTAAATCATAAGTATTCATGCACTTTTATCACAGCAATTCTGCTCTCAATTATATACCCAACAGATATACATAAATATATAAATCTAATGCTGTATAGAAGAGTGTTCATGACAGAATTATCAACAGTGTCCAAAAATTGTTAGCAACCCAAATATCTATTCATCATAAAATAAAGACGTAATCTGTGGTTTATCAGTCAACAGAATACTACATAGCAATGGAATTACCCAAGAACTGCTACAGTAAAGAAAAAGACACTAATGAGTACATATTATATAATTCAATTACACAAACAAGCAAAACTAATGTTGTTATTCGAAGTCAGGCTAATCCTTAGTTGTGTCCTTAGTTGGAGGACAAAAGTAGTCACTAAATGGTTCAGAAACAGAAAGTTATTCTGGGCAGGTTTTGATAGCCTATACCGTGACCTGAACAGTAGTTAAATTGGTATCTTCACCCCAAGATAATGTTCAAGATGATCTTCCATTTTTGAACTATTCACTTAGTGTATGTATATTTATCTTTTGTGTTTTATATTTAAATGTATATTTTATGAGATATATAAATCATTTACAAAATTCTAGGAATCAGATAGAAAATAAGCACAGAAAATAGAGAAAATCCTAGAGGCTCCATCATAGTCTGGCCAGTAAAAGCCTCTCTTAGAGGTAACACTTAGAGGGTAGCCACAAAAAGGGAGAGAAGCATGCCTTGGGTTGTAGCAACAAAGAATACTCCAAAAGCAGGAGAGAAGGGACAAAATGTGTAAAGTGCTAAGATGAGAACACCTTTGGAAGCTTAAAGAAAATTAGAAGGCCAATCTAGAAGACAATGTGCAGGGGAAAAGTGTTAGAATAAGAGCTTGCCAGTGTCTTACAATGTAGGGTTCTGTAGATCAAATAACAGAGTTGAATGTTATGATTAAAACAATGAGAAGCCAGGCAAAAATCTTAATCAGAAGAGTGCCATAATCTGACATTAATTTCTAAAAATCATTCTGGCTACAGGGTGGGAAACAGAAGGAGACAAAAGAGTAATGTAGAAGCAAAGTGACAAGCTATGAGGTATGTCACTCGCCATGATAAAATTCCTTTTTAGGAACTTACAGATGATAATTCTCACATCGCATTTTCACAATCTTTCTTACGGCACTTAAAATGGCTCATGATGTTGAGCATGTACTCATATGCCTGTTTGAGAACTAAGAGTGTAATTGGATTGTTCATAATACAAAGGATAAATGCTTAAAGGGTGAATATCCTATTTTTCATGATGTGATTATTTCACATTGTATCAAAACATCTCATGTACCCCATAAATATATACACTTAATATGGACCCACAAAAACTTAAAATTAAACAATTAAAAACAATTAAAATGCCTTATATTTTCTCTGCTTGAAAAAAATTAACTTTCTCACCTGGTCTTCCATTTCTACTTTAAAAATATTTGTCAATTAGAAAAGTCCAATTTAAAAGCCAAACTTTCTATGATGACTCAAATTAAGATACACAAATTCTCTGTCATTTCTTTGACATTTACTTTGAATTATTGGACACTTTAAAAGCCTTTCATAGACTTGATATGTACAGGCAAATTAACTTACTTTCAGTGTTGGTATCTTTATTTTTGTCCTTCAGATATAAAGAGAATGTTATGAAATTATCAAGAATTCAACGTGATCAACCAGTGAAGCCCCTGGATCGAGCAGTCTTCTGGATTGAATTTGTCATGCGCCACAAAGGAGCCAAACACCTTCGAGTTGCAGCCCGTGACCTCACCTGGTTCCAGTACCACTCTTTGGATGTGATTGGGTTTCTGCTGGCCTGTGTGGCAACTGTGACATTTATCATCACAAAGTGTTGTCTGTTTTGTTTCTGGAAGTTTACTAGAAAAGTGAAGAAGGAAAAAAGGGATTAGTTATGTCCGACATTTGAAGCTGGAAAACCTGATAGATGGGATGACTTCAGTTTATTCCAGCAAGAAAGACTGTGATGCAAGATTTCTTTCTTCCTACGACAAAAAAAAATCTTTTTGAAATCTACCTTGTCAAGTGAAAATTTGTTTTTCAGAGATTTACCACCCAAGTAATGGTTAGAAATATTTTGTGGCAATGAGGAAAACACTAGGGAAAATAAAAAATAATATAAAGCCATATGAGCTTATATTGAAATTTGTTGCACTTATATTGAGATTTGTTGTTTTAATTCGCAAGTTACATGAAAAAAAATTACTCAGCTTAACTATATTTCACACATTTTACATAAACACAAGAACATTAAGAAGTCTACTGACAGTATCAGTACTGTTTTGCACATACTCAGAATAATTTGGCTTCATTTTGCACAGGATTCTGTTGTTTTAACTGTTGCTAAAGAAACTATTACATAGTTAAATTGTATAGAAAGTTTCTCTCTGCCTTTTGATATTTTGAGATAAGTAGTATTGCTTCACTTTTACACTCCATGCAGCTTTATTGTCTAATTTTTTGCTAAAATTGATGGCCAAATGTTTACTGTTTTAAGAACTTAAGTCATTTCTCAGTGGAAATTATGTGGAATTAGAAATATAGCCACTGTTACCTGCTTCCTACTGTAAAATTTAACTATTTTGCCACATCTTTGGTTTCATGAGCAAATTCTATTTTTTCCAGATATTTAAACATATTTGTCTGGTTGATTTTATTCTCATAGTTTTAATTACTTCAATAGTTATTTGGGAACAGGTTGTGTTTGATTAGATGGATAAGTTTTTTAGTGGTAATTTCTGAGGTTTTGGTGCACATATCATGTGAGAAGTGTACCTTGCACTGAATGTATAGTCTAGTATCCCTTGCCCCCCTCCCACCCTCCCATCTGAATCCTTAGAGCCCATTATATCATTCTTATGCCTTTGCATCCTAATAGCTTAGATCCCACTTATAAGTGACAACTGATGATGTTGAGTTTTCTATTCCTGAATTACTTCACTTAGAATAATGCTCTGCCACTTCATGCAAGTTGCTGTTAATGCCATTAGTTTGTTTCTTTTTACAGCTTAGTAGTATTCCATGGTATATATGTATATATAGTATCTATATGCATGTGTGTGTATATGTGTATGTGTGTGTGTGTGTGTGTGTGTGTGTGTGTGTGTATCAGGGGAACCCACCCTCAATATTTCAATGGAGTTTCTTTCTATTTTCCATAAGTGTTGGCTGGCTGAGAAATAAAGATAAAGAGTACAAAGAGAGGAATTTTACAGTTGGGCCACCGGGGTTGACATCACATATTGGTAGGACTGTGATGTCCACCCGAGCCTCAAACCAGCAAGTTTTTTATTAAGGGTTTCAAAAGGCAGGGGTGGGGGGGGTGTAAGAACAGGGAGTAGGTACAAAGATCACATGCTTCATAGGGCAAAAGGCAGAACAAAGATCACATGCTTCTCAGGGAACATGCCAAAGAGCAAAGCAGAGCTACTGATAAGGGTCCAAAAAAGATCACAAGGCAAAGGGCAAAAGCAGAACTACTGATAAGGGTCTATGTTCAGCAGTGCACGTATTGTCTTTATAAACATCTTGAACAACAGAAAACAGGGTTCGAGAGCAGAGAACTGGTCTGACCACAAATTTACCAGGGTGAAGTTTTTCCCCACCGTAATAAGCCGGAGGGTACTGCCGGAGACCAGGGCATATCTCAGCCCTTATCTCAACCGCATAAGACAGACATTCCCAGAGTGGCCGTTTATAGACCTCCCCCCAGGAATGCATTCCTTTCCCAGAGTACTAATATAAATAGTCCTTCCTAGGAAAAGAATTTGGTGATATCTTCCCTACTTACACGGCCATTTATAGGCTCTCTGAAAGAAGAAAAATATGGCTCTTTTTGCCCGACCCCACAGGCAGTCAGACCTTATGGTTGTCCTCCCTTCTCCCCTAAAAATTGCTGTTATTCTGTTCTTTTTCAAGGTGCGCTGATTTCATATTGTTCAAACACAAGTTTTACAAGCAATTTGTACAGTTAACGCAATTATCACAGTGGTCCTGAGGTGACATACATCCTCAGGTTACAAAGATAACAGGATTAAGAGATTAAAGTAAGACAGGAGTAAGAAATTATAAAAGTATTATTTGGGAACTGATAAATGTCCATATTAAAATGAAATCTCACAATTTATGTTCCTCTGCCTCAGCTCCAGCCAGTCCCTCCATTCGGGGTCCCTGACTTTCTGCAACATCTGTGTGTGTGTGTATGGATGTATACTACATTTTCTTTATCCACCTATTGGTTGGTTGATGTGCATTTAGGCTAGTTCCATTCTTTTTTTTTAATTGCAAATAGCTCTGTTGTAAACATGTATGTGTGTGGGTCTTTTTCATATAAAAACTTTCTTTCCTCTGGGAAGATACACAGTAGTGCGATAGGTGGAGCAAATGGTATTTCTACTGTTATTTCTTATAGAAATCTTCATATGGTTTTCCATTGTAGTTGTACTAGTTTACCTTCTCATAGCAGCATAAAAGTGTCCCCTCTTTACCACATCCATGCCAATATTTTATTATTTTTGGATTTTTAAATTATATGCATTCTTTCAGGAGTATGGTGGTATTGTATTGTGGGTTTGATTTGCATTTTCCTGATAATTAGTGAAGTTGAGCATTTTTTCATATATGTTGGCCATTTATATATCTTCTTTTGAGAGCTGTCTATTTTTTACCTTAGCCTACATTTTGTTGGGGTTATTTGTTTTCTCCTGTGGATTATTTTTTTTAATATTTTTTTATTTTTTATTTTTTGCCATTTGAAGATTCTGGACATTAGTCCTTTGTGAGATGCATAGTTCATGAATATTTTCCACTACTCTGCGAGTTGTCTGTTTACACAGCTGATTATTTCTTTTGCTGGCAGAAGTTTTTTAGTTTAATTAAATCACAACTATTTATCTTTGTTTTAGTTGCATTTGCTTTTGGATTTTTGGTCATGAGGTTTTTACCTAACCTAATGTCTAGAAGAGTTTTCCCAATGTTACATTCTAGAATTTTGTATTGTTTCAGGTCTCAGATTTCCTTATTTGATCCATCTTGAGTTGACTTTTTATAAGGTGAGAGACAAAGATGCAGTTTCATTCTTCTACATGGGGATTGCCAATTATTCCGCCCCATTTGTTGAATAGTGTGACATTTCCCCACTTTATGTATTTGTTTGCTTTGTCAAAGTTCAGTGGGCTGTAAGTATTTGTCTTTATTTCTGGTGTCTCTCTTCTGTTCCATTGATCTGCATGCCTGTTTTTATACTGATACCATGTTGTTTTGGTAACTTGTAATATGCCTTGTAATATGTTGGGTAATGTGATGCCTACAGATTTCTTCTTTTTCTTAGTCTTTCTTTGGCTATGCAGGTTTCAAAGCTGAGAATCAAATAAAGAACTCATCCATTTTGAAAATAGTTGCAAAGAAAAAAGAAAAACAAAACAAATTACTAAGGAATATACCTAACCAAGAAGGTGAAAGACCTCTACAAAGAAAACTACTAAACACTGCTGAAAAACGTCATAGATGACACAAACAAATGGAAATACATCCCATGCTCATGGATGGGTAGAATCAATTTTATGAAAATGAGCGTACTGCCAAAAGAAATCTATAAATCCAATTCAATTCTCATAAAAATGCCATCATCATGCTTAAGAGAACTAGAAAAAACAATCCTAAATTTCATATGGGTTTTATTATCATTTTTGACCTTTAATAACAAATGTAAGTCCTTTATTTTAGGTTGTGATAATATAGAAATTGCACTCTAAAGGGACTGACTGAATGTTCAATCTTGCTAAATATACAGGTACATATATATGTCCATTTCTTTTAAAACAAGACACAGCATCAACTAGCTAATAGATATGCTGTGAAATTTAATGTGTATTTTGAAGACACCTTGAAATAATTATCATTATTCTACATAACTATACTTTAAATGATCATATCTATTTTTTTATTTTCCACAGAGATTTTTGATTCATCCCTCCTATAAATGTAATATGTAAACATAAATTTTTAGTAAGTCAAAAAATATATACAAAGGATACCAAAAAGTTTATAAATTTTGTGGAAAACAGCTAAATCAAGCCATAAATCTCCTTTAATCTACACATCAGGGAAGCACTTTATGATCAGACTAGTCCAGATTAACAGAAACCTAGTTGTCTTTGTCACTAGAAGTCTTACCATTAACTACTTCTCACAAAAATATTCTACTGCATAAGGTCTGATTAAAAACATATATATGCACATATATGTATATGTATAATTATATAGACATAGATGAATCATGTAATATACATATACACACCCACTTGAAAACATTGATGAGATAGATTATAGAAAATTTTATACAAATCATCTAGGAATTAATACAGATATAAAGAAACACAGAACTTATATAGTGCCAAAGATTAATAATGTTGTTTTATCATGCTTATAAATCTGAATTAATTCACATAAAACCTATCCTATGACACACATAACAAAAGATTGGTATCCATTGTTCAGTGAGAACTACAAATCACTAACCAAAACTGACAAACAATCTAATTAAAAAGTGATTAAAATATGAAGAAGCAATTCAAAGTAAAAATGGCCCATAAGACATAAAAGATTAAAAAGTTACTGATGCTCAGTAAAATAGAATTAATGCCAACAAATTGATGTCATACAGAAGATTTGCACCCTATAAAAACCTGAGAAATCTATTTTGAGGGAGTATAATTTGAAATAACCCTTTTAAATAAAATGTAAATATGCCATTTGAAACTGAAGTTCTACACTTAGGAATCTGTCATGAAAAATCCATGCACATCAGCACATGTATGAACAGAATGATTCCTCCGGCACTTAAATGGCTTTCAGCCACTGAACACATGTACCTCCAACAAATGTATGAGGGGAGCCATTGCAGAAAACAGGCTGATTATCACATTGCTAAACAGAAAAAGTAGTTTCCAGAAAAAAAAAGTATTTTTTGCAATGAAATAAAATATATGTAAACTAGTACAAACAAGAAAGAATCTCAAAAAACACATGTAATTCCAAGGATGAAAATTTTAATTTTTATTCTATATAATTCTGCAATGTTTAACTTTCCACAAAGTTTTAATGTATTAATTATCATATTTAAAGTTTAATTTGTGAAATAAGCACAGCCATTTAAGACAGAAAATTTCAAAATGTGACATCGCATTATTAATTCGCTAGTGTTATTCAAAAAACTTGATAATGTTTCTCATATATTATTTTATCCACTTGCAGGTTGTTTTTAGGACAATCCTTCTAGTTTTGAAAATATGTATGAATAAATATAATACAATGTTTAAAAATTGCAATAATTGTAGAAACCTAAATTCATGCAATTTTAATATTTTTCTTGTACTATTTTTAATATTTTATGAATCATACAATAGTTTAATAACTTCTGCTGCCTTCTTCAAAGGGTTATACTTGTTGTTATTTTGAGACATGAATATAAATACATTGACAATTTTCCTATCAATTAATATCCCCTCCTTTTGAAGTTTGGCAAACTTTGTAGCTGTCTCAACAAAAAGAATGTAATGAAAATAATGTGGCTAAACTTTCAAAGCTCTGCTGGAAACACAGCGTGTTCTCCTTCTGTTTCTCTCTCTCTCTCTTTCTGTTTCTTTCTCTTTTTTTTTTCTTTTTTCTTATCATACTTTAAGTTTTAGGGTACATGTGCACAATGTGCAGGTTAGTTACATATGTATACATGTGCCATGCCGGTGTGCTGCACCCATTAACTCTTCGTTTAGCATTAGGTATATCTCCTAATGCTATCCCTCCCCCCTCCCCCCACCGCACAACAGTCCCCAGAGTGTGATGTTCCCCTTCCTGTGTCCATGTGTTCTCATTGTTCAATTCCCATCTATGAGTGAGAACATGTGGTGTTTGGGTTTTTGTCCTTGCAATAGTTTACTGAGAATGATGATTTCCAATTTCATCCATGTCCCTACAAAGGACATGAACTCATCCTTTTTTATGGCTGCATAGTATTCCATGGTGTATATGTGCCACATTTTCTTAATCCAGTCTATCGTTGTTGGACATTTGGGTTGGTTCCAAGTCTTTGCTATTCTGAATAGTGCCGCAATAAACATACGTGTGCATGTGTCTTTATAGCAGCATGATTTATAGTCCTTTGGGTATATACCCAGTAATGGAATGGCTGGGTCAAATGGTATTTCTAGTTCTAGATCCCCGAGGAATCGCCACACTGACTTCCACAATGGTTGAACTGGTTTACAGTCCCACCAACAGTGTAAAAGTGTTCCTATTTCTCCACATCCTCTCCAGCACCTGTTTCCTGACGTTTTAATGATTGCCATTCTAACTGGTGTGAGATGGTATCTCATTGTGGTTTTGATTTGCATTTCTTTGATGGCCAGTGATGATGAGCATTTTTTCATGTGTCTTTTGGCTGCATAAATGTCTTCTTTTGAGAAGTGTCTGTTGATATCCTTTGCCCACTTTTTGGTGGGGTTGTTTGTTTTTTTCTTGTAAATTTGTTTGAGTTCATTGTAGATTCTGGATAGTAGCCTTTTGTCAGATGAGTAGCTTGCGAAAATTTTCTCCCATTTTGTAGATTGCCTGTTCACTCTGATGGTGGTTTCTTTTGCTCTGCAGAAGCTCTTTAGTTTAATTAGATCCCATTTGTCAATTTTTGGCTTTTGTTGCCATTGCTTTTGGTGTTTTAGACATGAAGTCCTAGCCCATGCATGTGTCCTGAATGGTAATGCCTAGGTTTTCTTCTAGGGTTTTTATGGTTTTAGGTCTAACGTTTAAGTCTTTAATCCATCTTGAATTGATTTTTGTATAAGGTGTAAGGAAGGGATCCAGTTTCAGCTTTCTACATATGGCTAGCCAGTTTTCCCAGCACCATTTATTAAATAGGGAATCCTTTCCCCATTTCTTGTTTTTGTCAGGTTTGTCAAAGATCAGATAGTTGTAGATATGCGGAGCTATTTCTGAGGGCTCTGTTCTGTTCCATTGATCTATATCTCTGTTTTGGTACCAGTACCATGCTGTTTTGGTTACTGTAGCCTTGTAGTATAGTTTCAAGTCAGGTAGCGTGATACCTCCAGCTTTGGTCTTTGGCTTAGGATTGACTTGGCGATGCGGGCTCTTTTTTGGTTTCATATGAACTTTAAAGTAGTTTTTTCCAATTCTGTGAAGAAAGTCGTTGGTAGCTTGATGGGGATGGCATTGAATCTGTAAATTACCTTGGGCAGTATGGCCATTTTCACGATATTGATTCTTCCTACCCATGAGCATGGAATGTTCTTCCATTTGTTTGTATCCTCTTTTATTTCATTGAGCCGTGGTTTGTAGTTCTCCTTGAAGAGGTCCTGCGTGTCCCTTGTAAGCTGGATTCCTAAGTATTTTATTCTCTTTGAAGCAATTGTGAATGGGAGTTCACTCATGATTTGGCTCTCTGTTTGTCTGTTATTGGTGTATAAGAATGCTTGTGATTTTTGTACATTGATTTTGTATCCTGAGACTTTGCTGAAGTTGCTTATCAGCTTAAGGAGAGCTCCGGGGGATGGGGGAGGAAGAGAGGGGGGAGGACCCCCCACTGCACTCGCACGCCCGCACTGCCCAGGCTGCTGCCGTCCACTCTCGACTGCCGGCAACAGCCTGGTAGCCTCCCAACGCTCCAGCGCCATCCATTTTCAGGGCTAGTTGATTCGGCAGGTGAGTTGTTACACACTCCTTAGCGGATTCTGACTTCCATGGCCACCGTCTGTTTCTTCTCTTCATGTCTTTTTTTTCGCTCACTATTACTAAATAACTCAACCTGTAGTCCCCATAATAAATGACAATTTGTAGAGAGATACAAATATATGCCTAAGGAATCCTGGTAGCCCACTAGCACTTTGAGCCTTTCAACACGAATCTCTAAGTATGTAAGTGAATGATCTTCATATAATTACAGACCCAGGCACCATAGAAAAGTAGCTACCTAAGAAACTCTGTGAAGGAACACATAACTGACCCCACCTAACACACAGATTCTGAGAGATGATAATAAAATGATTACAGTTGTTTTAAGGCCCTACATTTGAAAACTATTTGTTATGCAGTGATACACACCTGGAATAATAATTCTACATATTTTAAATTATATATGTAATAAAATTACAATTAATATATATCTACATAATGGGAAACTGTGATACTACACTTGGAAAATATCTGTACCCCAAATAGGAGAGTCAATATAACCTGGTGGTTAAGAGCTGGCACTCTGGATCCAGATGGCCTTGATTCAAGTCTTAGAAACCACTGTATAATGATGTGGGACTGGACAAGTTACTTGAACTTCATTTGACTCAGCTTCCTCACCAATGAAATGGCAATAGTTGTCATCACATTATCAATATCATGGGTTGCTGAAAGAACGAATTCATTAATATTGCAAAGCACTAACAATTGTGTGTACAGCAAAATAAAATTGTACTATTATCATTAAACAAGTCAAAAAATTTCCACAATAATAATTTTAGTGTTCATATAATTGCATAATATATTATAGTTTCAAAACATGCTATGTTTCTAATGCAAATGATAAAAATGACAGTATTTACTATTTCAAGCATGTGGGAATTAAATTTGTAGCATAAACCAAGGGCTGACAAACTATGGCCTCTTGGCTGGTCAAATCTTGTCAGCTACTTGTTTTTTAAAAAAATAATTGGTATAATAATTTCACACCACAAAATTATACACTTTAAGCATTTAATCTTTATGATTCACTGGCATTTAACACATTTGAAATGTTCTGCCACTACCACCACTATCTAGATCCAAATTATTTTTTTCACTTCAAAAGGAAGCTTTACACCCATTAGAGAGTCATCTCGCATTCTCCCATTATCCGTGCCTTGCAACCTGGCATTATGTGTTGGCATCATTGTATAGCTTATTGGGTATATAACTTCAACAAAGTGTTTTATTTTTTCTTACTTCTAACATGTCCTATTTGTTTCTAAACAGCAATTTTATGATGCATAAAATTAAACTTCTATGTTCTGATTTCTCTGTTATTAAATATATTCAGAGGTGTTCTGATTTACATTGTTGTGAGTTCTCTCCAATTTTATATTGAAGTATTTTCTTGAGAATGGCCATAAACCAAGATCCTGGAAAGCTCTGAATAAGGTGGGGAAGTGAGTTTCAGATATATGAGTCCGGTAAAATATAACGAAATGAGAAAGAAAGAACAAAATGCAAAGGTAGAAGAAATTTATTACTCACAGTTCCTAAGTGATGTTAGGGATGATGATAGGAAACTGACAGAAAGTCCAGAGGTGGTAGAGAGCTCAACCAGCTGCCTAGAAGTGCGAGGGGGAACCCTTGTAGGAAGGCTTTTATTAAGGACCTTAGGTATTATTTCCTAGGCTTCTCCGCAGGAGTTGAGGAATGGCTAGCTTAAGGGAACACACATGAAGGGGAAAATTATCATATGACTCTGGTATTGATCATTAGGTTATATCATGGTCATCACCTCTGTGATGTGTTGCGTTTCTGGGTCATTAGGATGAGAAACATGTAGACTCTATCTCAAAGAAGGGAAGTTTTAACAAAGGCAATAGTGACAACCTATGACTAGGTCTTAAGCAACTCATGTTAAGCCTAAAAATCAATGCTGAGGCAAAACAAACTTACGACGAGAAGGTAGACAGACATTTTAGAAGAAATGTGACCTAGCCGCTTCTGGATTGGTAGTATAAAAAGTACCATGAATCAGCTTCTAAATGTAACAAGAATAGTGAAAATTGTTTTTAGAGACAACTATGCAAACATATTAGGAGAAGTTGACTGCAGTGGCATGCACCTATAGTTCCAGCTACTCAGGAGGCTGAGGAAGGTGGATTACTTGAGCCCAGGAGTTCAAGGCCAGCCTGGGCAACTTTGTGAAACTACACCTCTTTACCGTTTTCCAGTTTAGGAAAAAAATAGTGCAGCTCACAGCCAGCACTCATTTAATTTTACATAAATACACTCTTTGAGGCTGAAGCAAATCTGACTCATTTTCAGTGTGAACATACATTCTATAAACTCTTCTTGGAGTTATTTCTAAACAGAGCTAATATCAGAATCATCTGAATCATCTAATTTAGAAAAATAGAATTTATCAAATTAACCTTCAGCCAACAACTGCTTGATAATAATGTTAACATCATCGTGTATTTTCTAGGATTTGACATTTTCAACGATTGAAAATTTCTATATTTTGTAAATGGAAATAGCACCACTACAAATAGAATGCTACAAATAGAATGATATTTTTCCAAAGTTGATATACCAGAGAAATGAAAAAATAATAATAAAAGCTAGATGTTTTGTGACAAAATTATCTTGAAGTAAATGCTTGATCATAAGAAAGTTAATCAGAAAAAAAAAGAAAGATAGGAAAGAACAGCATTTCCTGTGTTCATACCACCCTGAAATGCCTCAGAAACGATCACTGCAAAAGTGCCTAAATGTTATTGGATCAGAATATGAAGTGATATATTCCCCAAGGACAATGCCAAAAGCAAAATATCAATCAGCCAATAATTTGTGAAGGTTAAGAGCTAGACCGAGCTTGTAAAATTAACGAACAAAAAAACAGAAAAGAGTCAAAGAGTGTTCCTATTAAAACCGCTGTTACTCTAGGGCTTGTGAAAATGCCCAAGGGTTCACTTTCTGAGTAGAAATTCCATGGAAATAACACTGCAATGTAAAGAGACTTCATTAAAATAGTCCATCTATTCACCAAACAAATTAACAATGAAAATTAAAAGAAAATGGGGATATAATTTCCAGAGTAATTATATTATTTAAAATATTGAGGATTAACAAATTTAAACAAGTGTACAAAGAAATAGGAAAGTGGGACTGCTATATGGGGAAAACGGGCAATAAAACATGCCTGTGAAAGGAATGAGTTGGGTCGGGTGGAGTGGGTCACACCTGTAATCCCAGCACTTTGGGAGGTCGTGGTGGGTGGATCGCTTGAGGTCAGGAGTTCAAGACCAGCCTGGCCAACATGGTGAAATCCCATCTACTAAAAATACAAAATTATACGGGCCTGGTGGTGCATGTCTATAATCCCAGCTACTTGGGAGGCTGGGACAGGAATTGCTTGAACAAGGGAGGTGGAGGTTGCAGTGAGCCAAGATGGTGCCACTGCACTCCAGCCTGGGCAATAGAGTGAGACTCTCTCTCAAAAAAAAAAAAAAAATGAGTTGTAGATTTAGTAGGCAAAACTTTAAATTAGACATTATAAATATACTCAAAGACCTCAAGGAAACCACACATAAAGCTGAAAATTAAGCTATAATGACAATGTCACATTGTCATTATAAGTCACAAGAAATAGAAGTTATATGTTTTTCAAAGAACCAAGTGAACATACTGGAATGAAAATATAATAACAGACATAGAGATTGCATAAGCAGGATTCTGCTTCATGTTTGAGGCAGATGAATAAGAGCCAAAAAAATGCCGAAGAGAGATCAATAGAGATTATATAATCCAAAGAACAGAGAAACAAAGAATGAAGAGAAATACACAGAACCTTGTAGACTTTTGGGACACACTTAAGCACAGCAACATATGCAAAATAAGAGTACCACGTGAAGAAGGGAAAGATTCAGTGAAAAATATTCATAAATAATGCCCCAAACACCCCATTAACTATTTTAAAAACACTAATTTATGCATTTCAGAGGTTCTATAAATTCTTAGTTTAGGGTAAACACAAAAAGATCCAAACAGAGACACAATAAGTTGAAAGCTAAAGAAAGAAAATTATAAGGCACAAAGACAAAAACAAGTAACCACATATAAGGGAACTCAGATAACATTAATAGCTGACTACTCATCAGAAACAATGCTGCCCCTAAGGCAGTGGTATGTCATATTCAAAGCACTGAAAGAAAAAACTGCCAATCAAAAATTATTTATACTACAAAATCATCTTTAAAAAAAATGGTGAAATAAAGACATTTCTAAACAAACAAAAACAGAAAACTATTGCTAACTAATCTGTCTCACAATAAATTCTGAAGAAAGTGTTCCAGGCTAAAAGTAAATAAACACAGAAAGCAGTGCGAACTTAATATAAAAGTGCACCTGAATAAATAATTATGTAATTTTAACAGATAATATAAATTCATATTTATTCCACTTTCTTAACAAATTTAAGAAGCAAATATATAAAGCATATATATATATATAGTTGTCATGCTGAATATTTAATTTATATATATGTAATATATTTGTTAATAATAGCCCTAGGTAGGTATGTGGACGCAAAACTCTATTGCAGTAAGAAATGACACCAAGAGGAGCGGGAGATCGGGAAGGATGGAGGGCAGGAAGGAGGAATGTGGGTTAGTGAAGGTCCCTCCACAGGGACTTGCCGCCATTAATTCTGCTGCCTCCAGCACAGCCTCAGCGTCTCTGAGCTGATGCAGCAACTTTGATATTTGAATATTTATAAAGCAGTTTTTAGTTTTATATCCTGTATAACATTCTTGTAATCACCTATACTAATTTTTTGATGCAAATGTGTAGTTACTTTTAAAATTCAGATAGCAAGTACACGTTAAAAACTTGTAGATTATACACTAGTTTATGAAGATTGCTTGGTAATTCCAAAATCAGTACCACATGTTGGTACTAGGCATGTACTACATGGCTTAGCTATAGCAGACCATATAAACCACTGCTGTCAACGCTTTGGATTGTGCCACTGAAGAGTTAAGAGCCAGCAGAATGAAATTTAGCATCACCACAAATTTGGGATATTTTAAACAGACCTATTATTAAAGAACTGCCAATCAGTCTTTTCCACCTTTAAATAATTTCCAATTGTAGCACATGCGATATTATTCTGCACATATGGGAAAAAAAGTCACTTGAATTTTTTTCTTGGAAAAAGTGCTTAATAATTTGTAATCGGAAACAAATTATATGTGCCTTTTAAGCAGATTAATGTATTTCTCAGACATAGATGATTGATAGATTTGCTTTCTTTGTAAATCATCAGATATGGGAATATAACTTATGAAACAAGTGAATATAAGTAAACTCACTCCCTTTTCATTGCTTTAGAAATGAAAAGCTTAACATTATTTGGAAGTTGAAAGTGAATGTAGTAAATACATTAATAAAAAGGGTGGGGACCATTAGTAATTTTTTACTCATCTTTACACTGGAATTATGTCTGCCTAATGATTACTTAAATATTTGAATGTTTCATTTATTATCTCAATATCTAAGTCACTTTGTATAAAACATCATGATTTTATTTAATCTGATTTAATATAAAATCAAGTCAAGGAAATATAGATGTTCTGTTCACTTCAGTCTTCTGGTAGTTCTCATTACTTAACCTGCCTTGTCCTCATTTCCTTATCAGCCATATGGAAAGCATTTTAGTAGATGATCTCCATCTTTTTATATATGTATATATTTTTGAGACGGAGTCTCTCTCTGTCGCCTGGGCTGGAGTGCAGTGGCGCAATCTCAGCTCACTGCAACCTCTGCCTCCTGGGTTCAAGCAGTTCTCTGCCTCATCCTCCTCAGTAGCTGGAATTACTGGCACCTGCCACCACGCCAGGCTAATATTTTTTATATTTTTAGTAAAGACACAGTTTTGCCATCTTGGCCAGGCTGGTCTTGAACTCCTGACCTTGTGATCCACCTGCCTCAGCCTCCCAAAGTGGTGGGATTACAGGCTTGAGCCACCGCGCCCAGTCCCTTTTTAGAATTCTAACAGACATGCTCTAATTTGAATTTGACTCATAAAACAAGGTACTTTCTTTCTTTCTTTTTTTTGAAGTTTTAAGTTCAGGGGTACAAGCGCAGGTTTGTTACATAGGTCAACGTTTGTCATGGGAGTTTGTTGTACACAAGATTTCATCACCCAGGTATTTAGCCAAGTACCCATTAGTTATTTTTCTCTATCCTCTCCCTCCTCAAACCCTTCGCTCTCTGAAAGGCCCCAGTGTGTGTTGTTGTCCTCTATGTGTCCATGTGTTCTCATCAGTAGGCTCACCTATCTATATGGATCTATGGAAATTTGATGACAGAAAATCAGATACCTTAGTACAATTACTCAGCTGTACAAGTGGGTAGCCCAGAATGACTTTCTTGATACGACTATGAAGAATAAATTTTGAAAACTTGGGTAACAGCCAATCAGGATGAAAATAGTCCAAAAGAAAATTTGTGATTCATCATTTATTATTTAAAAACTCAAAAATAAAATCTAACTTCTTTTGATTTATGTTCCAGTCCTGGGGAAAAATATAATAAACTACAACAGTTGGCATTTTTTATGCACAGTCACATTTTTTTTTATGGCCAGAAACAAACTACCTTTATTTCAAGTGTAGTTACATCTCACAAATAATTTTTCAATCATTTTCTGGGTTGTCTGTCTACTAATTCAAATGTTACACCTACCTTTTTCTCCTAATAGCTAGATATTCCAAATGTAACTGAAATATAACAGCCCTTCTTTTATTACCAGTGACAGCACTTTTTATGGGAATAAATCCCCAGTCTTTATTATGAAGTGGTAACACATTTTGTCATGGAGTGTGGCCTGTCCTTCTACTACTGGAGCATCACCACCACCCCACTCCCTGCTGCCGTGGACACCATGCCCTATCACACTCAGTGACTTCACTGTTTCTCTAAGAGAATATGTTCTAGCATGCATCCTGCTTTTTGGGGGCTAGAGTGGGGGATATGCAGTTTTTTTTGTCTGCAGTGTGCTCTTTCTATTTGTCCACTTGACAATCTTGTATTCATTCTTCAAGTCTCAAGTCACATACCACTTCTTCAATATGTAGCCATCACTTATCGCCCCAGAGGACTTGGTGCTTCTTTCTCTGAGATCTGAAAGTAATTTTAATGCAGTTTTACTGTTACAGTAATTTGTTACCTAGAGAACCATGCCCATTTCATTGCCTCATATTGAGCATTGCTCATTTTAAGACTCACCACGAATAATTATTCAAAAATTTATCTAATCCTAGGTCATCTAACAACCAAAGCTTTTATACCTCATGGTGGAGGCAATGACATCTATGAGAGGATCTACCATGGGATCCCTATGGTGGGCCTTCCTTTGTTTGTAGATCAACCCGATAAGTTGGTTCACATGAAGGCTAAGGGGGAAGCTGTTACAGTAGACTCAAAAACGATGTCATCTACAAATTTGCTCAATGCATAAAAAGCAGTCATTAATGACTCTTCATGAATGTAATTTTTTTAACTACGTAGCATGTATTTGCTGACTACATTTTTTTTTGGTAATGCTTAAAGGCAATCGTCAATTAACCACTATGAGTATCACGATCTGTTTATTTGGTGGTTTTAGTGGAAACATTTGTCAGAGCTTTTAGGATAGTGCATAAGTTTTAAAATAGCCAAAAAGTGAAATAAGAGGAATTACTGAAGATGGTAACAGAAGGATTATAAAGAAGACTGAGAACAAAGTTGAAGAAAAGAAGCATGAATATTATGACAGCACTGACTAATTTTCAGCACAGTTATGAGGGTCTTTTAGGATGAGATCTCATCAAACGTTAGACTTTAAATAAATTTTATTTTGTCTATTGAAGGTATATAAAGTGATATTATGCGATACAAATACTTACTTAAAAGGCTACCATAATGATACATAATAAACATGTCCATCATCTCACTTTAGTTACCCTTTTTTCCTTGTTTATAAAACTCTTGTAAAATAATTTATTTTCAGTAAGTCAGCATGACATAATCAATCTCTAATTCCTATTATATTTAATGCTTTCCAAATTTTTATGCTAACATTTTGATCCCATCACTGATAACTTGTAAACAACTAGAGCTTTCAAATTTGGCTTTACAAATTATTGGAAAAAGAACATACTTTATAAATGTAGCCATATTCTTTGTTCTTATGGTTGTGGTTGCTTTTGCTTATTTGGAAGATTTATAAAATCGAAAAAAATAATTGGCTTGAAAGAGAGAGACTGGAATATTCCTGTTTAATAGCCAAAATGTCTGAAACCAGAAATATAGGATTTCTAAGTTATGTCAGTACACGCATTAATTTCAGTTTTGCTATTACTATTAAATTGGTAATATTATAAATTTTAATAAATATAAGGCTGTGTTGAAAAATAAAGATAATTTTTAATTAGTTGATACTTATTGAATGTATATGAAATGACATGCATTATATTGGTAATTTGTATTATGTAACTTCTTGGTTATAGTTTTTCCCAATTGTATTAAAAATATATATCAGGATTAATTCCCTCCTTTGAAAAACACAGTCTTCCCACTCTGTTTTTTAAATATCAAAAAGAGAAGTTACCTCCATTGCTATTGCTACAGTGCCATGCTTTAGCACCCTTTTGTTTCAACTTGGTAAGGCTTATACTTATATTCATCCTTATTCCTTGTTTATTAGTCCATAATTATTTCAGCACTGGAAATAAATGGAACTACGATGCCTCAAAGTAAAATATTAAGCACCACTTAAATTTTAAAACCACAATGCAAGAAAAACAGTAATAATAGTGAACATTTACTGAGAGTGTCTTTATGATGAGAATAATTCTACCAAGTATCCTAAGAATCATTACATTACTAATTACAATAATCAGATAAGAAAGATACCACTCTTAGGCTGGGAGAGGTGGCTCACGCCTATAATCCCAGCACTTTGGGAGGCCGAGGCGGGCGGATCACGAGGTCAGGAGATCGAGATCATCCTGGCCAACACGGCGAAACCCAGCCTCTACTAAAAATACAAAAAATTAGCAGGGCGTGGTGGCCGGTGTCTGATGTCCCAGCAACTCGGGAGGCAGGAGAATGGCGTGAACCCGGGAGGCGGAGCTTGCAGTGAGCAGAGATCGCGCCACTGCACTCCAGCCTGGGCTACAGAGCGAGACTCCGTCTCAAAAAAAAAAAAAAAAAAAAAAAAAAAGAAACCATCTTATTCATTCAATTATCTTATTCATTCAATTTAACAATTCAAAAAAAGCTAGGAATAGATACTTTAAAAAAAAAAAAAGGACCAGTAGATAGCAGGTAATGATTCAAACTAAGGCCATTTACTTTTACACATTTAATCACTGATTCACTCATATAATGTCAATACTAATTCCTGATCAATGCCAACTTCTTATCAGCTTTGCCCTGACATGTACCTGAACCTTGTCATAAATTTGTCTCCTATCTCTAGACCTTGATACTATTTTGAAACTTGCACACCAGGTTCCTTACAATTTCATTAATGGCTAATTCAACCTCTGTACTCTCAAGTGATTTCTGTTTATCCTTTGGACTTATCTAATTTTCATTTCTAGGATAGAAATACTTGTTCTCTCTTAAATTATCTTTTCACATCTTGAAATCTTATGCATCCAATAAATTCTAACCCATAAACCAAAATCTCTATAACCACCAGGAAATAAAATATTTTATTTTTCCTCCACTTTTATGTGGCACTAATTTTTAACATCTACACAAAAATTTCACATATTTATATTTTATATTCTATAAGTTTATGTCTATTTGATTTTCCTTAACTGTAAAGAGAATGTTATATGGTTATGAATCATTCATTATGATCAGCTTATGAAGCCCATGGACCAAACAGTCTTCTGGATCAAGTTTGTCATGCGCCACAGAGGAGCCAAGTACTTGCTGCCGCCTGCGAACAACCTCACCTGGCTCCAGTACTGCTCTCTGGTTGTGCTGGCCTGCGAGGCAATTTTTACTCTCTTTGTCATGATATGTTTCTTGTTTGATTATCAAAAGTTTGTTAAGACAAGAAAAAAGTAGAGAGTAGCACTGTTTGAGATCTAAGGCAAGCAGGCATGATAGGGAAGGTCATGACATTTAATGCCACCACTAGTCATCAAGGTGTGGCAAAATTATCCTCTATATTTCACAAGACTTGTGCTTTCCTGATTTATTCGAATATTTTACTCTCATTAAACATTAAGTAATATATAATTATAATTTTAGAAAACCTAAAATAACTCAATATTAATGCTTATTTATGTATATTTCTAAACTGAAAAAAAACCGAGATTCACTGAAAACTCAGGCTGTTTATTTGAGAAGGTCAGAAATAGTGTGTTTCTACTGTGCATTTTTAGAAAACCCTTTTTTATTTTTATTTTATTTTTTATTTCCAACATTTATTGTAAATTCAGAGGTACATGTGCAAGAGGTATAGGTTTGTTACATAGGTAAAAAAACACTCTTGTATAAACAAATACAATGATATGGACTATATGTGTCCCTGTCAAGAAAAACAGAGCAAAACCCTTCTTAAAAATGGCAAGACACATTTTATTCTGACTGGTGAATTAGGGGATAGAGACTACAGTATAAATTGAGCTCAACTCTAATTAAGACAAAGGTAACTGGGGCTTTTAAAGAGAAAACCGATATGACTAAAAATGACGAAAACATAAAGGAGCTAGGAGGTTATATGAAAATGGAATATTACATAAAAATTCAGTGTGAAATAATTGAAAATTATTAGGTAAGGTGGGTTAGGCAGTGTATATTTTGCAGTTTGGCAGGATCATATTCCTTTGAGCCAAGACCTACCATGGAAGCTAGGGTGGCCTTTAAAGACAAATTCATGACCTAGTGCCCATATAAGCTAAGCTAAACTTGGCCCAGTCTCTTAACATGGTGTTTATGCAAGTCTTTTGTGTTACGTGGGAGTGTAAAATTCAAGTCCTTCATGAAATACAAAATATTTCTTAATGGGAATATTCTGTGTTTCAAAATTATTAACGGTCGTAACTGACTTCCTATCCAAAACTGTGCAACCTGGTAAAAATCCTTGGTTAGAAAGACAAAAGATGTTTTCCACATGAGGCCTGGAATATGCTTGAGTTACTATTTTCACTTTAGTAACAACCCTTTGTAATGGGATAATAATACACAAAATAAAAGAAGAGGATAGTTCCCTTTAGTTAGTAATTGGAGATATGGTTCAGCAAGTTTAGTCCAGTCCCTCTAGATTATAATGTTACATGATTTCTCTCCTGCAATAATATCTCACTATTTCTTAGCCTTAATTTGTCAAGTCAGACATTTCCAACTTCTTTAATACCTGGAATACTGAGGATACACAAACCACAAATATATATATAATCATTTTACTTATTCTCCCCTCATAAATATGGAAAAATAAATTGTAGATGGAATAAAAAGCCAAATATCCTGTGCAATAATTTTTAAAATCTATGTTGAAGAAAGCATAATACATAGCAAAAAGCTCTCTAAATCCTGCCTTTAAAGATTGGTCATTACGGCCTCTGGATTCAGAGAAAGGTTTACAAAGCAAGTCACAGCGAAGAAAGAAACCAACTTAGAGCAGTTCTTCTGTCTGACAAGAGATGTGCCTGAACAATCAGATGGAAGAGAGGCATAGTGATCATTGTAACATATGAAAACGATTTTTATAGTATACTTTTCTATGAAAAAAATATTTTTAGCAACAATTGGTTATAAAACAAATTATTTTAATGTCTAGAAAATAAATATACAGTGAATATTTTACTTTATTAAACTTTGAACATATAATCATGCCACTAGAAAGGAAAAAAAAACAAAGCACAAGAAAGGAAAAAAGTAATGCATTCGTGCGCTTTAATTATAGTAATGTCTTTTTTTAAAAGAGGGAAAAACTTATGGATAAATATTAGTCTGAGGCAATAATGATGCTCAGCATGTACTACAAAAGATAAATTCTGGTCTGTTTATATTTTCTTAATGAAATATCTTCTGAAAATGTATCAGAATATATCAGAATATACTTTCTTAACAAAGTACGTTCTTAAAATAGATCTTCTTTGAAATTCTTAGACCATATATCCAATACATATATCTATGTCTATCCATGATTTAACAAATAATACTTTCACCAATTTAATTCTGAGAAGCCTTTTTACATAAAGTGATATGTACTTATATATTTAGGAAAATATGTGAACATGAAGGTATGCTTGATGGAGAGTCATAAAAATTCCATGGTAAATTGGATTACAAAAATTGCAATAATATGATGTGTCTGCTTCCTGGAGATTGATTCTACAAGCATTTAAATATCTCAGCAGTTAAAAAAATTTAAACACAGAAACTCTAAGCCATCACATAGAATGATATAATTGATATAACATTCTTCATATTTGTGATATTCTTTTTAAAAAAATTTTTGAATATGCTGCATAAAGACAGGGATATGTAAGCACCACAGAAGTTGAACACAAAAATAAAATAATTGTAAGTTTTATCTTGGAAATAACATATGAAGCTGAATCTATCTATGTCAAGGACAAATGATTTATGTAGGAGTTTTCGGAATTAATTTCCTTGCAGAATGAGATACTTCTTAAAAGATAAAACAAATGTGCTATTAGAAGTTTTCCTCTTACATTCTTTAAGTATATTATTTACTATTCATAAGTATAGTCATTAATATACATATTCTTAAACTCCAACATTAATGATAAACATTACTGAGTACCTAAAGAGTGGGTCCTTGAAAGGGATGTGCCTTCCTACATCAACCACGTCACTATCACTGCAGTGTCCTCTATTGATGAAGCTTAACATTCAACTAGCTGGCACAGGGGGAATGCTTACAGGATCCTGATTCAGTATCATAAAGCTATATTTGGATCCAAGGGACAATAAATTGAACACTGGTGAGGCATAAAATTTCAAATTTCTCATTTGTTATTATTCTAAAAATTGTACCCTTGGGCACTGAATCTTGGTAAAGTTCGAGTGAGTAGGAGGCAGGACTTTCTTTTGAAAATAACGTTTTTGAAAGTGGGGGCATATAGAGGTTTTGACAAAGGTGAGCTTAGAGTTGCCCACTGAGTTCACAGTTCCACTGGTGGTCACTTGCCTAATGTTCAAATGTATAATAAGAATTGCTATACTAGTAGGTTGGATTTTTGATTTCTGTAGTTGCTAGCTTGGACTTGGTTAGAGGGATTCTTCTTGTGCTGGGCCTATGTGTGCCCTTCACTTATCACCACTCTATTCATACTCCCAACAAACCAGCACTGGAGTTGCCAGTTATTTGGTGCTTTACCTATGATAAATATGAATTTTTGCCAATTCAAAGTATATGAAGACATATCATTGATTTCATTGTTAGTCCCTAATTAATAAACTGATTAATCACTTTTGGGTTTATGATCCAGTCAGAACTTTGTTCATGTACTGCACTCATTTTGTCAAGTGATATTTTTCATTAGATTCTTCTTTAGTATAGAGACTTTATTAAGGATAAATTTGTTAGTCATAAGAGATCCAGAATCCTAAGTCATCATGACCATGGCTCAGAGTGACTAACAAATAAACAAAATTAATAAAGGTCAGATAAACAAGTAAAAATTAATGAATAATCCTTAGTCAGATAAGGTGAACTTTGCAGTTGGATTCATCAATAATAATGAAGAAATGCAGGTTGCAAGAGGTAGGACAGAATGAAATAAAAATTGAGACAATCACATTGAATCAGGGCATAAATACTTTAACAAAGCATATAATGGGAAGTTAAGACCAAGAAAACAACTAGAAACAAGAGAGCTTTGAAAGAAAAACTAATCAGGAAAGCTCTAATGGAAGGTGTTAACAAGCAGCACTTTTAGATTTTAATCAGTTTACTGGTAATTTCGAGAGCATTAAGTGATTCTTCTTGGGGGCTGTATGACTCTTTCATCTCCGAACATTTAAATCATGCTTATTTAAAAATCTCTTTAGTAAAGTTATGGTGGTTCACAGCTGTAATCTCAACCCTTTGGGATGCTGAAATGAGAGGATTGTTTGAGCCCAGGAGTTTGAAATCAGCATGGACAGCACAACGAGAGCTCATCACTACAAAAAATAAAAAATTAGTTGGGCGTGGTGACATGCACCTGTGGTCCCAGCTACTCAGGGGGCTGAGGTGAGAGAACCACTTGAGGTTAGTAAGTTGAGGCTGAAGTGAGCCGTGATCACACCACTGCACTCCAACCTGGATGACTGAGCAAGGCCTTAAAAAATAAATATAAAAATCGAAAATCAAAATCTCACTCTGGTCGTTTCCTCTATCTAGAATCCTTGAGTGCAGATCTTCCAATTGTGTATGACTGCTTAATGCCTCATGTAGTTTTCTTGAGGAAATCTTCAATGGGTGTTGCTTTCTGCAACATCCCTCATGTTCTGTATTGTAAGAGCATCCCTTCACATTTTTTCAATTGTCTCTGCTGCAGTCTAGGGAGATCTCTAGTTTCACACACTTTTTCCTTATTTATTTTTTAACAGGATGCCACTGCACCCGGTAGAGTAAATATTGTTCCCTGCTTCTAAGACTATGTCTCATCAGTTTTCCTCCCAAAAGTCACTTTGTAACAGCTCTTACAAGCATCTAGTCACAGAATTCCCTCTGATTTTAACAATCGGTAAGCATCTTTCCTTCATTTTTGTTTGTTTGTTTGTTTGTTTTTACTCTAACGCCCATTCCGGAGTGCAGGGGCACAATCTCATCTCACTACAACCTCTGCCTCCCTGGTTCAAAGAATTCTCATGCCTTAGCCTCCCGAGTAGCTGGGATTACAGGCACCCGCCATGACATCTGGCTAACTTTTGTATTTTTAGTAGAGACAGTGTTTCATCATGTTGGCCAGGCTGGTCTCGAACTTCTGATCTCAGGAGTTCCGCCCACCATGGCCTCCCAAAGTGCTGGGATTACAGGCGTGAGCCACCATGCCTGGCTCTTCCATCATTTTATACTAGGCTATACATGTTGTTCTATGTCATTTTTTCTTGTAGATGTGTATGTGTCTGCAGTAGAATAAATGGGAAAGAATTGAGCCACTTAGGATCACCTCAGTATTCTATGCCATATGATTAATTTGAGGCCTGTTCATAGGAAACCTATTTTATATTTAAAATATCTATGAATAAATATTTTACAATGCATAATAAATGTTTCAGTAGTCATAAAATTTAAATTCACACAATTTTATGATTTTACTGTGTTTGTAATGTCAATATGTAATGAATTTGCTGGTTCCTTAATGGCTTCTGTTGACTAATTCAACAGCTTATATTTTGGTGACTTTGAGACATGACTGCAAATACTTTGACATTCTAATCAAACCATGGTCCCTTTCCCTTGAACTTTAGCAAGGCCTGTGGCTGTCTCAGCGAAGAAAGCATAGTGGAATTGACAGCATAATTTTGAAGACTGCATTAGAAAAGGCAGTACATTATCTCTGTCTGTCTCGTTTTCTCTGTCTGTCTGTCTGTCTTTGTTTTTACTTATGTATCTTTCTTCCTCTCTCTCTCTGTCCTTCTCCTTCTGTCTCTTTTTCTCCCTCTGTACACTTTGGAGCCCTGTGTTACAGCAAAAGTCCTGATGATAAATGACAGTTTGGGAAGGGGAGCACAGAGGAGACTAGGAAGTCAGGATTATTCAGTCAAAAAGGAGTTTCAGTCTTTTGACATCAATCACTAAGTATGTCAATGAATGACCTTCAGATGATTACATCCCCAGCCACCACAGGAAAGTAACGACTTGAGAAATACTGTGTATGAACCACCTGCTGAGCCTACCCAACACTCATGCTATGAGAGTTCTAATAAAATGCTTATTGTTTTTCAAAGTCCCCACTTTTGAGGGTAGTTGGTTATGAAGTGATAGATAACTAAAATGATATTTCTAAAAATTTAATTATACATTCATAATAATATACAATTAATATAGAGGCAAGAAAATGAAAACTACAAATGTAACATTTTGAAAATAACTGTAACTCAGAAAGGGAGGTCAGCATAGCATGGTGGTTAAGAGCTCTTGCACTCTGCATCCAGTTAGCCTGGATTCAAGTCCCTGCAAAACCACTACAGAATTTTGTGGGGTTTGGCAAGTTGCCTCCACTCTATGCCTCAAATTCTCCATCAGTGAAACGGAGATGGAGTAATGCCATTATCTACCTCAGGTGGCTGATGAAAGGACTGATACATTAACCTGGTAAAGCACTACAGTTGCTGTATGTAACAAACTAAATTTGCATTAATTATAATAATTATTAAGTAGACAGAAAAATTTCCACAATGATTTGAGTCCTTACCTAAATTGCCTCATATATTTTTAAATGTATCATGCTTCAAATGTAAATGATAAAAATGACAGCATTTGCTATTTTAAATATGTCAGAATTAAATTTATGATAATTTAATTCACCAAGGGCTGACAAATCAGTTGGGTCCTCTGGGCAAAATTTGGTCAGCCACATATTTACATGTTTTTATTCAATATTTGAGGTAAAATTACATAAAATAACATGTACTATTTTAACCATTTAAAAGTGAACAATTCAGTGGCATTCACAGTATTGTGTATCACTTCAATCTAGATCCAAAACTGTCACCAACCTAAAAGGATGTTTATACACATTAGACAGGCACCCTCCATTCGAGCTTGCCCTATCCTGGTAACATGGCATTTTCTGTTAAAATCATTCTGTTGTATATTAGAAGATTTTTTTAAAGACATAAAAAATATGTTTTTTTCTTAATTCTTTTGGTGTTATGTATCACATTTGTTGGTTTGCATATGTTCAATCTTCCCTGCATCCCTGAGATAAATCCCAGTTCATCATAGTGTATAATCTTTTTGATGTGCTGTTGAATTTGATTGGCTATTATTTGTTGAGAATTTTTGCATCTATGTTCATCAGAAAAGTTGGACAGATTTTTTTCTGTATTTTATTTTTTATTTTTTTACTCCCTCTTTCTGGTTTTGGTATCAATGTGATCCTTATCCCAGCCATAAAACCCTATTTTTTAAGGCATTCAATTCTCCTTCATGTTTTGGAAGAAACATTTTAGAAAAATGGTTTAACTATTTTTTAATAAAGTACATTTTTATGTGAGTTTTTATTACTGCTTCAATTTTGTTACTCATTATTTCTCTGCTCATGTTTCTATTTCTTCATAATCCAATCCTGATTGGTTGTACATATCTAAGAATTTGTCTGTATACTTTAGATTTTTTAATTTTTTGGCAGGTACTTGTTTGTAATAGCCTCTTATAAACCTTTGTATTTTTGTGTATCAGTTGTTATGTATCCTTTTCATCTCTTATTTCATTTATTTCCGTCATCTCTTTTTGTAGCTATTCTAGCTGAAGCTTTTTCAATTTCTGTATTTAAAAAAACAATTTTTCTCTTGTTGATCTTTAAATATTTTCCAAATTTTTTTTAACTTTATATTTTCGGTGTTTCCTGAGCTCTTTTATAAAAAGATGTGCTCTGAATTCTCTGTCAGAAATGTTATATATGTTTATTTCTCCTACTGCATTAGGTGAGTTCTGTTGTTTTTTAGCGGTGTTGTGTTTCCTTTCATCTGTACATTGCTATTTCCATGTTTAAAGAGATATCCACATGTTCTAGCTTTTATAGGTGTATTCTTGTGTTGTTCAACCTTTACTATTTATTATTGGAATCTAATTCCTTGCCACCAGTTGCTTTTTGTTTGGGCAAGGACTTAATATTTGCCACCAGAATTTAATACTGCACCAAAACTCAATATTTGCTCTAATGTTGTTTTCCAGTCTTGGGAGACTTATTGTGAGCATCTGAACTTAAATGCTGCACTGGAACTTAAACCCAGACTTGCAGTGATTTCTAGATCTGGGAGAAAATTAAACAATCATGGGAACTTGATTTCAAACCTTATACTTGTTTCCCAGTCATGGAAAATCTCCACATGATTACCTGGGAATTGTAAAAAGTCTTATCAAAGATTCAGACCTTCCTTTAGATCTTGCCCCCTGCAGTGCTATCCTTCTGGTCAAACTCCTCAGTGTGGTATCCCTGTAGCTAGGTACACAAAGCAGATGCCAAGATCTGTGTGCCACTCACTGTGATTACTACTCTCACTTTTGTCTCCAATTTACCCCCGGTGGTTCAGCCCTCTGAACACTCTTCATACCTCCTGTGGGGTGGGACAAATGTGGGCTTTCCCCCAAAATTTACAGACCCATGAAGAAATTAAATGTCCACTTGAAATTTCCTCCTCCCATTTCAATAACTGCAGGTGAAAGGAAGTTATCTCACAGTGGTGTCATTTTGGTGTGTGGAAGGGGAGTGGTACAGTCCAAAAAAATTATTCATCTTACCAATCATAAGTTTTCTCAGGTCCGTGAGTCTTGAGGTTTTCTCCTTCTTTCTTGAGATCTGGTGAATTCAGAGTGGCATTTG
The DNA here is from genome assembly GCF_000001405.40 of Homo sapiens. NCBI lineage: Eukaryota > Metazoa > Chordata > Mammalia > Primates > Hominidae > Homo > Homo sapiens. Next base: position 69,449,582 of record NC_000004.12, read on the forward strand.
TGTATTTGGATAGCTACTAGTTATACTTTTGTGGGAGAATTGATGTTGGGTTTTTACAATTTTATTGTTTTGTTGACATCACAAAGTGTCAACAAATTGACACTTGATATTGTTGAAATAGTTTTATGAGTTTGCAAACCATTATGTTTTTAGAATTTGATGTCTACCAAATATTAAATGAGTTGGACATTTCTCACTTAAATGTTCTGTATAATTATCGGGTTGTGTGCTGCTTCTAGTAAATAATTATTATATACTGAAGCTATATGTTTCTAACACAAACTTTATAATTTCTGTTCTAACATGCATCTCAGAATATAGGGACAATATAGCTATATGTATGACAACTTCAAAATTTTATTTTAAAAGTATACATAAACTATATTATTTTATGTGGTATTGCATCTTTATAATGAAGACAATTTTTTCTCTGGAGAAAATGGAAGAATTTGCCCAGAGCTCTGATGAAGACGGTGTTGTGTTTTCTCTGGAGTCAGCTGTGCAAAACCTTACAGAAGAAAAAGCTGATCTTATCACTTCGGCCCTGGCTCAGATTCCACAAAAAGTCAGTACAACCTCCAATCCTTATAAGAAACTATTCACACAATGGAGAAAGTATGGCTTTCCACCTGGAACTTGAATCTCATTTTTCAATTTGCATAACAGGCACTAGATTTATGTAACAATTTGGAAAGTATTATGGTAGTTTATGTGAGCACAACTGATTATTTGTCTAGTGATCTTTGCTATTACTTTAGTAACACATCTCTTGGTTGTCGTTTGTTAATAATAAAGTAAAAATAAAGCATTAAGTCCCTATTTCACGTTGCAGGATTTGAAATCTTAAGACCTATTCTGATGACTCCAAAGGAAACTTCTTAAGTATACTAGCTCAAAGGAACCTAAACTTTGGGGGATGATATAAGAAAGATAGAGAAGAATCATGCTCAATATTATCTTCAACATATTTTATTGTATAGGAGCTCTATTCAGTGTGTTTGAACATAAAAGTAGAAGCTTAGATTTATGTAGTCTTTCTAATGAACTGGAGTTTTCTATAGTTACAAGGCAATTATGATTTTAATATTACAGTCTAACAACCTGCATGTAATACTTTATGATATTCAATTAATTTTATTACTGTAATTCTAGTTTTCCTCTCTTTAGTTAGTGCTATTTATACACTAGCCTCAAGGGTTACTTTTTAAAATTTTATGTTTAAATTTCAAAACACTCAATAAAAGCCAGTATGCTAATTAGGAATGTGAAATTAGTTTTGATTATGAGATTCTCTTTTTGGGAGTTCAGAATATCTATGTAATCCTTTGTTTTCAAGTGTAAGATTTTCATATAGGTTTCCAGAAAGAAAAAAGTATGGAATTAAGGTACAAATACAAACAAAATTCAGCCTTGAACAATGAAGTATAGGTAACTTCTGTCTCTTTCTTTTTTGATTAAAAATAAATGAAATAAAGGAGAGAATGAAGCATAAAGAGAAAAGACAACCAACTATCCAAAACCAGACAAAAGCCAAAGCAATGTTTGTCTCTGGGAAACTGTAAATTTGATAATAGAGCTAGAATGGCCAAGTGATTTACATTTACACAGCAGTTGTGTGTCCACAAGGATATTTAACTTCCATATGCTGACAAATTAGCCAAGACTGCTTATTTGTTGTTATTTATATAATCTCCTAGATGCTTTGAGTTTGCAGTAAACAAAATAATAAATGGTATACTTGAATAGTGTACACCCTTTTGACTGTGAACAATCCTACTATTTCTTTCAGTGATTACAAAGGACCCTTATATATCCCTGTCTCAAATATCATCTGAAATAGAATGGATTGTATGAATTATAATGCTCTGAAAACTCAAAATGCTATTATATTGTGGTTTAACTTGTGAAATGCATACATTTTCTTCCTCAGGTTTTATGGAGATTCAAAGGAAAGAAACCAACTACATTAGGTGCCAATACTCAGCTCTATGTTTGGATATGCCAGAGTGATCTTCATGGTAAGATTATGACAAAGTAAAATAAGGAATTTCATGAGGGAAAAATTGAATTACTGTTTAACAGCTAATAAGTTTAACAAAAATTTAAAATGTATAGTTTGTTACTTTAATTTTAATTAAATAAATAATTGGTCATTAATTTTTTGATTCTTACTTCCTATTTTTAAAGTAAGTTTCAAGCAATGCAGAATTTTTTTTTTCAAATGAATACATATGGCTCATTTTATTCAATAATCATACTTACAGAATATATGCAAATCCGCCTTTCCAATGATAAATAGTAGTATTTAAGACTGATAAACTTTTGAAAGGGCAGTTAAAGGTTATAGTCTACTGTTTTCTAACTTCAGAAATACTTTTGTTTGAAAGGTGGGAGATAAAGTTTCAAGGAGATTAAGTCCCAATATTCCTATTTTAAATCTCTCAGCTTGTGCAGGCAGGGCAGGTAAACATGAAGTTTTTAAGGATAGAAGGGTCCTGAAAGATAGTAGAGTATGTCTGCTACATAATAGGTACTCAGGTTAGGTTTGATGAATAAGTGGAATGAAAGAATGGATAAATACAGTTGGGGAGTTCAATATTTTTAAATGAACTCCTATAAGGCAATATTTTTGCAATAGTAATTATTTATATGTGTTATGTTTATTTTTAAAGAATACAATTAAAATGAAATGATTAATCTATCATTGTTTGCATAAAAAATTGAATGAATATATAAGAAAAACATGTACATAATAAAATATATAGAAAATAAAATCTGGAAACATAAAAACATTCCCTTTTTACTTCTGAAGAGACTAAAAGTTCAAAGAAGATAACAATACACACAATAATGATAAAAAATAGGAAGCAAGAAATTATTTTTATCAGTGCAAGATTCATATTCCTCTCCTCCCAAGGATTATTCCATTAATAATAAACTTTTACTAAAAGTTTTGTACATGCTCACTGCAGCAATCACAGATAAGAAAAAGGAAAAAAACTACTTAAAATTCAAATGCTCAGAAATTACAAATTTAATATTTTATACATATTTTTTGCTAAAACAAGACCATAGTATGTTTGTGTGTATGTATAATTTAACTGATTTTTTTCCTCACTAGCTATAACAAAATACATCTTTTCACATCCACGTACTTCTGTATCTATTGCCACCTTCAATGGTCACATATTATTCCATCCAATGGATGCAACTGAAATTTATGTATAGGATTCATTCTATGGGTTCTTTTTAAAATAAGTGTTGTGAAAAATAAAGTGCATGTATCTTTCTCTAATGACCAACATCACTGGTCATTAGAGAAATGCAGATCAAAACCACAATGAGATACCATCTCATGACAGTTAGAATGGTGATCATTAAAAAGTCAGGATACAACAGATGCTGGAGAGGATGTGGAGAAATAGGAATGCTTTTACACTGTTGGTGGGAGTGTAAATTAGTTCTACCATTGTGGAAGACAGTGTGGTGATTCCTCAAGGATCTAGAACAAGAAATACCATTTGACCCAGCAATCTCATTACTGGGTATATACCCAAAAGATTATAAATCATTCTACTATGAAGACACATGCACACATATGTTTATTGTGGCATTGTTTACAACAGCATAGACTTGGAACCAACCCAAATTTCCATCAATGATAGGTTGCATAAAGTGGCACATATATACCATGGAATACTATGCAGCCATAAAAAAAGGCTGAGCTCACGTCATTTGCAGGCACATGGATGAAGCTGGAAACCACCATTCTCAGCAAGCTAACACAAGAACAGAAAATAAAACACCGCATGTTCTCACTCATAAGTGGGAGTTGAACATTGAGTACACATGGACACAGGGAGGGGAACGTCACACACTGGGGCCTGTCAGGGGGTGGGGAGGTAGGGGAGAAATAGCATTAGGAGAAATATCTAATGTAGATGACGGGTTGATGGGTGCAGGAAACCACCATGGCACATGTATACCTATGTAACCAACCTGCACGTTCTGCACATGTATCCCAGAACTTAAAGTATAATTTAAAAAAAAAAAATTGTCTCTACAAAAAACTTTTTAAAAAATTGGCCTGGTGTGGTAGTGCTCCTGTAGTCCTAGCTACTCAGCAGGCTGAGGTGAGAGGATCCCTTGAGCCTAGGAGATGGAGGTTACTGTAAGCCTCAATGTCACCACTGCATTTCAGCCTGGGCAACAGAGAAAGACCTTGTTTCAAAACAAAACAAAAGGATTGCCAAACCCAAACATAAAGCTTTTAGAGGAAAACAGGAGCCATCTCCCTTGATTACTTGGCAGCAGGCAAAGCTTTCTTAGGTTACAGAAAAACCATAAAAGAAAAAATAATAAAATAATAAATTAGACTTCATAAACAAACAAATGACAACCGCAAAATCTCCCACTCACAAGACACTGTAGAAACAATCCAAGTATCCATCGATTGGAGAATGAATAAACAAACGGAGGTGCAGAATATGCAGTGTACTCATATACATCTGTGACATGCAATAATACAGATGAATCCAAAACATGTTAGGCTGAGTGGAAACTAGCCACAAAAGAGTACCTACTGCATGCATAATTTCATATATAAGATGTTCTAAAACAATCTCTTCTGGGAAGCAAGGGCTGAGTTGGGCTGGGAAGAGGCATGAAAGGACATTTTTGTGGTGATAATAATGTCTTAGGGGGTTTGGGTTTACAGAGGTGTAAGCATTTGTTGAAACTCAAAAAATGTGTAGTGAAGATATATGTATTTCATTGTATGTAAATTTTATAATAAAATACTGAAAAACATACTCTACTCAATTATATATATATACTGACTATAAGTAAAAAAAGCACATCTCTTCCTAGATTTTATTGTTAAATTGAATGAATAAGAACTGTATATCTTTCTTATCTGGTTATTGTGAGTAGCCATGCAATGATTCTTAGAATATTTGGTAAAATTATTCTCATCATAAAGAGATTCTCAGTAAATGTTTGCTACTATTACTGTTTTTTCTTGTATTTTGGTTTTAGAATTTAAGAAGTGTCAACATTTTACTTTGAGGCATTGTATTGAATGCTTTGAGGCATTTAGTGTTGAAGTAATTATGGACTAATAGAAAAATAATAAGGATGGATATAAGTATATGCTTACCAAGTTAAAACTATGAAGTGCTAATGCATAGCACTGTAGCAATAGCAATGGAGGTAACTTCTGCTCTTGTTGTTTAAAAATCACAGTAGGAAGATTGTGCTTTTCAGATGGTGACATTAATCTTGATTTATGTTTTTAATACAATTGCAAAAAACTATAATCAAGAAGTTACATAGTACAAAGAAACAATACGATGCAAGTCATTTCATATACATTCAATATGTGTTAACTATTCAAAAATTATCTTTCTTTTTCAACACCAGAATGAGTTCATTAAAATTAATATTAAAAACATAATAGTAAATATTAAAATTATTTAATTTTTATTAATATAACTATTGATAAAATAGCATAACTAAAATTATTGTGTGTACTAAGATAATTTAAAAACAACAAATTTCTGGTTTCAGACACTTTGGCTGTTAACCAGAAATATTCCAATTTATCCCTTTCAAGTTCATTATTTTATAATTATTTCAAATAAGACAAAAGCAACCACAACTACAATAGCAAAGAGTATGGTCACATTTATACTAGTATCTTATTTTTTCAATTGTTTTAAACAGGTAAATTTGAAAGGCGTAGTGGTCTACACTTCATCAGTGATGGGATTAAAAATATTAGCGTCAAAATTATATCCTTATAATTAAATAGAAGAGGAACTAGCGATTGTTTATGTCATGCCAATTTACTGAAAATAAAGCATTTTGGGAGAGTTTTAAAATCAATAAAATATTGAGTAACTAATGTGAGATGATTGACATGCTTACCTGCTTCATTATAGTAACTTTTTCACTATCTATTTGTATCTGATAATATCACCTCGTAACTTTAAATATACCAAATAAAATTTATCCAGAAAACTAACATTTGATGAACTCTCATGCTGAAACACTGGCATAAACATGCTGAAAATTAGTTAATACTCTAATAATATTTATGCTTCCCTGCTTCAACTTTGTTCTCAGTCTTCCTTATAATTTGTTGTTCCATCTTCAGCAATTCCTTTTATTTCATTTTTGACTATTTTAAAACTTATGCACTAGCCTAGAACCTCTGATAAATATTTCCACTAAAACCACCAAAGAGAAGTATAGGCGACACTCCAGTATGAAATGTGTTACCACTTCATGATAAAGACTGGGAATTTTTTCCCAAAGAAAATGCAGTCGCTGGAAATAATAGATGTGCTGCTATTTTTCAGTTGCAATTGAAATATCCCTACATAGGGAGAAAGGGTGTTTGTAATGATTGAATTAGGAGACAGACAACCTAGAAAATTATTGAACTTTTATTGTTGAAGAGGTAACTACAGTTGAAATAGAAATAAAGATAATTTGTTTCTGGCCATAAAGAATGTAACTGTGTATAAAAAAATGGTAACTGTTGTAGTTTATTGTAATTTTCCCCAGGACTGGAACATAAATATAAACATGTTAGATTTTATTTTTGAGTTTTTAAATAATAAATGGTGAGTCTGTTTGTTTTCTGTTGAAGTATTTTCATCAGGATTGGCTGTTAGCCATGTTTTCAATATTTGTTTTCAAAGTCTCACCAAGGCCATTCTGGACTACCCACTACACAGCGAAGTATTGGTACAAAGGTATCTGATTTCCTGTCATCAAATTTCCATGTAATAATTTATATAAAGAAAATACTTTATTCTGAGTCAAATTCAAATTAAAGCATATTTGTTAGAATTCTAAAGACTGAGATCCCTGCTAAATGTCTTCTACATAGCACACAAAGAGATGAGGATAAGACAGGTTAATTAATGAGAACTACTGGAAGTCTGAAGTAAATAGAACAACTATATTTCCTGGACTTATTTTTACATTAAGTCAGTTTAAATGCAATCATAATATTTCATACATAGTGACTTAAACAATTGAGATAATAAATGAAAAATTCAAGTATTTAATTGTTAGTCATAATTCTAGTGTGAAGAAGAGTAACAAATTCATAATGGTCCACACTTTTAAAATTAATGTGTGTACTATACTTACTGTCATCTTCCAAATTTATTATTAAGCTTTTTGATTTTTAAAATAATGAAATGGGAGACAGTTTACTTATCTTCACTTGTTCCATAGTTAGAGTCTGACATCCTTTGATTTACAAAGAAAGCAAATCTATGCAATCCTCTCTGTATGAGAAATAAATTAATTCTGCTTAGGAATTACATATAAAGAGAAAAAATTCAAGTGGCATTTTTCACATATATCCATAATATTATTACATCTGTTAGCATAGACATTTTTAGATTTGGGTAAGAATGATTGGCATCTTATAAATAATAATACTGCTGAAAAAATTTCTAAAATGCAATGATGCTAAATTTTATTCAAAGACTGTTAAGTCTTTGATGACATAGTCCAAAGCATTGAAAGCAGTGTTTAATGTGGTTGTCTATAGCTAAGCCATTTGGTATATTCCTAGTAACAAAATGAGGTACTGATTTTGGAATTACCAGGAAATCTTCATAAACTAGTGTATAATTTACAAGTTTTAAAATTCATTTTTTATGCGAGTGTTAAAAATAACTTCAGGTTTGCAGACAAAAAATAGTATAGGTAATTACAAAAAGCTATATAGAATATAAAAATAAAGAGTATTTCATAAGTATTCAAAGATCATAGTTTTGTTGTACATATTAGAAAGTTAGTTATTACTATATTTTAGGGGTTGGAGCATCTGAGCTTCTCTCCTTGCTTGATTTTTCCTCTCTTTCTTCTTCTTCTTCTTACTTTTTTTTTTTATTTGGAACAGTCTCACTCTGCCTTTCTGGTTGGAGTGCAGGAGTGTGATCATAGCTCAGTGTAACCTTAAACTCCTGGACTCCATCAATCCTCCTGCCTCAGCCTCGAGAATAGCTAAGACTACAGGCATGCACCTCTGCACACTTCTATTTATTATTATTATTACTTTTTGTAGAGACAGGGTCTCTGTATGTTGCCCAGGCTGGTCTCAAATTCCTGGGCTCAAGAATGCTTCGACTTCAGCCTCTCAAAGTCTTGGGACTACAGGCGTGAGCCAGCATACCTGGCCTTGACTCTTTCTTATATCCTCTTCTTCTTCAAGTGGGTGATAGCGTAAATACATGGGTTAGAAGTGGAGTCTTTTGGGGGAACATTTTATACTGATGGTCCACCTTAAGGGCAGGATCCAATCCCCTTCCTTTCTGTTACACCTTCCTTTCAGACGTTGGCAATGTCTAGTCTATCAAGCCAGGTTGGTTTTTCTATTTCTCTAAATCTACCTGGCTGAGTGGGTGCCTAGACTCAAGGTGGGGAGCCGTGGGCTTTCTTTCTCTGAATAGTCCCCTGAACAACACACTGAATAGGTCTATTTCAAAATTAGGGAAAGTAAAGAGGCTCAGATTACATGGGAAGTCTAAATTCCCATAATACATTTTGGATTTTTTTCAATACCTACTTATTGTTATTGTGCTAGTGTAGTTAGCCATCAATATAACTCCTTTCTGATAATATTTGTAGTGTATAGAGTGCTCTCAGGATTCCTGTAAGCAAAGCGATCAAATGACAGGGCAGAATTTGGTGATATCTGTTACCTGCCTCAAATACCATAATACCAGAATGCCACACTGCGCTTCTTCATTATATATCCTTTCTGATCATAATGGTCATGCCAAAGTACTGTTCATCAAAAAAACTCTTACCATTTTATTATCTGTCATATACATTGTTTTTAAACTGACATCTGAGGTGAATTCAAATTATCTGAAAAGCTAACTTGTCAGGCAGGAAATTTTTATCCTTTAACCCTTTACAGAGTTTAAAGCTCTTTTCAGTAGTTTTCCATCACTCAGGCAATTTATCTAACCTTTGGAGAGAAGTGCACAAAGGCTGTTGCAATCACATTGACCCTTTCCTCTGTGATGTTACTGACCATTGACCCCAGAGACAACGATGCAATGCTATTTTCTCCAGATCTCTGGGAAAGTTTTCATTTCCTATGAAGAAATAATTTGCTCTGTCACAAAAGAGCAATAACACAGCCAACATTATTGGAAGAATTGCTACAAGAAACTAAGTAGAAAAAATCAAGTATCAGCCAGAATTGTTAGCGGAGTGGCTATGGTAAAACATGCATGAAACTTTCCATCATAACCACTTCTAAGTACACAGAGAATGCTAGATATATTCACAATGCTATGCAATCAATCTTCGGAATTTTTTTCTTCTAAAATGAAAACTCTATACCTAATATACAACAACTTTCCATTTTATGCTCTCCTTTTTACCTACTAATCACTTTCTTTTTCTATGAATTTCACAGTTTAAATACCTTATATGAGTGGATTACAGTGTTTGTCTTTTTTGATTTATTCACTTAGTCTAATGACATCAAGCTTCATCTACATTGTAGCATGTGTCACAATTCCTTTTTTTAAGGCTGAGTAAAATTTTATTTCGTGTATATAACATATAGCAGTTACAGTTGTTATATATTTGTTCCTTGATAGACATTTGGATTGTTTCCAGCTCTTAGCTTTTGTAATAGTGCTGTTATGGACATAGATGTGCAAATATCTCTTTGAGATCCTGATTTTCATTCTTATTAATACAATTCAGAAGTGGAATTTCTGTATCACATGTTAATTCTATCTTTAACATTTTTTGAGAAACCTCCATACTGACTTCTAGTAGTGCCAGTTTTTTAAATACGACATCGCTCAGTTCCTTTGGAAAGACTTATGTTATACAACATCAATTTTCTCTATTATTAATCTGTAGTTATGTAAGTGTGTGCATGTGCGTGTGTGTGTGTATGTATTTGATTAAGTATGTAAAGTAAGAAATAAATTAGTATCTTTACACAGTAGTGAGGGAAAGATACAGTTAAAAATATGGGAACCAAGCTCTTGTAATCACTAATATAGATTCTTAGGAAGACTACCACTGTTTACTTCTCTTTAATTTTATATTGTTATTGTTCTCCTAAGTAACTTGTTTTTATTTCAGGGAGGTTTTCTAAATCATTACTTTAATGTAGTCATTATAATTTCATTTCCTTGATTATGCTACTAAGGAAAAGTCACTTATGATTGGGAAGATATTATATATTTCTCTCAACTGTATAATTATTTCTAACCTATCTTAAAATTTGTCAGAATTTCCCAAACCTTCCTTCTAAATCACTCCTTCATCACATAAGGTAAGAATTGCTGACATCCCGAAGCCTGGTGCATGGTTTTGACTGGTGTATGGTTTTGAATTTCTGTGAACTCATCCTCAAAATCCTACTGATAATCCATAAGTAAACATGTATAGTTACATATTTCTGGGTTTGTTTATGGGTGACACCTGTTACTCTGATATCTTACTGTAAAATTGGCACCCTCATGGAATGTGTTATGTACAACTGGCTTCGAGGGACTCTCATCATCACCTCACCATGTCCTATGCGGAGGATGCACATGCACACTTCAGTGGGAGAGGTCCACCAGGCTTTTCTCCAGAAAAGATCCGGTCACTCTCTTGAGCAGCTCACTTCACGCTTCAGAAAACTCCTGCTAAAGACTTGTTTTCCTGGATTTGTTTGAGAATTATTCTTACTTGTGATCCCTTCTACTTACGAGTTTTAAAATTCAATTTCTTTCTGTAAACGAGTAATTCCCATGTTACTTGATGTACTTTCCCACCAAAAAAGAAATATGGAGAAGCCAAAGTTTCCTTGTTCTCCTGTCAAAACTGTATACTCACTTTTTTGTTATTCCTTGTGTTTTACATTCACCATTTAACTTTACTTTCTGTAAAATAATGATCAAACCCTTTGAACATAAAAAGTGTACTTTCTGATATAAATCATGGATGTAAAGCTTACTTTAAAAACAATTTTTCAAAGGAAAAAGATAAAAGGAAAAACCATTCAGCCTTTCACTGTGCCAAATATGTATTGTCCAGAGCATTCTTCAAAAGTGTGACTTTAACCTTATGACATTAGTTTCAAAATGAAGGTCACTATACTAATTATATCAACCACATAAAACAAGTATTCTGTATGATTCCAGTTACTTGTGGCAACATATAAAGTAACCTGTGTTCAACGTTTCATCTCAATGGTTTCCTGCCTAAAACCTTTTAGGGGTGGAACTTACAGTGTTGCAGTATGTCATCTCTGTTTGAAGGTTAATAACTAACATGGAAAGTTCATTCTCTTTCTGTGATATCCTTATGAAAATTATGCAAGCGTGTTGTAAGAAAATTGAAAGAGAATGAAAAAGTAAGAGTCACTCCATACACAGATACCCTGTTTAACACTTTATGCTTTTATTCTAGTCTTTATTCCTATAACTAAATGTATATTATTTTGTATACATTTAGAAAATTGTAACCCACCATATATTTCTTGTATTATTCTACAAGAACAAGGTGATCTTATATTTATTTTCTTTGCTGCTCTGTTTCCAATTAAACATCGATAATGGCTGTTTTAGTGTTATCAAAGATACTTTGATAAAACAATTGTAATATTGTGATATGTATATGCTATTTATTATTTCTTAATATTGGGTATTTAGGATACTTCCAATGTTTATTTTTGTAAATAACTGCTATAAGTGTTAATTTTGCTTCTCTTTTTTCTCTGTATAGTTTTATATGATATCTTATATATCCAAAAAGTATAAGTATTTTTAACACTCTAGATGCAATTTGCCAAATGCCATTTTCTTTTATAAGAAAGGAAAAAATTATCTGAGCATTGAATGTTTAATGGAAAAGCAAGTAATTTTGACATGCAAAAATATTTTTAACATAGAATAAGAAGACAGACTTCACAATCTTTGACTTGGGTTCAACTATTTATCATCATTAAAGTGCTATTCATCCTTCTCCTTACCTTCTTTTTCCTCAACCTCTTTCTGCTCCTCCTACTGGCACCGTCATTTTCCCTTTGTATGAATTGGGAAATCATTCAAGTATAAGGATATATTACATAGAACATTCACTAATACAACCTCAGACTTTGGACCAGTGAAAGTCATCATACCATACATAGCCTAAACAGTATACAGTCAAAATAGATACAAGATTTCAACAATTTAAAAACATTTCAGTTTTATGTCACTGCTAATATACAGGTAGACCAAAAGAATTTTTTAGAAGATCATATAACAGGATAGTAAAGATTTATTGATTTCTACATATCTTAAAAATGTGATATGAATTTGAAATATTTAAATTTATTTTCTTATGTTCCTTTCTAAGAAATATTATCCTATATGCTGACAGAATTATTTTGGAATTTGAAACTCAGGACAGTTTTCAGATACAAGTGGTAAAATTATTTGATCTTTATAATTTATGCAGTGTACATTTTCTCTGTGTTTCCCTGTCAGGCAGGTATGATGTCAAGACCCACATTTTCCAAGGAAGCTTTACTGAAGTGTTTTATAGGTTTGGCATATAGCATAAATCACCAGCTCTGATAAGGTAAACCATCACTTTTATTCTATAAGATGTACAACTCTGTGATCTCGGACGATAATTTAATTATGGGGTGAGGGCAAGTCAACATTGGATATGGCTGCAATTATTGGTAGGGCAACACATTTACACTGTTGAGAACTAGTGTACCTTTTAAGTTAGAATGCTGGTGAAGAGTTTCAATCCTTGAAAGACAATTTCAGCATTTCATCCTTTTTATCTTATTGCAACGGACGGTGTACATTTTGCATGTCTTAAATGCTTCTTCTTTCCATAGGTTTGCCCCTTCTGCAAGTCAATCTAGGCACTGCATCTTAAATGGTTTTTCTTCCTTCTTCTTTAAGGAAGTTTAATAATATACCTTCCTAGCTCAACTTTTTTCTCTGGCTCTCCAACGCCCTTGGCGGAATATCTGACTCCAAATTACCTCTCTAGAGAAATCTACCTCTGTATTCAACTTCTTCCTGCCAGACAAAACTTGGAGTGTTGGGAACTAACCTGTCATTACTACTCTACTGCTTTCTTTCCATGTCTTCCTTTTCCCTTCATCTCTTCACCTATTTCTGTACATCATTCAGGTTTTGCTTTTATTATCAACGTTGTTGGTTTACTCTCTATTATCCCCATTGAAAATTTCCCTAGCATTGTGGTCTTTCCTTTTTAAAATCTTTTTCATGCAATTTTTATGGCATGTTTTTTTCTTCTGTCATTCCAAATAGAACTTAAAGTGTATGGGAGGAGAAACTGTGCCTAAATTTGTTTATCTGCAAATCCAGCAGTTACCTCTGGTGTATTTCAATCATTTTATAAGTAGTTTTTGAGGGAATGACTTATACTGTCTTATATGTTGAATAATGAAGGCCTTAGTTTAAGTAACCCTATTGCTAATGTCTCAAAGGCATACCACTTTGTTCTGTAATGATAACAAAATTCAGACATTTGTGATGGTATAAAAATATATGAGTTTCAAATTGGCAGATTACTTTACCTCATTTCCCAAATCTCACTGCAAGCCAAAACTCTGAAGAATGAATGCAGCGTCATCCTCACTGAAAATGCAAAGGAAACACGGCAGAGTAAACATAAATATATTGGTCTTAGACAGGGGATTAGCAGGTTTGTAATAGGGCCCTTCAACAAAATCAAAATTTGGTAAGTTTCGGTGAGGAAGTACTAAATACCGTTGGGTTCAAATGAACCATATTTCTGCTTTCCCCTTTGTCTCAGATAATGTAGTGGGTCTCCCAGAATGAGTAAAATAAAAAACAAAATATTACTAGAATTTTCATGTGAATATACTTTGTAATTTCTAAAAGGAGTTGGAATAATGCAGTCAATGATGTATAAAATGTCTAATAATTGATAAAACAAATATACTTATTTAGCCATAATATAACTTACATGAATAATTTGTGTTGTTTATATTATGTATATATACACACACATAAACACACACATATTTATAAAAGGTACAGTGAGAGGAGACTACGTCTGTAACATTACATAGGTGTATTCACAACCGTAAATAGTTATTGAAATAACCCACCATAGAATTGAACATGTATTGTTTTTCTCTCAAAAGATGCAAAAATAACAGATGTAAATGTAAACAATTATATTAGCTCTAGAATCAAGTAATCTTAACATCAGGAAACAGCTTTCCCAGGAGTACTCAGTCTATGTTTCTACTATTTAACAAGCATGTCTTTAAACCTTGGTTTCCAAGCATGTCTTTAAACCTTGGTTTCCCAAGGGAATGAAATGTTTTTGAGAGAATGTCTGAATTTCTGCTATCTTGAAAAACAAAGATTCAAAGACGTGCTTGCTAAATAGTAGAAACATAGACTGAGTACTCCTGGGAAGGCTGTTTCCTGATGTTAAGATTACTTGATTCTAGAGCTAATATAATTGTTTACATTTACATCCGTTATTTTTGCGATAGATTTGTTAGGACTTAATAAAAAATGTGTGACTATTCTAAACCTCAAATTGTACTATTATTAGAGGTTTTTGAGTATCAGAAAGAGATAATATATTATTTACCAGTGAAATAATCCTTTAAGTAATATGAAATACATATTTTCATTTTCAATAAGGAGACTGAGGTACACAAGGTAAAACAGTTTCCTCAGCGCTACATAGATAGAAGTGCTACAAATATATGTGTCCCTCATGAATTTATATCTTTATCAAAAAATTAGGGAGATGTCTGCTGAATTTTTATGAGATGAAAATAAATGTATGGTAAATTGTATATCTAATTGCTCACAGACATCCATATTGCTTCAATTCATAGTTGTATAACGTTCTAGAGTGTCCTGTGTGAGTGATGGCCACAGGATTCTAATGGATCATATAACATCAGCCGTTCCATAATGTTTGGAAAATAATCATTTTGTCTTTTTATTTCATCATTTCGCCTATAAAACACAATTTTCTGATTTTATATTTATATAACTTTATCTTCAAAGGCATCGTGAAAGTTAGAACTTTATACTATCAATTAAGAACATACATAGTTCTTTACTGTAAAACTGATCCCACTTCTTCTCATTAAATGTTTGGAACCAAAAGTCAAAATAAATTACATATACATTTTGCGTTCTCCATATATGTTACACTTGGTTCCCTAATTCTGACAGAACAACAGGCATGTGGAAAGGAGGGAATTGCAGTCCTCCACTGTACTTCTCCAATACGTAACCAGGAAAGAGGCAGAAACTGTAAAGAAAGGATGATTTAAGTAGCTCAGCCAGCATCTCACCACAGGGACTGATGGCATGTGCAAGAAGTACATCAAACAATGACTTTTGTAGTTTTTTCATAAGTTTCTTGTTCAAAACCAAATTTTTACGAAGATTTTCATAACAATCAGCATGCTAAAGTGAACTAAATATGGCCCGAGGACTTTGTACTTTTATATTTGAGTCCTTGTGGATGAATTGCCACCTACCTTAATAGGTAGACAAAACTGAAAACCTAACTTAGGAGTATGTGCCTGTAACAATAACTGAGTCTTGGCCAATCTCAGCGGCCATACTTCAATCATTCATACACTGTTAAGTGTTCAAACTTTGTTCAAATAAGGCCAACGCCAACCTCTAACCAATCCAGCTGTTGTGTACCTAACTTCCTATTTCTGTACATCATTTCCCTTTTTTGTCTATAAATCTTCTTCCACCACGTGGCTGTGCTGGAGCCTCCCTGAATCTGCTGTGATTCTAGGGGCTGCCCAATTCTTGAATTGTTCATTGCTCAGTTAAACTTCTTTAAATTTAATTTGGTTGAAGTTTTTAGTTTATCAGATGACATCAGAAGCAGGATCTGAAGTGGAGCTTCTAGAGACCCCCAGGAGCTTTTAGTGAACAAGCAAAGTACTTGCAGGGCCCACTTGTGTCCATTGATCTCCAGAGTGGCTGGGGATTGTGGTTAAGCTCTCTGGGATTTTGGAACTCCACAGATTTGTGTTTTGAGTTCTCCAAGTTTCTTTAAAAAAATTCCTGATCCAAACTGGGTTTGGAAACTGTGACAGAAATGGATTTGATCTGGGAATTTACTGGCTTGGATATACTTAGAGGCCTCTTATATCTGACTGGGGCAGAAAGGAACTAGTTAAGCAGTTATATGGCAGGGGTTATAAAATTTGGCTTGGAAAATTTACAGAGATTTTTGTGTTACACCCTTTGCTTTATTTTTCTTGCATGCTTAGGTAGGAAAAAAACCACTGGCTAAGTTAATCAAGAGAATTGGAGAGTAAAGCCAATATTTCAGATAAAAATGGGATCCTTAAGTTCTTTCCTGCTTATACATGATGCCTGGGAAGCAGCAAAGTCTTCCAGAAATGACGAACCCTTACTAAAGGTAACTTACAGTGGAATGTTCTGAATGAACAAAAATGCCTTGAAGTACATTTAAAAATGAGGGCTCTCAGTAAAGTCCCTTTTGGCTGAGAACTGGTTTGACACTATGGGATGTTAACTGCTATTTTCGTTGGATTAATCTGTCTTACATTTATTGCTGACTGCTATGGGTGACAGGATTAGGCATGTACAAAACCATGGGACACGGGGAGCTTTTTCCTCCCCAAAACGGGAAACTTGATAGCTGATGGAACTGTGTCCACAGTTCGTTCCTTCCAGTGGATTCTTGGTCTCACTGACTTCAACAATGAAGCCACAGACCCTTGTGGTGAGTGTTACAGTTTTTAAAGATGGTGTGTCCGGAGTTTGTTCCCTCAGATGTTCATATGTCCAGAGTTTCTTCCTTCCATTGGGTTCATGGTCTCCCTTGACTTCAGGAGTGAAGCCGCAGCCCTTCGCATTGAGTGTTACAGCTCTTAGAGGTGGCGTGTCTGCAATTGTTTGTTCCTCCCGGTGGGTTCGTGGTCTTGCTGACTTCAGGAGTGAAGCCCCAAACCTTCACAGTGAGTGTTACAGCTCATAAAGGTAATGCAGACCCAAAGAGTGAGCAGCAGCAAGATTTACTGTGAAGAGCAGAAGAACAAAGCTTCCACTGTGTGGAAGGGACCTGAGCAGGTTGTCACTGCTGGCTCAGGTGGCCAGCTTTTATTCCCTTATTTGGCCCTGCCCACACCCTGCTGATTGGTCCATTTTACAGAGCACTGATTGGTCCATTTTACAGAGTGCTGATTGATCCGTTTTTACAGAGTGCTGATTGATGTGTTTACAAACCTTTAGCTAGACACAGAGCACTGATTGGTGCGTTTTTACAGAGTACTGATTGGTGCATTTACAAACCTTTAGCTAGACACAGGGCACTGATTGGTGCATTTTTACAGAGTGCTGATTGATGCACTTAAAAACCTTTAGCTAGACACAGAGCGCCTATTGGTGCGTTTTTACAGAGTGCTGATTGGTGCATTTACAAACCTTTAGCTATACACAGAGTGCTGATTGGTGTGTTTACAACCCTTTAGCTAGACAGAAAAGTTCTCCACGTCCCTACTCAACCCAGGAAGTCCAGCTGGCTTCACCTCTCAGAACCACTGGAAAAAAATCCCCTCATGACTGAAGAGTAGCTACCTAAACTTTTGATTCATTGTCAGCTGCAATGGGTGGGTCTAGCTGTGGCCTCCTTGAACTCTTTACCTTCCCACCCTGCTACAGGCAGTAGTTTTCTGTCTCTGCTTTTCCCTTCCTATCTTTTCTATTACTCAGGGCAGCCCTCTTGCCAAGAGACTAGTTGTTGAAACTCCTAGTCAGAGGTTGGATTAAAGATAAAAGGGCTCATCTGGGGGCAAATTTAAGTCTTGACAGTTTGATATTGGGTGATATGCAGAGTGGCTAATGTCTGTGTTTTATCACATATATTTTGCTTTGACCAGAGTGATAAAAGGTAATTTTCTTTTATGATGCAGCTTGGCCCCCAGGGTGATCATGTGGTAAGCTGGGTTACCAGGACCACTCAGGGAAAGAAAATCTGGAAGTCTGACATACTGGTGACACAGCTTTGATGACTGGAGTAACACCAGGGTGCTTGGTCTTGTGCCAGTTTAGATAAAAACACACGGACAAATGTGGAGTGTTTTTAAGGACTGAAAAGTTTAACAGGTGAGAAAAAAGGAAGGAAGAAGAAAACAGCTCACCTCTTAAGAGACAGAAGGAGGGGCAATTCGAACAAAGAGAAAATCCTGTGTGTGGTGGACATGTGACTACTTACGTTGGGATGCTGGAAAAGGTGGTGTCTGGTTTCCATACTGCCCAGGGGATTGGTTTGACCAGGTATTCATTTATGTAGCCTGTGAAAAACCTGGCCCTCCCACCGTAGGGCTTTAATATGCAAATGCAGTTCACCATGATGTTCCAAACACAAGGTGTTATCTGGAGGTGGCCGTGACACTTCCTACACGTGGTGACAAGAAAAAGACTATGAGAATCACCCTGTTGAGTGAATCCAGTTTCTAATGGTTGGCATTTGCATATCAAAGCTTGCCAGCCCAGCCCCTTAAGCCACCTTTTCTGTTAGAAAAGAGATGGTTTGGCCTAGTGAGGTGGCTTATGCCTGTAATCCCAGGACTTTGGGAGGCTGAGGACAGCAGATCACAAGGTCAGGAGTTTGAGACCAGCCTGGCCAAGATGATGAAACCCCGTCTCTACTAAAAACACAAAAATTAGGTGGGTATGGCGGCAAGCACCTGTAGTCCCAGCTACTCAGGTGGCTAAGGCAGAAGAATAGCTTGGAGCCGGGAGGTGGAGATAGTGCTACTGCACTCCATCCTGGGTGACAGAGTGAGACTTTGTGTCAAAAAAAAAGAAAAAAGGAAAGAGATAGTTTGGGGGTTGTTTGGGTTTTTTTTGTTTGTTTTTTGTTTGTTTGTCCGTTTTTGGAGGATTTTCGCTCTGTCTCCCAGGGTGTAGTAGTGCAGTGGCCCGATCTTGGCTCACTGCAACTTCCACCTCTGGGGTTCAAGAGATTCTCCTGCCTCAGCCTCCACAGTACCTGGGACTATAGTTGCCTGCCACCATGTCAGGCTAATTTTTGTATTTTTGGTAGAGACGGGGTTTCACCGTATTGGCCAGGTTGGTCTCAAAATCCTGACCTTGTGATCCACCCGTCTCGGCCTCCCAAAGTGCTGGGATTATAGGCGTGAGCCATCGTGCCTGGCCTGAGAGTTGTTTCTTATTAAAGGAAAGTTTCCACTGAGAACCTTTACCCTTACTATCTTCCTAAAAATGATTTCTTAATAACTCCTGTATCACTGGCAAAAGGGTAATAATAATTTATTAGCAGTCAGATTTCTGGCTATTCTCCCTCTTTTTCTCTGTGCAAACTGGTTAAATGAATGGTAAAAATCACTGTTTATCTCCTCTGTGACGTTTTAATTAATACAAAAAAAAAGAATTCTGAGGTTGGTCTTAAGCTGTAGTGAATCTGGTGTGCTTTTTGTGTCTTTCTGTATTATTCTTTCATAAAGATGGGTACCTTAGGAAAAAATGCATGCCTAAAACCTTCTAAGCCTGCTGTACAAGGTGGCTTAGCACACTGGTCAGTTAGGTCCTTGGGAGCTTGACCTTGTAACCATGTGGCCATGTTTCTCTATTCACAATGGCAGCCTAGATTCAGGGTTTAATCCCTAGCTTAGGGGATGAGCCTTTCTGATTGATATTTGGGTGACCTTAGCCACTTTTAATTCTCTTTCCTCCACGAACTATCTTAAATTTTTCTTTTTCAGAGAACCTGTAAGGTTACTTTAGGTAAAGTTTAAAAGCATAGAATATTGGCAGTTTAGTCTGGTCTCTCTTCAATTGGAATGACAAGAGCCAAAAGAAATGTGCAACCATGAGGATCTCATAACCTTTCAATATCGTACTGAGACCAGAAACCCAAAATGATGGTAGAGAGTGGTGCTAAGCCCTATGTTTTGGTCACACTCTCACCTAACAGACAACCTGACCAAAAGGGGAATTTTTTTTAACAAAATTATGGGAAACCATTATTTTGAACTAAGCTCTTGTCCTAGGCCCCAACAGACCAAACCAAACTAAAATGGAGAGTCACTTGTGCTAAATGTGATACAATTAAACTAAGACGTTAAGGAAACACAGATCCTAGAACAGACCAGGTTTTGTTTTTCTCCTTTAAACACGATGTTCCAGCATAAAAATGTACCCTTTACTCATTCCTTTTTCCTAACTTTGAGTAACTCACTGTTCTCTGTTTCCCAGTGGGTTTCAAGACCAAATAAATACATTTACAATGGTGAGAGTGACATCAATAACTAAAGTTTTGGTCAATCTCTCATAATTGAGAAAATGACCAAAAAGGGGAATTGTTAAAGTGAACTAAATATAGACTGAGAAGGACTCCATGCTTTTATATTTGAGTCCTTGTGGACAAACTGCAACCTAGCTTAACAGGTAGACAAGATCAAAAACCTAACTTAGGAATATGCACCTATAAAAATAACTGAGTCTTGTCAATCCCAGAGGCCACACTTCAATCATTCATACGCTGCTGAGTGTTCAACCTTTAACCAGTCCAGCCATTCTGTACCTGACTTCCAATTTCTGTACATCATTTCCCTTTTTGGATCTAAAAATCTTTTTCCATGATGTGGCTGTGCTAGAGTCTCTGTGAATCTGCTGTGATTCTGGGAGCTGCCTGAATCGTGAAATATTTATTGTTCAACTAAACTCCTTTACATTTAATTCAGCTGAGGTTTTGTGTGTGTGTGTGTCTGTGTTGGATGTTTTGTTTTGTTTTGTTTTGTTTTGTTTTTTTTAATCAAGCATATGCCCATGAGTTTTTCTGCAGTAGTGGAAAATACGTTCAAATGTATCTTTGGGCACACCTTTTATCTGTGCATTGATTGATCCTGTAAAAACTTTCTACAATTTGTCTTTAGTAGTGCAATATGTAGAAAAAGTTTAAATTTAATACTAGATGGTTTGTCAAGATCAAAGAAAATGAAAGATAAAGCTCTAGGACAGTCACCTCATGACCTTTCTGGACAAATTCATCCAGTGCTCACTTAACATTGACCAATGTCTTTCTTCCACCAGCACCTTCCCACAACTCCACTAGCTAAAGTAACAACTCAACTCAACTGTAGGGGGAGCAAAACCAAAGTCCATTTCATAGACACTCTGGTTAAATGCAATGCATCTCTTTGAACTACTCTTCTCTATGCCATTGCTGTTGCTTATATCTAAGGAGAAATCATCAAGAACTTAAAATAAAACCTTTTCACATCTGTATTTAACAGTTTTTCTGGTTACAACAAGATACCAGAGTCTGGATAGTTTGCAAAAAACAGAAATTGATCTCTCACAGTTCGGGAGGCAGAGAAATGCAAGACCAAGGTACTAGCATCTACAGAGGGCCTTTTTGCTGCATCCTCACATGGTGGAAAGTGGAAGGGCAAAAGTAACCAACACTGCAGCCTCACATGGTAGAAAAGCAGAATAGCAAGCCCGCTGAATGCTGCATGAAGACTTTTTTCTTTTTTTTTTTTTGGTAACGTAGTTTTTCTCTTCTTGCCCAGGCTGGAGTGCAATGCTGCGATCTTGGTTCACTGCAACCTCCACCTCCCAGGTTCAGGTGATTCCCCTGCCTCAGTCTTCTGAGTAGCTAGGATTACAGGTGCCCACGACCATGCCCAGCTATTTTTTTTTGTATTTTTAGTAGAGATGGGGTTTCACCATATTGGCCAGGCTGGTCTCGAACTCCTGACCTCAGGTGATCCACCCACCCCCAAAATGCTGGGATTACAGGTGTGAGCCACCGCGCACTGCCATGAAGCTCTTTTATATGGACCGCCATTAAAATTCACAAGGAATGCAGTATCACTTCTCTGAGGCCCCTAGTCTTAATCTGTCCCATTGGCAACACCTGAATTTTGGAAGGAATACATTCAAACCATAGCAATGTCAAAGTAAATACATTATATGAACAATCACAGTTTTTGGATGGCAAATGGATAAAGAAAAGGTAGATGGCCTCATGCTTACAAGAGCATGTTAATGTCTCTTAAATTGTTAAAAGTGGTTTACCCCCCAGTAGAAGTTAAACTTGAATATGCTAGAAACCTAAGTCATGTAAGAGGATTTTAAGTGGCAAGACCAGTGGGAAGTGTGCAGCTTCCTTGCCTGCAGTCTTCTTGACACAGAACTGGAAATAAAGTAATTATACAGCTGAATCAGCAGTTATTCGATATCATGGTTCAAGATTCATTCTGTGTGTAAAAAATTTGTACACATACAATTTACATATTATATATGTATTATTATACATATATAATAACAATTTACATATTAAAAGTGACAATTCAATGGAGGGGCATGGTGGTTCACACCCATAGTCCAAGTACTTTGGGAGGCTAAGGCAGGTAGATCACTTGAGCCCAGTGGTTCAAGACCAGCCTGGGCAACATGGTGAAATCCTGTCTCTACAAAAACAAAAACAAAAACAAAAACAAAAACAAAAACAAAAACAAAAACAAAAAACAAAAATTAGCCATGAATGGTGGTGCGTGGCTGTAGTCCCAGCTACTTGGGAAGCTGAGGTGGGAGGATTCCTTGAGCCCAGGAGGTCTAGGCTGCAATAAGCAGAGATTGTGCCACGTGTTATTTGATGTGCAAAAGTTTTGATTTTGATGTAGTCCAATTTATCAATTTTAATTTTGTCTCTTCTGTTTTTGGTGTCATATCTAAAAACCTTGACACATTCAAGGTTACAAAGTTATACTCATATTCTTTCTCCTAAAATTTTTATAATTCTAGCTCTTATATTTAGGTTTTGATATAGTTTGAGTTCATTTTTGTGTATGGTTTGAGGGAAGAAGTTCAATTTCATTCTGTTGCACATAAATAATCAGTTTGCTCATTGGCATTTGTTAAAGAGGCTATACTTTCATCATTGTCTATACAATGACATTCTTGTCAAAAATCAGTTGACCCTATGTGTGGCTGTATTTCTGGATTCTGAAGTCTTTTCAAATGGTGCATGTGTCTCACTGTATACCTGTACCCTACTGTCTTGATTACTGTAGATTTGTTTTATGTTTTCTAGCTTTGTTCTTTTTTGCCAAAATGGCTTTGGTTATATTTAGATTTCTTATATATCTATATGAATTTTAGAATCAGCTTGTGAGTGTATGCTAAGAAACCAACTGAAGTCTTGATGGGGCCATGACAGGGTCTTGATAGGTTCAATCTATGTATCAATTTGGCAAATAAAGGCAATGCTACTATAATGTTTTTCAAATCAGGAATATGAGATATGTTTTCATTCATTTAGATCTTTAATTTCTTTCCACAATTTTTAGTAATTTTCACAATTTACATTTTGTATTTCTTTTGTTAAAGTTATCCTAAGTATTTTATTCTTTCTGATGGTATTTTATGTAAAATTGTATTCTTAATATCATATAGAATAATTTATTGCAATTATGTGGAAATACAAATAATTTTAATATATTGATCTTATGTCCTAAAATTTTTGTTTTTTTTTGAGCAAATACTTTTATAGTGGATTCATTAAGATGTTCTGTATATAAGATCATTCCATATACCAATAAAGATAGTTTTATTATCTTCCTTTCCAATATGGATTTGATTTATTTTATGTTTTTGCCTAATGGTCTTGCCAAAATCTCCAAATCAATTTTGAATGAAAGTGAAGAGAGTTGATTTCTTTCTCTTGTTCTTTACCTTAGGAAAAAAAAATCATTTAGGCTTTTCTATTAAGTGTGCCATTAGCTTTTTTTTTTTTTTTTTTTTGCAGATACTCTTTCTATTAGTCTGTTTTTACACTGCTTTAAAGAACTACTTGAGACTATAACTTATGAAGGAAAAAGGTTTAATTGACTCACAGTAGTGCAGGCTTAACAGGAAGCATGACTGGGAGGCTGGAGGAAACTTAACAATCATGACAGAAGGCAAAGGAGAAATTAGAACCATCTTCTCATGGTGTCAGGAGAGTAGGAGTGAAAGGGTAAGAGCCACACAGTTTTAAACCATTATATCTCATGAGAACTTATTCACTATCATGGGATCAGGGATCAGCAAGGGAGAAATCAGCTCCCATGATCCAGTCACCTCCCACCAGGCCACTCCTTCAATTCGACATGTATTTTGGGTGGGAACAAAAATCCAAACCTTATTATTCTGCCCCTGTCCCCTCCCAAATCTCATGTTCTCCTCATATTGCAAAATATCATTATCCCTTCCAAACAATCTCCAGTCTTAACTCATTTCAGCATTAACTCAAAAGTCAACAGTCCAAAGTCTCATCTGAGACAAAGTAAGGCCCTTCCACTTATGACATGTAAAATTAAAAACAAGTTAGTTAATTTCAAGATGTCATTAGCGTACATCCATTGCATCAATGCTCCTCTTCCAAAAGGGAGAAATTTGCCAAAACAAAGAAGCTACAGGCCCCATGCAGGTGCGAAACCCTGCAGGGAAGTCATTAAATTTTAAACCTCCAAAATAATTTCCTTTAACTCCATGTCCCATTTCCAGGCCACACTAATACAACAGGTAGGATTTCTTTTTGGTTTATATCCATTGCTGGTGAGCTAGTGTGATTTTTGAGGGTGGTAAAGAACCTTGTTTTGTCATATTACCAGAATTGTTTTTCTGGTTTCTTCTCTTTTGGGTAGACTATGTCAGATGGAAGATCTAGGGCTCAAGGCTGCTGTTCAGATTCTTTTGTCTCATAGGGTGTTCCCTTGATGTAGTAGCTGCTGTGGGTGTTGGGGGTGTGGTTCCCAGGTCAATAGAGTTATAATCCCAGAAGGATTATGGCTTCCTCTGCTATGTCATGCAGGTTGTCAGGAAAGTGGGGGAAAGCTGACAGTTACAGGCCTCACCCAGCACCCATGCAACCCAATAGACCGGTCTCACTTCCACCATGCGCTTACCAACAGCACCAACTTTATTTCTAGTCAATGGGTGAGCAGGGCTGAGAGCTTGCTCCAGGCTACCAGCCTCCCAGCTGAGAAAGCAAGCAGGGTGTTCACACCTCCCCACCTGTTGAGTCTACACACCAATTCACATACTCTCTGGAGTTCTGACCAGGAGATTTTGCATTCTATTGGAATTGTTGCAAAGTTCAGCTGGAGGTTTCCTTCTCCCTGTGGTCTTTTCCCAGTTCCTCTGGCAGCCCTCCCCAAGGACCCCTGTGAGACAAGACAGAAATGGCTTCCCTGGAAACCCAGAGAATCCACAGGGCTTTTCCCGCTGCTTCCTGTACCCCTGTATTTCACTCTGCTCTCTAATTGACTCAGCTCCAGGTCAGGTCAACTTCTGTGGTCTGAAACTTTAGGTTTCCTGGTAAGGGTGTGTGTTCAAAGGCAGATGATCTCCTTTCCCACTTTCACAGTTTGGGCACTCACAGTCTTTGGGCTGTCTCCTGGGTCCTGCTGGATCCATCCCTTTTCTACCTTCTTGTCATACATTTGTTGAATATAGTTATTGATTCCACATCCATTTTTAGACTTAACTTGAGTTGTTTAAGAGCAAGTCATAGCCTGTCACTTTTGGCTTTGTGAAACTTCCCTTCCTTGTGTAGTTGTTTGTGACAGAGTACACTTGTTTCTCATCCCACTGACCCAGAAATGCAACATACCACAGAGCTGATTACCATGAGATAACCTAATGGTCAACACCAGAATCAAATAATAATTTTCCCTCTTCATGTGTGTTTTCTTAAGATAGCCACTCCACAACTCCGGCAGACAAGACTAGGAAATAATGCTCATAGACCTTAAGAAAAGCACCCCCACAGCCCCCCACACAGGGATTCTCTCTATCACTTCCAGGCAGCTGGTTGAGCTCTCTGCCACTTCTGAATTTTCTGTCCGTTTTATGTCATTATCCTTAATATCTCTAGGAACTGTAATACATTTCTTCTATTTCATGCATTTTGGTTTTATTTTACATTTCATTGTATTTTACCTGACACACACATCTGAATTTCACTTCCTCACCTCCATCAGAGCTTGGTTTATTGCAATTCTCAAGGGACAGACTTCAATACAAAATTGGACAGAAACTGTAACAATATAAATCACAACACTGCTGAATATATGTAATAACAGAGCAACTAGGAAATAATAACTAATTCTTATACATCACAGAATTTTCATTTAGGAACAAATAGGAGATGTAAAAATAAGGAAAAATAAAACACTTTGTTGAAGTTATGTACCTATTTGCCTTTAAAAAAACATTATCTACTAGGCTATAGAATGATGCCAACAGATAATGCCAGGTTGCAGGAGATGGAGGATGGGAGAATGCGAGATGACTGTCTAATGGGTATAAAGCTTCCTTTTGAAGTGACAAAATACTTTGGATCTAGAGAGTGGTGGTAGTGGCAAAATATTGCAAATATATTAAACGCCAATGAATTGTACACATTAAATGGTTAAAGTGTTTAATTTTGTGGCATAAAAATTTTTAACCAATTATTTAAAAAAGAACACAAGTGGATGGCCAGATTTGACCAAAAGGCCATAGTTTGTTAGCCCTTGTTTTATGCTATAAATTTAATTCCCACATATTTGAAATAGTAAATTATGTCATTTTTATTATTTACATTACAAACACATCATGTTTTCAAATGGTACTATGTTTTTTGTGTATCTGTTGGTTTACTTTTTTTTTTTTTTTTTCTTGACAGAGTCTCACTCTGTCACCAGGCTAGAGTGCAGTGGCGTGATCTCAGCTCACTGCAACCTTCGACTCCTGGGGTTCAAGCGATTCTCCTGTCTCAGCCTCCTGAGTAGCTAGGACTGCAGGCACACTCCAGCATGCGCACCTAATTTTTGTATTTTTAGTAAGGATGGGGTTTCACTATGTTGGCCAGGATGTTCTTGACCTCTTGACCTTGTGATGCACCAACTTTGGTCTCTCAAAGTGCTGGAATTACAGGTGTGAGCCACCATGCCTAGCCTGTACTACGCAATTTTATGAACAGTAAACTTGTTGTGGAAATTTTTTTATTTAATTATAAGAGTGCAAATTTTATTTTGATGTATACAAAATTGTTTCTAGTACTTTACAATATTAGTGAATCCCTTCTTTCAGCAACCCCTGAGGTAGATAATACTGTGACCAACATTGCCATTTCATTGGTGAGAAAGCTGAAGCAAATAAAGTTTAAATACCTTGTCCAACCCACACCATTATTTAGTGATTTCTCAGAGATTTGAATCAAGGTGACCTGAATTCAGAGTGCCAGCTCTTAACCACCATGTTATGCTGACTCTTCTATTTGAGGTTTTTATAGCAATAATTTATTGGCATTATTTCTATTTAATTGAGCATCAGTAACTTTATCATCTTTGATATGTTATTTGCCATTTTTACTTTGAATTACCTATTCATACTTTCATCAACTTTTTATTAGATTTGTTTGTCTTTTTTGGTTGTTGTTTTGTAGTTGTCACTAAACAATGGAAACCAATCTATTGTTACATGTGTTGTAGGATAGGTTTAATGTAAATAAGCAGAGGTTTATAAGCATGATAAAACAACATTATTAACCTTTGGCACTATATTAGTTCTGTGTTTCTTTATATATGTATCAGTTCCTGGATGATTTGTATGAAATATTCTGTTATAAACTTTTCCTATAATTTCTCTAGCATCAATGTTATACTGTGTGTGTGTGTATATATATATATATATAGTCATGATTTATATATACATATATAAATATATATACATATGTAGTGAAATATATATATATAATATTTATATTTAAATCATTCCTTAGACTGGAGAATACTTGTGTGATAATTAGTAAATAGTAAGGCTTCTTACCAGCAAAGACAACTAAGTTTTTGTCCATCTGGACCACTTTTATCATAAAGTGCTTCCCTGATGTGTATATTAAAGAAGGTTTATGGCTTGATTTAGCTATTTTCCACAAAATTTATAAACTCATTGTATACTTTGTACACTTTTTGTCATCCTAAAAGATTTCATGCTTCTATTTTATATTTAGAGAAGAAATGGATCAAAAGACCCTGTGGAAAAAGAGAAAAATTAGAGATGATTATTTGAAGTATAGTATGTGGAATATAATTATTATTTCAAACTGTCTTCAATAAACACATTGAATTTTACCACCTATCTATTAGGTAACTAAATGATGCAGTGTCTTATTTTAAAAAAATGGACATGTATATGTACATGTATGTTTAGCAAGATTAAAAATACACTTAATCCCTTCATAATGAAATTCCTATATTATTACAACCAAAAATTAAGAACTTAACATTTGTCATTAAAGGTGAAAAATGAGAATAGAACCCACAAGAAATTTAGAATTTTTTTTTGGTTCTGTGAATAAAGATGATGGTATTTTAATGGAAATTACATTGAATTTATAGATTGCTTTTGGTAGTATGGTCTTTTTCACAATATTTATTCAAGCCACAAATGAACACAGGATGTGTTTCCATTTGTTTGCATCATCTATGATTTATTTCAGAAGTGTTTTGTGGTCTTCTTTGTGGAGAACTTTCACCTTCTTGGTTAAGTATATTTGTAAGTATTTATTTTATTATTATTATTATTATTGCAGATGCTTTAATAGGGGTTGAGGTTTTTATTTGATTCTCAGCTTTGATGTCCACATAGCCCAAGTAAGACTAAGCAAAAAAACAAACAACAACAACAAAAAAAACACACATCTGGAAGTGTCACATTACCTGACTTCAAACTATACTACAAGGCTATAGTTAACAAAACAGCATGGTACTGGTATAAAAACAGGCATGTAGACCAATGAAACAGAATAGAGAATTCAGAAATAAAACTAAATACTTATAGCCAACTAGTCTTTGACAAAGCAAACAAAAACATAAAATGGGGAAAGGAAAACCTATTCAACAAATGGTGCTGGGATAATTGGCAAGCCACATGTAGAAGAATGAAATTGGATACTCATCTCTCACCTTATACAAAGATCAACTCAAGATGAATCAAATAATTAAATCTAAGACCTGGAAGTATAAAAATTGTAGAAGATAGCATCATAAAAACTGTTCTAGACATTTGTTTAGGCAAAGACTTCATGACCAAGAACCCAAAAGCAAAGGCAACCAAAACAAAGTTAAATAGATGGAACTCAATTACACTAAACAGCTTCTGAACAGCGAAAGAGATAATCAGCAAAGTAAACAGATAACTCACAGAGTTAGAGAAAATCTTCACAAACTACACATCCCACAAAAGACTAATATCCACAATCTACAAAGTGCTGAAACAAATCAGCAAGACAAAAACAAATAATCCCTCAAAATGTGACTTAAGGACATGAATAGACAATTTACAAAAGAAGATATACAAATGGTGAATGGCCATAGTTTAAAAATCCAAAAATAATAGATGTTGGCATGGTAGTAATAAGGGAACACATTTACACTGCTGGTGGGAATGCAAGCTAGTACAACCACTATGGCAAACAATATGGATATCCCTTAAATAACTAA
The DNA here is from genome assembly GCF_000001405.40 of Homo sapiens. Classification (NCBI taxonomy): domain Eukaryota; kingdom Metazoa; phylum Chordata; class Mammalia; order Primates; family Hominidae; genus Homo; species Homo sapiens. The sequence continues at coordinate 69,479,160 of NC_000004.12, forward strand.
AAGTAGAACTGCCATTTGATCCAGCAATTCCACTGCTGGACATCTATCTAGAGGAAAATAAGTCATTATATGAAAAAGACCCATATACACACATGTTTATAGCAGCACAATTCACAATTGCAAAACTGTGGAACCAGCCTAGATTCCCATCAGTCAATGGGTGGATAAAGAAAATGTGAGATATATATATATATATATGTGTGTGTGTGTGTGTGTGTGTGTGTGTGTGTTTGTATACACATACATATATAATTATATATATATACACATACATATATAATTATATATATCTAATATATATTATATATAAATATCACATTTACTTTAGCCACTAGTTGGGGAATATATATATATACACACACATATATTATATATATATATATACACTACTCAGCCATCAAAATGGACAAAATAAACCTGGATGGAGTTGGAGACCATTATTCTAAGTGAAGTAATTCAGAAATATAAAACCAAACAATGTATGTTCTCACTTATAAGGGGGACCTAAGCTATTAGGACATAGAGGCATAAGAATGATATAATGGACTCTTGGAACTCAGAGGGAAGGGTAGGAGGGATGTGAGGGATAAAACAGTACACACTGGGTACAGTGTATACTTCTTGAGTAATGAGTGCACCAAAATCTGAAAAATCACCACTAAAGAGCTTATCCATGTAACCAAAAACCAGTTGTCACCCAAAAGCTATTGAAATACCTAAAAAACAAAGAATAAAAAAAGATGAATATTTTCAAATGAACAGAAAAATAGAATTGGCTCAAAAAACCAAACGCATTGTAAAATTAGTTCATTTTGTAGTAGAAACCAGGTAGGAGTTGCTATATTTCTAATTCCACATACTTTTCACTGGGAAATGACTTAAGCTCTAAAATGGTAAGCATTTTTATCATACCTTTTAGGAAAAAAAATGACGTTGAAGCACGATGCACAATAAAAGCCAAGCAGCACTAATCATCTCAAAATATCAAGAGGAAGAGACTTTCTATACAATTTAATTATTTATTAGCTTCCTCAACAACAGTTAAAACAACACAATCCTGCATGAAATGGATCCAAAGTATGCTGAGTATTTGCAAAACAGTACTGATACTGTCAGTGGACTTCTTAATGTTCTTGTTTCCATGTACAATGTGTGACATGTAGTTAAGCTTAGTAAATTTTTTTTCATGTAACCTGTGAATTGGAACAATAAATTTCAATATAAGCTCAATACATTTCAATATAACCTCATATGGCTTTATATCATTTTTGTTTTCCCTAATGTTTTCCTCCTTGACATGAAATATTTCTAATGGTTAAACAGGTACTAAAACAAATTTTGACTTGACAAGGTAAGTTTTGAAAGATGTTTTGTCACAAGAAGAAAGGAATCTCTTGTATCACAACGTCTTCTTGTTGTAATAAACTAAAGGAGTTCATTTATTGGGTTTCCCAGCTTCCAGCCTCAGACGTAATTAATCTCTTTTCCCCTTCTTTCCTGTTCTAACAAACTTCCAGACACAAAACAGACATTTTGTGATGATGAATATCACAGTTGCCACACAGGCCAGCAGGAACCCAGTCACATCCAAAGAGTGGTACTGGAACCAGGTGAGGTCGTGGGCTGCAACCCGAAGGTGCTTGGCTCCTTTATGGCGCATGACAAATTCAATCCAGAAGACTGCTCGATCAAGGGGCTTCACTGGTTGATCATGATGAATTCTTGATAATTTCATAGCATTCTCTTTATATCTAAACGATAAGCAGAAAAGTATCAACATTGAAAGTAAGTTAATTTGGCCAGGCACGGAGGCTCACACCTGCAATCCCAGCAGTTTCCGAGGTCGAGGCGGGCGGATCACGAGGTCAGGAGATCAAGACCATCCTGGCTAACACGGTGAAACCCCGTCACCCCGTCTCCAGTAAAAATATGAAAAAAAAAAAAAAAAAAAAAAAAAAGATTACCCAGGCGTGGTGGCATGTGCCTGTAGTCCCAGCTACTTGAGAGGCTGAGGCAGGAGAATCGCTTGAACCCAAGAGGCGGAAGTTGCAGTGAGCCACAATCACACCACTGCACTCCAGCCTGGTGACAGAGTGAGACTTCCCTCTCAAAAAAAGAGAAGGTAAGTTAATTTGCCTGAGCACATCAAGTCCACGAAAGGTTTTTAAAGTGCCAGATCATTCAAAGTAAATGTCATAGAATTGACATAGAATGTGTGTATTTTAATTTGAGTCATCATAGAAAGTTTGGCTTTTAAATTGGAATTTCATAATTGACAAATATTTTTAAAGTAACAATGGAGGGTCAGGTGAGAAAGTTAATTATTTGAGGCAGAGAACATATGAGCAATTTTATTTTCTTTTAATTTTTAGTTTTTGTGGTTACATAGTAGGGGTATTTTTCTATGAGGTGCATGAGATGTTTTGATACAGGCTGCAGTGTGAAATAATCACATCATGAAGAAAGGCTACCCATTGCTTAAGCATTTATCTTTGTGTTATGAAATATCCAGTTACACTCCTTTAGTTCTCCAGCAGGCGTATAAAATCATGGTCAGCATCATGAGCCGTTTTAAGTGGTAAAAGATATACACCTTAAAATACAATTTGAGAATTATCATCTTTAAGTTTCTAAAGAGGAATTGTGTCATGTGGGTGAAATGCCTCATAGCCACATGCTCTGCTTCTATTCTACTCTTTGTGTCCTACTGTTTCCCACGCAGTAGCCAGAATGATTATTTTTGAAATAAAAGTCAGATTGTGATACTCCCCTGATTAAGACTTTTGCCTGACTTTTCATCATATCAAGAATAAAATCCAACTCTGTTATTTGGTCCTCAGGATCCTGCATTATCAGACACTGGCAAGCTCTTCTCCACTTTCCCATGCACACTAGGTCTTCTAGGGACATTGGCCTTATATTTTTCTTTAAGCTCCTGTCCTAGCATCTTACACATTGCGTCCCCTCTACCCACACTTGGAGTATTCTTTCTTGCAACAACTCAAGGCATGCTTCTATCTCTTTTTGAGGCAACCCTCTAAATGTTACCAATAAGAGAGGCTTTTCCTGGCCACACTATGATAGAACCCCTAGGATTTCCTCTACTTTTTGTGCTTATTTTGAACTTATTTGATTCCTATAATCTTAAAATACATTGTACGTCTTCTAAAATACACATTTAAGCATAAAACACATAACATAAGTGTACATACGCTAAGTGAAACAGCCCAATAAGGTAAGATCATCTTAAACATTATTTCGAAGTGAAGATACCACTATCTCTCAGATCATGATAGAGGGTATCAGAATCTTCTTAGAAGAACTCTCTTTTCCTGGACCATTTTAGTCACTGCTTTTGTCCTCCAATTAAGTATTAACCTGACTTCAAAGGTCATACTTCAGCTTTACTTGCTTATGTAATTAAATTAATTATGTAATATATACTCCTTTTTTTTTCCTTTTTTTGAGATGGAGTCTCACTCTGTCACCTAGTCTGGAGTGCAGTGGCATGATCTCGGCTCACTGCAACCTCCACCTCCCAGGTTCAAGTAATATTCCTGCCTCAGCCTCCTGAGTAGCTGGGATTACAGGTGCGCACCACCATGCTTGGCTAATTTTAGTATTTTTAGCAGAGACAAGGTTTTCACCATGTTCATCAGGCTTGTCTCGAACTCCTGACATCGTGATCCACCTGCCTCAGCCTCCCAAAGTGTCTTTTTTTTTTAATGTAGCAGTTGTTGGTTTAATTCTGTTGCTGTGTAGTATTTCATTGATTGAGAATACCACAGATTATCTTTTTAGTTTATAATCAATAGACATTTGAGTGCCAACAATTTCTGGACACTATTAATAATTCTGTCATAAACATTCTTGTATATAGCAATAGGCTTACAAATTTATACATATATTTTCCTATATAATTGAGAGTGGAATTGTTGAAATAAAAGTGTGTGCATAATTATGATTTACTTTTTTACTTTAAAATATTCTAAAGTGTATTTAATATTCAAAATTTAAAGATTTTTTAGTTATCATTTTTATAATTTCTCACATTCACTATGGCTGGATCTTATACTCTTTATGATATTGAATCTTTTCATACATACTGAATCTTGATTTATGACCCTCCCCATGTAACTTCAAATAACTATTACCTACTCAACATGCTCTAGAAAACTATGCCTTCCAGTTGATATATAGAATACATATGTATGAGTTATATATGTGTGTGTGTGTTATGTTACATTACAACATTACAATTGTTAATTGTGTTCTTCAGTTGTTTTATGTCCTTACTCATTATTTGGTCTTATTTTTCAGGTCAGTTTAGATTTAATGGAAGTATCTGTATATTCACATTTAAATCTACTACCTTATTTTATATTTCTTTTCTATTTGTCTAACCTGTTTTATGTTTCTTTTCCAATTATTTCCTGTATTCTTTAAAGGTAGCTTTATCATTCATTATCCTTCTATTTTCTTTGTGATAAAGTACTTTTAAAGTATTCCTTTAGGTGAAGCCCCTTTTACATAAAAACATTATTAATAGTAGTTATGAATGCTGAATTGATAGTAGCTGGGTTGGGCAAGGCATTTTGCGCATTGCTTTCTTTGGAGTATGAAAAAATCAATTATCAAAAATTTTACTCACTAAAAATAAAATTTGTGTGCTTCAAAGACCATCATCAAAAATGTAAAATGTTAGTGCACCAAGAACGAGACGAAATATTTATAAATTATATATCTCATATGGGATTGTATCCATAATACATAAATAGTTCTTATATAAAACTCAATAATAAGACAAATATCAAAGTTTTAAAATGTTTCAAAGATTAAAATAGACATTTTTCCAAAGAATGTATATGCATGGTCAGTAACCACATATAAAGAACATCAACATCTCTGGCCATAATCAAAATGCAATCCAAGGCTACAATGAGAGGTCTTTTTACACCCACCAAGAATGGTATAACAAAAAGACAAATAATAACAGGTGTTGGCAACAATGTGGATGAACTGGAACCCTCCTGTACTGCTGGTGGTAATGACAAATGGAACAAGCATTTGGAAAACAGTTTGGCAATTTTCATAAACACACAGTTCCTACAAGAGCCAGAAATTCCACGTCTAGTATCTACCCAAAAGAAATGAAATCACGTTCATGCAAAAACATGTAGCAATGCTCCTAATAGCCACAACTGGAAACAATCAAAAGGTGAATGAGCTAATAAAGAGACAAATAAAATATGGCATACCCATATTATAAAATATATTGCTGCAAAAATAAATGAACTATTAATACACACAATATAAATAAAGCTAAAAACCATAAAAAAACAACAAAAACTGTACTTGGTAAAAGAAGTCATTTACACATCATAAATTATATGATTCAGTTTATATGAAATATGTAGAGAGAATAATCTATAGAGAAGGAAAGCAAATTGGTGTTAGCCTAGGGCTAAGGGGTCATGCAGAGTGACTTCTATACCATTATGGCTTCTTTTACGTTGATACAAATGTTCTAAAATTATATGATGGTGATGGCTTCATGACTGTAAGCATACTAAATATATTTGGATTTTATACTTAAATAGGTCGGTTTTATGCTATGGAAATTAAATTTAATTATCAAGTCTGTTACAATAATGATAATAAAAATAAATTTTTCAGTGAGAAAACAGATATACTTTGAGACATTTTAGATATTGAATTAAAATATTTTATTATATTACGTCAAGTTTATCTTTCCTTTCTACTGTGGATTGATTACGTCAAATTTATTTTAAAATGTCTTCTTATCTATATCACTTTAAAATTATTTTTGTGTAGAAAATTATTTCAATAATTGATTATTCATTAAATGTATGTGGTTCAAATAAAATTTTTAAATAACCACTCAAAAATAAAAGCAGATTTCAGATTGTTTAAATCACTTAAATTCTTTCGAAATCAGTCGCTTATAAAAAGGATAAAAGTCATACTCACTATTCACAAGGGAACCTATCTATAAAGACCACCGAGTAAAAAAAAAGTTATACTCACAAAGGATCATTAATTACTGTCTTCAGTGCATTGAGTAAGTCTGTACTCGACATTGTGTGGAAGTCCAAACTAACAGCTGCTCCCTTGGCCTTCATGTGTGCAATGTTATCAGGTTGATCTGCAAACAATGGAACGCCCACCATAGGGATTCCATGGTAGATTGCCTCATAGATGCCATTGGCTCCACCATGAGTTATAAAAGCTCTGGTTTTTGGGTGACCTAGGATTGGATGAATTTTAGCAAAATTATTCATAGGAATAAAATGAGAAATGCACAATGGAAGAATCTGAATGTGACGGTGTTTCCTAGATAACACACTGAACTGAATTAAAATTGTTTTTGAGACTTCAGAGGAAGGAACGCCTACTTCTGCTGGAGATGTAAGTGAAGGCTATGTGGTGTGTTTAACTTCAGACTGAAAAAATTAATACAAGATTACCAGTTGAACTAACAAAAAGGTGCAATTTAGATAAGGAAACATCATGTGCAGAAAAGAAAAAAAGCACAGAAAAGGGATGGACATGAAAGAATGTGTTCTTGTTTTTTTGTTTTTTGTTTTTTGCTTTTAATGGAGACGGAGTCTCCCTCTGTTGCCCAGGGTGGAGTGCAGTGGTGCAATCTCGGCTCACTGCAACCTCCATCTCCTGGGTTCAGGCAGTTCTCCTACTCAGCCTTCTGAGTAGCTGGGACTGCAGGGACAAACAGCCATGCCCAGTTAATTTTTTGTATTTTAATAGAGACAGAGTTTCACCATGTTGCCCAGGATGGTCTTGAACTCCTGAGCTCAGTCAATCCACCTGCATCAGCCTCCCAAAGTGCTAGGATTGCAGGCGTGAGCCACCGTGCCCAGCCAGAATGTGTTCTCTTAAGTACAGTCACGGAGTGTGATATGTAGGGTGTGCAAGGCAGCAGGCAGTGAGGTGGTGGTGGTGCTAGAATTGAGGAAAGACAGGTCACATTTCATTATGAAATGTGTCATCACTTTTTGATTAAGATTAGGGATTTAATCCTACAGAAAATGCAGCATCCCTGGTGATAGCAGAAGAGCTGTTACTTTTAGTGACATTTGAAATAACCCTACAGAGGAGGAAAGAACAGGTGTAAAGTTGTAGAAATATGAGAAAGGAAGACAACCCAGGAAGTGCCAGAAAAATTCTGTGGGAGGTAATAACACCTGAAATAAAGATACTCTGACTCTGATTGTAAAGAATGTGGGTGCATATCATAAAATGCCAACAATTTATTCTTTTCCCCCGGGACTGGAAAATAAATATAAAGAAGTTTCATTTTATTTTTAAGTTTTTCCATAACAAATGTTCAGTAAGCTTGTTTCATGATAACTATTAACACTTTAATAATCTGTTACTAATATATTCAGTATTTGTTCTTCAGAGACTTACCAAGAAGATCATTCTGGGGTATCCACTTGTACAGCCGAGTATTGAGTCCTAAAGTATCTGGTTTATTCCCATCAAATCTCCACAGAACCTGTTACAGTGAAGAAAATATCTTATTCCATGAGTGGAACTCAAAAGTCATAGAATGTTAGAAATCTAAAGAGATTAACAATGAGAAGAACAAGGGATGTTAAGTAACAAGAACTACTCAGACTGATGTAAATAGAATACTCATATTTCATTTCCTTAATTTCATAATTAGGTATATAAGGAAATCATGATTTTTCAAAATAGTAGCTTAGACAAATAAGATAATCAATGAAAAGTTCAAGTATTTAAAAAGTTGTTACACTTTTCAAAAGAAAACTATATGTGGCAAACCACTATATGAAAAAAAGGTTTACATCACTGGTCAAATCCACAAAGAGATACCATCTCACACCAGTCAGAATGGCCATTATTAAAAACTCAAAAAATAACAGATGCTTGTGATGTTGTATAGAAAAAGAAATGCTTATACTCTGTTGAAGGGACTGTAAGTTCAACCATTGTGGAAGACAGCATGGCGATTCCTCAAAATCCTAGAGGCAGAAATACCATTCAACCCAGCAATCCCATTACTGGGTATGTATCTAAAGGACTGCAAATTAGAACATGCACATGTATGTTTACTACAGACAAATATACATTTTACTCTATATAAAACTATTCACCATAGCAAAGACATGAAATCAATCTAAATGCCCATCAATGATGGATTCAATAAAGAAAATGTGGTACATGTTCACCATGAAATATTATGTAGCCATAAAAAAGAACAAGATCATGTATTTTTCAGGAACATAAGTGAGCTGCAGTCCATTATCCCTAGCAAACAAACACAGGAACAGAAATCCAAATACCACATGCCCTCACTTATAAGTGGAAGCTAAAACATGAGAACACATGAACATATAGAGAGGAATAACATACACTGGGGCTTATTGGAGGGTGGGGGTTGGGAGGAGAGAAAGGATCAGGAAAAATAACTAAAAGGTACTAGTCTTACTACCTGTAAGATGAAACAGTCCATACAACAAACCCCAAGACATAAGTTTACCTGTGTAACAAACCTCCACATTTACCCTTGAAATTAAAAGTTAAAAAATAAAACTTAATTTTAAAAAGATAAAAAATTTTAATAATTATATGCATTAAAAATTTTAGGTAGTCATAATTCTAGTGTGAAAAAGCAACAACAATTTACTAATGACCTATATGCTTTTTTAATGTATTTTATGAGTTTTCATCTACCAAATTTAATATTAATTTATTCATTTTTTTGAGTAATATGGGAAGTAGTTCACTTATATCTACTTATCTATAAGTCATTTTAACAGAGTTTGATGTCCTTTGATTGACAAAAATGCAAGTCTATAAAATAAGCTACTTGGAAGAAGTCAATTAATGCTGCAAAGGTAGCATGTATAACTTCTTGGAAATTACAAATTATCAAGAACTACTTCCAAGAAAAATTTCAAGTGACAATTTTTGACACAAATTCAGAGTATTCTCAGTATTGCTAATTTTGGATATTTTGTCAATGTAGAAATAAGGAACCTGTTGGTACCATAAATAAAAATACAACTCTTGAATAAATTCAAAATTGCATTTTGCTGAATTTTGGTCAATTGATTGTTAACACTTAGAAAATGTGCTACAAAATTTTGACAACAGTGATTCGTATGTTTTGCTATAGCTGAGACATTTTTATGTTTAAGTTACTAATTTTGGAACCCCCAAGGAATCCTTATAAATTAAAAAAAAATAATTTACGGTGTTTAAGTTCTATTTGTTACATCAGTGTTAAAGTAACTTTGAGTTTTTGGCAAAATATTAGCATAGGTCATTACAAGAAGGATATGTCAGGCAGGGAACTAAAAAGTAATTGACAAATACACATTTTATTCTATATAAAAGAAAATATGTTCCTACTATGTTCTATGGAGGGGGCATCTGAACCTGTTCCCCTGCCTGGCTTCCTTCTGCTTGAGTCCTTTCTATATTTCCTTCTGCTGCCTCCATTGGGAGGAGTTGTTAATCTCATAGTGCAGCGTCCTTGTGGGGCCACATTTTATACTACACAGGGTCCACCCTCAGAGCAGGATCCATCTCCACCCTTTCTCTTTCATCTGCCTACTTCAGACATTGGCTGGGTCCAGTCCAGCAAAGCAGGCTGCTTTTTCTCTTTCTCCAAATCTGCCTAGCTCTGCGGATCCTTACACTAGTTGTCTGACAGCCTAGGCCTTCCTTTCTCTGAATAGTACCCTGAATATCACTTGAATAGGCCTATTCCAAAATGTACAGGAAGTACACGAGGCTGGGTAACATGGCAACACTAAACTGCATGATGCATGTCAGCCTTTTTGAAATACCTGCTATTGTTATTGTGCTAGTGAAGTTACTCATTAAAATGTAACGTTTTCTAACACCTGTAGGATGTACATCGCCCTCAGGAGTTCTTAAACAAAAGGATCAAATCACAGGGGCAGAATTTGGTGATAGCTCTTACCTGACCCCAGTATCATGATAATACCAAAACTTTACCTGCAACTCTTAATTGTATTTATTCCTGATCACAATATTAATGCCAAATTAATTACCAATGAAAAACACCTTCTGTATGAGTTTATCATCTTCCATACATATTTTTGATTTTGAATTAATATCTGAGATAATTAGTGCTTTCCCAACAGCTGAATATATAGGCAGGAAGTTTCTACAATTGGGTTCTTTACAAACTTTAACAGCCTCTTTCAGTAGTTTTTTACACCATTAAAACATTTTATCTTACCTTTTGTGGGATCTTGGCAAGGGCTGATGCAATTACATTGGCCCTTTCTTCTGACGTGTTACTGACCATCGACCCCAGAGAAAACACCACAACACCATTTTCTCCAGAGCTCTGGACAAACTCTTCCATTTCCTGTGAAAAAAAAGAATTTGTTCTATCATAATAGATTATCAGCACAGCAAGCACTGTGAAAGAATTGTTATAAAAAGAGAGAAAATCAAGTTTTATCAGGAATTATTGGAGTAAAGGATGTTTTTTAACTGACTCAATTACTCAGTTTTTTTTGCAATATGTATAATATGAGATAGGTTGCCTCTGTTAAGGGTCTTTGTGTAAATATGTGTGTGTGTATGTGTGTGCGTTTGTGAAAGGGAGAAATGAAATAGAGTTATTACACAGTATTTGAGGAGATACCCAAACTCTTCACTTATCATATTATAAGTACTAATATAGGTTCTTTAAAGTGGCACCAGTTGGCTTTAATGCTATATTGTTGCTCGCTAAATCACATATGCTTATTTTAGGCAGGTTTTCTACAGAATTATTTTAGTTTGAAGTCATTAGTGGTTGACTTCCCTGACTCTGAGCACTGAGGAAAAGTTACTCACAGCTGGGATTACGTAAACCTACATTTATCTTATTCTATAATCCTTTACACTTCACTTAAAGTTTGTCAGAGTTTTCCAGTCTTTTTTCAAAAGAGAAAAAAAAGTAGCTGTAAAAGGTGGTGGTTAAGAATCACTGACATTATGGAGTCTGCTGTTGTGGTTTGGAATTTCTATAAATTTCTATAAATAATTCTGTATTCTCATTTGTAATACAGAATCGTACAGTATGTAGTTACATAGTCGAATGATTATATTTTTCAGGTGATTGTTTAAGTGGAACAATTTTTCCCTGAAATCACACTGTTAAATTGATGTGCTATTTATAACTGCATGTGAGGAATTCTCATCATCATTTTGCTGTGTCTCAGAGGCAGCAGCACTTGCACCAGAATGCGAGAGACTGCCAGAACTTTCTGCAGAGATTTGGTCACCCTCTTGAGTAGATCACCCACACTACATAAAAATCTTAGTGAAGATGTACTTGGCTGGAATTTACTGGGAATCATTCTGACCTGTGTTCCCCAATGTACGCCAATTTTGAAATTTAAATACTTTCAGATTTAATCATTGGGGTAAAACTTTTTCTTAAGTGTTCTCTACAAAACAAAGAAAAAAGATTCCAAATGTTTATTTGCAGACCACATATGGCTAAGCATTTTTTAAAATATGATTTTTAATCTTAAGACATCAGTGTTAATGATGTTAGAGTCATTGTTCTGCTATTCAAGGTAATACATAGGATATCCAGGTATTGTGCGTAATTGCAGTTACCTGTAGCCACATTTGATGTAACTTACGTTCAGTGTTTTGTTTCAGTGGCTTGATGTCCAGAGCCGCCTTCATCCACCCAGTGTTAAAGTAATATAATCCCTAAAGGGGATTCATTATTGATGTGGACTGGTTGTTTCCCATTCTGTGACAACTTTAAAATAATAATACACTATGTATGTAAGGTATTTTATAGAAGTAGTGCAAGTTCTAAAAAGAAAATAATTTTTTTTCTAAAATTTTTGTCGAGAGATGTCACCTTGTAAACTACATATGTTTTCATCATGGCTTTTGTTCTATCTTTATAGTTCAATGTACACTTGTGACGTTTATTTAGACAATTTTATTCTGATTGTATATACCTTTTCCTCCTACAAAAAACGTGTCAGCCTGTAATATTTATAATTTTCTACCTCACTTTACTTGTATTATAGCTGACTGTAACTGAATATTTTATTGATAAAATTATTGTAATGCTATAGTATGCATCTAGTATATGTTTTTAATTATTCCTTAATTTCAGATGTTTGATTACTTTTGATGTTTATTTTATGAATATTTTCCATAAATATTAAATATGTACATCTTGATTTATTTTTTCTCTGTATGATTTCATGTGAATATATTATAAAACCAATGGCTATATGCATTTTTAATACTTAATACATTTGCCAAGTGTCCTTTTCTCTTAAAGTATGCATAAATTATCTGAGAATCTAATATTTAATTGAATAGAAAGCAAATTGGGTTTGCAGTTATTTTACATGATAAACAATTAGAGAATGGCTTTCACAACCATTGACTTGCATTCAAAGCTTTCTACAAGTTAGTAACAACAGCTAGTATTAGTAATTATCACATGTACTACGACTCAATCTTTTTCTTATCCTTCCACACCTCGTACTCTCTTCTCCCTCTTACTGGCACTGTCAGTTTCCCTTAATGTGAGTGGGGAAATCTTTCAAGAGTAGGATAGGGTGGGACAGAATTTTCATTAGTCTTATCTCAGCTTTTGTCTCTTTAGAAAGTTACCATATAAAGCCCATACAATTTGCATTCAACATAGATATTGGATTTTAACCATGGAATAAAATATCAGTTTCATGTTGCTGTTAATAAGGAGGTAGGCAAAAATTATCTCTTAAGAGATTACATAATGTAATAAAAATGCTTACTTTCTACCTATTTCTTAGAAGGGTGATATCAATTTAAAATATATTACATTCTTATATTCCTCCATAAAGAATATAATGTTATATGATGACAGAATTCTTTTATTATTGTAAACTGAGGGCACGATTCAGATACGAGTGGTAGAAATTATTTGGTCTTTATTATACATGCGTTGTTCATTTTTTCTGTGCTTCTCTCTCAGGCACTTATGATGTTGAGACACAAGCTATCCCAGGAAGCTTTACTGGGTTGCTTGTCTTAAGGCAGAAAACACCTGCTCTAATAGGGTATGTTTATGCTAAGATGTAAACCTCTGGGATCTCAACGCAGAATGATTTAAATGCTTTAGTAAAATCAAGTGAACACTGGGTCTGGCTGCAAATACTAATAGAATCACACATTTATATCGGTAAGGGATTATTTTCTTATAAGTTAGAATACTGATGAAGATCCTTGTCACTTGTGGTAGAATTTTACAATTTCATTTTGCTCATCTTACTGTCAAAACTGATATGTCTTATTTTAAACAAGTCTACAGGGTATCTGTCATATAGAAGACCATAGGACTTTGTTAGAGAATATAATCTTGAAATGCTGAATAATTAGTTTCTATTAAATGAGGAATAATATCTCAAGTGACTTACACATGTTAAGTAATTCATAGTATTAGTAATAACAAAAATAACCATAATTGCAAAATAATATTTCTGAATCACTAACTATATGCCAGAGACATTTTAAGTGGTTTATTTGTATTAACTTTTTTCCACACAACACAATATGAAGTTAGTCATATTACTGTAAAAGTAGGCATAGGTAATTCTATCCACTTTCTAGTCCATTTTTCCATCATCTGCTACCTGAATTCATACAAAATTTCCTCAATGGTCAGCTCTTTCTAGTTTGGCCCTTCCACAATTTAATCCATCGAACATCTTGGAATCTTTTTTTAAAAACTATAATCTTATCCCATATTTTCTTTTCTTAACTCTTTTTAGTAGTCCCTAAATGTGCTTAATAAATATTTCAACTCCTGAGGAGTATCTGGCTCTTATCTTGCCTATCAGCATCATCTGATTCTTACTCAGTATCTTCCTTGCAAACTAAACTTTGAGTCTTGAGAACTGTCCTGAACACTTTACCTGCTTTTCTTTTTGTGTTTTTTTCTCTTCTTCATTCTTTTACCTATTCCTGCATATAGTTCAGCTCTCATCTAAATTATTAATATCAGTGACTCCAGGATACTCTCTATTATCTACACTGGATGCTTCCTTAGCATTGGTTTTTCTCTGGAGATAACAGTTTTTACACAGTTTTTATTACTTGCATATATTCTATCTTTCAAAATAGAATGTAAGGTGTGTTGGGATAGAAACTGTGTCCCATACACGTACCTGTGGTGTGTGCTAATCTCTTTATAAATATTCTTTGAATGAATGGCCAGTACCTTCTTATATGTTGCATAATCAAAGCTTTAATTTACCAACCCTATTTTCAAAGTCTCTTTAGTATCCCTCTTTATTGGTAATAATGATGAAATTCATAAACTTGTGATAGTATCAACATGTACGTCAGTTTCTAATTGGTATCTGCTTTACTCTTCCCACTTCCACCTTTCTTCCAGTGTAAGTCAAACACTTTGAATGAATATAGAACCATTCGTACTGAAACTTCAAAGCAGACAAAACAAACAGTAATAGTTTACCTTCGGTAGGGGTTTGGCAGGTTTGCAGTGGAGTCCTCCAACGAACTCAACATTTGGTAAGAGTGGGTGAGGAAATTGAAAATCCCAGTAGTTTCGAATAAGCCATATGTCAGCTTTTGCCATTGTCTCAGATAACGTAGTGGGTCTTCCTGATGGGGGAAAAAAAAAGAAAAGATAGATGACACAAGATAATTAAACTAGGTAATTTTCTGAAAGAAGTTAGAATAATGTGGGCAAAAATGTAGGCAAAGTGTTTGTGCCTTGAAAAAAAATACATATATTCGTATATAGGCATAATTTAATTTTTATGTATTATATATTTTACCCATGTGTATTTACAAGAAAGGCAAAGTGGTGAGAGAATCATGAGGGAAAACTGCATCCCTCATGTCACATCAGTATATTCACAATCACAAACAAGCCATAGAGAATTAATCTCCATTTCTTTATTTTGTAAACCTTCGATAGTAGCAGATATACGTATAAACCACTCTTTGAGCTCCGTGATCAATTAATTCTACCATACCCATAAAAACAATTTTCTAACAAATAGTCTAATTTCCCATTCATTAATCTAATCTTTTATCTTTGGTTCTTCAGGTTAACTGTTGATTATTTTGAAATGATGGCTGAAATCCTTGTACCTACTACTGCTTTTGAGTCATGCTAACCTCATAATAATATTAGTTTTTAGGTAAATATGTTTGCAAATTACAGCTAGAAAATTTTGAGAACTTGTTGAAACAGAAATTTGCATTCAACCTTAATTTGGCTCATATTTTTAAAGAAAGATACATAGTTTCAAAAAAAAACTATACAGTTGTAACTTAATGTTCACACTTTGACAAGATGATTAGCCTTAAAATAAATGGTTTCCAATCCTTTAGTGAAGGAATAGAAACACTGGAAACTTCAAATAACATGCATTGGTTTTTGATTCTGAAATGGAGACATCATTTCTCTCAACTGTGGAGGAAACGTTCTAGTAACATGGGTACATATTGCAATTACTAAATAATAAGACTGAAATATACAAGAAAAAACAATTTCTGCAATGTTATATAGATAGTTCTAAAAAATGTGTAACTACTCAATCTACCAGTATGCATTCAGCAAGATGTTTCTGAATAAGTCTGACTTTTTTTTAAGATGAAAAAATGTATAATAAAACAGATATGTGATTGCTTAAAGAAATCTTAGGTGCACTAATATACAGGCTTATGACTTCCTGGAGTCTTCTGTATGAGTGATGGCCACAGAGTTTTAACTGATCCTATAATTTACATTTTCTATAGTGCTTGTGAGTTTGGTAGATCATCTTACAATTTCATTTGATAAATTCATTACAAAAATACCCCACTACCCTGACTTTATGGCTTTATACAAACTCAGCTTCAAAGGTACAAGAAAGTTAGATCTTCATGTTACCAATCAAAAAAGTTACTTACCTAGAACTTCACTGTAGAACTGATCCCACTTCTTCATGTCAAATATTTGGAACCAAAATTCAAAATAAAGCACATAGATCATATTTTTTACCCTCTCTATGAAAGTCATTTGGTCACTTAGTTCTGACATAACAACAGGCACATAGGAAGGAGGGAACAGAAGTCCTCCACTATGCTTTTCAATTGCGTAGCCAGGAGAGAAGCGGAGGCTGTAGACAAAGGGTATTTTAAGTAACTCGGCCAGCAGCTCACCAAAGGGGAAAACAGCATCTGCAAGAACAACATCAAATCTTGACTCCTGTAGTTTCTTCATAAGTTTCTTATTTGAAACTATATCCTTACAGAACTTTCTAAGTATGTCATTAAATGTCCACATGATTTCTTGTACTTGTGAAAAATATGACCAAAATGTGTCTTTTGGAAGTTCTGCCCATCTCTTAACCAGCTGCTTGATAATATCCTCAAACTCAGTTTTAGTTAAAGATACAGGATAAACTTCAAATTTAAGAGTAGATGGGCTGTTGGGATCGAAAGAAATGGAAGCTGAAGATGCCAATACAGTCACCTCATGACCTCTCTGGACAAGTTCATCCAGGATTGTCTTTATATTCATCCAGTGGCTGAATTCTGTGGGCCACACCAGCACCTTTCCACAACTCCCAGAGCTAAAGTAACAGCTCAGCTGTATCAGCAGAAGAGCTGAAGTCCATTTCATAGACATCCTGATGCAATGCAATGCTTGTTTTCCAGTTGCTGCTCCTTTCTGTCATTTCTCATGGTGACATCCAGTATAAATCAGTCAAGAAGTTAAAATGTAACTTTTACACTTCAAAGTAAATACATTATATTAACAGTCTGAGCATGTGGATGACAAAGAGACAAATAAAAGGTAGATGACCTGTTTACACAAGTGCGTTTAATGTTCTTTTTGGATTTTTTTTTTTTTGAGAGCTCACTGCAAGCTCCTCCTCCCAGGTTCACACCACTCTCCTGCCTCAGCCTCCTGAGTAGCTGGGACTACAGACAGGCACCTGCCACCGCACCCAGCTAATTTTTCTGTATTTTTAGTAGAGATGGGGTTTCACTGTATTCGGCAGGATGGTCTCGAACCCCTGACCTTGTGATCTGCCCTCCTTGGCCTCCCAAAGTGCTGGGATTACAGGCGTGAGCCACCGCACCCAGCCCTAGATTTTTAAGTGCTGTAATTCAGCTAATATCAATGATCTTGGATGGACTCATCACCTGACTCATGTAATATATTTCAGAATAGTGTGCATAAGAGTAGCAGTGAGAGGCTCATGTTCCTGCAGTCTCTTTGACACAGAACTAAAGATAAAATAGCTAAATGTGGTTCAAAAACTTTTGTAAATTTGTTGACGTATAATTCAGATATCATACAAATTATCAATTATTGTGTAAAATTTAATGTTTCATAGTATATTCACAGAATTGTGCTTCTACCGTAAGAGTCAATTTTAGAGAACTCTTATCTCCTAAAAATAAACCCTATAAGCTTTAGCCTTTTACTCCCTACCCCTTCTTTCTGCATTTGTCCTATCCTGGGCAACTGCTACTTGAATTTCTGTCTCTATAGATTTGCCTATTCTGGACATTTTTTAAATACATGGAATCACACAATATGTGATATTTTATGGCTGGCTTATTTTACTTAGCATAATATTTTAAAGGTTCATTTATGATATAGCATTTACGTGTTGATTCTTACAACCATCATGTATGATTTAGAGAGTTTCAAGATGAAACTATTCCTATAGACTTTGTTGAATTAATGAAGGACAAAGGGAGGGGAAAAAAAAAAAAAAAGTAAACCAAGCCTGTAGTACATTCAGTATTAATTATTACATTAGCTTGCTCTCTGACTCACTTCCTAATAGTTTTTTGGCTATTGTCTTAGAATTATGCAGACATTGTTACAAGATTAAAGTTCATCTTAACTGTTCTATAGATAATAACTTAAACATTTTGAAATGTGGTTTTCTCTTTGAGGTATTCCTTCAGGTCCAGCATACTGATGAAACTACTGACTCAGCTGGTCTGAGGGACCTCCCTGATGCCAGCTGCTCTCAAGGACCCCACAAGGAGCTGACTCACCAAAGAATGCAGTTTCCAACTCCTACTGATTTTATCTTCATTATCCTGACTAATCTATGACTCCAATTTTTCAGTCCATCACCCTCCATTAACCCCTTAAAAACTCCAGCCCAGATTTCCTTGAGGAGGTAAGTTTGAGGGCCTCCAACTATCTTCCTTCTCAGTGCCCTCCAATTATTATACTCTTTCTTTGTTGCAAAACATAATGTCTCATTGTAATTGGTCTATTATTGCAGAGTGGGCATATGAACCTGTTGGCCCTATAACAAAGACTTCAGTGGAGGAAATAACTGCAGATGTGGTGGAAATAGAAAGATAACTCAAATTAGAAGTGGAACTTGAAGACGTAAGTAAACTGCTGCAATCTCGTGATAAAACAAATACATGAGGAGTTACTTCTTATGGAAGAGAAAAGAAAGTTGTTTCTTGAGATTGAATCTACTCCTGGTGAAGATTATGTGAACATTGCTGAAATGACAACAATAGATTTAGAATATGACTTAAATTTACTTAATAAAGCAGCATTAGACTTTCAGAGGATTGATTCCAGTTTTGAAAGAAGTACCACTATGGGAAAATTGCTATCAAACAAAAATGTATGCTAAACAGAAATCTTTTGTGAAAAGAAGGGTTAGTGGATGTGGCATATGCCATTGTTTTCTTACCCTTAAGAAAGTGCCACAGTCACGCCAACTACTAGCAGTCACTACTCTGATGAGTTAGTAGCCAACAACATTAATGCAAGACTCTCCACGAAGAAAAAAGTTTACAACTCACTGAAGGCTGAGATGAGTGTTACTACTTTTAGCAAAGAAGTGTTTTTAATTAAGGTGTGTACTTTTTTTGAACTTAATACTACCACAGAATTAATAGACTGCAGCATTGTGTAAACATAACTTTTATGTGCCAGAGAAACCAAAACAAATTGTGTGACTCACTTTATTGCATGTTTTGCTTTATTGTAGTAGCCTGGAACCAAATCTGCAACATCTCAGAAGTATTTCTTGTGTTAGCAAAATCACTTAATATGAGGTATACTCTTGAAAATTATTATAAGTGGGGGAGTGGGCAAGATGGCCAACTAGAAGCAGCTCATATGCATGGCTCTTGTGGAGAGAAACAGATGGAGTGAGTAAATACAGCACCTTCAGCTGAAACATTCAGATACTTGCATTGGGACTAATCAAGGAAGCAACTGATACACAGAGAATGGAGAAAAACAAGACAGCTATGAATCCATTTGATTTTGGGCTTTTTTTTTTTTTTGGTTGATTGGTAGGGTATTTATTACTGCCTCCATTTCAGAACTTGTTATAGGTCTCATCTTATTCTCAGTTCATCTTTGGGAGGGTGTATGTGTCAAGGAATTTATCTACTTCTAGATTTTCTAGTTTATTTGCATAGAAGTGTTTATAGTATTCTCTGATGGTGGTTTGTGTTTCTATGGAGTCAGTGGTCATATCCCCTTTTATCATTTTTTATTGTGTCTATTTGATTCTTCTCTCTTTTCCTCTTTATTAGTCTAGACTGCTGTCTATTTTATTTTATTTTTTCAAGAAACAGCTCCTGGATTTGTTGATTTTTTGAATAGTTTTTCATGTTTCTATCTCCTTCAGCACCACTCTGATCTTAGTTATTTCTTGTCTTCTGCTAGCTTTGGGGTTTGTTTGCACTTGGCTCTCTAGTTCTTTTAGTTGCGATATATGTGTCAATTTGAGGACTGTCAAGCTTTTTGATGTGGGAATTTAGTCCTTTAAATTTCCCGCTTAGCAATGCTTTAGCCGCATCTCAGAGATTCTGTTATATTGTCTTTTTGTTCTCACTGGTTTGAAAGAACTTCTTGATTTCTGCCTTAATTTCATTACTTACTCAGGAGTCATTCAAGAGCAGGTTGTTCAATTTCCCTGTAGTTGTGGGGTTTTAAGTGAGTTTCTTAATCTTAGGTTCCGATTTGATTGTGCTGTGGTCGGAGACACTGCTTATTATGATTTCAGTTATTTTCATTTGCTAAGGAGTGTTTTACTTCCATTTCTGTGATTGATTTTAGAGTAAGTGCAATGCGGTACAAAGAACAATGTATATTCTGTTGTCTCTGGGTGAGGAATTATGTAGATATCTGTCACGTCCACTTGATCCAGAGTTGAGTTCAAGTCCTGAACATTGTTGTTAATTTTCTGTTTTGAAACTCTGTCTAATATTGACAGTGGGGTGTTAAAGTCTCCCACAATTATTGTGTGGGAGTCTAAGTCTCTTTGTAAGTCTCTAAGAACTTGCTTCATGAGTCTGGGTGCTTCTGTATTGGGTGCATATATATTTAGGATAGTTAGCTCTTCTTGTTGAATTGAACCCTTTACCATTATGTAATAGCCTTCTTTATCTTTCTTGATCTTTTTGGTTTAAAGTCTCTTTTGTCAGAAATTAGGATAGCAAGACCTGCTTCTTTCTGCTTTCTATTTGCTTGGTAAATTTTCTTCCATCCCTTTATTTTGAGCCTATGTGTGTCTTTGCAAGTGAGATGGGTCTGTTGCATACAGCATGCTGATGGGTCCTGACTCTTTATCCAGCTTGTCATTCAGTATTTTTTAATTGGGGCATTTAGCCCATTTACTTTTAAGGTTAATATTGTCATAATCCAGTTACTGAGTATATACCCAAAGAATATAAATTATTGTATTTTAAAGATACATGCACACATATGTTCATTGCTGCACTATGCACAATAGCAAAGAGATAGAATCAACCCAAATGCCCATCAATGATAGACTGGATAAAGAAAATGTGGTACATATACACTGTGGAATACTATGAAGACATAAACAAGAATGAGATCATGTCCATTGCAGGGACATGGATGCAGCTCGAAGCCATTATCCTCAGCAAACTAACACAGAATCAGACAACCAAATACCACATGTTTTCACTTATAAGTCAGAACTGAACAACGAGAACACGTGGACACATGGAGGGGAACAACACACACTGGGGCCTGTTGGGATAGGGAAGGGAGGGCATCAGGATAAATAGCTAATGCATTCCGGGCTTAATACTTCGGTGATGGGTTGATAGCTGCAGCAAACCACCATGGCACATATTTACCTATGTAACAAACCTGCACATCCTGGACATGTATCCTGAAACTTAAGACAAAACAAATACAATGAAGAACAACAACAAAAATAAATTATTAATAAATGACCTTTGAACAAGGAAAGGAAGAAGAAAGGAAGAAAAGAAAGAAAGCAAGAAAGAAAGAAGGAAGGAAGGAAAGAAAGAAAGAAAGAAGAAAGAAAGAAAGACAAGAAAGAAAGCAAGAAAAGAAAGCAAGAAAGCAAGAAAGCAAGCAAGAAAGCAAGGAAGAAAGAAAGAAAGAAAGAAAGAAAGAAAGAAAGAAAGAAAGAAAGAAAGAAAGAAAGAAAGGAAGGAAAGAAAAGAAAGCAAGCAGGATGATGGTCCATCCAGGAGCAATGCAGAGCCAAGCAAACATCCCTGATCCAGGGAAGTGATGAGTGAATGTGCAACTCCAGGTAACATGCTTCTCCCACAGATCTCTGCAACCCTCGGGTCAGGAAGTCCCCTCATGAACCCACTCCACCAGGGCCTTAATTGTGACACACAGAGCTACATGGAGTTTAGGCAGAGCAGCAGCTCAGGCATGTGTAGAGACCTGGGAGTTTTAGATACCCCAGCTTTCTGGGCTTCCTGGCAAAAGTAGCTGTAGTTCTGGCAAAGTGGGAGGTTAGGAATGTGACCATATTCCTAGCAAAGAGGTTGAATTCAGGCGGCCACCTGCAAGCGCCACCCTCACAACACCTCACAGGATAAGACCCACTGGCTTGGAATTCCAGACAGTCATGGTAGCAGTGTTGTGCCTACCGGGGATGGAGCTGGGGGTTGGGTGCAGAGGGGTAGTGTGCAGTGAGGACTGCCATTTTTACTGTTTGAGCAACTTAGCTGTTCTGCCATTTGAGCTTTGGAGAGTCCAGATGAACTGGGCCGGGGGCGGGTGGAAGGAATCCCTCAGCTGTTGCAAATCTACTCTACCTAAACTTGGCCAGACTGCTTCTTTAAGCAGGTTCCAGATCCTGTTCCTTCCTATTGGGCGGGACCTCCAAACAGGGGCTTCTAGCCACCCCAATCAGTGTTCTCCCGCCACTAGAGATTTGAAAACACCCTGGGAGAGGGCTCGCAAGAGGTGTGGGCTGCCATCTTTGCTGTTTGGGCGACTTAGCAATTTCAACTTGGAGGCTTTGAACAGTCCAAGATGACTGGGGTGAAAGTGATAGCCCAGCACAGCAAAGCAGTCCTACAAAAATGTGTGAGCAGACTGCTTTTTTAAGTGGATCCCTGACCCTGCTCCTCATCACTGGGTGGAGTCTCCCAACAGGGATTTTGGGTACCGCCACTGGTGTTCCTTAGCTGACAGAGTTTTCAGGTATAGGGTTAGTATAGAGCTTCTGGGGAAGGGGCAGGCTGTCATCTTTGCTGTTTGGGCAACCTAACCAATCCTGCCTTTGAGGTTTGGAGGTTCCAAGGTGACCAGGGGCTGATATGTACCCCCAGCACAGCACAGCTGCTCTATGAAAATGTGGTCAGCTGCTCTACTTAGACTCCACGTAGCTCTGTGTGTCACACTTAAGGCCCTGGTGGAGTGGGCTCATGAGGGAACTTCCTGACCCGAGGGTTGCAGAGATCTGTGGGAGAAGCATGTTACCTGGGGCTTCACATTGACTCATCACTTCCCTGGGAGGTTCATTTGCCTCTGCATTGCTCCTGGGTGGGACATCATCCTGCCTTGTCTCTCTTTCCCTTCCTTCCTTCTTTTCTTTCTTTCTTTCTCTCTCTTTCTTTCTTTCTTTCTTTCTTTCTTTCTTTCTTTCTTTCTTTCTTTCTTTCTTTCTCTTTCTTTCTTTCTTCTTTCTTTTCTTCATTCAGTTGTTATTTATTAATAATTTATTTTTGTTGTTGTTCATTGTATTTGTTTTATTTTAAGTTCCAGGATACATGTCCAGGATGTGAAGGTTTGTTACATAGGTAAATATGTGCCATGGTATTTTGCTGCAGCTATCAACCCATCACCGAGGTATTAACACAGTCCTTCTGACTGTGTTAGACCTCCCAACTGGGGTCTTCAGACACCTCTTAGAGGTGTGTTTGGGCCAGCAACAGGTCTGTACCTCCCTGGTACAGAGCTATTCGGAAAAAGGGCAGGCTGCCATCTTTGCTGTTTCTCATATTTCACTGGTAATACCTTCAGGTACTGGAAAATCTGAGGCAACTAGGGACTGGAGTGGGCCCCCAGCATACTGCAGCAGCCCTACAGAAAAGTGACCAGACTGTAATGTGGTTGCCTGTTCCCATATCTCCTCACCAGGCAGATCTCCCAAGCCTGGGCCTCTAGCCACTCCCTGCCAGAACTATTGAGCTATTAGCGACTTGGAAACTCCCTGGACAGAGCCTCCAGGGGCCCCTGAAAGCCTCTCTGCCACAGCTTCTGTGGTGGAATTTACCTTGCTACCCTCAGACTACCAAAGGATCAAAGACCCTAAATGCCATATTCACACCCCCAACAAGCTCCAGTTGGTTCAGGAAGAGGAGGCCTGACCATCCCCCATGGATCCCACACATCTCACTGCTAGTCACAAAACAGGGAACCCCTGGCTTGGGCCCACAGAACAGCGTCTCCATCCTGGGATGATTGCATTGAGTGATTGCTGACCAGCACCTCTCTGGGGGGATCCTCCAGGAGACAAGCAAAGTAGTGGAGCAGTAAGCCAGCTGATGTGAAGCCAAGAGGGGTTGGTGTGGGAGCATCTGTAGCAAAGTGTGACCATCAAAGGCCATCTCTTTAGGCTTAACTTGGTCACATAATAGACTTTAGCCCTAGGGGAACTGTCAAACCTGGTCTTTTCCGGGCAATTCTGCACATCAGATGAGGCTGGTTCAACTTGAGCACTCCTTGGACTTCTGCCCTTCCCCAGGGCCCCAGCCTGGCCATGACTGCTTACAGGGTAGTCTTTGGTGCCCTGGGGGCTCACACCATAGCTTCTGCAGCAGTGGACTGTGCCTGACTGGAGAACTCCAGCAAGGTGGCCCCTATAGCCATGCACCCAGTCTACATGTTCTCTCCCAAGACTGCAGCTTCTCCTGAGTCCACAGCAACTTCCCATGCCACTGTGCTGATGCAAATCTGCATGAGTGAGTTTAGCTTTACTTGCCCCAGCAGCACACAGGAGTGCAGTACACCCTCCTACTGCACCCCTCCCCTCTACTGACAGCCTTTGCAGATGTAGCCTTGGCAGGCACAGAACCAGACAGCCCTGACCCTGCCAGTCCCCCACCCTTGTGCTAAAGCTGCACAGAGAACAGGAAATCCTCCCATAACCTAAGTGATCACTCTTAACTTGTGGAGCACAGAGAAGAGACTCAGAATTGTGCTGCCCAGCAACCCACCCTAATCCAACACCACCTCCACTGTAACAGCACACAGTCTCCAGCAGGGGCCTTCCACTCCTCCTCCAGTTGCCTTGCTTCAGCCTTCGTGATGAGCAACCATAGTGAGGCAGACACCTCTGCATTCACTAGCACTCTGCTGCAGCTGCTTCACCTGGGCCACCGCAGCTCAGAAGACTCAAAACCTTGAGGAGCCAGAGAACAAAGTTGAGACCCAATAGAAGTCCACTGGAGTTAAAGCACGTGGTCCAGGAGTTGGGAACAGAATGTTGGTCCCCCAAAATCTTCCAGAAACAAAGCCAATTGGCTGAATTCACCTTATATCACAATGAACCCTCAAGGTAATTAAATAAGATAAAAAAGAAAAATAAGCAAAGGTCAGCAACCTCAAAAATTGATGACAGGCCCACAAAGGTAAAAAATTATTGCAAGAATGCTGAAAACTCAAAAAGCCACAGTACCTTCCCTCATCCAATGACCACATCACCTCTCCAGCAAAGGTTCAGAACCAGGCTGAGGCTAAGATGGCTGACATGACAGAAGTAAAATTCAGAATATGGATAGAAATGCAGTTCACTAAGCTAAACAAGTACATTGTAACCCAAAAACAAGAAAGTCAAAAATGATAATAAATTATCATAGGAGCAAAATATAGTATAAAGAACTCTACTTTACAAAGTAACCAGTATAAAGAAGAATGTAACCAATCTGATAGAGCTGGAAATTATACCACATGAATTTCATAATGAAATCACAAGTATTAACAGCAGAATAGACCAAGCAAAGAAAAAAATCTCAGAGCTTGAAGACTGGCTTTCTGAATTAAGATAAGCAGACAAAAATAGAAAAAGAAAGAATGAAAAGGAATGAATGAAACCTCCAAAAAATATGAGATTTTGTAAAGAGACTAAATCTACAACTAACTGGAGTGCCTGAAAGATATGGGGACAATGGAATCAACTTGGAAACCATATTTCAGGTACCATCCCTGAGAATTTTCCCTACCTAGCTAGAGAGACCAACATTCAAATTCAGAAAATGCAGAGAACCCCAGTAAGATACTCCATGAGAAGATTATCATCAAGACACAAAATTATCAGATTCTTCTTGGTAGAAATGAAAAAAAAACAAATGTTACAGAAAGATAGTGAGAAAGACCAGGTCACCTACAAAGGGAAGCCCATAAAACTAACAGTGTACCTCTCAGCTGAAACCCTATAAGTCAGAAGAGATTGGGGGCCATTATTCAATATCTGGCCAAACTAAGCTTTATAAGTAAAGGAAAAATAAGATATTTTTTAGGCAAGCTAAGGCTGAAGGAATCTGTTACCACCACACCTGCCTTACAAAAGCTTCTTAAGGAAGCACTAAATGTAGAAGGAAAAAAAAGAAAACATTTCCAACCATTACAAAAGCACACTGAAGTACACATGCTAGTGACACTATAAATCAACCACATACACAAGTCTACAAAATAACCAGCTAACATCATGATGGCAGGATCAAATCCACACATATCAATATTAACCTTAAATGTATATGGGCTAAATGACCTAATCAAAAAATACAGAGGGGTAAGCTGGTTAAAGAACCAAGACCCATTGGTATGCTGTATTTAAGAAACCAATCTCACCTGCAATGGCATACATAGGCTCAAAATAAATGAATGGAGAAAAATCTACCAAACAGATAAAAAACAGAAAAAAACCATATATTTCAATCCTACTTTCTGACAAAACAGAATTTAAACAAAAAACGAAAAAGAGAAGAACACTGCATAATGGTAAAGAGTTTAATTCAACAAGAAGATCTAATTATCCTAAATATAAATGCACCCAACACAGGAGCACCCAGATTCATAAAGCAAGTTCTTACAGACCTGCAAAGAGACTTAGACTCCCACACAATAATAGTGGGACACTTTAATTCCCCCGTGGCAATATTAAACATATCATCAAGGCAGAAAACTAGCAAATATTTAGGATATGAACTCAGCAGTAGATCAAATAAACCTGATAGATATCTGCAGAACTCTCCACCCCAAACAGAAGAATATACATTTTTCTCATTGCCACAGGACACTTTCTCTTTAATTGATTACATAATCAGAAGTGAAACACTCTTTAGAAAACACGAAAGAATTGAAAGTGTAACAAATAATCTCTTGGACTACAGTCCAATCAACTTAGAAATCCAGACTAAGAAATTTACTCAAAACCATACAATTACATTGAACGACTTTTGGGCAAATAATGACTACTCCTGAATGACTTTTGGGCAAATAATGAAATTAAGACAGAAATCAAGAAGATCTTTGAAACTAATGAGAACAAAGATACAACATGCCAAAATCTCTAGGATAAACCCAAGCAGTGTTAAGAGGAAAATGTATAGGACTAAATGCCCGCATTGGAAAGCTAGAAAAATCTCAAATTAACAACCTGAAAATCACAACTAAAAGAACAGAGAACCAAGAGCAAAAAAAATTCCAAAGCTAGCAGAAGCAAGAAATAATGAAAATCAGAGATGAACTGAAAGAGATACAGACACAATAAAAAACATTCAAACGAAAAATGAATCAAGAATCTGGGTATTTTTTTGAAACAAATTAACAAAATAGAATTCTAGCTACAATAATAAAGAAAAAAGAGAGAAGATTCAAATAAAC
Organism: Homo sapiens; assembly: GCF_000001405.40. Lineage (NCBI taxonomy): Eukaryota > Metazoa > Chordata > Mammalia > Primates > Hominidae > Homo > Homo sapiens. The sequence continues at coordinate 69,506,371 of NC_000004.12, forward strand.
ACAATCAGAAATGACAAGGAGGAGATTAGCACAGACTTGACAGAAATAAAAACAACCATCAGAGAATATTATGAACACCTCTATGCACAAGAACTACAAAATGTAGAATAAATGGTTCCTGGAATTATATACCCTCCAAAGACTAAACCCAGAAGAAATTGAATTGCTGAACAGACCAATAACAAGTTCTAAAATTGAAGCTGTAATAAATAGCCTACCACCCAAACAAAGCCTAGGACCAGATAGATTCACAGCTAAATGGTGCCAGGCATAAAAAAGAAGACCTGGTATTATTTCTACTAAACCTATTTCAAAGAATTGTGGAAAAGGGACTCCTCCCTAAGTCATTTTATGAGGCCAGCATCATCCTAACACCAAAACCTGGCAGAGATGTAACAAAAAATGAAAACTTCAAGCCAATATCCTTGGTAAACCTCAATACAAATATCCTCAACAACACACTGGCAAGCTGAATTCAGCAGCATATCAAAAAGCTTTATCCACCATGATCAAGTAGGCATTATCCCCAGGATGCAAGGTTGACTCAGCCTACGGAAATAAATAAATGTGACTCTTCATATAAACAGAACTAAATACAAAAACTACATGATTATCTCAATAGATGCAGAAGAGGCCTTCGATAAAATTCAGCATTCATTTATGTTAAAAACTCTTTATAAGCTAGGTATTGAAGGAACATACCTCAAAATAAAAAGAGACATCTATGACAAACCCACAGTCAACATCATACTGAATGGGCAAAAGCTGGAGAGATTTCCCTTGAAAACCTCCACAAGACAAGGATGCCCTCTCACCACTCCTAATCAACATAGTATTGGAAGTTCTGGTCAGGGCCATCAGGCGAGCGAAAGAAATAAAGTGTATTCAAATAGAAAGAGAGGAAATCAAATTATCTTTATTTGCAGATGACATAATCCTATATCTAGAAAACTCCATCGTCTCGGGCCAAAAGCTTTTTAAGGTGATAATTTCAGAGAAGTCTCAGGATGAAAATTCAATGTGCAGAAATCACTAGCATTTTTATGCACCAGCAAGAGCCAAGCCAAGATCCAAATCAGAAACAAACTCTCATTCACAGTTGCCACAAAAAGAATAAAATACCAAGGAATACAGATAGGTGAAAGATCTCCAAAATAACCAACCAAACAAACAAACAAGTACTGCCGAAAGAAATTAGAGATGACACAAACAAATAGAAAAACATTCCATGCTCATGAATAGGAAGAGTCAATATTGTTAAGATGGCCATACTGTACAAAGCCATATGTAGAACACTAGAACTGGATCCCGTCCTTACACCATATACAAAAATCAACTCAAGATGGATTAAAGACTTAAATGTAAAACCCAAAACTATAAAAACCCTGGAAGACAAACTATGCAATAGCATTCAGAATATAGACACGGGCAAATATTTCATGACGAAACTCCAAAAGCAATTACAATAAAAGCAAAAATTGACAAATGACATCTAACTAAACTAAAGAACTTTTGCACAGCAAAAGAAAATATCAACAGATTAAACAAACAACCTACAGAGTGGAAGACTTTTTTGTAAACTATGCATCTGGCTAAAATCTAACTTTCATCATCTATAAGAGACTTAAACAAATTTACTAGAAAAAATTAAAAAGTGGGCAAAGGATATAAACAGACACTTTTCAAAAGAAGATATACCTGCATCCAGCAATATTTGAAAAAATAGCTGAGCATCACTGATTATTAGACAAATGCAAATTAAAACCACAATGAGATACCAACTCACACCAGTTAGAATGGCTATTATTAAAAAATAAAAAATAAATTAAAAAAACAGATGTTGGAGAGATTGGGGAGAAAAAATAAACACTATATACTTTGGGGAGTATAAATTAATTCAATCATCATGGAAGACAGTGTGGTGATTCCTCAAAGGCCTAAAGACAGAAATACCATTTGACCCAGCAATCCCATTACTAAGTATACAGCCAAAGAAATGTAAACAATTCTATTATAAAGAAACATGTATGCACATGTTTATTGCAGCACTGTTCACAATAGCAAAGACATGGAATCAATCTAAATGCTCATCAGTGATAGACTGGATAAAGAATATGTGGTACCTATACACTATAGAATTCAATGCAGCCAGGAAAAAAAGAATGAGATTATGTCCTTTGCAGGGACATGGATGGAGTTGGATGCCATTATTCTCAACAAACTAACGCAGCAGCAGAAAACCAAATACTGCAGGTCCTTATCTGTAAGTGGCAGCTAAATGATGAGAACACATGGACACATAGAAGGGAACAAAAGACACTAGGGTCTATTTGAGGCTGAAGAGCGGGAGGAGGGAGAGGATCAGAAAAAATAACTACAGGGCACTAGGCTTAATACCCGGCTGATAAAATATTATGCACAGCAAACCCCATGACATAAGTTTACCTATATAAACCTGTACATGCACCCCTGAACTTAAAATAAAAAGCATATATTTTAAGTGTAAAATACAATACTGTTAAGTATAGCCACAACATTGTGCAGCAGATCTCTAGAATTTATGCATCTTGTTTCACTGAAACTTTATACCCATTGAACAGCAACTCCCAAGTCTCTCTTTTCCTAGTCACTGGAAGCCAACATGCTACTCTCTGATTCTATGAGTTTGACTGGTTTAGATGCCTTACAGAAGTGGAAGCATGCAGTGTTTGCCTCTGTGTTATTTCACTTAATATTATTTTCTGAAGGTTTTTTTATGTTGTCACATATGGCAGGATTGTTAGATCATATGGAATTTCTATTTTTTTTTTTTTTTTTTGAGACAGGGTCTCACTCTGCTACCCAGACTGGCAATGCAGTGGCAGGATCTCGGCTCACTGCAACCTCCGCCTCCCAGGCTGAAGCAATTCTCCTGCGTCAGCCTCCTGAGTAGCTGGGACTACAGGCGCATGCCCCTACCGCCTGTCTAATTTTTGTATTTTTAGTACAGATGGGGTTCACCATGTGGAAGTTCTATTTTTAATTTCTTAAGAACCTCTACATTGCTTCCATAGTGTCTGCAATATTTTATATTCTCACCTACAGTGTACAAGAGTTTTGATTTCTCCATATCCAAGCCAACAATTGTGTGTGTGTTTGCTTGTGTGCATCTGTGCTAAAAAATACATCCTAAGAGTTGTGAATTCATATATCATCACGGTTCAGATTTTTCTGATGATTAATTATATTGAGCATTTTATCATACAGCTGATTGGCCATGTGTGTAACTTCCTTGGAGAAATGTTTTTTCAGGTATTTTTCCATTTATTTTTTCATTTATTAATTAGGGTTTCTTTTTTTGCTTTTTGTTATTGTCACAGTTATATAAATATTTTGGTTTTTAACCCCTTATCAGATACATATCTTGACAGTATGTCTCCTGTTTCATAGATTGCCTTTATACACTGTTGACTGTTTTCTTTGCTGTGTAGAATATTTTTTTTTTGTTTCACACAATTCCACCTGTTTGTATTTGCTTTGTTGTCTGTGCTTTTCAGATCATATTCAAAAAAATTGTCCAGACCAATGTTATGAAGCTTTTGCTTTATATTTTCTTCTGGGAAGTCTATAGTTTCAAGTCCTATGTTTAAGACTTTTATCTATTTTGAGTAGATTTTTTGTGTAGTGAATAGTAAGGATAAAATTTTATTTATCTTTTGTGGATATCCAGTGTTCATAGTACCATTTATTTAAGAGACTGACATTCCTCATTGAATGTACTTGGCATTCTTGTTGAAGATCAGTTGACTGTATATTTGTGGCTTTATTTTTGGGCTCTATATTCTGTGACATAGGTCTATATATCTGTCTTAATTTGAACAGCAGACTATATTAATTATTGTAGCATTTAATATATTTTGATATAAGAAAATGTGATGCCTCCAGCTTTGTTGGACTTTCTCCTCAAGATTGTTTCAGCTCCTTCATGAGTCTTTAATGAGCAGTCATGGCTCATTATGAATTTAAAAATAATATCTAATTTTATAAAAAATGTCATGGGTCTTTTAATAGGAATTATATTGAATTAGTGAATTGCTTTAGATAGCATGAATGTTTAAACAGTATTGTTTTTCTGTCAACATACCTTTCCAAAATAGTGTATTTTTAATTTGCATTCATCAATGTTTTGTAGTTTTTGATAACACTTTCACCTACTTGTTTATTTCTATATACTTGTTTCTGTATAGGATTCTTTTTCTTAATTCCTTTTTCTAATTATTTTTTATTAGTATACAGAAAGATAACTGATTTTTGTATGTTGATTTTGTATTCTGCAAATTTACTGAATTATTAGTTTTAAGAGTATTTTGGGGAGTACTTAGGGTTTTTCACATATAATATCATGTCATCTTCAAACAGAGGTGATTTTCCTTTCTGTGTTATATACTTTTATTTATTTTTATTGTCTAATGGTTTCAGCTGGTACTCCAGTACTATGTGGAATAGAAGTAGCAAGAGTAGGGTCCTTGCCTTGTCCTGATATTAGATAAGAACATTTCAGTTTGTTTTTGTTGTTGTTGTTTACCATTGAATATGATAAGCTGTGGGCTTTTCATAAATACTCTTTCTTTTCTTTTCTTCTTTTTTTTTTTTTTTTTGAGACAGTCTCGCTCTATCATCCAGGCTGGAGTGCAGTGGCACAAACTAGGTAGGCTCACTGCAACCTCTGCCTCCCAGGTTCAAGCAATTCTCCTACCCTACCCTCCCGAGTAGCTGGGATTACAAGTGCATGCCACCACGCCGGCTAATTTTTGTGTTTTAGTAGAGATGGGATTTCACCAAGTTGACCAGGCTGGTCTCAAACTCCTGAACTCAGGTGATCCACCCGTCTAGGCTTCTCAAAGTGCTGGGATTACAGGCTTGAGCCACCGTGCTCAGCTGTTCTTTCTTATTTTAAGGTAATTTCCTTCTATTTCTATTTTGTTGAGAGACTTTTTTCTTTTTTATTCATAAACTATTGTTCAGTTGTGTCAAATGCTCTATCTGCATCTGCCGAGATGTTTGTGTGGTCTTCATTCATCATTCTGTTAATGTGTATCACATTTGCTGATTTTTGTATGTTCAACAATCCTTCATTCTAGGGATAAATTTCATTTAGTCATGATGAATGAACCTCTTAATATGCTGTGGAATTAAGTTTCCCAATTTTCTGTTGAGGAATTTTTCATCTATGTTTATTAACAATATTGGACTGTTTTTTATCTTCTTCTTCTCATTATTCTATTTCTGTCGCGTGTTTGTCTGGGTTTGTTATCAGTATAATGCTGCTCTCATAAAATGAGTTTGAAAGTATCTTTTTCTTTTCAGATTTTTGGAAAAGATTATAAAGAAAAAGCATTAATTATTTTTCAAGTGTTTGGTAGTGAAGCCATCTGGTGCTGGCTTTTCTTTGTTGGGAAGTTTTGATTACTAATTCAATCTCCTTATTCATTATTGTTAGGTTCTGAAAATATATTTATTCATGACTCAGTCTTAGTAGGTTGTACGTTCTTATGAATATATCAATTTCTTCTACGTTGTCCAGTTTGTTGGTTAATAACTGTTCATAGTAGGCTCTTATAATCTTTTCTATTCTGAGGCATTAGTTGCAATGCCTCTTTCATTTTTTATTTTATTTGATTATTCTATTTTTCTTTTTAGTCTAGCTATTTGAAAATTTTATCTTTTCAAAAAAAAACCTCATCTTAGATTTGTTGATTTATTTTCCATTTTTCCATTCTTAATTACATGTATTTCAGCTCAAATATATATTATTTCTTTTTTTTCTGCCAACGTTGGGCTTAGTTTGTTCTTTCTTGGCTCTTTTATGTGTAATGTTAGCCTGATAATTTGGATATCTTGTTTTTTTCTTTTTTAATATAGTTGTGACTACTATAAACTTCCCTCTTAGGGGTGTTTTTGCTGCATCCTGTAAATTTTGGTATGTTGTGTTTTTATTTTCACTTATCTCAAATTTTTTATCTAATTTTCTTTTTCACTTGCTCTTTTATGTATTGCTTATTCGACAGTGTGTTGTTTATTTTTTATGTAAGTTTGACTATTCTACTTTTATTTCCACTATTGATTTTGAGTTTTATTCTAGATGGCTGGAAACCATAGTTGATATGATTTCAATCTTAAATTTGTTAACATTTGCTTTGTGACTTAACGTGTATATGTCCAGTAAGGAAATTGCTGGCTCAAATGGCCATTCTGCCTCTAGGTCTTTGAGGAAATGCCACACTGTCTTCCATGATGGTTGAAGTAATTTATACTCCAACCAACAGTGTAAAACCATTTTTTTCTCTGCAACTTCACCAGCATCTGTTTTTTTTTTGTTTGTTTGTTTGTTTTGTTTTGTTTTGTTTGACTTTTGTATAATAGCCATTTGCACTGGTATGAAATGATGTCTCATTGTGGTTTTAATTTGTATTTCTTTAACGATCAAAAAAGTTGAGCTTTTTTTCACGTTTGTTGGCCCTATATATGTCTTCTTTTGAAAGTGTATGTTCGTGTTCTTTGCCCACTTATTGCTGGGGTTGTTTGTTTTTCTCTTGTAAATTTGTTTAAGTTCCTTGTAGAATCTGGATATGAGAACTTTGTCAGGTGGATAGATTGCAAAAAATTTCTCCCATTCTGTAGGTTGTGTGTTCACGCTGATGGTAGTTTCTTTTGCTGTGCAAAACCTATTTAGTTTAATCAGATTCCATTTGCCAATTTTTGCTTTTGCTGCAATTGATTTGGGTGTTTTCATCATAAAATCTTTGCATGTGCCTATGTCTTGAGCAGTATTCCCTAGATTTTCTTCTAGAGTTTTTGCAGTTTGGGGTTTTACATTTAAATCTTTAATCCATCTTGAGTTGATTTTTGTAAATGATGTAAAGAAGGTGTCCAGTCTCAATTTTCTGCATATGGCTAGCCAGCACTCCCCACATCATTTATTAAATAGGGAGTCCTTTCTTTATTATTTTATTTTGTCAAGTTTGTGGAAGATCAGATGGTTGTAGGTGTGCAGTCTTATTTCTGAGTTCTCTATTCTGTTCCATTGCTCTATGTGTCTGCTCTTGTACCAGTACAATGCTGTTTTGGTTACTGTAGCCTTGTAGTATAGTTTGAAGTCAGGTAGTGTGATACCTCCAGCTTTGCTCTTTTTGGTTAAGATTGCCTTGGTCTCTTTTTTCTTTTCATATAAATTTTAAAATAGTTTTCTCTAGTTCTGTGTACAGTGCAAGTGATAGTTTAATAAGAATAGCATTGAATCTCTAAATTACTTTGGGCAATATGGCCATTTTCAAAACACTGATTTTTCCTATCCATGAGCATGGAAAGTTTTTCTATTTGTGTCCTCTCTGATTTATTTGAAGCAGTGGTTTGTAGTTCTCCTTGAAGAGTTCCTTCACTCTCCTTATTAACTATATTACTAGGTATTTTATTCTTTTTTGTGGCAATTGTGAATGGGAGCTCATTAATAATTTGGCTCTCTGCTTCCCTGCTGTTGATGCATAAGAATGCCAGTGATTTTTGCATATTGATTTTATATCCTGAGCATTTGCTGAATTTACTTATCACCTTAAGAAGCTTTGGGGCTGAGATGATGGGGTTTTATTTTATTTTTTTTTAATTTTTTTTTATTACTATCCCTAATGCCTAGAATGAAATCTGAATAAATGAATAAATGTCAAAATCTTTAAAATTTTGCATATGCTTTTTTTAAATTATACTTTAAGTTCTAGGGTACATGTGCACAATGTGCAGGTTTGTTACATATGTATACATGTGCCATGTTGGTGTGCTGCACCCATTAACTCGTCATTTACATTAGGTATATCTGCTAATGCTATCCCTCCCCACTCCCACAACCCACGACAGGCCCCAGTGTGTGATATTCCCCTTCCTGTGTCCAAGTATTCTCATTGTTCAATTCCCACCTATGAGTGAGAGCATGCGGTGTTTGGTTTTTCGTCCTTGCAATAGTTTGCTGAGATGATGGGGTTTTATAGATACCGGATTATGTCATGTGCAAATATGTGACTTCCTCTCTTCCTATTGGAATACCTTTTATTTCTTTCTATTCCCTGATTGTCATGGGCAGAACTTCCAATACTATGTTGTATAGGAGTGGGGAGAGAGGGCATCCTTGTCTTGGGCTGGTTTTCAAAGGAAAGCCTTCCAGTTTTCGCCCATTCAGTATGATGTTGGCTGTGGGTTTGTCATATATGTCTCTTGTTATTTTGAGATAGGTTCCCTCAATATCTGCTTTATTGAAAATTTTTAATATGAATAAGTGTTGAAATTTAGTAAAGGCCTTTTCTGGGTTTATTGAGTTAATCGTGGTTTTGTCTTAATTTCTGTTTATGTGAGGAATCACATTTATTGATTTGCATATGTTGAACCACCCTTACAGACACATCTCACACGTGAAGACATATATAGGCTTAAAATAAAGGGATGGAAGAAAATCTAGAAACAAATGGAAAATAGAAAAAAGCAAGGGTTGCAGTCCTAGTTTAAACCAACAAAGATCGTTAAGGAAAAATAAAGACATTACATAATGGGGAAGGGTTTAATTCAACAAGAAGATCTATCTATCCTAAGTACATATGCATCCAACACAGGAGCACCCAGATTAATAAAGTACGTGTTAGAGACCTACAGAGAGTCTTAGATTCCCACACAATAATAGTAGGACACTGTAACACCCTACTAACAGTATTAGAAGATCATTGAGACAGAAAATTAACAAAGGTATTAAGGGCCTTAACTTAACTTTGGATCAAGTGAACCTGATAGATATCTGCAGAACTCTTTACCCAAATTTAACAGAATATACATTCTTATCACCACATGGCACTTTCTCTAAAATTGTTCACATAATTGGAAGTAAAACAATCCTCAGCAAACACAAAAAACTGAATTCATAACAGTCTCTTAGACTACAGCACACACAAATTAGAACTAAAGATTAAGAAATTCACTAAATCCACACCAACATATGGAAATTGAAAAACCTGCTCCTGAATGACTTTTTGGCAAAGAATAAAATTAAGGCAGAAGTTAATGAGTTCTTTAACTAATGAGAACAAAGGGACAATGCACCAGAATCTCTGGGACACAGCTAAAGCAGTGTTAGGGAAATCTATAGCACTAGATGCCCACATCAAAAAGCTGGAAAAATCTCAAGTTAATAACCTAACATCTCAACTAAAAGAACTAGAGAACCAAAAGCAAGCAAACCCCAAAGCTAGATAAAGACAAGAAATAACCAAGATTAGAACTTAACTGAAGGAGATACAGACGTGAAAAATCACTTCAAAATTCAATGAATCCAGGAGCTCATTTTTTGAAAAAGCTAATAAAATAGATACACCACTAGCTAGACTAATAAAGAAGAAAAGAGAAAAGAATTAAAAAAAATTAAAAACCAACGAACCAAACAAAGAAAACAGCATTATTACTGGAGATAATTTAAAACACAGGGTACATGTGCAGGATGTGCAGGTTTGTTACACAGGGAAACATGTACCATAGTGGTTTGCTGCACAGATCAACCCATCACCTAGGTATTAAGCCTAGCATTCATTAGCTATTTTTTCTGATGCTCTCCCTTCCCCTGTTTCTCCTTCAGGTCCCAGTGTGTGTTGTTCCTTGTCATATGTCTGTGTCTTCTCATCGTTCAGCTCCCATTTATAAATGAGAAAATGTGGTGTTTGGTTTTCTGTTCCAACATTAATTTGCTGAGGGTAAGGGCTTCCAGCTGCATCCATATCCCTGAAAATGACATGATCTTCTTCCTGTTTATGGCTACACGGTATTCCATGGTGTATATGTACTACATTTTCTTTAGGCAGCCTATCATTGATGAACATCCATGTTTTGCCATTATGAACAGTGCGGCAGTGAACATACATATGCATGTATCTTTGTAATAAAATCATATGCATTCCTTTGGGTATATACCCAGTAATGGGAACGCTGAGTCAAGTGGTATTTCTGGTTCCAGGTCTTTGAGGAATTGCCTCACTGTCTTCCACAAGAGTTGAACTAATTTACATTCCCACCAGCAGTATAAAAGTGTTCCTTTTTCTCTGCACCCTTGCCAGCAACTGTTGTTTTTTGACTTTTTAATAATTGCCATTCTGACTGGTGTGAGATGATGACTCATTGTGGTTTTGATTTTCATTTCTGTAATGATCAGTGATGTGGACATTTCATTGTTATTTATGTATTTATTTATTTAAGACGGGGTCTTGCTCTGTTGCCCAGGCTGGAGTGCAGTGGTGTGATCTCGGCTCACTGCAACCTCCACCTCTTAGGTTTAGGGGATTCTCATGTTTCAGTCTCTCGGAGTAGCTGGGAGTACAGGCACCCACCACCACGCCTGGCTAATTTTTGTATTTTTAGTAGAGATGGGATTTTGCCATGATGGCCAGGCTGGTTTCGAACTCCTGACCTCAGGTGATTTGCCCGCCTTACGCTCCCAAAGGCTTCTTTTTTTTTTTCTTTTTTTACATATTTTTGTTGGCTGCATGTATGTCTTCTTTAGAGAAACATCTGTTCATGTCCTTTGCCCAATTTCCTTGGAGTTGTTTTTCTTGAAAATTGCTTTAAATACCTTGTAGATTATGACTATTAGACCTTTGTCAGATGGATAGGTTTCAAAAATTTTCTTCCATTCTGTATGTGTTCTTTTGGGAAAACCAAAATCATTTTTAGCTGAAATGGAAAATAATTAAAAAGAAGAAAAATGTGTACATCAGTGAAGTAAATATTCTACTGTATTTTGCTCCTCTAGAACCAAAGTCTTTTAGAGTTTTCTAATCTTTTCTCAAATTTTTGTTTAGCCCTCCCCCCCAAGAAATATAAAGCATCCTGGGAAATATTTCAATATAACCAGCAATAATAAAACTATCAAAAAAGGATTTTCTGAAGATTCTTCTAAAATTTATGACAGATATAAGAATGATGACCATCTTATTTTAATAGAAATGGAATAAAATTGAGACTAACAATCAGTAGTTTTCAATGATCTGTGGTGTAGTCAGTAGGCTAATTAAAGAAAGAATCAAATAAAATCTCTGTTTTAATGCTGAATATTTCAGTTTATTACTGGTATTAGAAAAGTTGGCTGTTCAACTCTTAAACATTATACTCACTTAAGCAAGAAGAGCTACAACATTTTCTAAAATAAAAACTTACTATACTAAACATATATGTGATGTTCTATATATGACAATTTTTATTCTATTTTGTGATACTTACGTTAAAAATAAAGAGTTTCTTAATTCTTTCCTGAAAAACTGTCCCAAAAACTGTTCCAAAATCCAAAAGTTAAAATCGTGGAGCCACAAGTTAAAAAAGATGGACAGCATTGTATTTTTTACTCTTTCCAGAAAGGTCTTTATGTCCGTTAGTCCTGTCATAGGCACAGATACATAGGAAGGTGGAGGTGGAAGTTTCCCAGAGCTTCACTCAATATTGCCACCTACAGAAGCTCTAAGTTTGAGCACAAAAGGAACTGCAAGCAACTCAGCAATAAACTCCCCACAGGGAATGGCAGAGTCTATAAGCACTACAGTTTAGTTGGGTTCCTCTTGCATCTTCAAGAGTGTCTGATTGTAGGCAAAACTCTCACACAGAGTTTTAAAAATTTCTCTAGATTCAGAAAAATTATTCAGTTCTTTTGCTGACTGCCAGGAGGTCAAGCTTGACAAGACATTCAGGACTAGGTCCAGAAATTCATTATGTACATTGTCAAAATTCACTTTGTCATGTGGCACTTGGACCACCTCAAAGTTCAATGCAGAAGGCTTCCCATAGTCAATGAAAAAGCCTGTGTGTGTGAGTCAACACTGTTACCTGGTGACCCCTCTCTATGAGTTCCTCCAAAATATTGTTGACATTAAGCCAATGGCTGATGTTACAGTGCTGCCCCAGTACCTTCTCACAGAATCCACAGCCAGCACAGCAGAGCTGAGGTAGCAGAATTGTGAAAACCCACTTCTCAGACACCATGATGGCAGCTACCTCACACACTGCTGTGCAGAGTTTGAGTGTTTACTGAGCAGAGTTAAAATGACAATTTAGGCAAACCAGTTAAAAGTTAATTTTTAAATATTAAAGATTACTAGCTTTTTGTAAGTTTAATATTTTTGGAGGAAATCAAACAGAAATACAATATGTCAGGGAAAAGTTTAAGCAACTGTCTAGAACTTGGAAATAAAATACCTAAAATAGAGATAATTTTATTACCTAGATTGATGTTAAGAAAAATTAAACAATAACTTTTAGAGTTAATGTTTTACACACTGAAACATACACACATAAACCAATTGACATCCATTGCCCAATAAGTCCAGGGTTCCAGATGGCTTAGGGGAATACTGTTTCACATTACTTGCTCACTTTGACTACCCAATGATTTAATAATAAAAATACATTTCAAGACCTATAAGAACCATTTTGATAAATTATATATATTTAGTACAGGGTGTTCAGTATTCCAGAGGAAAAATACAGTAAGTTTCATATGGAACAACTAAGAAAAGCCTTAGTAATGCTGTTGACTTATGAGGTGTGACGAAAGGTTTGGTAGGATTTATACAATGTTGCCAAAGAAGGAATTTCATAATAATTAGAAGAAATAGAAAAGATATTTGGTAATCTTCCCAGTGGGTATGGATCACAGAGAAAGTTGAGAGCAGAAGCCTACAGAAGAAAGCTAACTTGAAGTAGGAGAACGTAGTCTCTATAATGACAAATTATGGATTTGAATTCTAGTTTTAGGTAAAAAGATTTACTCAGATTTTAAAGGACGGTCATAAGCTCAAGCTTTTCGCAAGTAATTCTAACAGACAGCCATGAATTGGCATATAAAAGCAAAACTTTAAAATGACAAAAAGATTAAAAATGTACATTAGTAACCTAAGTATGTCATCCAAATGGCCTGATGAAACATGAACTGATTATAGTAAATGTGAGAAACTGATGGGACTTGTGATTATTTATTATATCTGAGATCAGAAAAAAAATATAGAAAACTCAGGGTTAGGCAAAAAGGCAGCGTTTTAAGATAGGGAATGAGTAGCATTCCTCCATCTACTCAGATATCTATCTTTCTGTGAAAGGAAAATAAATTTCAGAGCCCCCAAATCACTAAGTCAAAGTGAACAGCCAAGCTGGGAGCTGTGTCATGCAAACCTGCCTCCCGTTTTATTCCTAAATAAGACAGCTACAAAAATAACATCTCTAAATACCTCCTTCACAATTTTCTCACTAGGGTCTTCTTTGGGTGCACCAAGATCTTCACCCTAAAACAGTTCTGTTGAATTTCACCCCAGCAATGTAAATTGAGAGTTAATCTTCACAGGTATGGAACAAAGGACAGAACTCAAAGTAATTCCTCTACTCACCTGAGACAAATGTGTAACTTACTGCTTCCTCTGCCCGTTCAATATTAACATGTGTAAAACTGCAGATTCACTTGGCTAGATGAATGCATAAATGACTATTGCTCTGTCCCACTCTCACAAAAGAAAGATGAGGAACTATAATCAGAAAAGTGTAAGGTCTACTAAAAGATATTAAAAATGAAATATAGTATCTCACAAATAAACACAAGTAGCTATAAATTTTATGTTTAGAAACTACACATATAATAATAGATTTTTTAAAAACTCTACTTATTTCCTATCAAAAACACACATGTAAAATATTAAATTAGAAAACACTTGAAGCAAACTTAAGAAAAATATATCACATATATTTTTCACACACATATGTATCACAATATATCACATATACTTGACACAATTACAGACATTAGAAAATGACTGATTTTAATTCAAAAACATTACCAAAAATTTAAAAAGTAATGAAAAGTAATAACAAAATATTTAATTCACTATTGATGACAGCTCTCAGCCCGTACGACACAGCCACTGCTGGAGTTGGGAAGTACTGCTGAGGCTGCATGCTCCACGGACTCAGTAGGAAACAGGAACAGGCAGGAGCCCCATCCTTTTCTGAGTTGGCAGGGTGGTAGCACCGTGCTCCCAGATGCTGCTGCAGCTGCCCAGCTGTGGCTACAGACTTGGGCATCCCTGTATTCATGGGGGTTCAGGAAGTCCCCCTGCTCCTGAAAGCTCAGAAGTGCCAGCTCCCGCTGCCTGGCTTCTCCTTACTCCCGGAACCCAGTCTGGGGTAGAGCAAAGTTGTGTCCAAGCCTGGGCACTATTGTGATGTGGCTGGACATGTGCATGCTTGGGGCAAGGCTGACACACCAGCCCCATGACACCTCAGCCCCCTCCAGACTTTGAGCACAGACGAACACAGGAAGGCAGCTAAATGGGGACTGAGGATGGCTCAGCACCATCCTGCAGGTGCCCCTCGGTATTAACAGCCTGAGTGCCATAGATGACTTGTTCATGGCACAGGAGACAGACAGACTCCTGGGCGGTAAGAGGCAGATCCCTGATGAAGCCCCATCTTCAAGCTAGGGGCACCCTAAAGCCTAGGGGCTGATATGTCAGTTGAAGATGAAGGCTGCTGCTGGAAGTAAGAAATTATGGTGCCTTTTCCATGCCCACTCATGTTCAGCCCATGGACCAATCGGCAAGCAGTTCCTCCCTTCTGAGCCCATAAAAACCTCCAGATACAGTCAGACTCTAACAGACATTGGGATGACCAGCCTGTGGAAAGGAGCTACCCACTTAGGGTCTCCTGAGAGCTATTACGTCACTCAATGAAGCTCTTCTCTGCTTTGCTCACCCACCATTTGACTGTGTACCTAATTCTTCCTGGACATGGGACAAGAACTCAGGAACCACCTAATGGTGGGACTGAAACATCTGTAACACAAACCAGCCTGAAACATGTTCCCTACTTGTCATATTGCAGGTGACAAGAAAGAAGAGCTGTAGCTCTTTGGGGAGCCCAGACCTAAGGTCTCCCCAGCCAGGGACGTGACAACCTCTTTGGGGCTCTGCAGTTCCTGATGTCTCCAAGCTTCCAGGTGCCACCACATTCCCCTCATCCAGATGTGGGTGACTGCAGCAGAAGCTGTGTGCAGTACGTCTGGTCCAGCTGCAGCTTCACACAGAACTGGTACCTGTGCTGGTGCCTGGAGCTGCCCACCTCTCTGCAACAGCCAACATGCCTGGCTGTGCACAGTGGCTGGACCTTGCACTCATTCTTCTACACATGCCTCAGTACTTCATGCCTAGCTTGATGTTGGCAGGTGTGGGATCCAGGCTGGTAGCAAGAGCCAAGCGCAGCCTGCTGGGCCAAGTGGGTAGAATGAGTCCAGCAGGTGCAAGCAATAGTTAGGCAGAAAGTGCCACCACACACAGAGGGTTCTGGCTGGTGAAGCGATATCCCGAGGATCTCATGACACTAGGAAACTATAATAATTTGTTATATGAAGGTAGCTAACATGATCACCTTAAATTCTATAAAGCAGGAATTTTCTCAATTATAAGCAGAATATAACAATTACCCATCATCACAGAAATTTTGTCACTGTTCTTTCAGGAACTGATATATCAAATGATGCAGCAAGTGTAGTATATTAATGATTTGAGCAAGAAGACTATAACACTGATGATTTAACGGGCATATATAGCCTTTTTTATCCAAGATTTAGAGACGATGTGTTCCTGAGGAAAACATCATTGGTTGGTGAGTAATTAACTGATGTTTACTGAGACATGGAAAAAGATGCAAATATATCTGTTAAAAATGTTTCAGCCTTCTAGAATATGAAAATTAAAACAAATAATATAGGTTTACATTTAATATCTAGGTTACTAGTGAGAATAAGAAATTAGAAATCATATTTACTTCACACACATACACACAATCAAAAACACATTATACACAACCTAAGTTTGAATGTTTCTGATAATTAAGAATAATACGAATTATCAATCATTTTTCTCATGTAGACTATCCGTTAGGTGGGAGGTAACAAACATGAAAAATCTACAGGTAAACTTCAGAGATATTAGGGTCTTAGTTCCAGACAATTGCAATATAGTGAACATTGCAATAAACTCAATCACACAAATGGTGTGGTTTCCCAGTACATATAAAAGTTATGTTTACAGTATTAGAGAGTCTATTAAGTGTGCAAATAACATATCTAAAAAATAATGTACACACCTCAATTGAAAACATTTATTGTAAAAATGCTAACAATCATCTGATCTTTAAGCCCCGTGGTAATCTTTTTGTTCCTGGAAGATTTTTGCCTCCGTATTAATGGCTGCTGACTAATCAGAAGAGTGGTTTCTAAAGATTGAGATGGCTGTGGCATTTTCTTAAACTAATGCAATAACATTTGTCACATTGATTGACACTTCCTTTTATGAAAGAGTTCTCTTTAGCATGCAATAGTGTCTGACAGCATTTTACCCATAGTAGAACTTCTTTCAGAGTTGAAGTTCATTCTCTCAAACTCTGCTGCTGATTGATCAAGCATGTTTATGTAACATTCCAAATACTTTGTTGTCATCTCAACAATGTTCAGACCATTTTCACCAGGAGCAAATTTTATCTCAGGAAACCACTTTCTTCTCCAATGCAGAAGCAAATTCTCATCAATTCAAGTTTCATCATGAGATTGCAACAATTCAGTTACATCTTCAGGCTCTAATCCTAGTTCTAGTACTTTTGCTATTTTCACCACACCTGCAGTTGTTTCTTTAACTGAAGTTTTGAACTCTTCAAAGTCATTCATAGGAATTGTAATAAATAAATCAACTTCTTCAAAACTCCTTTTAATGTTATTTTAACCTGGTCTCATAAGTTATGACTACTTCAAATATCTTCTAAAATGGTAAATACTTTACAGAACGTTTTCAATTTACTCAGCCCATATCAATCACAGGAATTACAATTTAAGATAGCAATATCCTTAAAAAATGTATTTCTTAAATGATAAAACTTGAAAGTCAAAATTATACCTTGATCCATGGGTTGCAAAATAGATGTAATGTTATCAGGCATGAAAATAACATTAATCTCCTTGTACATTTTGATCACAGCTCTTGCATTAGCATGCGCCTTGTCATTGAGAGGTAAAATTTTGAAAGGAGTCTTTATTTTCTGAGCAATAGATCTCAATACTGGGCTTAAAATATTCAGTAAATCATGCTATAAACGGAGTGCTGTCATCTAGGCTTTGTCATTCTATTTATACAGCAGACACAAAGCAGATTTATCATAATTCTCAAGGGCTGTTAGATTTCCTGATAAATAAACATTGTCTTCAACTTAAAGTCACCAGTTGAATTACACACTAACAAAAGAGTCAGCCTGTGCTTTAAAGCTTTAAAGCCAGGCATTGACTTCTTATCTTTCACTATTAAAGACTCAAGTGACATATTTTTTCAATAAAGGGCAATTTTGTCTACGTTGAAAATCTGTGGTTTGGTGTGTTAATCTTCACCAATTATCTTGGCTAGATTGTTTGGATAATTTTCTGCAATTTCTACATCAGCACCTGCTGCTTTACTTTGCACTTTTTTGTTATGGTGATAGCTTCTTTTACTAAGTTTCATGAGCCAATGTCTGCTAGCTTCCAACTTTTTTTCTGCAGCTTCCTCAACATATTTCAGGCTTCACATATTCAAAAGAGCTAGAGTCTTTCTCTGGATTAGGCTTTGGTTTAAGGAATGTTTGTGGCTGCTTTGATCTATCTAGATTAAATTTTCTTCACGTCAGCGATAATGCAGATTAACTTCTTGCCATTTGTACATTCACTGGAGTAATACTTGTAATTTCTTTCAATAACTTTTTGTTTCTGTATTCACAACTAGGTTAACTGCTGCAAGAGGCCTAGATTTCAGCCTATCTCAGCTTTCAACATGCCTTCCTCACTTATCTTAATAATTTCCGACTTTTGATTTAAAGTGAAACACGTGGTACTCTCTCTTTCACTTGAACACTTAGAGAGCTTTGTAAGATTATTAACTGGTTTAATTTTAACGTTGTCGTTTCTCAGGAATAGGCCAGAGGAGAGGGAGAGAGATGGGAAAAAGTGGTTCATGGGGCACTCAGTAGACAAATAATATGTAATAAGTTTGATATCTTATATGGGCATAATTTGTGACACCCACAAACAATTACAATAGTAATATGAAAAATCACTGATCACAGCTCAACATAAGGAATATAGCAATGATGAAAAAGATTAAAGCTTTATGAAAATTAGCAAAATGTGTCACAAAGATATAAATTGATGATTTGCTGTTGGAAAAATCATGTTAATAGATTTGTTTGATTATAAGATTGCCACAAACCCTCAACTTATGAGAAAAAAAAACCCAAATATCTGCAAAGCATGATAAAACAAAGTGCAATAAAATAAGGTATGCTTATCCTATGAAGCATATTATAATGCATCATGTTTCTGGTGCAGGGTCATCAGAAAACCAGAGAACATAATTATCCCTCTATGGAGCAATCAGAAAAAGCTGGTGTGACAGATAACATACAGGGTAAGACAAAAGCTTTGGCAGGATCTAGGCAGAGTGTGGCTAACGGAAAGAATTCACAGTGAGTAGAATGAGAAAAGGTCATGGTATTTAGAAAGCATTCCAGTAAGTATGAATTTTAGATTAAATTGTGTGCCAGAGATTATTTTTAAAAATTGGTTGAAATTGGAGACCTTACATAGCTTTGTACAGTACATATGGGGTTTTATTTTAATTTACAGGAAAAATAACCAAGTATTTAAGAAAGCCAGTCAAAATGTCAAGTGTTTGTTTGTTTGTATGTTTTGTTTTAAGCAATCAACTCTTGTTGCCAAACACAGATTGACAAGTAAAGTCAAGAGCTCACATGTAGGAAAAATGATTAAAATGTATATTAGTAGACTAAGTATGAGACCATAAGGGCTGGGGCTTGTCTTGATAATAGTAAATGTGAAGAACAGAGATTAAATTTGTGAATACTGACTGCATCTGAGACTAGAAGAAATGCACAAAAGCAAAGGCACTGATGTGGTTTCTACATGAATGATCAAAACACAGATAATGATATTAGGTAAAGTATGATACCAAACATGAATGGCATGTTTGGAAAAAAAATATGAACCATTTGAAATTTGTGTTCCTTCAGAGCTTAATTTTTTAATAAGTATTTTCCATATAAATAATTATAAATTTTTGGAGACTCATTTTTTGGGCAACGTGATATAGTTTCAAGATATGGGTTAGACAATAGATTATCTACTCAGGTATCTATGCACCTGCCATTTTTTCACATTACACATTCAATGCACAATTTATAGCACTTACCTAATCCATTCGTTGATGAGACATGTAAGAGAGCAAAAAACATTATGATGTAGTCCCTGTGCTCAAGCAGCTCACATGTTTATATTTAAACAAGTTGACTAACATTTATGTTTATATTAAAGAAAGGGCTCCAGGCTGGGCGAGGTGGCTCACACCGTTAATCCCAGCACTTTGGGAGGCCAAGGCGGGTGGATCAAGAGGTCAGGAGATCCAGACCATCCTGGCTAACACGGTGAAACCCCATCTCTACTAAAAATACAAAAAATTAGCCAGGCTTGGTGGCCGGCGCCTGTAGTCCCAGCTACTCCGGAGTCTGAGGCAGGAGAATGGCGTGAACCCGGGAGGCGGAGCTTAGAGTGAGCTGAGATTGCGCCACTGCACTCCAGCCTGGACAACAGAGCCACAGAGCCAGACTGCGTTTCAAAAAAAAAAAAAAAAAAAAAAAAAAAAAAAAAAAAAAAAAGGCTCCAATAGAGATAGTCCATAGTGAAGAGTGTTTAAAGAATATTTAGTACAGAAAGCCAAACACATTTAATTCTTTCAGATAAAGCTATGCTTCAGCTGTGACATGTCTCTAAGTGCTTAGAAAGTCAAAGGAATGCTATTTAAAACCCAAACCAACTTTAATAGCTTCTCCTTGCTAAGAAGAGAACCATAAGCAAATTGGGAGATATAGTCATTGATGGAATTTTTGAGAGAGGGTGAAAGGATCAGAGATTTTATAGTTTCTGGTAATTTTTTTTTCTTTGTTGTTGTTTTTGTTGGATACAACAAATGTGTCAGAGTCTCAGGGTAATTTATTTAGCAGAACCTATTTGAGAGGAAGATTTATAATTAGCAGTTGGATAATTTTTTCTTTCATAAATAGGCAAGATTGTAATAGAGTTTCTTGTAGCAATTGAGACAATGAATGGCACTCCAGAGGAAAAGAAAAAAATGCAAAAAAATAGTAATAAAGGAAATTTCTTAGAAGAAACTGAATTAAAAACTCTTTGAAAGGAAATATTATTTTCAAGCTGTATACAAAGCTCAGGCATGCTAGGATTACTGTATGGCTGTATCACTTTTATGAAACACACAAATTGGATTAAAAAGTTTATTCATAATAGCAAAAGACAAATGTCCTGTGGGAAGATTATATTTGCAATATATATGCCAAATAAAGATGAATTTTGCTTATGCTAGAAACTTGACCCTATCCAGAGAGGCCAAGCAGATACTTATATGATCTGGTGGCAGAATATAATTTTTAAAAAATTTTTCTTGGGAGTAAGTTGCCAGTATGTAACAAATTTGAGAATGTACTGTTTCCCTGAAAGCTACTAGAAGACACAGGAGAAATGACCATAAAGAGGAAAACACTAGACCTAAAAATTGTACACTCAACTGAGCACAATGACAAAGAGATACTGATGACTAAGATAGGCACATAATGCCTGGATAGTAAAGTCTTCACATTAGAGATTGTACGTGGATAATTCTAAGAAAAATATTTCTGGAAAACAGAGAATCTTTTCAATAGGTATACATGCACTCCTTAAGGTAAAGTTAAGATTATGATACAGTATGATATAGTATTATGTAAGTAACAACATAATAAAAATTATATAAATAAAAAGCAAAACATGAAGTTGCAGAACAGAAAGGTAGACAAAATACAATATTTGACTCTCCAGTGAATGAATGTACAAAGACTATAGAATATAATTACTAATTCCAAAGTAGTGGTGGCTTACAGTAATTAAGAATGAACGCAAAGGTGATGAAAGTTTTAAGGGAAGTAAAACTTAGGTAAGGGAACATACCTCAATAAATAATGAATAAACTTAATAAATCTTAATAAATCTTAAATAAACTTAAGAAAGACCTGTGACAATATGCTATGTTGTGGAAAATGGATATGACTATATTTTTATAGTCTGAGAAATTTAACGGTGTTTATCTTTTTGGATCACCCCTTCAATATGCTTTAATTAGTTAAAAATCAATGTGGACTCTCACAATAAAACATTATGAATAAATGTTAAAAATATTAGATTTTTAAACCAGAAATTCCATTGTCAGTAACATATTCTAAGATTTAGTTACAATATGTACATCAAGAATATTCACTGAACCATTCTGATGGTTAATTTTAGGTGTCGACTTGATTGGATTGAAAAATGCCTAGATAGCTGGTAAAGTAGTGTTTCTGGGTGTGTCTGTGATGGTGTTACCAGAGGAGATTGACATTTGAGTCATTGGACAGGGAGGAGAAGACCCACCCTTAATGTGGGTGGGCATAATCCAATCAGCTGCCAGCACAGCTAGAACAAAGCAAGCAGAAGGCAATATAAACTGGCATGCTGAGTCTTCTGGCTTTCACCTTTCCGTCACGCCAGATGCTTCCTTCTATTCCTCCTGTCCTTGGATATGAGACTCCAGGTTTTTTGGATTTTGGACTCTTGGACTTACACCAGTGGTTTGCCAGGGGCTCTCAGTCCTTCAGCCACAGACTGAAGGCTGCACTGTCAGCTTTCCTGTCTTTAGGCTTTTGGTCTCAGACTGAGCTATTACTGTCTTCTTTCTTCCCCAGGTCACAGATGGCCTATTGTGAAACTTCACCTTGTGATTGTGTGTATATATATGTATATATCCTATTAGTTCTTTCTCTCAGGAAAACCCTGAGTAATACAAATGCTGGTTCCAGGAGTGTTTCTAGAGGAACAGAATTTTAAGGATGGATTTTTAGGGTTGGTTTTGAGGTTTCTGGAGTTGGCTGTTTAATCTGATTAGACTCCAAAATGCTAAGAACTCTACTTCAAATAATATGTAGAACACTGATAGTCCTTAACAAAAACTCTTTAGAGAGTTATGGAAAATAAATGCATTTGATAATCCTGATTCACCACTCTTGAGAGGCAAAGAGTTTAGTTGCCCAGTTCATGATGCCTTTGACCATTTGTGGAGAACAAAGGAATATAATCAAATTAGTTGATCACTCCTGTGTTCACTGGAAAAACTAATAAAAGGAAAGGACGAGCTCAGTGATTCTATCTTCTGGCTCCAGAAGTGCATACTTAGCTGCAAGTCTCCTAAGATTGTCCCTGGTGAGAATCTTACCTTCAGTAGGCAAAGGGTTGAAATTGTGGAAAATGAGATCACAAACCCTCATCATGAGATTGGCTGACCTACAAGGAGAGGTGCATGCTTAGCCTCTTCTGGTGTCAACTTAAAGTGAGGGCATTGATTGGGAAAGAGTGGAACCATGTAACTTGGAATAGGGATGTTTGAGAGGGTCCTGATGAAGCTGGGGACACTGAGCTCCTAAATTCTGATAAGCCATTTTTGCCAGAGAAATTGACTTCCGCACCATCAACATTTCCTCCCCGACCCAGGATTCATTCAGCCTTTCCAACTCTGAGGATATTAAATTTACACTTGCTGAGGCAATAATTATGGCCTCCCCCAAGGGAGTTGTCAGGCAAGACAATGCTGATTCTACTCAAAACCCATACCCACCACTCCTCTTCACTTCTAGATCTGTAACTAGACTCACGTCCCAGCAGAGCCCTAGAGGTGAGGTTCAGAGTGTGACCCATGAGGAAGTGTACTACATTCCAAAAGAACTACTTGAGTTTTCTATTTTATATAAGCAGAAATATGGAAAACAGGCATGGAAATAGATCTAAAGGATGTGGGATAATGGTAGAAGGAATATAAAGTTGGATCAGGATAAATGTATTGATATGGATCCACTAAACAAGATTCTCTATTTAATGTTGCATTTCAGGAAGTTAAAAATGTTCTAATAGTTTATTTGCTTGGTTAGTTGAAACATGGCTTAAAAAATCCCCCACTGTGAGCAAGCTGGAAATGTCTGATCTCCCCTGGTTTAATATAGAGGAAGGGATCCAAAGGCTTAGGGAAATTGAAATGCTAGTGTGGATTTATGACTTTAGACCTACTCATCCCAACTGAGAGGGCCCAGAAGACATATGCTTCATCAACACCTTGCAAAAAAGATTTGTGAAAGGAGCACACTCATCCTTGAAGACCTCTGCAATTGCTCTTCTCTGTATGCCAGATCTTACAGTGGGAACCACAGTCACTCAATTGGAAAACTTAAATGCAATGGGAATAATTGAATCCCAAGGTGGCAGGGGCCAAGTGGTAGCACTCAATTGTCAAAAGTGAGGTGGGCATAGTTACAATAATAGCACAGGCAAAGCAGCAATCAGAATAGTCTGACTCGTGTAGACCTCTGGCATTGGCAAATTATTTTTTATGTTTTTAGAAGTGAAATAAATAGGAAGCCTACTACATTCTTACTTAATTTGTAAATGCAGCAAATTTCCAGATAAAGTGGACAAAATACTAATTTGAATTACAAAAATAGAGAGTCATGGCTCTTCAATCGATTTCCAGACTTGAGGCGGTTTATAGACCCAGAACTCCTTGAATAATGTGAGGGCCAGGTTTCCTTGAGGAAGGACCCCACTATATGACCAAAAACTTATACTGTTAATTTTTCTCCCATCCGTCTTTAAGGAGACCTCCAGTCTTTCATCAGGGTAACTGTGCATTGGGGAACGGAGAATGATCAGAATTTTCAGGGCCTACTGGACAATGGCTCTGAGCTGACATTGGTTCCAGGGAACACAAAATGTCACAGCGGCCCTCCAGTTAGAGTAGGGGCTTATGGAGGTCGGGTAATTAATGGAGTTTTAGCTCAGGTCCAAATTACAGGGGCCCTAATATGTCCCTGGACTCATCCAGTGGTCATTCCCCTAGTGTCAGAATGCATAATTGGAATGGACATACTTAGCAGCTGGTAGAATCCCCACATTGGCTCCTTGATCAGTAAGGTGAGGGCTCTTATGGTGGGAAAGACCAAATGGAAGCTGTCAGAACTGCCTCTACCTAGAAAAATAGTAAATCAAAAACAATACTGCATCCCTGGAGGGATTGCAAAGATTAGTGCCACTGTCAAGGATTTGCAAGATGCAGGGGTGGTGATTCCCGCCACAGCCGCCCTTCAACTCTCTTACTTGGCCTATGCAGAAAACAGACAGATCTTGAAGAATTACAGTAAATGATTGTGAACTTCACCAAGTGGTGGCTCCAATTGCAGCTGCTGTAACAAATGTGGTTTCATTGCTTGAGCAAATTAACACATCTCCTGGTACCTGGTATTCATCCATTGATTTGGCAAATGCCTTTTTCTTCATTCCTGTGCATATGGTGCACCAGAAGCAATTTGCCTTCAGCTGGCAAGGCCAGCAATATACCTTCACAGTCCTGCCTCAGGGGTATATCAACTCTGACTTTTTGTCATAATCTTGTTCCCAGAGATCTTGATTGCTTTTCTCTTTCACAAGGTATCACACTAGTCCATTATATTGACGACATTATACTGATTAGACTGACCCAGTGAGTGAGAAGTGGCAGCCACACTGGACTTATTGGTGAGACATTTGCATGTCAGATTATAGGAAATGAAGCTGACTAAATCTCAGGGAGCTTCTACCTCAGTGAAGTTTCTTAGGGTCTAGTTACATAAGGCCTGTCAAGATATTTTTTCTAAGGTTAGAATAAGTTGTTACATTTGGCCCCTCCTTCAACCAAGATAGAGGCACAACACCTAGTGGGACTACTTGGATTTTTGAAGAAGCACATTCCTCATTTGGGTGTGTTACTCCAGCCTATTTATTGTGCGACCTGAAAGGCTGCCAGTTTTGAATGGTGTCAAGAACAGGCAAGGGCTCTGTAACAGGTCCAGGCTGCTGTCCAAGTTGATATGCCACTTAGGCCATATGACCCAGCATATCCAATCATGATTGATGTGTCAGTGGCAGATGGTGATGATGTTTGGAGCCTCTAGCAGGCCCCCATAGGGGAATCACATGGAAGCTTCTAGGATTTTGGAGTAAGGTCCTGCCATCTTCTGCAGATAACTACTCTCCTTTTGAGAGACAGCTCATGGCCTGTTACTGGGTCTTGTTAGAAACTGAATGTTTGAATGTGAGTCACCAAGTTATCATGCCATCTGAACTACCTATTATGACCTGAGTGCTTTCTCACCTATCTAGCCATAAAGTTGGACATGCACAGCAGTGCTCTATCATCAAATGGAAGTGGTATATATTTGACTGGGCTCGAGCTGCTTCTGACGGCACAAGTAAGTTACATAAGAAAGTAGCTCAAGTTCCCATAGGCCCCACCCCTGTCACTCTGCTTTCCTTCTCCCAGCCCACACCCATGGCCTCGTGGGGAGTTCCCTATGAGCAGTTGACAGAGGAAGAGACCTGGTTTACAGGTGGTTCTGCATTCGGTATGGAGGTGTGATGATTAATACTGAGTGTCAACTTGATTGGATTGAAGGGGGCAAAATATTGTTCCTGGGTGTGTCTGTGAGGGTGTTGTCAAAGGAGATTAACATTTGAGTGATTGGATTGGGAGAGGTAGATTCACCCTCAATCTGGGTGGGTACCATCCTAGCTAGCACAGCTAGGAAAAAAGCAGGTAGAGGAACGTGGAAAGACTAGACTGGCCTGAGTCTTCTGGCCTCCATCTTTCTCCCATGCTGGGTGCTTCCTGCCCATAAACATCAGACTCCAAGTTGTTCAGCTTTTGGACTCTTGAACCTACACTAGTGGTTTGCCAGGTGCTCTCGGGCCTTTGGCCACAGACTGAAAGCTGCACTGTCCGCTTCCCCACTTTTGAGGTTTGGTTATGCAGACTGGCTTCCTTGCTCCTCAGCTCGCAGACAGCCTGTTGTGGGACTTCACCTTGTGATTATGTGAGTCAATACTCCCTAATAAACTCTTTTTCATATATGCATATATCCTATTAGTCCTGTACCTCTAGGGAATCCTGATTAATCCAGCAGACACCACCCAAAAGTGGACAGCTGCACCACTACAGCCCCTTTCTAGCACACCCATAAATAACACTGAGCAATGCACCTGGTTGTGCACTTTGCTTGGAAGGAGAAATGGCCAAATTCGTGATTATATACTGATTCATGGGCTATATAGCCAATGATTTGGCTGGATGGTCAGGGACTTAGAGGAAGCATGACTGAAACCTTTTTGACAAATAAATCTGGAAAAGAACTATGTAGATTGACCTCTCTGAGTGGTCAAACACTGTGACTGTATTTCTGTTTCATGTGAATACTCATGAAAAGGTGACCTCCATAGAGTTTTAATAATCAAGTGGTTAGGATGACCTATTCTGTGGACACCACTCAGCCTCCTTCTCCATCCACTCCTGTCATTGCCCAGTGAGCTCATGAACACAGTAGCCATTGTGGCAGGAATGGAGGTTATGCATTCAGCAACAGGGACTTCCACTCACCAAGGCTGACTTTACTACAGCTACGACTGAATGTCCCATCTGCCAGCAGCAGAGAAAAACACCGAGCACTTGATATGGCACCATTACTCAGGGTAATCAGCTAGCTACTTGCTGACAGGTTGATTACACTGGACTTTTTCTTTTTTTCTCATGGAAAGGGCAGTTGTTTGTCCTCACTAAAATAGACACTTTCTGCAGATATGAATTTGCCAGTCCTGCACTCAATGCTTTTGCCAAGACTTTCATTTGTGGACTGGCAGCATACCTTGTCCACTGTCATCATATTCCACACAGCATTGCCTCTGACCAAGGCACTCACTTCACAGATAAAGAAGTGCAGCAGTGGGCTCATATTCGTGGAATTCACTGGTCTTGCAATGTTCTCTGAGGCATGGCATCATCCTGAGACAGCTGGCTTGTTGAATGGTGGAATGACCTTTTGAAGTCACAATTACATCACCAACAAGGTGACAATACTTTGCAGGGCTGGGACAAAATTTTCCAGAAGCCTCTGTATACTCTGAATCGCTGTCCAATATATTCTACTGTTTCTCCCATAGCCAAGGTTCATGGGTCCAGGAATCAAGCAGTGGAAGTGGAAGTAGCACCACTCACCATTACCTCAAAAATAAATTTTGCTTCCTGTTCTCAAAACATTTTGTTCTACTGGCCTAGAGGCCTTTAATAATCAAGTGGTTAGGATGACCCATTCCTTGGACACCACTCAGCCACCTTCTCCATCCACTTCTGTCACTCCTGTCAGGGAGGGAGGAATGCTGCCACAAGTAGACACAACAATTACTTTATTAAACTAGAAGTTAAGATTGCGACCTGGCCACTTTGGGCTCCTCCTTTCTTTAAGTCAGCAGGCTAAGAAGGAAGTTATCATGTTGGCTGGAGTGATTGACCTGGATTATTAAAATGAAGTTAGACTACAACTCCATAATGGATGTAAGGAACGGTATTTCTGGAATACAGGAGATTCCTTAGGGCATCTCTTACTATTACCATGCCCTTTGATTAAGATCAGTGGGAAACCACAACAACTAAATTCAGGCAGGACTACAAATGGTTCAGACCCTTCAAAAATAAAGTTTTGGGTTAGCCCACCAACTGAAAAATGACCACCAGCTGATTTGCTTGCTGAAGGCAAAGGGAATACAGAATGGGTAGTAGAAGGTAGTTACTAACACTAGCTACAACCGCATAAACAGTAGCAGAAACAACAACTGTAATTGACATAAGTATTTTCTCCTTATTTTATTAAGAATACTTTTGTGCATGTATACACTTGTACTAAGAAAATATCTTCATTTTATTTCCTTTCTTTTTTCTTTATCATGTAACATAAGATTTATTTACTTCATATTAACATTTAAGTGTTTTTAACTTAACATAATAGCATTTTGGTTAAGGATTAATGTACTTCCAGTTGTAGAAAGAATAGCTATATTATATTAGATGTAAATATAATTTTATTATTTTCTGTATTGGTGATTAATGATTTCAGGAGATGTGTATTAGTGCCATGTTGACAAGGGATGGACTTGTGATAGCAAATATTAGGTGCCAACTTGATTAGATCGAAGCATGCATAGATAGCTGGCAAAGAACTGTTTCTGGGTTTGTCTGTGAGGGTATTGCCAGAGGAGATTGAAATTTGAGTCAGTAGACTAGGAGAGGAAGACTCACCCTCAATGTGGGCGAGCACCATCACATTAGCTCCCAGCATGGCTAGACCATAGCAGAAGGAAGAAAGTGGAATCAGCTGGCTTGCTGGTCTTCTGGCTGTTATCTTTCTCTCATGCTAGATGCTTCCACCTATTCCTCCTGCCTTTGGACATGAGACTTCAGGTTTTTTGGCCTTTGGACTCTTAAACTTAACACTACTGGTTTGAAAGCTGCACTCTCAGGCTTCCCTGTGTTTAAGGCTTTTGGTCTCAGACTGAGCCACTACTAGCTTCTTTCTTACCCAGCTTGCAGATGCCCTATCATGGGACTTCACCTTGTGATTGTGTGAACCAATTATTTTTAATAAACACCGTTATATAAACATATATCTGTTGTGGGAAGTCAGGGACCCCAAACAGAGGGACCAGCTGAAGCCATGGCAGATGAACGTGGATTGTGGATTGTGACGATTTCATGGACATTTATTAGTTCCCAAAATTAATACTTTTATAATTTCTTATGCCTGTCTTTACTGCAATCTCTAAACATAAATTGTGAAGATTTCATGGACACATCACTTCCCCAATCAATACCCTTGTGATTTCCTACGCCTGTCTTTACTTTAATCTCTTAATCCTGTCAGCTGAGGAGGATGTATGTTGCCTCAGGACCCTGTAATAATTGCATTAACTGCACAAATTGTAGAGCATGTGTGTTTGAACAATATGAAATCTGGGCACCTTGAAAAAAGAACAGGATAACAGCAATGTTTAGGGAAAAAGAGAGATAACATTAAACTCTGACCACCGGTGAGCTGGGTGGAACAGAGCCTATCACTGAATTCTTTTTCTTAGCAAGGAACATCCCTGAGAAAGAGAATGCACCCCTGAGGGTGTGTCTATAAATAACCCCCTTCGGTGTGGCCATCTTCTTTGGTGGAAACTGTAGGGATGAAATAAGCCCCAGTCTCCCATAGCACTCCCAGGCTTATTAGGAAGAGGAAATTCCCACCTAATAAATTTTGGTCAGACCAGTTGCTCTCAAAACCCTGTCTCCTGATAAGATGTTATCAATGACAATGGTGCCCGAAACTTCACTAGCAATTTTAATTTAGCCCCGGTCCTGTGGTCCTGTGATCTTGCCCTGCCTCCATTTGCCTTGTGATATTCTATTACCTTGTGAAGTACGTGATCTTTGTGACCCACACCCTATTCGTACACTCCCTCCCCTTTTAAAAGTCCCTAATAAAAACTTGCTGGTTTTGCAGTTTGTGGGGCATCACAGAACCTACTGACATGTGATGTCTCCCCCGGACGCCCAGCTTTAAATTTCTCTCTTTCGTACTCTGTCCCTTTATTTCTCAAACCAGCCAATGCTTAGGAAAAATAGAAAAGAACCTACGTGACTATTGGGGCGGGTTCCCAGATATATATCCTATTAGTTCTGTCCCTCTGGAGAACCCTAATACAAACATTATCATGGATAGTACCAAAATAACTCATATGTCTATAAGTTGTCCCTGGTACATTTGTATGGTAAAGCCTTCTCATTGATTCAATAATAATGAGGGAGTTTTCCTTACACTCATGTAGGAGAGAAGTCCATATATAGTATGAAGTAAAAAATTAGGTGGGTCTTTGTATTATCTCTACTTGGTTATGGTAAAGAAACTGTGATATTGGAATCTTTTTTGAATTTTTTCTATGTGGTATATGAATAAATTTGGTTTAATTGTATATTTATGTAATAGGATATTATAGTACAAAAATGAAGAAACTACAGTGATATGTAAAAATGTAGATAAATTAGATGTCATTGAAGAAGTTAGATATAGGACATTTTTAAATTACTTTATTGCCTTATTTACACAGATGCAAAGACATACAGATTTCAATAATTAGCCAGAGATGGGAGAAAGAATCAGGAGTCACATCTCTGCCATTTAAGTAACATGTAGACATTTATCAGACAAATGCTTACCTCCAAAGCAAGGTATAAAGACTTCCACTTTCTAGTTTCTTTGTATTGGCGCTTATCATTCCACAGTCTGTGTAAATATTTCATTTACTTTTCCAACCACTAACTGGTAGGAACAACAGTTACAACCAGAAAAACACATAGAATAGAATGTAGTTAGAAAGATAAAAGTTAAGGTGCTAGAGCTTTTAAAACTTAGCGTTAAGTTTTAACAAGGAACCTCAAGATTTTCACTGAAGGGGGTATGATATTATATTCATATTTTGAGGATAAGATGAGAGAAAAGATTATGTGAAAAGTATTTCTTTTTTCTTTCATGAATATTTGGTTCTTATATCTGGAGGAGGAAATCTAAAATAATGTTACTGTTTTGTAGGGCTCCTACACATTTACTATTTTCCACCACCAAGCAAGAATAGCTGTATATGGAAAAAGAGGAGTACAGTCCTTTTTGGAGAAAGTGAAATTTGGAATGATTCACAAAACTTTGACACACTCATAGTAAAACAAGAGAGGAGGTGACTGCAGAGTAAAGAAGAGAAGCAGAGTACACAAGAAAGTTGTGAATTTTTTAGTAGTGCTTTCAGGTGGAATGTAATGACAGATAAGATGAATAATACATTTCTTAATATAAGTAAGAGCATAGGTAGTACCTAGCTTGAATTTAAAACACTAGTACCTGCATAGAACTTGAAGAAAACATGAAACACATAAGAATCTTCCTTATCTTTAGATGGACTCAAACTGCTTACTTCTAACCTAAATGCTGCAATCTTACCTACAAGTATAATCATCCTTTTCTACTCTTCCTCTTCCATTAAATGAATTTCTATGCTGAGTTTCACTTCTATTAAGGCCAGTCTTCTGGAGATCCTCACCTTATCTAGTACCTCTCCTTCCTTTTTTCTGTATCCATAACTTCCCTTCCATCATAACTCTTTCCCATTTGAAATCAGAGATAGATAATTTATTTTCAAATAGTATTGACTCTGGAATCCATCAGTTTATGGTAAATTGTTCCCCAATAACTACCGATGAACATAGCATTGTAAAATTATATGATCTACTTGTCACTGTTCTCTTATTGGTAAAATTTGTCTAAAGCTAATGTGATTTTTTATAATGTTTAAGAATTTATTGAGTTAATACATTGCACTTAGAATAACGTCAAGCATTTTACGTAAAACAATACTACAACATACTGGATCTTGATCTTGATGCCACATCTTGATGCTATGTCTTCAGGCTGCTATTGCTTTTGATGGCTTATCTTTAAGTTTCATGGATCTTAGAGCCATTCAAGTTTCATGTTATTCCTTTTATTTTCCATTCACAACTTACTTTTATGGGAGGTGTCTATGCATTTCATCTTCTTTCCTTACTTTCTATTTTGTAATTCATTTTCTGTTGCTACCATTTCATTGAAATTGCAAACATGCCAGAATCAGTAAAAAAAGTCTTCAAGTCAGTTTTCAAAAAAATTTTCAGTCATTTTATTGACACAATCTAGAATTCAATAATATTTTACTCTATCTACTAAAATTCTTATTTTGATTTATGACTCACCATAGTCTCACAGTTTTCTCATATTTTTTACTTCTCTCTTCTTTATCAGATATGACAGTCTATTTCTATCTAGTAAATGTGAGTGTTTTTATTTATTCATTAGTTCAGTCAATATGTATCAAATTTGTTCTTTGTGCCCAGATCATCACCAAGTACAAAGAATGTGGAGACAAATGAGATCAGTCCCTACTTTCTGCTATCTTTATTTTATTGATTGATGCATATCTAAATAAAAAAGTGACAAGATGAACAGAGTAGTTAAATTTGGGAAGAAAATTATGGGAATTATATAAACATATTTTGAATGTCTATGTTTCAATGGCTTTAAAGGAAGTTATTGCAAAAATTATTTTATTTCAGTATTTTCAAGTTGTAGCCTATAATTTAAAGTTCAGCTCAGATGCTTCTCAGGTATAACCAGTGTATGGAAATTTTTGTTCTTGATTCTTTTCATGCTCAGGATCACATCAATGAATTCAAAAAGTCTATAAATTTGGTGAGTGTAGGTTATTTGCCCAGATGTGTCATCTAATAGAGTATATTATGAACACATTGCAAAATGACATATAGAGATTGATATAAAACATTTTTTATCATATAAATACTGGGACTTCTCATGTTTGAGACTGATTTTATTTAGGCTACCTGGACTCTAGAAGACTTAAAGGTCAATATTTAATTATAGGCTGGTTATCAGAGACTGGGAAAGCTCACAAGGTTTCAAATGGCTCAAATCTTGTCTGACTCTGAGGTTGATCTCATCCTTAATTGATACACAGATGCTTTTTATGAAAAATAAGAACACTGGTTACATGTTTTATGCAGCAGTATTCATGACTCTTCAAATTATCACTGTTTGCAATATGTTTTAACATGTTTATTGTGGGCAAGTTTTGTGAGCTCAAATTTGAAACTTGCTTGTTATAATGCTGATCAAAGAGGCACAAAGAATGAGTGTTTTTTTAAGTTGGAAAATACATAGATAAAAAATAAAAGATTAGTTTAGGGCTTTGAATTTTCAACTCATGAAAGAAGAAAAAAAAAAACCTCTATGGAAGGAAGTTGTAAGTAATGCTTAATATCATGTAGCCAAATTGAAATCATGACTATCAGGCCCCAAATCTAATTATCTAATTGTAGTGGTGAATTGCAATAACTGTTCAATGTGCAAGCTCATATATGTCTCTAATTTGCCTAATGTTACATCAGGAAACTGAGTAGAAATGAGGGGGACTCTGAGATTTAGAGAGGGATATTTCAGCAGACACAGAGAACTTAGAAACTTGTACTTCTAAAGCTCCTTGGACTTCTTTTATGGGCTAAATGATACCCTCCTTCTCTATCTGAAAACACTAATTTTGTGTTGTGTAAGACTTTGTAATAACT
Source organism: Homo sapiens (assembly GCF_000001405.40). Lineage (NCBI taxonomy): Eukaryota > Metazoa > Chordata > Mammalia > Primates > Hominidae > Homo > Homo sapiens. Next base: position 69,539,628 of record NC_000004.12, read on the forward strand.
TAGCATGGAATAGTGTTCTAGCAAGGGAAACTACGGTTCCCAGAAGATCCAACTCTACCACTTCTGAATGCTTCACTTCAAGAAGAGAATTGCAAAGTCCACTCACACATACAGCAACATGAGGCACAGTTTTATCACTTTGATGGACTGAACTAGCGGCTCATTTTTCATGTTAAGGAAAAACTATGAAAAATAATATATTATCAGGCCAACTGTTTATAAAGATGCATTTATCCACAACTTTGAAGTTAATGTATTGGTCCAAATACTTAATTATGTCATTATCAGGCATTTGGTTGGATAATTAAAGCCTGGATGTAACATGCCTTATAGTAAATAAAGTTGAAATTTGATAACATTTTTGATATTCTACATGAAAATAACCTATAGGCTGAGGGAAATGGGAATGTTAGAGGAGATGTATTATGTGCAATATGCTCAGAATCCATTTCACCATCTCAGTGACATTAAAAAAATGCATTCGTGCTAAGTATATCAATATCCTTGAAAATCTCTGTTGTGTTTTTATTCTGTAGGGTAAAGATGAAAGTGAAAGATGCTGCAACAAAACTGGGATCCACAATTTCAGTGGAAATAATAGACACCCATAATGGTAGAGGCTGGTTAGGTTATATTAACTACAAAATACTTGATTTGGAAAAGTACCAAATCCAGCCGCAGGATGGAAATTGTAGAGTGTTTCAATTTACAGGTAGCTGGGGCATTGCCTAATTGCTCACATTATTTTTTGGAATAAAATGTATGAACAGCCTACGATGATATTGCTTCATCTTTTATGAGTATATGAAGTAGATATCCTATGTGTAGACACACACATATCTTACATATCTTATACAGGTAGTGAACGTGTGTGTGTGTGTGATTAGATAGATAGATGATAGATAGATGGATAGATAAATAGAGAGACAGATTAGATACATACATACATACATACACAGATACATAGATAGATACATAGATACATAGATAGATGAGTAGGTTGCCTATAGACAACTGGTGACATTCATCTTATAACTCAGAAATTCCAAGTTCACTTCCTATGTAGGTAGTAGATACTAAAGTTAAATAAAACTTTAACAAAATCTAGTAAGAGAATCTCAGGATTTTGGAGCTAAACTATCACCTATTTTCCTGAAATGTCTTCTCCATTAGAAAAACAGTCCCTGATTTACTATCGAGTTCTGGTGGATACTTACTATTAATATTTGTCCATGGGCACCAAGAACCTGTGCTACCTGACATGGTCATTCTGTTGTGACAACAAAAAAAATATAACTGAACATTAACAGCAATATTCTACTGTTAATGAACATACAAATATAAGAAAAGGACTGAGAAATTTCAGAAAAACAAGTAAATCACTTTAGCAAATGGATAAGGCTCTCATGGAGCTGAACAATGTTTCTAAACCAATCTCACTAAACCTGCCTAGAGATTCATAGGGTAATTTCTAATTTAAAAAACAAAACACAGGGTTACAGTCCTACTCAGGAGTGTCTCTTAAAAAAATATTTAAACAGGCCAGGCGCGGTGGCTCACGCTGGTAATCCCTGCACTTTGGGAGGCCGAGGCGGGTGGATCACGAGCTCAGGAGATCAAGACCATCCTAGCTAACATGGTGAAACCCCATCTCTGCTAAAAATACAAAAATTAGCTGGGTGTGGTGGCGGGCACCTGTAGTCCCAGCCACTGGGGAGGCTGAGGCAGGAGAATGGCGTGAACCCAGGAGGTGGAGCTTGCAGTGAACCAAGATTGCCCCACTGCACTCCAGCCTGGGCGACAGAGGGAGACTCCATCTCAAAAAAAAAAAAAAAAGAAAGAAAGAAAAAAAACAGAAAAGAAAAAATTAAACAAAATCCTTCTAAAGGGCAGAATATCAAGCAGGACATGTAAATAACTGTCTTTTCTTTGGGAGGGGGAGGAGCAGAGAATGGCCTGTGTTACAGATCTACAGAATCATAGGTAGTACCTAATGAATTGACTAGTTTGTTAAGGATATGGAAATAATCTTAGTGAAAAATTAATGGAAAGAATATTAGAGGTAGACTTATGTGGGTTTACCTCTTGTAATTGGCAGAAATTACTTAGAAGGCATGCACTCTAGGAATTGCCTCAGCAATAAGGTGGATTGAATAAGCAGTCCTATGGAAATCAGTCTTTTCCTCCAGACATCCAGAATTTGATCGTAAAGTTTATTTATTTTTTTTTTCATTTCAAATGAATTTTATTTTCTTTAACAGTGAGGAAAATTTGTGTTATTGCTTTACATTTTTAAATAAACCTTAATAATATCCTGTAGCAGGAGTTTGTGGTTGGATGCAAATCCGTGTACACTCTTAGGTGGATAGTTAGTAAGTTTGTGTATCTTTATTTTTTTTTTATTTTTTTGTGTGTGTTTTTTTTCTTATTCTTTTTTTAAATTTTTTTTTATTATTATACTTTAAGTTTTAGGGTACATGTGCACAATGTGCAGGTTAGTTACATATGTATACATGTGCCATGTTGGTGAGCTGCACCCATTAACTCGTCATTTAGCATTAGGTATATCTCCTAATGCTATCCCCCCCCCCCTCCTCCCACCCCACAAACCCACAGCCAATATCATACTGAATGGGCAAAAACTAGAGGCATTCCCTTTGAAAACTGGCACAAGACAGGGATGCCCTCTCTCACCACTCCTATTCAACATAGTGTTGGAAGTTCTGGCCAGGGCAATTAGGCAGGGGAAGGAAATAAAGGGTATTCAATCAGGAAAAGAGGAAGTCAAATTGTCCCTGTTTGCAGACGACATGATTGTGTATCTAGAAAACCCCATTGTCTCAGCCCGAAATCTCCTTAAGCTGATAAGCAACTTCAGCAAGGTCTCAGGATACAAAATCAATGTACAAAAATCACAAGCATTCTTATACACCAATAGCAGACAAACAGAGGCCAAATCATGAATGAACTCCCATTCACAATTGCTTCAAAGAGAATAAAATACTTAGGAATCCAACTTACAAGGGACATAAAGGACCTCTTCAAGGAGAACTACAAACCACTGCTCAACAAAATAAAAGAGGATACAAACAAATGGAAGAACATTCCATGCTCAGGGGTAGGAAGAATCAATATCGTGAAAACGGCCATACTGCCCAAGGTAATTTGTAGATTCAATGCCATCCCCGTCAAGCTACCAATGACTTTCTTCACAGAATTGAAAAAAACTACTTTAAAGTTCATATGGAACCAAAAAAGAGCCCACATCGCCAAGTCAATCCTAAGCCAAAAGAACAAAGCTGGAGGCATCACACTACCTGACTTCAAACTATACTACAAGGCTACAGTAACCAAAACAGCATGGTACTGGTACCAAAACAGAGATATAGATCAATGGAACAGAACAGAGCCCTCAGAAATAACGCCACATATCTACAACTATCTGATCTTTGACAAACCTGAGAAAAACAAGCAATGGGGAAAGGATTCCCTATTTAATAAATGGTGCTGGGAAAACTGGCTAGCCATACGTAGAAAGCTGAAACTGGATCCCTTCCTTACACCTTATACAAAAATTAATTCAAGGTGGATTAAAGACTTAAACGTTAGACCTAAAACCATAAAAACCCTAGAAGAAAACCTAGGCATTACCATTCAGGACACAGGCATGGGCAAGGACTTCATGTCTAAAACACCAAAAGCAATGGCAACAAAAGCCAAAATTGACAAATGGGATCTAATTAAACTAAAGAGCTTCTGCACAGCAAAAGAAACCACCATCACAGTGAACAGGCAACCTGCAAAATGGGAGAAAATTTTCGCAACCTACTCATCTGACAAAGGGCTAATATCCAGAATCTACAATGAACTCAAACAAATTTACAAGAAAAAAACAACCCCATCAAAAAGTGGGCAAAGGATATGAACAGACACTTCTCAAAAGAAGACATCTATGCAGCCAAAAGACACATGAAAAAATGCTCATCATCACTGGCCATCAGAGAAATGCAAATCAAAACCACAATGAGATACCATCTCACACCAGTTAGAATGGTGATCATTAAAAAGTCAGGAAACAACAGGTGCTGGAGAGGATGTGGAGAAATAGGAACACTTTTACACTGTTGGTGGGACTGTAAACTAGTTCAACCATTGTGGAAGTCAGTGTGGCGATTCCTCAGGGGTCTAAAACTAGAAATACCATTTGACCCAGCCATCCCATTACTGGGTATATACCCAAAGGAGTATAAATCATGCTGCTATAAAGACACATGCACACGTATGTTTATTGCGGCACTATTCAGAATAGCAAAGACTTGGAACCAACCCAAATGTCCAACAACGATAGACTGGATTAAGAAAATGTGGCACATATACACCATGGAATACTCTGCAGCCATAAAAAAGGATGAGTTCATGTCCTTTGTAGGGACATGGATGAAATTGGAAATCATCATTCTCAGTAAACTATCGCAAGGACAAAAAACCAAACACCACATGTTCTCACTCATAGATGGGAACTGAACAATGAGAACACATGGACACAGGAAGGGGAACATCACACTCTGGGGACCATAAAGTTTATTTTTAAAAAGGAGCAATGGTGTCTAGGACAGAGACTATATATAAGTTTATGACATGGACTTTACCCCATCAAGGCTGATCTGGCTGTTACAGCTGCTACATGGTCAATATGTTAATAGCAGATGTCAACCTGACCCCTCCTCAGCATGGCATCAGTCCCTAAGATTCTAGCCAGCCACAGGTACATTACATACATCACCTTTCATCATACAGCATGCATTCTTTTTTTCATAGTACATATGATTTAAAAAAACTCAGAGTTTTCCACATCTTCTCTTTATTATTTCTGGTGACATCAAAATCTGTGAACATGAAGGACCCATAGTCAAATCATGATATTAATCTCAATATTGAGTATGAACAGGAAATATATTCACAGCCAAGGAAATGCAACAAGTTCTAATGTCTATGAAATGTGCTGATTTTATAAAATTCCCCATTATCTAATGAAGATCCTGAAAGTTTTACCTGAGAGACAAAACTGATTTTATAGTCTTAAAGAATGCAGTATGTGCTTTAAATTAGAATCTGATAGCAAATATCTTCCATATTTTAGTTTAAGTACATGGGTCTAGAATTAAGGAATTTAAAAAGGGAATGAATTCTCTCAAAAATATGCTCCATTATTTTTCCTGAACTATTTTTTTTATCATTGCAACCTTAAGGCAATTTGAAGATTGTCAATCACAAGAGAGGAATATGGGATCCAAATATGGGAATATGGGATTCATATTACCTATGGATTTGGCCACAATTAACTTAGATTGGAAACTGAGAGTGCCTCTTGATTATTCTGAGCTACTGTGTTTTAGACTTTGGCCAGAGAAAGCATTACTCTCCTGGCTGTGGTTATTGATCCAAAATACCAAAGATAAACTAGGATGCTAAAATATGTTGAGTATAGTCTAAATTATAGCTAATATCTGCATATTACAATAACGTATCTTAATGCTTTGGTATTCAATAATAAAATTCAGTGAAAAGTAATGGCAAATCATTAAGACAAAACATATTATTACATTGATTTGAAATTGATGAAATTTTGGATAATTCTACCAGCTAAAGAACTTTGACCAGAGGAAGTGCTGCCAGAGAATAAGGGACACATGCAATGTTTACGAACAAAATAAGTTAAACAACTAACTTCAGCCTCCTGATTAACTCTAAAGGATGATCTTATAAGAGCTGTGCAAAAGCACTCCAGCTGATGTGACCTGGTGTCTGCTGTGTGAGGGATGAGACTTTCCACATTTGACTCATCTGAATAGTTTTTCTAACAGCTGTTAGGGAAAGTTGATCCTCAGTCTCTCTCTCTCTCTCTCTCTCTCTCTCTCTCTCTCTCTCTGCCTCTGTATGTGTGTGTGTTTGTGCATGTGTGTCTGTGTGTGTGTATCCATGTATATCCTGCAGTTACACTGACTAATCCAGTTTGCATTACTCAGGAATTTTTGCCAGCTGGTCTTCTAATAATATTCAGACAAAGAGAGATAACTGCAGAATATCAAAGAGAAGGAGGAGAGAAAGCAGCTCCTATCTTACCTGCTCTTTTTCTACCTTGGCCTCGCCTCGCTTTCAGTGGCTGTGTCTCTCTGCAACCCCATCTCTTACCATGTTATCTTGTTTCCACAGTTCCACTTCTTAAGGAACTCTAAAATGTCACTTCTTTTACTTTTCCTTTCCAACCTAGGGTTGATGGAGAGTTTCTTCTCTTGGTAAGTCACAGTTCCTAATTTATTTTCTTAGCTCTGTCAACATTACTAGGAATAGTAACATCCTAAAGCTGAATTATCCTGGGGATACACCTGTAAATAAAATAAAGCCCCTCAGCTTTCAGGCAAAACAAAACAAACTTAGCAGCAAGGAGACCCCAGACAGATTCAGTGGCTTTGGCAACGCTGGAGGTTAGTCGCACCTCATTACTCCCCTTCCCTATAACTGCCACAGGACTTTATTTTCTAGTAATTGAACAGACACCAGTTTCTGAAAAAAATGACTGAAAGATTTTTTCCACCAACGTTGACAGACTGTCTAACATCATGACTAGACTCCCCTCCCTTACTGTGGTTTCTCTAGGACAGCTGACTGGACTTACAAAGCATTCTTTCCTAAGCAATAACGACTGACCACAGACTGGTTTGGACCAGCCCACGATGACTGTGCACAAGGCGCCTTTACGCCCTCTGATTGACTTTTTGATGTAAAGAGACAAGTTTCAGTTCATTTTAATGTTAAGTCTCCATGCCAAAGTGAACATGGGATGAACATACAGGTTTGTTCACCATGCATGTGTTTGGCCTTCTTCATAAATATTCCTAGGATTATTATATATCCTACTGAATATGTATGCATTACTGGTCGGGTCCTGTTAGGCATAAAGCCCAGCCTCTTTTTTTTGTCTCTGAATCATATGCTTTTGGTATTAGTTGGAGACTCTGTTTCCTAGCCTGCAGATTATAACTCTTTGTAACAAATAAATCTCTCTTTTTTTCTTCTTCCACATATCTCACAGTGTTTCATTAACCCACTTTCCTGAAGCTCCTAAGCACCTACCTAGCTCCTAAACTGACAATTTCAATATAATCCAGTAAATTATTATTATCCATGTATATATTTTAAAAAGTCAGTTGACTGGAATAATTGAGAGGGGAAAAGAGACAACCAAGTCTGACTCTTTAGTATTGAATTTAAGCTAAGTGTTGAGAGTATTCCTATTCAAAATGAACACACTGTTCCCTTTGTCCAGAAATCATGGCACAAGGGCTTTGAAAAGGTAGTTTTATGTAGACTATTTCCACTAAAAAACACACTGCGCAGAATTCCATTTGAGTTTGCCTTCTTCCCTACTTCTCAAATGACAGACTTCAAAAATAAATGGAGTACTATACCTATCCTTCAAGTTTGGACACTAAATAAAATAATTGTCTCAGATAGCCTAGAAAAAGTTTAAGGCACCTATACAAATTCAGAGCAAATGCTGAGAAAACACGTTAAAAAAAAAAAAACAGGAGTTGATAACCATTTACCTAATATTAATTTTTTTTCTAAATGACAGACTAAGAAGGCAATCAAGCATAACATATGCTATGGTCTGAATGTGCCCTTTAAAATTCATATATTGAAACTGAATTGCCAATGTGTTAGTACTAAGAGGTGGGCCTTTAAGAGGTGATAAGGTCATGAGGGCAGAACCTTCATGAATGAAATTAGGGGCCTTATAAAAGGGTTTGGAAGAATGGGCTTCTTCTCTTCCACTCTTTGCCATGTAAGAACACAGCATTGGCCCACTATTTATCTTCCATCTTTTCTGCCCTGTAAGAACACCAAGAAGGCACCTTTTATGGCCTTCAGCAGATGCCAAAACTGCTGGTATCTTGATCTAGGACTTTTTAGCTTCCAGAATTGTGTGAAAATAAATTTCTCTTCTCTATAGATTGATGAATCTCTGTTATTTTTTTGTAACAGCAAAAGTAGGTTGAGACAATATGTGAATCTCCAAAAGAGAATATTTGAAATAAAATAAGAATGTGAGGGTAATAGATACTAGATCCAAAATCCGATTAGGAAACAAAATGATAAAAGATATAGGTGAGATGTTAAATTAATTTGAAATAACACTTGAAAGAATTGATAAATAAATTAGAAACAGAAATCAAGGCTTATGGCATTAAAGTGAATTTACTAATTGAAATTATTTAAGGCAATCTCAATGAGCTAAGAATAGTAAAAATTAATTAAAACAATTAGACAAAAAATAATACAGAATGAGGATAGTCAAAATATTTTAACATAGGGACAACTGAAATCTGATGTCCCAAAAGCAGAGAAAAAATGGAACTGAAAATTATCCTAATAATCAAACAAAAATTAATTTCTAGCATAAAAAATGAATATATTAAATCTTGGATTAGCTGTGTTATAAAGACACACTATTAGCCTGGAAAATGTATAAAATATATAAAAATATATTAAAATTAAGCTTCTGAGTTTAAAATGTAATGATTTTTTTCTAGTCAAAATGGAAACTTTAAAAAAAAAATATTTGACAGATCTTAAAAACTCTTTAGTAGCATTTAAAGCTGGAAGACTGAATATTATTTACGCAGTTCCGAAGGGAAGAACGTGAGAGCTAAGTATATGATATTAAGATTTAGATTATGGTCATTCTCACATAAATGCAATGAGTAAATATTGCCAAACTTGATGAGAATTAATATCCATGAGTCTTTATTGAAAGCAAATTCTGTATGACATGTTCAAACCAGAAAAAATTCAAAATATTCTGGAATAATCTCTGATTCAATGGTGAACATTGAATTCCTTCAAATATAGCAAAAAGACCAAAGAAATGTGAAGCAAATAAGTGTCAGAACTATTGACAAGTTATAATTATGACATAAATGATATAAATTGGAGATGAAATTACTTCCATAGCAGAAGTTTAGCTAATGGCTAAAATTAAAATGCGTGGTTAAAAATAATGACTAAAACTATGCATACATATATCATACTATTTCTTAATGTTAGAGACATCTATCAGAGAAAAAAACTATATAAAGATATATATCTAAAATTCAGTAGAGATTAGAGTTCCATTTCAATATCTTTCAGCTAAATCAAATAAAATTATATTTAAAATTTTATTTAAAAATCCACAAATAGTACTAATCCATGAGTGTGGATAACCCCCAAAAAATGGCTATCACACTGGCCGTTTGCTCTTCCTGGTGGAGGGCAGCTGCCCCACATGACAAGGCAAAGGGCCCACTTAGCTGTTAACACCTAAGCCATCCACAGATGGCTGAGCTGAAAGGGCACTGTAACACACCCTCTGGAGCTTCAGGGGGTCACAGGCATCTCTACCTAGATTCTGCCATGGGGCCCGCACACAGTTTGCTCATGCTGGCGCCCAAAAGCAGCTGGCCAGACCCCATACTCACTTGCTTAGGTGCTCCTTCCTACAATGAGTTGAGCCAGGCAAGGTGAGTAAATGGAGTTTGTTCCAGCCAGTGTCCAAAAGTGGTTGTCCAGTTCCTGCACTTGCTCACTCCCGGTTCCTACACTTGTTTGCTTGCATGCTCCCTCCTGCAAGGGATACAAGGACAGGCTGAGTAAATGAGACACCCCTGTTGTGAGTCCCACAAAGGGGTCAAGAAAATATCCTGCATCAATAGGTTAGACTTTATACACAATGGTACTTATCTGGAGGTTTATTAATGACTGCTCTTAAGATATTTTGAAAATTCACTCTTGTCATTATGTTTACATTCATATCCACAGCTGCCCCTTTGACTTTTATGTGAATGATGTCATTAGGCTGATGAGCAAATATGGGAACTCACACCATACAGACCTATGATAAGTAGCTTTATATATCCCATTATTTACACCACAAATGATAAATGCTTTCTTTTTGAGATGACCTACTTTGTGGAACGGATGAGAATGAGATAAGGATTTCATTCAAGGGCAGGGCCAAGATGATGAACTACAAGCAGCTCATGTGTGCTGCTCTCAGAAACAGGAAACAAAAGGGTTAGTGGACCCTGACCCTGCAAGTCAATTATTTGAGAAACCATGTTGGGATCCATCAAAACAGCAGAGGAACACAGAGAGCAGAGAGGAGCAAACCTGGGCACTGACCTGTCTAGGCTTAGAACGGAGCAAGGAGAACCTCTCCAACACGAGAAAGGAAGAGTGAGTGACAGCTCCAAGAGGGATTAATGCTGTCCATAGGGACCTGTGCAAGAATGGGAATGGGAAAATCTCCCTTCTCCCCTCCCCAGCACCCCTGTAGTGTGCTTCTTGATTGAGGCATAGAGCCACTCAAACATTTTGCCAGGTGAACTTACAAGGACATTTTATAAGCTTTAGGCCCAAGAGAAGACCAGCAAAGATGCCACAGGTAAAATAGAAGACACAGTTGTGGTGCCTGGGAGCAGTAAGATTGTTCCCTTTGCTGGAAGGGGCTTAGCACCATTTTCCAGCCCAGCTGTCCTGCTTTGGCCCAAACTTGGCTGGCTACTCTACCAACCCAGCTACTAGTAGCCAAGTGGGAAACACTTACTCGAGATTCCAGCCCACTGATCACATTTTAGTGTAAACTCAGCTGGAGTGCATAGTCTCCTCATGTCCCAGGAAACACCCAGATGGCAGGGCATGTGACCTCACTCAACCACACCAATTATAGCCAGGTAAGCAATGCCTCTAGAACTTCTGGCCCAGTAGCTCTGCATCTGTGTGTACTCAGCTAGAGCATGCAGAATTCCATTGGTCTGGGAAACACCTAGGTGAAAGAGTTCATGAGGTTGCTCACCTCCATCACTAGTAGTCAGGTGGGCAATACCTGTTAGAGCTTCTGACCCAGCGGTCCTGCTTCTGTGGGAATTCAGGTAGTAGGTAGAGCCTCTTGTTGTCCCAGGAAGCACCCATACAAGAGGGCAGGTGTCCCCCACAATTACTGCTGCTGATAGCCGGGCAAGCCAAACCTGCTAGAACTTTCTGCCCAGCAGTTCTACTGCTGGCTGAATTTGCTGGGCAGCATATCCTGCTACTGCCTTGGAAACACCCAGACTACAGGGCAGACAACTCCAGTCACCGCTACCTCCAATAGTCGGATGGGCCATACCTGTTTAGAGCTTCCAATCAGTATCCCCCCTTCCATCTGAATTCTACTGACAGGTGTAACCCTGGGCTGCTCCAGAAAGTATATAGACAACACATTAGGGCTAGCCTGTCAAGGATATTGCTTGTTTGCCAACAGTGGCCCCTGCCTGAGAAAGCCCCATGGACCAGAACAATCAACAATAGAAACAAGGATATGGAGATAGTAATTGGAGACAAAACACAAACCATCCACTATTCCAAACCCAGGAGTGGACTAGAATTGAAGCCAGTCAACCAAAGCCACGTAATATCATACTCACTCACAGGAGAAAAAAGCAAACAATTCCATCCAAAGGACAGCAACTTCAAATAATAAAGGAATATCAGTCCACACAAATGAGAAAGAATGAGTGCTACAAGTCTGGCAACTCAAAAGTGAGAGTGCCTTCTTCTTTCCAAATGACTGCACTAGTACTCCAGCAAAGTTTATTAACTAGGCTGAAATGGCTAAAATGACAGAAATAGAATTTAAGATATGGATAGACATAAAGATCGTTGAGATTCAGGAGAATGTCAAAACCCAATTCAACAAAGCTAAGAATCACAATAAAACAATGCAGGAGCTGTAAGATGAAATAGCCATTATATAAAAGAATCAAACTGATCTGTTAGAGCTGAAAAACACACTACAAAAATTGCATAATGCAATCACAAATACTGAGGGCAGAATACGCTAAGCTGAGGAAAGAATCTTAGAGCTTAATGATAGGCTCTTGAAATAACTCAGTCAGGCAAAAATAAATAAAAATAAATAATCTCTGAGAAATCTGGAATTATGTAAAGAGACAAAATATATGACTCATTGGCATCACTGATAGAGATAGGGAGAGAGTAAGCAACTTGGAAACTATATTTCAGGATATCATCCATAAAACTTTCCCAAACTAACTAGAGAGGCCAACATTCAAATTCAACAAATGCAGAGAACACCTGCAATTATGCATAAAAAAACACCTATCCCCAAAACACATAATCATCAGATTCTTCAAGGTTTAAATGAAATTAAAAAAATGTGAAAGGTGGCTAGAGAGAAGAGACTGTTCACCTACAAAGGGAACCTCTTCAGGCTGACAGCAGACTTTTAAACAGAAAATCTACAAGCCAGAAGAGTTTAGGGGCATATACTCAGAATTCTTCAAGGAGGAAATTTCCAAGCAAGATTTCCAGACAAATTGATGCATAATGAAGGAGAAATAAGATTCTTTTCAGATAAGTAAATTTTGAGCAAATTTACCACCAAACCTCACTTTAAAAGGTCCAGAAAGAAGTGATGAATATGGAAAGAGAAGATGGTTACCAACCACTACAAAAACACATTTAAGTACTGAGATTACTGACACTATAAAGTAACCACACAAACTAGCCTGCATTATAATGAGCTAATGATACAACAACAGGATCAAATCTACACATAGCAATATTAACCTTCAATATAAATAGGCTAAGGGCCCCTCAAATGGCACAGAGTGACAAGCTGGATAAAGAAGCAAGACCCAATGTCATGCTATCTTCAAGAGATCCATCTCTCATGCTATGACATCCATAGGCTCAAAATAAAGGGATGGAGAAAAATCTACCAAACAAATAGAAAACAAAAAAAAAAAAAGGAGGGCCTGTAATCCTAATTATAGATCAGAAGGATTTTAACAAAGATAAAGAAGATTATTATATAATGGTAAAAGTTCCCATTCAACAAGAAGACCTATCTTAATTATGTATACACCCAACAATAGAGCACCCAGATTTATAAAGCAAGTTATTTTAAATCTATGAAGAGACTGAGATTCCTATACAATAATAGCGGGAGATCTCAACACTATACTGACAATGTTAGACAGATCATCAAGGCAGAAAATTGACAAAGATATTCATGACCTGAACTCAAAACTTGACCAAATGGGCCTAATAGACATCTACAGAAGTCTTCACCCAAAACAACAGAATATACATTCTTCTCATAGCCATGTGGCTCATACTTCAAAATTAACCACATAATCAGACAAAATACAATAATCAGCAAATTCAAACAAAAACCAAAATCATATCGACCATTCTCATAGACCAAGCACAATAGTAATAGAAATTAATAGTAAGAAAATCACTCAAAACCATACAATTACATGTAAAATTAAAAAAAACCTACTACTGAATGACTTTTGCAGAAATAAAGAAATTCTTTGAAACTATGAGAACAAAGATACAAAATACCAGATTCTCCAGAACACAGTTAAACAGTTTTAGAGGGAAGTTGATATCGTTGAATGCCTACATGAAACATTTTAAAATATTTCAAATTAGGAAACTAGCATCACAACTAGAAGAACTAGGGAAGAAAGAGCAAACTAATCCCAGAGATATCAGAAGAAAAAAAATCATCAATCACAGCTGAACTGAATAAAATTGAGATACAAAAAAACAAACAAATGAACAACAAAAAATCAATGAATCCAGAAGTTAGTTCTTTGTAAGAATTAAAAAGAAAAATACACTTCTAGCTAGAGTAAAAAGAAATGAAAAGAGAGAATATCCAAATAATCACAATTACAAACAACAGAGGGGATTTTTCCACCAACTACACAGAAAAACAAAACAAAACAAAAATCAGAGCCTAAAATGAAAACAATACTCCAAGCACACAAATTACAAAATCCAGAGTAAATAGATAAATTTATAGACACATTCAGCCTACCAAGTCTGAACGCAGAAGAAATTAAATCCCTAAACAGACTAACAGCAAGTTCTGAAACTGAATAAGTAATAAAAAGTCTTCCCATCAAAAATAGCCCAGGACCAGGTGGAGTCACAGCCAAATTCTACCAGATGTATCTAGAAAAGATGATACCACAATTTCTTGAGAAAGAGGTATTGCTTCCCAACTCACTGTATGAAGACAGCATCATCCTGATACCAAAACCAGCAAAGATACAACAAAAAATGAAAACCTCACCCCAGTATCCTTGATGAACATAGATGCAAAAATCCTTAAAAAAATACCCGCAAACTAAATCCAGAAGCACATCAAAAAGCTAATCCACCATAATCAAGTAAGCTTTATTCATGGGGTGCAAGGTTGACTCAACATATGGAAATCAATAAATATGGTTCATCTCATAAACAGAACTAAACACAAAAAATGATTATTTCAACAGATGCAGAAAAGACTTTCAATAAAATTCAACACTCTTCAAGTTAAAAGCCCTCAGTAAAAATAAGCATTGGAGGAACATACCTCAAAATAATAAAAGCCATCTATGACAAAACGACTGCCAACATAATATGTAGTGGGCAAAAGTTGGAAGCATTCCCCTTGAAAACTGGCACAAGACAAGGATGCCCTCTCTCACCCCTCTTATTTAACATGGTACTGGAAGTCCTGGCTAGAGATATCAGGCAAAGGAAATAAATATAGGGCATCCAAATAGAAAGAGGAAAGTCAAACTCTCCATGTCTGCAGATGGCAAGATTCTATGTCTAGAAAACCACAAAGTCTGCCCAAAAGCTTCTTGTTCTGAGAAACAACTTCAGCAAAGTCTCAGGACACAAAACCAAAGTTCAAAAACCAGTATAATTTCTACACACCAACATCCTTCATGTTGAGAGCCAAATCAGGTACATAATCCCATTCAAAATTGACACAAAAAGAATAAAATACTTAGGAATACAGCTAACCAGGTAGGTGGAAGATCTTTACAATGAGAACCACAAAACACTCCTCAAAGAAATCAGAGAAGACACAAACAAGTGGAAAAACATCTCATGCTTATGGATAAGAATCAGCGTTGTTAAAATGGCCATACTCTCCACAGCAGTTTACCAGATTCAATATTATTTCTGTCAAACTACCAATGGCATTCTTCCCAGAATTAGAAAAAGAAAAACTATTTTCAAATTCATATGGAACCAAAAAGAGCCCAAATAGCCAAGACAATTCCAAATAAAAAGAAAAAAGCTGGAGGCATCACATTACCTTAGTTCAGACTATACTACTGGACTATAGTAACCAAAACAGCATGCTACTAGTATTAAAGCAGGCACATAAACCAATGGATCAGCATAGACAGCCCAGAAGTAATGTTGCACACCTACAACCATCTGATCTTTAACAAAACTGACAAAAGCAAGCAATTGGGAAAACATTATCTATTAAATAATTGATGTTGGGATAGCTGGTTAGCTATATGCAGAATGAAATGGGGACACTTCCTTTCACCATATACAAACATCAACTCAAGATGGAAGAAAGACAAATGTAAAACCAAAAACTATAAATAGGCGGGAAGATAACCTAGGAAATATCATTCTGGACATAGGAATTGGCCAAGATTTTATGGCAAAGGTCCAGCTTAAATTTTCACTTTAAGCTGGTCCCAGCTATGTTCTGTGTACGACGTTTTTTTTTTTTTTTTTGGATTACATTATATTTCTTTTACAAAAAAACTCATTTCTTTTTTGGTGGCTGCATATTGTTTTTGTAATTGTTTTTTCAAGATTCAAGTTAAGCATACAGGTATTTATATTACAATCCCTTTATACTGAAATATAAAAATAGGTTGCTTTGTTTTTAAATCTTGCCTCTGATAAATTTTACTTAATATATGCAGGTAGAGTTTTTGGCATTAAGTCTCATTATCATGCATGTCTTCTCATTATTGTCCAGAAAATATAATTGTAAGTTCATTATAAGAATGAGAAAATATCTGAAATGCATGCAAATGTAAATGCCTCCTCTAGAACAGAGTTTCAACTACTAACATATGATAATCTTAATGGAAATTAATTTTTGATATTATATGTTTAAATAAAATCTGTGATTAGTGGTATGTTTTGGGAATAAACAGACAATAGGTTAGTACCCAGCTATTTAAAAATCTTCTTTTTCATTTCTGCTTGAAAATATATCTCCCATGGTTTTATTTCTGCTCCGCAATGCTTAGCGTCTACATTAATGAAGTAGTTAGGAAGCCCTATATGATCTGATAGTGGTATGCATTTCTGAGGTTGCGTTCTTCTGAACCTTAGTGCCCAGTGCTGAATTGTGCCCATTGTTTCAATTCCTTATGAGGCCACATTTCACCAAGGCAGCGTTTGTAGCCAAATGTCATCGCAGCTATAGCTGAAATTTTATACAGTGAACAGGGAATGTAGAG
Source organism: Homo sapiens (assembly GCF_000001405.40). Taxonomy (NCBI): domain Eukaryota; kingdom Metazoa; phylum Chordata; class Mammalia; order Primates; family Hominidae; genus Homo; species Homo sapiens. Next base: position 69,556,022 of record NC_000004.12, read on the forward strand.
TGTTATAAGAATCCATTGAGTAAAATTCAATGACCATTTGTTGAGCATTTATTTTATGCAAGTTTTTATTAACATAAAGTATAATATTTATTAATATATTGTATTATAAGATTTATAGTAATATAGTACATAAAATACGTATGTTTTAATGTATTTTATTTTTTTTATTATTATACTTTAAGTTCTAGGGTACATGTGTACAATGTGCAGGTTTGTTACATATGTATACATGTGCCATGTTGGTGTCCTGTACCCATTAACTCATCATTTACATTAGGTATATCTCCTAATGCTATCCCTATGCCCTCCCCCAACCCCAAGACAGGCCCCGGTGTGTGATGTTCCCCTTCCTGTGGCCAACTGTTCTCATTGTTCAATTCCCACCTATGAGTGAGAACATGTGGTGTTTGGTTTTTTGTCCTTGTGATAGTTTGCTGAGAATGATGGTTTCCAGCTTCAACCATGTCCCTACAAAGGACATGAACTCGTTCTTTTTTATGGCTGAATAGTATTCCATGGTGTAGATTTGCCACATTTTCTTAATCCAGTCTATCATTGATGGGCATTTGGTTTGGTTCCAAGTCTTTGCTATTGTGAATATTGCCACAATAAACATACGTGTGCATGTGTCTTTCTAGCAGCATGATTTATAATCCTTTGGGTATATACCCAGTAATGGGATGGCTGGGTCAAATGTGATTTCTAGTTCTAGATCCTTGAGGAATCACCACACTGTCTTCCAAAATGGTGGAACTAGTTTCCAGTCCCACCAACAGTGTAAAAGTGTTCCAATTTCTCCACATCCTCTCCAGCACCTGTTGTTTCCTGACTTTTTAATGACCACCATTCTAACCGGTGTGAGATAGTATCCCATTGTGGTTTTGATTTGCATTTCTCTGATGGCCAGTGATGATGAGCATTTTTTCATGTGTCTGTTGGCTGCATAAATGTCTTCTTTTGAGAAGTGTTTGTTCATATCCTTCACCCACTTTTTGATGGGGTTGTTTTATTTTTTTTCTTCTAAATTTGTTTAAGTTCTTTGTAGATTCTGGATATTAGCCCTTTGTCAGATGGGTAGATTGCAAACATTTTCTCCCATTCTATAGGTTGCTTATTCACTCTGATGGTAGACCATCTGATCTTTGACAAACCTGACAAAAACAAGAAATGGGGAAACGATTCCCTATTTAATAAATGGTGCTGGGAAAACTGGCTAGCCATATGTAGAAAGCTGAAACTGGATCCCTTCCTTACACCTTATACAAAAATTAATTTGAGCTGGATAAAAGACTTAAATGTTAGATCTAAAACAATAAAAACCCTAGAAGAAAACCTAGGCAATACCATTCAGGACATAGGCATGGGCAAGGGCTTCATGTCTAAAACACCAAAAGCCATGGCAGCAAAAGCCAAAATTGACAAATGGGATCTAATTAAACTGAGGAGCTTCTGCACATCAAAAGAAACTACCATCAGTCTACACAATGTTTTAACTTTCATCTGGAAAGGGCACTGTTAGTCAATCTACCTTTCCAATTAGTAGAGTGGCCATGAGGATTGCAGTACTGATCTTCTGTGAATTTGAGCAAGGGCTTAGAAAATGTATTAGTCTGTTTTCATGCTACTAATAAAGACATACCTAAGACTGCATAATTTATAAAGGAAAGAGATTTGATTGACTCACAGTTTCACATGGCTTGGGAGGCCTCACAGTCATGGCTGAAGGCAAAGGAGGAGCAAATGCATGTCTTACATGGTGGCAGGCAATATAAGGTGTGCAAGGGAACTCCTCTTTATAAAACCATCAGATCTCATGAGACTTATTCACTATCACGAGAACGGCAGGGGAAGATCCACTCCCATGATCCAATAACCTCCCAGCAGGTTTCTTCCGAGACACGTGGGAATTATGGGAGCTAAAATTTAAGATGGGGTGGTGACACAGCCAAACCATATCAGGCAATAAAATTGATGTTTCTTCTGTGAGATTTTTGACTGTTGATCTTGGAGAAAATAAACAACTCCATCCTCACCTAACTTTGTGCAAAATCTTATCTTTCTTGTGAAGGTAAAACTCTCTCTATTACCAAGGTGCAGCATCATAGAGGAAAAGAAATTTTTCACATATACTTCTAACTAGAAACAGTAAAGGAGTGTTAGAGACATAATTAGGCTGATTCTTTCTTCTGACAAGTAGAGCTGCCTAGTTTCCTGAAGAATCATTATGATTCTAATACTTACAGCTTAAATGCATTATCAGTAATCACAAGTAAAACCATGAAACAAAATTGGATTAGAAAATGAGTAAATGATAAGGAGTAGTTCTTCTCATGGTGCATGGAACTGTTACTTGAACAGCATAATTTAACCAACCAAGAAAGCTGTTTGCAAAGATAATAAAATACTCTTTGGAAGGAAGCCCAAGAGAGTCCTGAGCTCTTTGCTTTTTAAATAAACAGTACGCCAATTTACAATAAAAAATTATTGATAAAATGATCTTCATTTCTCTTAGGCAAGCATTGAGTATTATTTTCTTCATGTTGATACCTCCCATTGTTAATAGTGCTAAGGAGAAATTTATTAGAAGGAAAATACACAGTAATATATTTGTTTTATGTTTTTGTTTGGTTTTCTTTAGGTGGAATTTCACTCTTGTTGCCCAGGCTGAAGTGCAATGGCAGTATCTCAGGTCACTGCAACCTCTGCTTCCCAGGTTTAAGTGACTCTCCTGCCCCAGCCTTCCAAGTAGCTGGTATTACAGGGACGTGCCACTACACCCAGCTAATATTTGTATTTTTAGTAGAGATGGGTTTCATCATGTTGGCCAGGCTGGTCTTGAACTCCTGACCTCAGGTGATTTCCCTGTGTTAGACTCCCAAAGTGCTGAGATTACAGACATAAGCCAAAAATACATAGTAATATATTTTAATAGAAGATAACACAAGTAAACTCCTGTGATACTTGTTTTTACATTAATGCAAAAGAGCTCCTCTGCCTTACTGATGTGCAAATTACCATGCGATTGTGACACTAGCTGTACACTTTTAGTTTGAAGTTTAGCACAGTAGTGAGCATCAGTGGTGATCTGTCAGACCCCACTGTAAACTGGTGGTGGTGGCCATCATAAGAGGATCCTTTGCCTGTGGAAAGGAGAGGAAAGACAGAAAAGGCTTTGTATTGTGCTTTGAGTGCCAGCTTAGCTAGAGCAGAATAAAACATCAAGTCAATTTCTAACGTTCTTGACTCCAATCTCTGGCTCCCAGACAGCATCTCTGAACATGCCTGGGGCCAGGGTGAACAGACAACCCTAAAGGAATGAGCTTTGGCAAGGCCCAGTCCTGTACTGACTTCAGATCTAATCCAGCAAATTTACAGTGGTGATGGCCACGGGGTTGCTGGCATCTCTACATTGACAGTTCCAGGTGGCTCAGCACAGAGGGAGAAATTCCATTTATTTGGAAGAAAGTAGTGAAAAAGAGCCAGATTCTCTGCCTGGTAATCCAGAGAATTTTTTCAGATCTTATCCAAAATCACTAAGGCAATACTTCCATGAGTCTGCAAAAACCACAGCATTATTGCATTTGGGGCCAAAGTCTCAGAATATATGGAAAGCCATTCCAAGAAGGACAGGCAGAAACAAACTCAGACTGTGAAGACTACAATAAATACCTAACTCTTCAATTTGCAGACACCAATGGACATTTACAAGCATCAACACCAACCTCATTAAATTAGTCACCAGGGACCAATCCTTGAGAAACAGAGATATATAGTCTTTCAAAAAAAAAAAAAAAAATCAAATCAACTGTTTTAAGGAAACTCAAAGAAATTCAAGATAACACAGAGAATGAATTCATAATTCTATTAAATTTAAAGAAGAGATTGAAATTATAAAAAAGAATCCAGCAGACATTCTAGAGTGAAAAAATGCAACTGACATGATGAAGAATGCATCAGAGTCTCCAAATAGCAGAATTGATACAGCAAATGCAAGAATTACAGATGAGCATGGTGGCTCATGTCTGTAACCCCAGCCCTTGGGAAGCCAATGGAGGAGGATCATTTGAGTCCAGGAGTTTTAAACAAACCTAGGCAATACAGGGAGACCTCATCTCTACAAAAAGATAAAATAATTAGTCAAGCAAGGTGGTGTGAATCTATAGTTTGAACTACTCAGGAGGCTGAGGTGGGAGCACTACTTGAGCCCAGGAGGTCAAGGTTGTGCTGAATTATGATCAAACCACTGAACAGCAGCCTGAGAGACAAAGTGAGACCCAGTCTCCAAGATAATAATAATAATAATAACTTTGGTGAGCTTGAAGATAGGCTAATTGAAAATACGCAGTCAGAGGAGACAAAAGAAACAAGGAGTAAAGATCAATAAAGCAGTAAAGCAGATCTACAAGATTTAGAGAATAGCCTCAAAAGGGCAAATCAAAAAATTATTTGCCTTAAAGAGGAGGTAGGGAAAGAAACAGAGGTAGAAGTTTTATTCAAAGTGATATCAGAAAATCTCCCAAACCTAGAGAAAGGTATGAACATTCAAGTTCAAGAAGCTTATAGAACACCAAACAGATTTAACAACCTCCCCCCCCCAAAAAAAAACTATTTTAAGGCATTTAATATTATCAAATTCCCAAAGGTCAGGGGTAAAAAAAGAATCCTAAAGGCAGCAAAAGGAAAGAAAATATAACATATAATAGAACTACAACGAGTCTACTGGCACACTTTTCAGTAGAAGCCTTACAAGCCAGGAGAAAGTGGCACGATATTTTTAAAGAGCTGAAGAATAAAACTTCTACTTTAGAATGATATGTCTAGTAAAAACACCCTTTAATCAAGAAAGAGAAATAAAGATCTTCTCAAACAAACAAAAGCTTATAGAATTCATCAGCAGCAGATATGTAGCATAAGAAATGCTAAAGAGAGTTCTAGCTGAAAGAAAAGGGTGTTAATAAGCAAGAAGAAATCATCTGAAGTTACAAAACTCATTGGTAATAGTAAGCACACAGAAAACGCAGGATAGTGTAACACTGAAATTGTGGTGTGTAAACTGTTGATGTAAGTAGAAATGTAAATGATAAACCAATCAAAAAAGATAACGACAACAACTTTTCAAGACAGTACGATACGTGATAAAGAGAAACAATAAAAAGTTAAAAATCAGAGACATAAAATTAATGTGTAGAGTTTTTATTAGTTCCTTTTTGCATGTTTGTTTATGCAATCAGTGTTAAGTTGTCATCAGTTTAAAATAATGGATAAGATAGTACGTGTAAACCTCATGCTAACCTCAAATAGAAAAACATACAACTGAAACCAAAATAAATTAAAAAGCAAGAAATTAAAGCATAGTACAGAGAAAATCGCTTTCACTAAAAGGAAGTTAGAGAGGAAAGAAAGAAAAAGCTAAGACCACAGAAAAATTATAAAATATATAACAAATTGGAAGGAGTCTCTACTTATCAATAATAACATTGAATGTAAATGATTAAACTCTCCAATGACAAGACATAGAGTGAGTGGATGAATGAAAAAAAACAATACCCATTTCTCTGTTGCCTGCAAGAAAAACACTTCAGCTATGAAGACACTCATAGACTGAAAATAAAGAGATGAAAAGAGATATTTCATGTCAATGGAAACCAAAAAAAGAGCAAGAGTTATTACACTTTTATCAGACAAAATAGGAAAGACAATGAAGTACACTATGTAATAATGATAAAGTAGTCAATTCAGCAAGACAATATAACAATTTTAAATATATATGCACCCAACACTGGGTCACCCAGATATATAAAGTAAATATTATTAGAGATAAAAAAAGATATGGACCCCAATAAGATAAGAATGGAAGACTTTGATGCTCCACTTTCAGCACTGGAGAGATCTCTCAGAAAAAAATTTAACAAACAAACATGGGACTAAATCTGCACAATAGACCAAATGAACCTAACAAATATTTACAGAACATTTCATCCAGTGGCTGAAGAAAGGATCATTCTTGAGGAGATACCATATATTAAGTTACAAAGCAAATTTTTAAAAATTTAGAAAAAAAGTGAAATAATATTAAGCATCTTATCTAACTACTCTGGAATAAAACTATAAATCAATAACAAGAGAAATTTTGAAAACCATATAAAAACATAGAAATTAAACAATAGATTTTTTAACGACTATTGGATCAATGAAAAAATTTTTAAACTTTAAAAAATTTCTTGCAAAAAATATAATAAAATCATAAGATACCAAAACCTAACTGATTCAGTGAAAGCAGCACTAAAAAGATACCTGTAGGTGCTGACAACAAAAAAGAAAAACCTCAAATAAGTAACCTAACAATGCATCTTTAAAAATAAGAAAAGCAAAAGCAAAATGAACAGAAAATTAGTGGAAGGAAAGAAAAGATAAGAATTAGAGCAGAAATAAATGAATTTGAAATAAAATAAAAGTGCAAAATATCCATGAAACAAAAAGTTGGGTTTTTTTGAGAAGATAAACAAAACTGATAAACCTTTAGCTATACTAAAAAGAAGAGAGAAAACATAGATAAATAGAATCAGATATGTAAAAGGAGACATTATAATTGATACTGCAGAAATGCAAAGGATCATCGGTGGCTACTATGAACCACTGTATGCTGAAAATTTACAAAAGTCTAGGAGAAATGAACAAATTCCTAGACACAAACAATTACCAAGATTGAACCATAAAAATATCCAAAATCTGTCCATGCTTGTGTCCTGAATTAGGATTTTTATGGATTTAGTTCTTACATTTAAGTCCTTAATCATCTTGAGTTAATTTTTGTATAACGTGTAAGGAAGGGGTCCAGTTTCAGTTTTCTGCATATGACGAGCCAGTTTTCTGAACACCATTTATTAAACAGGAAATCCCTTCCCCATTGCTTGTTTGTGTCAGGTTTGTCAAAGATCAGTTGGTTGTAGATGTGTGGTATTATTTCTGAGGCCTCTGTTCTGTTCCATTGAACTATATACCTGTTTTGGTACCAATACCATGCTGTTTTGGTTACTGTAACCTTGCAGTATAGTCTGAAGTCAGGTAGCATGATGCCTCCAGCTTTGTTCTTTTTTTCTGAGGATTGTCTTTGCTATGTGGGCTCTTTTTTGGCTCCATATGAAGTTTGAAGTTGTTTTCTCCAATCATGTGAAGAAAGTCAATGGTAGCTTGATGGGGATAGCATTGAATCTATAAATTACCTTGGGCAGTGTGGCCATTTTCATGATATTGATTCTTCCTACCCATGAGCATGGAATGTTTTTCCATTTGTTTGTGTCCTCTCTCATTTCCTTGAACAGTGGTTTGTAGTTCTCCTTGAAGAGGTCCTTCACATCCCTTTAAGTTTTATTTCCAGGTATTTTATTCTCTTTGTAGCAATTGTGAATGGGAGTTCACTAATGATTTGGCTCTCCATTTGTCTGTTATTGGTGTATAGGAATACTTGTAATTTTTGCACATTTATTTTGTATGCTGAGACATTGCTGAAATTGCTTATCAGCTTAAGGAGATTTGGGGATGAGATGATGGGGTTTTCTAAATACACAATCATGTCTTCTGAAAACAGAGATAATTTCACTTCCTCTTTTCCTATTTAAATACCCTTTATTTCTTTCTCTTGCTTGATTGCCCTGGCCGGAAAAATAACGAGTAACAAAATCAAAGCCATACCCTAGGAAAGAAAATCCCAGGACCCAATCACTTCACTGTTGAATACTTCCAAACATTAAAAAGTTAAAAAAAAAAACAAAAACTAATATCAATACCTTTCAAACTCTGCAAAAATAGAATAAGAGGAACACTTCCAAACTCATTCTATGGGGCAAATAGAAAACCAGAAAAATACACATTTTTTTTTAAAAGAGAACTACAGACTAATATCACTGATAAATATTGGTGTAAAAATCCTGAACAAAATACTAAGAAATCCAATTCAACAGCACATTAAATAAAAATCAATCATTATGACCAGTTGGGATTTAGCTCAATGATGTTAGCAAAATTAAGTATATGGAAATCAATCAATGCAATACATCTAATCAACTGAATGAAGGACAAAATCCATATGAACATTTCAATTTATGCTGAAAACACACTTGATAATGCTTAAAATATCTTCCTGATAAAAGCTTCAATAAAATGAGAGTACAAGAAACATACCTCAACTTAATAGAATCCATCTGTGACAGACCCACAGTTAGTATCATACTGAACAGGAAAAAGCTAAGTATTTCTTCTGAAATCTGGAACACACCAAGGATTCCCACTGTCACCATTGTCGTTCAGCATAGTCCTGGAAGTCGTAGGTAGAGCAACAAGACAAGTTAAAGAAATAAAGGACATTGAAATTTGAGAGGAAGAAGTCAAATTATCCTTGTTTGCAGATGATATGTCTTATAATTCAAAAAACCTGAAGGCTTCACCAAAAAAAAAATTAAAACTGATAAATAAATTTCATGAAGTTGCAGATACAAAATGAGTAGCATTTCTATGTGCTAACAGTAAACAATCTAGAAAAGCAATAAAAATATAATTCCATTTACAAGAGCAACAAATAAAATTAAATACCTAAAATTTACCTTAACCAATAAACTGAAAGGTATATACAATAAAAACTACAAAACACTGGTGCAAAAAAATTGAAGAGGACACAAAATATAAAAAGATATGTAATTTTCGTGGATTAGAAGAAGCAATTTTATTAAAATGTTCATATTTCCTGAATCAATCTACAGATTTGATGCAATGCCTATCAGAATACCAATTACATTCTTCACAGATATAGAAAAAAAACTCTAAAATGTACGTGAAGTCACAAAAGACCCGGAATAATCAAAGATATTTTGAGCAAAAAGAACAAAACTGGAAGAATCACATTATCTGACTTCAAATTATACTACAGCATTATTATATTATACAGCATGGTAATGACATCAAAAGACAAACATAAGTCAATGGAACATAATTGAGAACCCAGAAAAAAATTCACACACGTAAACTCATTTTTGAGACAGTTGCCAAGAACATACATTACAAAAAAGACAGTCTCTTCAATAAATGGTTCTGGGAAAACCAGATATTTATCTACAGAATAATGATATAATCCCTACTTCTTACTCACATAAAAATCAAATCAAAACGGATTAAAGACTTAAATATAAGACTTGAATCTATAAAACTAATAGAGGGACACATTGGGGAAACTCCCCAGGACACTGATCTGGGCAAAATTTCTTGAGAAATACCCCAGAAGTAGAGGCAACCAAAGCAAAAATAGAAAAATGGGGTCAAAAGTAGAATTAGGGAGCCAAACAGTATATTCACATTTAATGTTGAAAGGTTATTCCAAGTTACACTTCATCAAAAAAAATTTCTTATATTTGTATAAATTGTAAATCTTCTCTGGAAAAAGAACTCATTGACTTAAACTTTGTTTCTCTAAGTATCAGTGACTTTTGCTGTCTTATATGTTGTTTGTCTTTTTTACTTCTGTGAACTCCCTGTTCATATATCACCTATATTCATATTGGTCTGTTTGTTATTTTGGTTGATAATTTTTACTAGCTTCACTGTACAATGGACCAAACTTTTGTTACATGTTTTGTAGGATAGATTTGGAAAAAAATAATTCTGGCTTATTTGAAAAATTTTAAAGTATCTACCATGGTAGTATATTAGTTCTATTTTTCTTTAAAAATATATCAATTATCTACATGAGTTAAAAATTCTATTGTAAACTCTATAGTTCTCTTAGCGTCATAGTTTTAATATGTTTTTAAGTTAAGTTTATACCTCAGCCTGGAGAATGTTTCTTGTGCAATTTGAATGGCGGTCTTCTTACTAATAAAGGCAACTGTTGTCGTTGTTTAACTCAAAAATTTTGATCCTAAAGTGCTTTGCTGATTCATAACTTTCAGAAGGGCCTGGAATATCCCTGTGACTATCCCATAAGATTGTTGTAATTTTTGTATTTTTTGCATTATTACTGATTATGGTTAACCACAGCATGAATAGATTTTTTAAAAAATTGTTATTATCCTATTTTTAATCATGCCAAATTATTTAGTGTTTTCATATTATAGTTATGAGAAGAGTCTAGCAACAGTCTTCTGAGGAAAGAGAGAAGGAATAAGACATGCTCATCTAAATTACGGCTACATAAAAATAATAATTATTAGTGTAAAAAACTATCTTTTACAAACATATGTTGAATGTCACAACATATCTAAAAAGTAGTTACTGAAAACAAAATCTTCTCTAAATGGCTCAATTTTGTAGCAAGAAGCAGATTGGTGTTGCTATTTTTTCTCATTCCACATAAATCCTACTGGGAAATGCTTTAATCTATGTTTTAGGGGAGAAAAAGTTATCCTGACTCTGGATGTACATTAAAGTTAAGTAGCACTATTTGTCTCCCAAACCCTGAAGGAGTATATGAGAGTATTAATATGGTTTGGCTCTTTGTCCCCATGCAAATCTCATTGAATTGTAATAATCCCCAAGTGTTATGGGAGGGACCTGGTGGGGGATAATTGAATCATGGGGTCGGTTTTCCCCATACTGTTCTTGTGATAGTGAGTGAGTTCCATGAGATCTGACGATTTCATAAGCGTGTAGCATTTCCTCTGCTGGCATTCATTTCTCTCTTGCCTGTCACCATGTAGGATGTCATGTACCACATGCCTTTTGCTTTCCACCATGATTGTGAGGCCTCCCCAGCCATGTGGAACTGTGAGTCCATTCAACCTCTTTTTCTTTATAAATTACCCAGTCTGGGGTATGTTTTCATCAGCAATGTGAGAACTGACTAACACAATTTTATAAATTTCTTTGACCTTGGCTTCAGGCAAGGTCACAGATGAGATCTCAACAAATTCTGAAGTATTTATTTTAGACATATCTGACTACAGTGCAATACAATTTTTTTTAAAAAAATAATTGATTAAAAAGGAATGCACCACTATTCAAATACATACATTCCAGTGTTTCATACAGTGTAATATACTGAAATGATTATAAGTGACTCAACTTTTTCCCACTTCCTCTGCTCCAGAAATATACACTTCCAGAAGAAAAAATGACATTGAAAAACATACACAGCCTAGCAGAAAATGAAGACATTATGTCCACCAACTGTTAACATTAGAGGGAATTCTATGATTATATCCTTGTAAATGCTATGAAAAAGTGACTTTTGGGAGGAAACCAAATGAGACATAGTCCCTGGAAGTACAGAATAAAATTTAGAGTGCAGTGACTTCCTGCTTAAAAATAAAATAAAATAAAACAAATGTAACGGAACTAGAAATCTTCCTAGACTAAAGCAGAGTCAATTAAAAAAAATTGTGAAGACATGTTCTTACATGAAGAGTGTTCATAAAATAATACCTGTTGAAAATTTCCTAAAGAAAGCCATATAAGAAAATAACCATACACAATAGAAAGATTTGCATCCAAGATTTGTAGATAGAGAAAAATGTCAGAATGAGATGTTTGTTTTATTTTTATTTTTTATTTTTGAGATAGGATGTTGCTCTACTGCCCAGAGTGGTATGTTTTCAGCGGTTTGATCATGGCTCATTGCAGCCTCAACCTTCCCAGCTCAAGAGTTGTCTTACCTCAGCCCCCTGAGCAGCCGGGGCCACAGATTCATGCCACCACACCCAGCTAATGTTTTCAAATTTTTGTAGAGATGAGCTCTTGCTATGTTGCTCCTGGACTCAAGCAATCCTTCCACCTTGACCTCTCAAAGTTTTGGAATTATAGGTATGTAGCACTGAACCTGGACAGAATAAAAATTGTAAATAAGCATGATTCAAATATTCAGAGGAAAAAGAGTCACTAACATAAGACAAAGATGGGATGGGATAAGAAGGATGAATTCCAAAAACCAAGCAAACATAATGCGATACCACCTTACTCCTGCAAGAATGGCCATAATCAAAAAAACAAAACAGAATATATTGGCATGGATGTGGTGATCAGGGAAAACTTCTACAATGCTAGTAGGGATGTAAACTAGTACAAACACTATGGAAAACAGTGTGGAGATTCCCTAAAGAACTAAAAGTAGAACTACTATTTGATCCAGCAATCCCACTACTGGGTATCTATCCAGAGGAAAAGAAGTCATTATGTAAAAAAGATGCTTGCATATGCTGTTTATAGCAGCATAATTCACAATTGCAAAATCGTGGAACCAATGCAAATATATATGATGGAATACTACTCAGCCATAAAAAGGAATGAATTAACAGCATTCACAGCAACATGGATGAGATTGGAAATTATTATTCTAAGTGAAGTAATTCAGGAATGGAAAATCACACATCATATGTTCTCACTGATATGTGGGAATTAAGCTATGAGGATGCAAAGGCATAACAATGATGCAATGGACTTTGGGGACTTGTGGTTAAGTGTGGGAGGGGGGAGGGGTGAGGAATGAAAGACTACAAATAGGGTGCAGTGTATACTGCTTAGGTGATGGGTGCAACAAAATATCACAAATCACTACTAAAGAACTTACTCATGTAACCAAACACCACCTGTACCCCAATAACCTATGGAAAAATAAATAAAAAAATAAAAAAACTAGATATTTTTATTTTTGAAATTAGAAATGGGCTCCCTAAGTATATGAAATATTGCCCCCAAGAGGAATCACCTAATGCTCTAGAAATTGCCAGTAAACTGATGAAAACATAAGTTGTTGTTGTTGTTGTTGTTGTTAACAGCTTACATTAAAGCTGTCCTCATTACCTGTTTTTCTTCTGAAGCTCTCATGTTTCTAGTTGTCTTCTTGGCCTTAACCACCCATCCTATGCTTTGTTGAAATATTTGTGATCTGATTCAATGTGTTTGTTTCCATTTTTATTTCATGCTATCCCAACTCTTGCAACTTGCATGTCCTCATTATGATTGATCGATTCAACTGCAAAGATCACCTTATCTGACCAAGGATTATTCATTAATTTTTACTAGTTTATCTGACCTTGGCTAATTTTATATCTTTGCCAGTCACTCTGAACCACAGTCATGATGACTCAGGATTGTAGATCTCTTTCAAATAACAAATTTATCTTTTGTAAAGTCTCTATATTAGAGAAGAATCTATAGAAAAAACACAAAAAGAAAAATTAAGGGCAGTATATGAAAAAAATTCTGACCGGATTATAAACCAAGAAAGTGATTAATCAGATTAATAACTAGAAATTTACAGTAAAATCACTGATACATTTTTATATATTTGCATTGATAAAATTAATACTTATTTACAGGCAAAGCACCAAATAACTGGCGACTCCAGGGCTAGTTTGTTGGGCATGACTGGTGATAAGTGAGGAGTACACAGGAGCCCAGAGGAGCAGATTGCAACCTACTAGTATCTCAATTCTTATTACACATTTGCACATTAGGAAACTGACCACCAGTGGGACTGAAAATTCTGTGGGCCAATTCTAAGCTCACCTTTGTTGGAACTTCTATATGCCCCAACTTACAAAAACATTATTTTCAAAAGAAAGCCATGACTCTTACTCATCTGAATCTAAGATTCAATAGCCAAGGGTACAATAACTTTGGGGATGCTAACAAATGAGAAATTTGAAATTTGTTTACCAGTTTTCAACTGATTGTTCCTCAGGTGCAAATAAAGGTTTGTGATGTTGAACTAGGACCCTATAAACATTCCTCATTTGCCAGCTGTCTGAATGGTAAGCTTCATCAATAGAGGACACTGGAATGACTGTGAGGTGGTGGAGGCAGGAAGATACATCCCTCTCAAGGCCCTACTCTTTACTGTTATTCAGTAATTTTTATGGTGATTATTGGATTTTAACAATATGTATTTTAAAGAATGTACTTAAAAATATACTTAATATAAGAGGCCATTTTCAATTAGCATATTTGTTTTACCTTTTAAGAAACATAGCATTCTGCTCAGGAATCAATATAGAAAACTCCTGCATATACAGTTTGTCCTTGACGTAGATAGACCCTGCTTTGTATGTTATTTTCAAGACTAAGTTCACAATTATTTGATTTTTGTCTTCAACCCCTGTTTTGCTTGCATATTCCTGTCTTTAAGTATCATATTCAAAATAAAAATGAAAAAGATTATCACAGAGATGAAGAATGTTACATAAACTCAGTCGTTCTATGTGATTACTTAAAATTTATGTGTTTACATATTTTTAATGGCTGAGACATTTAAAAGTTTATTGAATCAATATCAAAGAAACAGACGCACAATATTACAATTTTTTGAATTTAATATACTTTGGGATTTTTACGACTCTCTATCAAGTATACCTTCATGTTTACATATTTTCCTAACTGTATATGTATATATCACTTTATGTAAAAAGACTTTTCAAAATTAAACCAATCGAAGCAAAAATATTCTTTGATCTCCTGTGGATAGATATAGACTTATGTATCTGGCTATGTGGTCTAAGAATTGCAAAGAAGATCTATTTTGACAAAGCCATTAATACATTTCCAGATAATATTTTGTTAAGAAAATATAAATAAACTAGTATTTGGTTTCCATAGTACATGTTGAGCTTCATTATTGACTTAGGCTAATATTTATATGTAAGGTTTACCCCTTTAAAAAAAAACACATTAAAATAATTAAAGAGCATTCATGCATTACTTTTTTCTTTCCTTGTATTTTACTATTTTTTCTTTTTAATGGAATACCTATATGTTCAGTTTATAAAATATTCAGTGTATATTTCTTTTCTAGACATTATCATAGTTTCATCACCAATTATTGTTAAAAATATTATTTATAGAGGAGCGTTGTAAAATTATTTCCCATGTGTCATAAATTATTATTATGCTTTTTTTCATTCAACTGTTCAGATAGATCTCGTCAGACAGAAGAACTGCTCGTAAATTGGTTTCTTTCTTCTCTGTGATTTGCTTTGCAATTCTTGTTCTGAATCTAAAAGCTATAATCACCAAAATTTAAAGGCAAGATTTAGAGAGCTTTTGCCATTTATTATGCTTTCTCCAGCTTAGACCTTAAAAATTGTTGTACAGAATATTTGGTTCTTTATTCAATCTACAATTTATTTTTTTTGTGTTACGAGAGGATAGTAAGTAAAATGATTATATACATTTCTGGTTTGTATATCCTCAGTATGCCAGGTATTAAAGTAATTGGAAATATCTGACTTGACAAGGTAAGGCCAAGAAGTGTGAGATCTTAGTGAAGGAGAGAAATCTTGTAACATTATAATCTAGAGGGACTGGACTAAACTTGCTGGGCTCCATCTGTCATTCCTAACTAAAAGGAACCAGCCTCTCCTTTTGTTTTGTGTATTACTATCCAATTACAAAGGGTCACTACTAAAGCAAAAATAGCAAATCAAGCACATTTAAGCCCGTACGAGCAAAACACCTTTAGACCGTCTAAACAAATAGTTTACCAGGTTGCATAGTTTTAGATAGGAAGCCAATTATGACCGTCTAGCATTTTTGAAACAAAGAAAATTTTCATGAGGAAATATTGTGTATTTCATAAAGAATGTGAATTTAAACTTCGATGTAACACAAAAGACTTGCCTAAACACCATGCTAAGAGCCTTGGCCAAGTTTATCTGAGCTTATATGTGCACTAGGTGATGGATTTGTCCTGAAAAGTGACCCCAGCCTCCATGCTGAGACTTTGCTGAAAATAGCATGAACCTGTCGAACTGCTGTCTAGCTGATGTTCCTGAACAATTATCAATTATTTCCATTTCCTTTTTATGTAATATTCCATTTTCACATAGTCCTACTAGCCCCTTGTTTTCCCTATTTTCATTTCCTCATATTTCCTTTTTATTCATATCAGTTTTCTCTTTAGAAACCTCGGTACCTTTGTTTCAGTTGGCGTTGAGCTCAGTTTATACCATAGTCTCTATCCCCTACTTCAGTAGTCAGAATAACATCTGTCTTGCAATCTTTAACAAGGACCTTGCTTTGATTTTCTTAGCAGAAACACATATATTCTATTTGATTGTATTTTGTTTATACAGAAGATGTTGTTAAAATGCACAGTAAAATGCCTAGTCTTTCTGATTTCAAATCAACAGATTGAAATTCCAGTGAATCTTGTTTATTTTACTTTAAAAATATACACTTGTAAGCATAAAAATTGAATTATTTGAGGTTTTCTAAAATTATAATTACACACTACTTAATGTTTAATAAATATTAAAATTTTTAGTTAAGTCAGGAATTACAGGTCTTATGAAATGTAGAGGAGAATCTTGCCACAACTTAATGCATCGATGTGGAATTAAACTGAATGATCTCCGGTGTTATGCCTACCAGCCTTAGATCTCAAAGAGTGCTACAGTCTCTTTTCCTTCTTTATGAACTTAACAAACGTTTGATAACCAAAAAAGCAACATTTTATGACAAATAGAATAACAATTGCCAAGGAAGGCCAGCACATGCAGAGAGTAGTACTGGAACCTGGTGAAGTTGTGGGCAGTTGGCACAGGTACTTGGTTGCTTTTTGGTGTGTGACAAACTCAATCCAGAAGACTTCGTAGGGCTTCATAGGCTGAACGTAATGAATGATCAACAGCCATGTAACATTTTCTTTACAGCTAAAGGAAAATCAAACAGACGCCAACTTATAGAATCAACTAGAAAAGATAAATATGTGAAAAATTTTTTGCAGAAGTTTAAAATGAGTGCCACATAAACATGGATGAAAACTAAAATATTTTATTTCAAGGTGGTTATAGAGATTTTGATTTATGGACTAGAATTTGTTGGATGCATACGATTTCAAGATGTGAAGAGGGAACTTAAGAGACAACAAGTATTTCCAGCCTAGAGAGTGGAAGAAGTTAAAGCCAAAAGGAAATTTATATATATACATATATATATATATGTATATATACACACATGTACATATATATACATGTATATATATATACATGTACATATATATACATGTATACATATATATCATTTGAGAGTACAGAAGTTTAATTATCTGCTTTAAAAATTGTTAATGGATGTTGTATACATGGTTGAAAATAGTATCAAAGCCTAGAGGTAGGAGACAAACCTATGACAAGGTTCAGGTACACTTCCAGGCAAAGCTAATAAGAAGTCGGTATTGACCATGAATTAGTATTGACATTATGTCCGTGGATTAATGTTTAAAAGCATAAAACTGGTTGGATTTAGTTTGAATCTTAGAATACTTGGTAGAATTATCCTCACTATAAAGGGGTTCTCAGTAAATACTTGCTATTATTACTCTTTTTCTTGTATTGTGGTTTGTAGAATCTAAGTGGTGCTCAATATTTTACTTTGAGGCATTGTACTTCCATTTGTTTCTGCTGTTGAAATAATTATTGACTAATAGACAAAGAATAAGAATACATGTAAGTATTTGGCTTACCATATCAAAACCAAAAAGTGCTATAGAGAAGAAGCCTCATATTTCTGTTTTGAGACATTTTGGCAACTTATTTCTTTCAAGTCAATTATTTTCTGATTTTATTTTTTTTCAAAAAAAGCAACCACAGCTATAAAAACAAAGAATATAGCTACATTTATACTAGTATCTTCTTTTTATAATAATTTTAAAAAGTCAAGTTTGAAAGCTCTGGTAGTTTACAATTTATCAGTGATAGGAACAAAATGTTAGCATAAAAACTTTGGAAGGCATTAAATATAATGGGAATTAGAGTTTGATTATGTCATGCTAATTTAATGAAAATGAATTAGTTTTAAAGAGTTTTAAACATAAGGGAAAATGTGTAACTAATATGAAATCCTGTATGTTTATTTGCTTCACTATGGTACAATTTTTACTATGTATTTGTATCCCATAACATCACTTTGTATGTCTTCAATATACAAAATAAAATTTATTTAAAATGAACATTTGATGAGCTCTAATGCGGAAAGACCTGCATAAATTAGTCAGTACTGTCATGACATTCATGGCTCCCAGCTTCAGGTTTGTTCTCAATTTTCCTCATAATCCTTCTGTTACCATCATCAGCAATTTCTCTTATTTCACTTTTCAGTTATTTCATAACTGATGCACTATCCTAAAACCTCTGACAAATGTTTCCACTAAAACCACACATACACACACACAAAACAGATTGTGACACTCACAATGGTTTATTGACTATTGTCTTCAAGCATTAGAAAATACATACATGTACTCAGCATTGTGTTCATGTTCAGAGTCACTGCTGCTCCCTCGGTCTTCATGTAAGAACTCATCAATCCATGCTATGTAGTTTAAAAAAACCCTGTACATTCATGAAGGATCTTTAATGACTGCTTTTAATGCATTGAGCAAATCTGTAGTTGACATTGTTTTTGTGTCCAGTCTGATAGCTTCTCCCCTAGCCTTCATGTGAACAGTGTTATCAGGTTGATCTGCAAACAAAGGAAGCCCCCTCCACATAGGGATCCCATGGTAGATCCTCTCATAGGTGCCGTTGGCTCCACCATGAGTTATGAAAGCTTTGGTTTTTGGATGATCAAGGATTTGATGAATATTTGAATAATTACTCATTATAAGTCTTAGAAATAAAACGAGCAATGCACAATATGAGGCAATGAAACGGGCAGTGTTCTCTAGATAACAAATTACTGTTACAGTAAAACTGCATTAAAATTGCTTTAGATCTCAGAGGAAGAAGCACCTCTGGGGCTTTAAGTGAAGGCTCCACAAGTGGTATGTGACTTGAGGCTTGAGAAATGAATAGAAGATTGTCAAGTGGACAAATAGAGCACACTGTGGATAAACAAAACTGCATATACCCCACTCCAGCCCCCCAAAAGCAGGATGCATACTGGAACATGATCTCTTAGAGAAATAGTAAAGTCACTGAGTGTGATAGGGGATGTTGTCCAGGGCAGCAGGGAGTGGGGTGGTGGTGGTGCTTGAATAGAAGGACAGGCCATACTCCATCACAAAATGCATTAACACCTTATGATAAAGACTGGGGATTTATTCCCATAGAAAATACAGTCACTGATAATAAAAGAAGAGCTGCTTTTTTTAGTTGTATTTGAAATATTTATATATTAGGAGAAAGGGTAGGTGTAACATTCAAAGTAGGAGACAGACAAACCAGAATATTATTGAAAAATTATCTATGCAATGTAACAACACTAGAAATAAAGGTAGTTTGTTTCTGGCCGTAAATAATATTGTGTCCAGAATTTGTGGGTTCTTGGTCTCACTGACTTCAAGAACGAAGCTGCGGACCCTCGCGGTGAGTGTTACCAGTTCTTAAAGATGCTGTGTCCGGAGTTTATGGTCTCGCTGGCTTCAGGAGTGAAACTGCAGACCTTCCTGGTGAGTGTTACAGCTCTTCAGGCGGCGCATCTGGATCCGTTGGTTCCTCCTGTCCGGAGCTGTTCATCCCTCTGGGTGGGTTAGTGGTCTCGCTGGCCTCAGGAGTGAAGGTGCAGACCTTCACAGTGAGTGTTAGAGCTCATAAAGGCGGCACAGACCCAAAGAGTGAGCAGCAGCAAGATTTATCTCAAAGAGCGAAATAAAAACCTTCCACGGGGTGGAAGGCGACCTGAGCAGGTTGCCAATGCTGGCTACAGCAGCCTGCTTTTATGCCCTTATCTGACCCCACCGACATCCTGCTGATTGGTCCATTTTACAGAGCAGTGATTGGTCCATTTTACACAGAGCTGATTGGTCCATTTTACACAGAGCTGATTGGTCCATTTTGACAGGGTGCTGATTGTTGTGTTTACAAACCTTGAGCTAGACACAGAGGGCTGATTGTTGCATTTACAATCCTTTAGCTAGACACAAAAGTTCTCCTAGTCCCCACTAGATTAGCTAGACACAGAGGACTGATTGGTGCATTTACAAACCTTGAGCTAGACACAGAGTGCTGATTGGTACATTTACAATCCTTCAGCTAGACACAAAAGTTCTCCAAGTCCCCACTAGATTAGCTAGACACAGAGTACTGATTGGTACATTTATAAACCTTGAGCTAGACACAGAGCACTGACTGGTGCATTTACAAACCTTGAGCTAAACACAAAGTGCTGATTGGTGCATTTACAATCCTCCAGCTAGACATAAAAATTCCATAAGTTCCCACCAGATTAGCTAGATACAGAGTGCTGACTGGT
Source organism: Homo sapiens (assembly GCF_000001405.40). Classification (NCBI taxonomy): domain Eukaryota; kingdom Metazoa; phylum Chordata; class Mammalia; order Primates; family Hominidae; genus Homo; species Homo sapiens. Next base: position 69,576,191 of record NC_000004.12, read on the forward strand.
GCATCCACGAACCCTGAGCTAGACAAAGAGGGCGGGCCGATTGGTGTATTTACAATCCTCCGGCTAGACATAAAAGTTCTCCAAGTTCCCACCCCACTCAGGAACCCAGCTGACTTTGCCTAGTGGATCCCGCTGGGAGGTCGCGGGGCAGGTCTGCCTGCCAGTACCTGCCGTGCACCCACACTCCTCAGACCTTGGGCCATGGATGGGACCGGGCACCATGAAGCAGAGGGTGGCGCTCCCTGGGGAGGGGCTCAGGCATGGCAGACTGCAGGTCCTGAGCCCTGCCCCGTGGGAAGGCGGCTGAAGGGTGACAATTGGAGCACGGCATGGGTAGGCCAGCAGTGCTGGGGCACCTGGTGCACCCTCCACAGCTGCTGGCCCCGGTGCTAAGCCCCTCACTGCCCAGGGCGGGCGGCACCAGCAGCTCCAAGTGTGGGGCCGCGAGCCGGCGCCCACCAAGAACTCGCGCTGGCCCACAAGCGCCCTGCCCAGCCCAGGTTCCCACCCGCACTTCTCCCTCCACACCTCCGCGCAAGCAGAGGGAGCCAGCTCTGGCCTCAGCCAGCCCAGAGAGGTGCTCCCACTGTGTAGCGGTGGGCTGAAGGGCTCCTCAAGCTTGGCCAGACTGTGTATGATAAAATGCTAACTGTTGTAGTTTATCATGTTTTTCCCCAGGACTGGAATATTAATGTAACGAAGTTAGATTTTGAGTTTTTAAATAATAAATGGTGAAACAGTTTTCTGTTGAACCATTTTCATCCTGTTTGGCTGATACCCACTTGTACAGCTGAGTATTGGTACTAACGTATCTGATTTCCTGTCACCAAATTTCCGTAGAACCATACAGATAAGGGACTCTAACGATGATAGGACAGGGACACATAGAGGGCCACAACACACACTGGGGCTTTTCAGAGGGTGGAAGTTGTGAGGAGGGAGAGGATCAGGAAAAATAACTAGTGGGTACTAGGCTTAATACCTGGGTGATGAAATAATCTGTACAACAAACCCCCATGACAAAAGTTTACCTGTGGAACAAACCATCACTTGTACCCCTGAACTTAAAGTGAAAGTTTAAAAAAAAAAAGTACCTTGTCATATGAGTCAAATTCAAATTACAGCATATTTGTAAGATTTCTAAAATGATAAAGAGATAAATGCCTTCCATAAAGCTGGTAAGGATATGAGGACAGGATAGGTTAAGTAACAGAGCTACAGAAGACTGAAGTAAATATAAATAAATAAATAAATAAATAAATAAATAAATAAATAAAATGGTTGGTGTAAAAGTAATTGCAGTTTTTTAAAAAGTAATGTCAAAAACCTCAATTACTTTTGCACCAACCTATTTTTTATTTATTTTTACATTAAATTAGGTTAAATGCAATCGTGATGTTTCACACATAGTGACTTAGACAAATAAGATAATAAGTGATAAATTCAAGCATTTAAGTAATTGTTAAGCAGTCATAATTCTAATGTAAAGCAGAGTAATTACTAATGGTCTACACCTTTTTAATTAATGTATTTACCATAGTCACTTTCATCTGCCAAATTTAATATTAAGCTTTTTATTTTAAAATCAATTAAATTGGAGAGAATTTACTTATATTCACTTATTCCATAAGTTAGAGTCTGACAGCTGATGATTTACAAAAAATCAAATCTATGCAATCATTTATGTATGAGAACTAAATGAATTCTGCTTAGAAATTACATATAACTTGTTTCTAATTACAAATTACTAAGCATTTCTTCCATAAAAAATTCAAGTGACATTTTCACATATATTCAGAATATTATCATATTTGTTAGCATTGTAAATTCTTTAAATATAGGAAAGACTGATTGATAGTTCATAAATGATAGGGCAGTTGAAAATTTTCCAAAATTGTGATGATGCTAAAGTTTGTTCAACTTGCTGTTAACTTTTCGGTGACAAACTACAAAACGTTGACAGCAGTGATCATTATGGTCATCTATAGCTAAGCCATTTGGTATATGCCTAATACCAAAATGAAGTACTGATTTTGGAGTTACCAAACAATCTTCATAGAGTATAATGAACACATTTTAACATATATTTGCTATATAAGTATTAAATGTAACTTCAGATTTGCAGCAAAAAAATAGTAAAGGTGATTACAGGAAGGCTATATAGGATGTAAAACTAAAGAATACCTCATAAATATTCAAAACAATATTTAGATCAAAGCTGTATTGTACATATTAGAAAGTTAGTTATTACTATAATTTATGGGGTATCTGAACCTCTCTCCCTACCTGGCTTCCTTCTACTTGACTCCTCCTCCTCCTCCTCCTTCTTTCTTCTTCTTCTCCTTCTACTTCTCTTCTTTCTCTCCCTCTTCTTTTCTTCTGTTCTGTTCTCTTCTCCTTCTCCTTCTCCTTCTCCTTCTCCTCCTTCTCCTTCTCCTCCTTCTCCTCCTCCTCCTCCTCCTTCTTCTTCTGCTTCTTCATCTTCTTCCTCCTCCTCCTCCTCCTCTACTATTTGAGATAGGGTCTCACATTATCACTCAGGCTGAAGTGCAATCATAGCTCACTGAAACCTCAAACTCCTGGGCTCAATCAGTCCTCCTAAATCAGCCTTCTGAGTAGCTAAGACCACAGATATGTACCTGTATTTCCTGCTAATTTTCTTTTTGCTTGTTTTTAGAGATGAGATATTGCTATGTAGCCCAGTTTGGTCTGGAACTCCTGGGCTCAACGGATCCTCCCACCTTGGTTGCCCAAAGTGCTGGAATTAAGCATGAGCCACTGCACCTGTTCTTGATTCTTCCTTATAGTCAGTTTTCAGGATGGTTTTCAGATACAAGTGGTTAAATTACTTGATGTTTATAATATACTCAGTGTACATTTTCTCTGTCTTTTTCTGTCAGGCAGCTATGATGTTGAGACGCAAATTTTACAATGATGCTTTACTGAGCTGTTTTATAGGCATGGCATAAGGCAGAAAATACCAGCTCTGATAAGATAAAACATCATTCTTTTTTACTTTTAGTTATACAACTCTGTGATCTCAAACAAAGAATGATTTAGTCATGGGGTGAAAGCCAATAAACATTGGATTTGGATGCAAATATTGCTGGGGCCACACATTTATACTGTTGAAAAATGGTGTACATTTTAAGCTAGAATAATGCTAAAGTGCCTCAACTCTTGTATTAAAATTTTAGCATTTCATTCTGTTCATCGTGTTGCCAAAATGTGTACATTTACTTTTAAACAAGTACATAGGATTTCTTTTCTCTCGGATTTACCTAAGAATATAATCTTAATCTATTGGAATAACAGTCCTTATTGAATGAAATGGTATCTGAAGTGTCTGACACATATTAGGAAATTAATAGTGTTAGTAACAACAACAAGAAATAGCAATGACGTTAACAGTCAACATTAATTCAAATCACTAACTAGGTAACAAATACATTTTAAGAGTTTTGTCTCTATTAACTGCTTTTCCCACACAATGCAATGTAAGATTTGTACTATTATTAGAGTAGTCATAGTCATCTCGGATGAGAATATTCTCTGATAATTTTATCAACTGTTGCCTGAACTCTTACACCAGTCTCCTAAATGCTTCTGTGCATAGTGTTGGCCCTCTTCAATTAAAACCAGGCACTGTATCTTAAGGCATTTTTTTTTTTGTAATGAAGTCTGATCATATCTTTCCCCAGCTCAATTTTTTTTCCTCTGACTCCCCAATGTCTTTGTTAGATATTTCAAATTTATTTCTGTTATCTGATTCCAAATTATCTCTCTAAGGAAATCTGCCTCTTTATTCAACCTCTTCCTGCTAAACTAAACTTGGAGTTTCGGAACTGAACTATCATTACTCTTCTACCTGCTTTCATTTTGTATCTTCCTCTCACTTGACCTATTTCTGCAAATCATTCAGGTCTCAGTTTTATTATCAGTGTTGCTGGTATACCTACTATTATCCCTACTGAATGTTCTCCAAGCATTGTGGTCCTTTCTTTTTAAAACATTTTATACACATTTTATGACATGCTTTTTATTCTACAATTCCAAATAGATTTTAAAGTCTATGGGAGTAGAAAATGTCCCTAAATTTCTTTCTCTGCAAATCCAGCACTTACCTCTGGTGAATTTTAGTCACTTTATAAAGAGTTTTTGAGGAAATGATTTATACTGGCTTCTGTGTTGAGTAATGAATTCCTTAGTTTCAGTGACCCTATTCTTAATGTTTTACAGGCATCTCACTTTATTCTATAATGATATAATGATAGTTATTTTAGACAGGGGGTTAGCAGATTTTCAGTAGCGTCCTTTAACAAAATCAAAGCTTGATGAGTTTGGGAGAGAAAATACTAAATACTATGAGGTTCTAATTAGCCATATTTCTGTTTCCCCATTGTCTTAGACAATGTAGTGGGTCTCCCTGGTTGAGTAAAAGACAGGATAATGAGATAATTGTCATGTGAATAGACTGTGTAATTTTCCAAAATAAGTTGGAATAATACAGGCAATGCTTTACACAGTGTCTGTGCATTAATGAAACAGTTATACTAATTTGGACATAATATAATTTGTGTGAATAATTTATGTTATATAGTATATGTATACACACAAATACACACACATATATATGAAAGGCAAAGTGACGGGAGACTATGTCTCTAACATCACCGAGTCATTAAAATAACCCACTATAAAATTGAATATGCATTTGTTTTCTATCTAAAGATATAAATGTAAACAACTATTTTAGCTGCATAATCAAGTAATCTTAACATATCCATGGAAACGGGTTTCCCAGGATTTTATTTTCTACTATTTAGTTTCTACTATTTAGCAAACTGGTTCCTGAACATTGACTTTTCAAGTGAATGTGATGTTTTTGAGACAATGTCTGCTCAAGTGTCTCAAGTGAATGTACTGCTTTTAGTTATGTTAATAACTGAAGAATATTGTTTATAGAAATATTTGCAAATATCAGTTGGAATTTTTTCAGAAATTATGGAAATGAAGATGTGTACTCACCCTTAGTTTTGGCTGAGTTTTTAAATGGAGAAAAATAGATTTTAAAAAGTAAAGACTAATTACATGTATGTCCAAACTTTAACAGGATTTTATGTCTTTAAAACAGACTTGTGAGAACTTAATAAAGAAATGTATAAATATTAAAAACCTCAAAGTATAGGATTTTTTTGCATCTGGAGAAAAAGATAATGTATTTCTCACCTGTGAAGCATCCTTTAAGTAATATGAAATAAATATTTTTCATTTTAAATAAGGAAACTGATCTATACAAGAAAAGGCAATTTCCTCAATGCTACACAACTGTGCTAGAAATATATGTGTGCCTCATAAATCTATGTACTTGTTTATCAAGATATTAGGAAGATGTCTCCTGGGTTTTTATAAGATAAAAATGAATGTATGGTAAAATGTATATCTAATTGCCGAAATACATTTGCAATTCATTAATTCATAGTTGTATGACTTCCTACAGTGTCCTGTATAAGTGATGGCCACAGGTTTCTAGCTGATCCTGTAACTTTCGGTGCAGCTTTTCCACCATATTAGTAAGATTATTGATCATTTTATCTTTGAATTTTATCGTTTCACCTATAAAACACACAGTTTTTTTATTTTATATTTATATAAACTTACCTTAAAAGGCATAAGGAAAGGTAGGACTTCATAATACCAATTAAAAACTTACATAGTTCTTCACTGTAAAACTAATTCCATTTCCTTTTTTTTAAACAAAGTATGATTTTACTCCCTTTGTCAAGCTCACAGTTCTTTTTTTAATAGTGACAATCCATATATATAGACATTCCTAAAAGAAATAAAAGTAATTCAGTAGACATGTCACTGTTACAGAACCTGAATATGGAATGCATTCGATGCTTTTGTTTGATTTTGTTGAGACAGGGTCTCTCTCTGTTGCCCAGATTGGAGTGCAGTGGCATGATCGCACCTGGCTGCAGCCTTGGCCTCTCAGGCTCAAGCGATCCTCCTGCCTCAACCTCCCAAGTAGTTGGGACTACAGGCGTGTGCCACAGTCCTGGCTAATTTTTTGTAGATATGGGGTCTCAATATATTGCCCAGGCTGAATTTGATGTTATTTCAAGTTGATTTTTGTGTGTTTGGAAGTTTGTCTTGCTCCTCAACTACTATGCAGGTAGACAGTCATCCCCCAGAGATTCACTAGATTGCCATATAGAGGCACTTTATCATTTCCCTATTGTTCCTAATACAGAATTGTAGAGCTGGAAAGTAACTTCAGTTTTCTAAATCTATTCCTAAACAGGATATCACTAACTTCTTTAGAATCATTTCTCAGTATACATCAACTTATTGAGAACTGTCTAATACTCAAAGAAATGAAATCTTGAGTTCAGTAAGCTGTGTTCCAAGCAGGAATCATTTTCACTTACCAAAATATCTCCTATTACCTCAAGCTATCCTTGTTGAGGAAAGCTGAAAATTAAATTTTAAGTATCAAGTCTAGACCATAGAGTGCTTTGGTGGGAGTATTTTGATTATATACCTCCTACCCATCAGAAGCAGGCAGCTAATATTGTGAACTGAGCATTTTTGTCAAAAGTCACAGGCAAGAGACTAGAGAAGAATGAGAAAGGTCAAATGGACCTTGTGTGGCTGACTACATGGATCTTGTTTCTTGGAGGTCTGTCACAGAAGAGAAAACACATAGAGGTGAAGAAACAGAACAGACTCAGTCAGCATCCTTACCTAGAGATGGCAACATCTCTATTAAGACCAATGCAATACCTTTTCATCTTCAACAACTGTTGTTTTGTCTGTCTTTGATCCTTGGCATTGTCAAAAACTTAACTGCAGGTCCAGTGTATATTTTTCCTTATTTTTCCCTTTTAGCTATCTGCTAAAATGATTAAATGTCACAACTGTACTTTTCCAAAGAAACAGAACTATTGACAATTTAAAGCCTGTCATGCAGGTCATGTTTCAAATTGAGGCTAAAATTTTCAACAGCTATAGAAACATTGTACAATATTAGTGTTTTTTTTTAAAGAAAATGTTAGTTCATGGAGTATACTAAATATCTGTGATAGATTAAATATATTAGTTCTAATCTTACTTTTGATTTTGGGAGCCCAAAATAAAGAGAGTGTTGTTTTCATGGTTATGCCTTGTTTGTGGAGTCAAGTGTCGATATACTTGAGGCATGTTATGTGTCTTCTAATTAATATTTTTATCACCGTGAATTTGTGTCTCTTCCAAGCATTAAACTTTTACTATGTATCTTAAATTCCTTATTAGAAAAATGAAAGTGTGAATACTTTGTTTGGCTTATATTTTCATTTATTGTAGTTGACCACATTTTATGGTTCCTGAGTGCCTTCACCCAGCTACACTTTACCTTGTATCTATAAAAGTGTAATTTAGAGTAAATACATTGGCTATAAAGTCGAGATCAGGTGCTCTCCACCAAAAGCAAAACAAAACTTCTGAAATGTGGCAAGGTTTCTCAGTGCAAGCTTAAATATTTAAACTGTTGACCATGTGGAAAATACTGGACAAAGGGGAAGAACAAAACATCATGTGCAATAGCTAGAGGTTATGCAAGGCAAAGCAAGGTTATACTTTTTGACTAAGTTACTCTTAAAAGTTAAATGCATTTTTTCTTGTGAAGTGTGGATTATAAAAGCCAAAGACAAAACCAGTGTGAAAAATGTTTTGTATTCTACAATACCTTTTACGAGTAAGAGTAAAACATAAATTTTTTATTTGTAATTTTATTTAAGGAGGAATACTCTTTCCCTTTGGTATGACCACAGTATTATAAACAGCAAGGAATATGTTCTGCTTTCTGCAGTTTTAGAAAGTCATTCCAGCCTGTGTGACAGAATGAAGTAAGACTGTCTCTTAAAAAAAAAAAAAAAGCTCACACCTGTAACCCCAGCACTTTGGGCACCAAGGTGGGCAAATCGGTTGAGCCCAGGAGTTCGAGACCTACCTGGCAACAAAGTTAGATTCCCCCTACTCTCTACAAAAGTAAAAAAAAAAAAAAAAAAAGCTGGTCATGGTGGCACACGCCTGTGGTCCCAACCACATGAAATTCTGAAGCAGGTGGATCTCTTGAGACTGGCTGGGAGGTCGAGGTTGCAGTGAGCTATGCTCATGCCACCACACTCCAGCCTATGCAACACAGATCTTGTCTCAAAAAAGAAGTCATCTGTGTGTTTCTTTCAGGGACATCTATGGCAATGCTTGTACCATGAATTTAAAACTTCTAACTTGATGGCACATTTTTACTTTTTTTTTTTTCCGAGATGGAGTCTTTCTCTGTTGCCCAGGCTGGAGTGTAGTGGCGCGATCCTGGCCCACTGCAACCTCTGCCCCCCAGGTTCAAGAGGAGGCAGCCCTCCCGAGTAGCTGGAACTACAGGCATGTGCCACCACGCCCAGCCAATTTTGCATTTTTAGTTGAGACAAGGTTGCTGGCCAGGCTGGTCTCAAACTCTTGACCTGAAAAGATCCACCCACCTCAGCCTCCTAAAGTGCTGAGACCACAGGCGTGGGCCACCACACCAGGTTCTGATGGCACATTTTAAAACTGATCTCATTTCTTATTGATTGTTTGAAACCAAAAGTCAAAACACACACACACACACACACACACACACACACACACACACACACGCAGTTCTCCATTTATGTTATTTGATTATAAAAATTATGACAGAACAACACGCATGTAGGAAGGAGGTAATTGAAGTCCTCCACTATGCTTCTCCAGTATGTAGTCAGGAAACAAGCAGAAACTGTGAAAAAAAAGGATGCTTTAGTAGCTCAGTCAGCAGCTCACCACTGAGACCACTGGCATGTGAAAGAATGACATCAAACCTCAACTTTTGTAGGTTTTCAAGTTTATTGTTCAAAACCAAATTTTTACAAAGATTTTCATAACAATCACAATATCCCTGTAATTGTTTTGCAGTGGTGCAATATCTGTCCAAAATGTATCTTTGGGTACATCTTTTATGCATTGATCTATCCTGTCAAAAAATTCTACAATCCATCTTTAGCGCAACATGTATAAAAAAGTTCAAATTTAATACTAGATAGACTACTGAGATCAAGGAAAATGGAAGACAAAGGTCTAGAACAGTCACCTCATGACCTCTCTAGACAAGTTTATTCAATACTCACTTCATATGAAGTGAGTTCATCCAGTTCTCAATTCACTTCATATTGATCCAGTGTCTATATTTTACCAGCACCTTTCCACAACTCCTCTACCTAAAGTAACAACTCAACTGTAGGGGAAGCAAAACTGAAGTTCATTTCATAGACAGTCTAGTTAAATGCAATGCTTATTTCTCTATGCATCTGTTGCTTCTAACTAAGGAGAAATCATCAAGAATTTAAAATAAAACTCCAACACATCTGGCTTACCCAGCCTTGCTGTTATAACAAGACACCTGAGACTGGACAATTTACCAAGAACAGAAATTGTTTTCTCACAGTTCTGGAGGCTGGCAAGTTAAAGATCAAGATGCTGGTATCTAGGGAAAGCCTTCTTGCTGCATTCTCACATGGTAGAAGTGGAATGGCAAAAGTGACCAGTTCTGTATCTTCATGTAGCAGAAAAGCAAGCCTGCTGAATGAAGCTAAAAAGACCTTCATCCCATTCACGAAGAAGGCAATATCACCTCTTAGAGGCCCCTCCTCATAATCTGTCACATTGGCAACACCTGAATTTTGGAAAGGACACATTCCAACCATAGCAATGTCAAAGTAAATACATTATATGAACAATCACAGTTTCTGGATGACAAATGGATCAAGAAAAGGTAGATGGCCTCATGCTTACAAGTGTGTGTTACTGTGTCTTTTAAAATTACAAGTGTTTTACTCCCCAGTAAGAGTTGAACTTGTGTGTTCTAGACACCTAAGTCATATAAGAGGTTTGTGAAGTGTCAAGTACAGTGAGAAATGGAGACTTCTTGGTCTGCAGTCCCCTTGACACAGAACTGGAGATAAAGTAATTATACAGCTGAATTACCATTTCTTAGATGTCACGGTTCAAGATACTTTTGTGTGTAAAAAATTTGTACACATACAATTCACATATTTATCAATTTAAAGTGTACAATTCAATGGCTGGGTGCAATGGCTCATGTCTGTAATCCCAGTACTTTGTGAAACCCAGGAAGGTGGGTCACTTAAACCCAGAGGTTTGATATCAACATGGGCAACACAGTGAATCCTTGTCTCTACAAAAAAAAAACAAAAACAAAACGAACAATTAGCTGGCTGTGGTAGTGTGCACATGCAGTCCCAGCTACTTGGGAAGCTGAGGTGGGAGGATGGCATGAGTCCAGGAGGTTGAGGCTGCAAAGGGTGGAGATTGCAATCCTGTCTTCCAAAAAAAAAGTTTTTAATATACAATTCAGTGGTTCATCGTATATTCATAGAATTTTTCAACAACTGCAACAACAAGATTTAGAGTATTTTATCACCCACCAAAAGAAACACTGTACCCTTAGCCATTCCTTATCCTGCATTTTAGGCAAACACTAACTTATTTTTTATCTCTATCAATTTTCCTATTAAGAGCATTTCATATGAAGGGACATATTGTTATATGAAGGATCTTTGTTGTTTGGCATCTATACTTAGTATAATGTTTTAAAAAGTCTCATTAATGGTATAGCATGCATCAAGACTTTATTATTTTTATTGCCAAATAATATTCTAAAACATATTGTTTATTCATTTATCAGTGATGAACTGTAGTTTTCTCTCCAGTTTTGGTTAAGATGTTATCAACATGCATGTATTAATTTTGTATAGACCTATTGCCATTTGTGTCTGGTATATTACTAGAGGTAGAATTGCTGGGTCATATTGTAACTCTGTTTAAACTTTAATAAACTGGCAGATTGTTTCAAAGTGCCTGAATAATTTTTGATACACACAAGCAAAGTATGAAGATTCCAAATTCTCCATATCCTTGCCAACACTTTTAATTACTTATCTTTTTGATAATAGCCATGTTAGTGAGGGTGAAGTGGTATCTCATTGTGGTTTTTACTTAAATTTTCCTGTAATAATGTTGAACTTAATGATGCAGAGCATTTTTTCATTTGTTCTTATTGGACATTACATTTGCTCATTTGTCCTCATTGGACATTTACATATTCCTTAGAGAAATGCCTGTTCAGATCTTATGCACATTTTTGGATTGGGTCATTTTTTTTTTATCATTGAGCTGTAAGCTTTCTTTATAAATTTCTTACACAAGTCATTTACCATGTATGTAATTTGCAACTATATCCTCCAAAGTCTGGTTTCTCTTCAGACTTTAGTGCTGGTGTTTGGATGTACAAAAATTTTGATTTCAGTGAAGTCCAATTTATCAATTTTAATTTGATTGCTTCTGCTTTTGGTGTCATATCTAAAAACCTTGCAAAATTCAGGGTTAGAAAGAAAGCTATACCCATATTCTTCCTGCTGAGAGTTTTATAGTTCTTGATCTTACATTTAGTTTTTTTTTAATCTATTTTGAGTCCATTTTTATATATGACTTGAGGTAAGGGGTTCAATTTTATTCTTTTGAATACTGATAATCAGTTTGTCCACTGGTATTTGTTAAAGATATTGTTTTTTCTCCATTGTATAGTTTTGCATTCTTGTCAAATATCAATTGACTCTATGTTTGGCTATATTTCTAGATTTTACAAACTATTAAAATTGAGTATATGCCTAGCTATATGCCTATAGCTAATGCATGCTAAGCTTAATACCTAGGTGATGGGCAGATAGGTGCAGCAAACCACCATGGCACACGTTTACTATGTAACAAACCTGCACATGTATCCTGGAACTTAAAATAACATAAAATTGAAAAAAGAAACAGTGAAAGAAAGAAGAATTTCAAAAATATCACTAAGGCAACGAATGTAATTTATCTTCTCAATTTCAAATATTGAAATTAACACTTTAGCTAGAAATGTCATTAAATTTATAAAGGGTAAAGAAAGCAAAATCTTTAATATATTTATTAAATTAATGCAAGGCTGAATCAAGTAAAAGTATTTGCCTTCAACTATGCTTTCCGTTGATAAACATTTATTATGCCATATCCTTGGTGAAGCTCTTAGTCTTTTATATACATAGCATAACAATTAATTGATAAATTAAAATTTGTGGAAGATAAAGACAAAAATAATGCAATGATATCAAATTCCAAGTAAGCATTTTTTATTTTTTGGCATAAAATTAAACTTTTGATTACAAATAGTGATTATATATTATGAACATTAGTGATTTTTAAGCATAATTAATTGATGTTTTATGTAATTATTTGTACAGTTGACTAAAAATTTTATAAAAATGATAATTATTTTCTAGATTTCTAATTGTTATATCCTCTAAATATGATCTGTTCACCTTCAACATATAACATAGAACTTTCTCCTTGAAATAAAAGAGTCGATTGATTGATTTATTAAAGACAGTACCCAAATCTTCCACTACAGGTTATATAAGAATATATGTTGAAGAAAGGCAGGCAAGTTATGCCGTGATTTTCTAGATATGCTTAATGAAAATTTTGTAGACATTTAATAGGGACGCACGTCACACTTAAAATTCATTCTCTAACTCCTGAAACATTGAGCAAGCAGAAGAGTTTGTTTTTATTAAAAAAGGAAATCATTACCTTTCTCATAACACACTACTCTCCTACGGTGGCTCCCTGATTTGTTTGGTATATGGAAATTTGTGAATTTGACTCTTCCTTACACCTATCAAATTCCATCTACACTGTATGCATTACCAGGATTCAGCATATTGTTAATCATTAATTAAGGTTAACGATAAAATAATTTGATACTATGAATAGAACATATTTAAAATTAGGTAGTATCCTTGTGTCAGAAAAGTGACAGGAAGAGGGTATAGTCAGCAGGGAGAGACAAAGGAAAAATAGAAGACTATAACTCACAAGTTAATAATAATCATGCCAAAATCTAGGCTTTATCAGTAGGCTTATCGCAGGTAGAGAAATAGAAAATTTGGAAACAGGATGGGAGACGTGTTTTTGTTAAACTCCTTTTGTCTGGAATTAATAGGACTACACTACTCAGGATTTTGCCAAACTTAAAAATATATATATTTCCTCTTTTTCTTGACCTATTCTCTTTTTTTCTTCTTTCCTATCTTACCAAATTTTTGACAGGAAAACAAACAACATTGTATGACCAAAAATATAGCCGTTGTCACACAGACCAGCAAGAACCCAATTACATCCAAAGAGTGGTACTGGAACCAGGTGAGGTCATGGGCTGCAACCCGAAGGTGCTTGGCTCCTTTGTGGCGCATGACAAACTCGATCCAGAAGACTGCTCGATCCAGGGGCTTTACAGGTTGATCATGGTGAATTCTTGATAACCTCATAGCATTCTCTTTATAACTAGAAGACAAATAAATAGGCAGAAATTAGACAATTTTTGTTTTTATTTTCATTGAAGATAAATATGTGATACACTTTTGCTCTACAAGTTTAAGGCCATAGTTACGTGGAGAAAATATAATTCTTGCATGAACTTTGTTAGTTGTATAGGATTTTAAGAGTTACAAAAAGGAAGATATGGATGAAATATATGCTTAACACAGTATGATCAAATGTAGACATAAAAAAGTAGAGTAAGCCAGTTGTAAATATAGATGTTTAGCATAATTTTTCCAAAAATAATTTTGATACTGTGTGAGCTATACTGTAGGATGGTTCCAATACCAAGATGGTACATAACCTAATACTGTGGGATAAAAATCATTTAAGACATACATAAACATATCCTCTAGTGTCTGGCTAGTTCATATGACAGACAAAGGAAATTGGCAGTCAGCATTAGTGAGTCATTTTACAGTTCTAAGATGTAGGCATTGTGATAATTACTCTGTGGCACACATCTGTATGTTTGTGACGAAAAGGACAGTGTCTGTATCTGTAACATGAAGACTGAACAAAAATACTCTGGTGATTTAAGAAGTGGCATATCCAAGTACATGAACTTTGATGTTTCAATTGAAACATCTCCCTAGAATTAGAGCTCTAAATCAACTTGCCATCACAATAGAGATAGTAACAGAGATAACAGTTCTAATGGCTTCTCAAACAATATTGGGTGGATATCTACATATTTAAAAGGCAAACTGTGTCTTCACTTGCAGTTTCCCTAGTTGTTAAACCAAAATTAGTAGGTTTCATTTTGGTTTGTGTCTGGAAGAAAAGTTCCAGCCTGGATTCATGAAGATGAGCGAAGGTAAATGGTTTGTGCAGAGATGTCCCGGTGTTGGCAGGACATTGTTAGGACTGGGGAATGGGGAACATGGTCATCATTTACAAGAGAACATGGTACAACTAGATTCAGCAGCAGGAGTAGTTTACATGTGTTGAGTGTGTGTGTGTGTGTGTGTGTTTGTGTGTCTGTCTGTCTAGTGAAAAAGAATATAAGTAAGTAATTTCACATGGATCATCCGAATATACTTTAGGCAATAAATAAATTTGTACATGTGAATCAAAAAATAAGAAGAAGAAAGCATGTTTTCCTATAAATGATGTGGGACAAAGACCATGCTCATAAATTTATTATTTCATGTTTTATTATACACTAATGTTTTATGACTGATATGTTAAAATATTCTGAATAATTAAATTACAATGGTCTATTCAAATGTAATTGTTAATGTTTATTAATTGCTTTAATGAATAACAGAATGGAGTACAAACACATCCATATATATACTCTACACTATACCTTGTGTTCCCAGAGGTGGTATTTGGTTTAGGGTTAAAGTGAAGTTACTTTAAATTAAATAATTTTTAGGCATTTATTTAGAAATTTCTAACAGTATTTATAGTTCTCATTTTTTTGCATCAATAGTTTTGTCAATGAAATGAATCAAAATCTAAAATATTTGAAGATATTTATTTGTAGCAAAATATGAGTGACCATGGCCCATGATAAAGCCCTCAGGAAGTCCTGAGTATATGTGCCCAAGGTGGCTGGGGTGCAGCTTGGTTTTTACATTTTAGGAAGGCATAAGACATTAATCAAATATGTTTAAGAAATACATTGGTTTGGTTTAGAAAGGTGGGACAACTTGAAGTGGGGGTGCATCCAGGCTATAGGTAAATTTAAACATATTCTGGTTGACAATTGGTTGAGTTTCTCTAAAGACCTGGGATCAAAGGGAAGGAATGCCTGGGTTAAGATAAAGGATTGTGGAGATCCAAGTCCTTATTTGCAGAGGAAGCCTTCAGGTAGTAGGCTTCAGAGAGAATAGGTTGTGAAACGTTTCTTATCAGACTGAAAGTCTGTGTTGATGCTAATGCCAGAGAGGTATACTAAGGCATATTTGACCCTCATTTCCCATCATGGCCTGAAACAGACTCTCAGGTTAAATTTTAACTTCCTCTGGCTGAGGAGGAAGTCCATTTGGATGGTTGGGTGAGAAGCTTAGAATTTTTATTTTTGGTTTACAGTTTTCAAGTCAATAATAAAATTTAACCATCATTTTAAGCATTAGAGTTAAAGAGAATCACAGACTGTACCTACACTGATAATTAATAAAATGAACAAAATTGTCAGCAACTAACAACTTTGTAATAGTCTAATTGACTAGTCATTAAAGTCAAAAAAAGATCATACTGAGCCTTGCTGAAGCTCCTAACCCACCACTTAGCTCATGAATTATGATTTCTAAAATTATGACTTATACAACATGTACGTATTAATAAAAGTCAATTAATTGGAATGTGGATGGGGAGCAAAAGTGGACAACCAGGGCTGAGTCTTGGTATGAATCTAAACCAACTGTTGAGTGTCTTTCTTTTTTGAAATGAATACATTAGCCCTCGTGTCTAAAATGCCTGGCAAAGGTCACTGAATAGATGTTTTTAAGCAGGTTACTTCCGTTAAGAAAAAGCACTAAATTCCATCCGAGTTTACCTTCTCCTCTCCTGAATCTCAGCCTTCAGGAAAAGTGAATGAAATATTAAAGCTATTCTTCAAGCTTGGACTCTACATGAAAACAATTAAGTCCAATACAACATAAAGCAAGTTTAAAGCACCCACACAAATTCAGAGCAAACACCAAGACCGAGAAAAAATAACAGCCTGATAACCACTTACACATATTGAAAAATAAATGAGAAACTAAAAATGCATTTAGGTATTGCATATAGTCCAAAGAAGAGGAGATTCAAAATACAATAATAGCGGGAGGGTAATGAATATGATATCAAAATTGACTTACAAAGCAAGAGGAAGTGATAAGGAGATAGGTGAGCTGATGATACAAGTTGTTAAAAATGACAGTTGAAAGAATTAATAAAGAAATTAGAAACAGCAAGCAATGCTCATGGTAAAAATAATAAATTTACTAATTTGTGAACTATTGGAGGCAATCTCAATGAATTAATAATAGTAAAAATTGATTAGAACAATTAGACAGGAAATAAGAGAGGAAAACATACCAAAATACTTTATCATAGGGAAGACTAAACTGGTGCTCCAGAAGTAAAGATAAAAAATGGAAATAAAAGGCATTCAAAGAAATAATACAAAAAAAATTAATTTCTGAAAAGAAAAACTGGATAATTTTTTATCTTAGATTAACATTGTTGTAAAGACACAGTATAATTGAAGAAAAATATATAAAATAATTTGTAAGAATACACCATAACTGAGTTTCTGAATTTTAAAAAGTAACTATTTCTTTTTCCAAGTTGAAAAGAAAGCAAAAAGATACAACAGTCAGGCAGGACTCAGAAATCATATAGCACAATTTAAACTGGAAGGCCATAAGTAATATTTCCACAGGTCTGAAGGAAAGAAAGCAAGAGCTAAATATATTGTATTCAGATAAAAGTCATTCTCATAACAAAGCAGTGAGTGAATATTGCTAAACATTATCTCAGAGAATTCAATATCCAAGTCTTTATTGAAAGAAAATTCCATGTGAGATAATCAGTCAAGAAATAAATCCTAAATATTTTGGAATAAATAATCTCTAATTCAACGGTGAACACTGAGTCCCTTAAAATATAGGAAACAGAGTAAATGTGAGAAAAAAATGACATAAATATTGGTAAAGTAAAATTACAACATAAGTAATATAAATTTGGAATGAAATAGAGATACATTTCAAAGCAGGAGTTCAACTATAAGTAGCTAAAATTAAAACACATCATCAAAAATAAAGACTCAAAATTACATATACATATATCATATTACTTTGGTGAGATCTTTCAGAGAAAAAAATAAGACACAATATATATACACACACACTATCTACTAAGCTATATATATAGACTTATATATATAATATACTAAGCTATGTATACATAACTCAATATATTTTATAGATTCATTTCAATCTAAAAGCTGAATCAGATAAAATTATACTTAAATTTTATTTAAAATATCACATAGTACAAATCAATATTTAAAAAATTATCCACTACCCTATATCTTTTCTCTCTGTGTGTATACATATACTAATTAAAGGTATCGAATGGTATATACTCAGTGTGAATAGTTATTTCTGAATGCTTATTACTGAGCGTATTATCATTTCAATTTTGTATTTACTGATTAGTTTATAATATGTACATACTTACTAATTAGTTTATAATATTAAGCAGATTATCCAGAAAAAATGAGAATTTATATAATCATAGCATTCTTTATTTTGAAAAATATTGAAATAATATTTGAAGTCTTTTTTTTTGTTTGTTTTTTTTTTTGAGACTGAGTCTTGCTCTTTTGCCCAGGCTGGAGTGCAGTGGCACAATCTTGGCTCACTGCAACCTCCACCTCCCGGGTTCACGCCATTCTCCTGCCTCAGCCTCCTGAGTAGCTGGGACTACAGGCGCCCACTATCATACCCGGCTAAATTTTTGTATTTTTAGTAGAGACAGGGTTTCACCGTGTTAGCCAGGATGGTCTCGATCTCCGGACCTTGTGATCTGCCACCCTCAGCCTCCCAAAGTGCTAGGATTACAAGCTTGAGCCACTGCGCCCGGCCAATATTTGAAGTCTTAGGATTTTCTTATTTTTCTGATTTCAGCAAATCACTTTAGCAGTTTGGCAAATAAAATAGTTTTTATATTGGTCAGGTTATGGTTGTTATTGGAAAATAATTACAAAAGTATAAAAGAATGTACATTTTCTGGTATTATGAATAATGTAATTAAAGTTAGGCAAGTTTTTAGGAGCCTTAGTACTTACGAAGGTTCATTAATGACTGTTCTCAAAGCGCTAAGCAAATCCACACTTGTCATTGTGTTTAGGTTCACTTCCACAGCTGCTCCTTTGGCCTTCATGTGAGCAATGTTATCAGGCTGATCAGCAAACATGGGAACTCCCACCATAGGGACTCCGTGGTAAATAGCTTCGTAGATCCCATTAGTTCCACCATGAGTGATAAAAGCTTTGGTTTTGGGATGTCCTAATTTGAGGATGGAGTGAGAAGTGGGTGTGTAATAATAACACATTAGCAGAATTTGAGAGACAGAAGGGGTCAAAAAGCTGTAATGTAACTCTCTAAAGAAGGATACGTTTTCTACAAAAGCAGATCACATAGGGCATTGGAATGTCAGAAAACTGTGATCCCAGGAAAAGCAGTAATTAACAGCATTTGCATTTTCTGGGAATATATTACTGAGGAGATGATATCTGAACTGAAAATGAAACTTGAAGTGTGATTAATGTTAACTGAAAATGCTCTTTTGTGAACCAGAGGAAGCCTGAGTCTATAAAATTAATGGCCAATTATGTAATTATATCTGCTTTAAAATTGAGTGTCAAATAACATTTTAAATTATTAAAAATGTATTGAATTTATTTGCTATTAAACAGTTACTTAACTTGTCTATTGTCCCACTGTACAGCTTTTCTTTCCCCACAGTCTTACCAAGAAGATCATTCTGGGGTATCCAATCAAAGAGCTGAGTATTGTTTCCTAATGTGGCTGGTTTCTTTCCTTTGTATCTCCATAAAACCTGTGGAAAATGGTGCTTTAATTTTGCAAGGAAAAACACAATGAGGACATTTTAAGTTGGGAGAATTATTTAGAAATCATTTAGCCAGCTACTTGGAAGACGGGAATTACATAAGCAGTAGTTTACAAACGTTGAGATACGTAGTAGGACTGTTTATATGTACCTTTTTGTAAAGTCTTGTACTAATAGTCTACCAAGTATAGTATTATTGTTTTGATATTTATCACTTAAAAGCTTTTGGAAGTTAGATTTTAAGTGAAGAAATAGAACGTAAACAGTACCAGTTTAATCAATCACAACATGAAGGGGAAAAATCATGAAGAGTGTTATGTGCTTTAAACAATACATAAATATAAAGAGTCCTAGGATGTGTCATGAATAGAAGTATAAAAAGAATAGAAATGCAAAATTGTAGAGATAAAAATTAAGGTTAATTGAATAACATAAGTCAGAAATTGCATGTTGTTGGACTATAATATTTGAATTTTAATTGTTTTTAGCTAGAGAATATTCAACTTAGAAAGGCTAAGTGAATTGAGGCTTCTACTTCTAAACCAACTACACTTTGATAGAGTTGTAATAAAACCTAGACATTCGAATTATATTTTTAGCATAATTTCTCCCTGCTTTGTGTTTACACTCTCTTTTCCTGGACCATGGAGCTAACAAACTTCAAAACTTTTGAAAGTAGTCAGTGGAGAACAAAAAATTTCAAATAGTAAAAGGTCAGTAGGGGCTTAAAGTTTTCATTTCTATTCCATTAAAAATAAATGACTTCAAAAAAGTATGTGTTTCTAAAATAATGCCAAGGCTCAGTAGGCAAATGATTCAATGTGCTAATGTACACAATTTTAATATATTACACAACGTTACTTACAACTGTTACTAGTGATACTCAGTGTATAATGAGTTTTGATTTTCATATGGAAAGAACATTACTAGCTGCATTGTCTCTCCCATTAGTAAAAAGCTGTGTACCAGGATTCCAGGCTGTACTGACCTTCTGTGGAATCTGGGCAAGGGCTGAGGCAATAAGATTGGCCTTTTCTTCTGTAAGGTTTTTGACCATTGATCCCAGAGAAAACACCACAACACCATTTTTACCTGAGCTCTGGATAAATTCTTCCATTTCCTGCATACATAATATATTTTCTATTACAAAGGTGTAGCATCATAAGAAAAAATAAGTTTACTTACACATTTAAGTAGGTAAAATTAAGATATATGTCAGAGAAACTGTTGAACTGTCTGTCTTCTGACATGTAGAAAGATCTAGTTTCTATATTTTTTTTTGGCAGAGTCTCGCTCTGTCGCCCAGGCTGGAGCGCAGTGGCATGATCTCTGCTCACTGCAACCTCACCTCCCCGGTTCAAGTGATTCTCACACCTCAGCCTCCTGAGTAACTGGGATTATAGTCTCATGCCATCGTGTCTGGCTGAGTTTTGTATTTTTAGTAGAGATGGTGTTTCACCATGTTGGCCAGGCTGGTCTCCACCTCCTGGCCTCCAGTGATCCACCTGCCTTGGTCTCCCAAAGTGCTGGAATTACAGGCATGAGCCACTGTGCCCAGTCAGAAATAGTCTCCTTAAGAGGAAACACGTCTCTGAAATGTATAACTTAAATATATAATCAGTGATTACAAGTCCAAGCATGAAAGCAAAACCATTACAGAAATGAACACTAAATAAGGGACAACTCTTCTCATGCTAACTGAAATTGTTACCCCCAAGGCTTAATTTAACCAATCAACAGGGTTGTTTGCAAACTCATAAAAACAGTTTTTGGAGGGAAGCCCAACAAAGGATACTGAGCTAGGCTTTTAAAATTGTTAGCATTCCAGTTATATCTAATAAAATTATTAATAAATTTATCGGTTCCTGTTAAGCATTCAAGATCATTTTCTCAACTGTATGCCTCCTTTGATTCATAGGTCTAAGAAAAAATTTGTTTAAAATGGCATCTAATTGTAACATATTTTAGAACAGGATAACAAAGTGCATCTCCAACTGTAATCACAATGATGCGTATGAGACAGTGCATCTCTTTCTTCTTGATGTATAAGCTGCCATGAGTGTGATGTTAGCTATGTGCCCTTAATTTGAGCCTTAAAGCAAAATTAAAATATAAATTTGTCTGCCAATAAAATTCCTTAGGTAATTACTTATAGTTTTGCAAATTTGACACTGCAAAATCTGAGATTAAGGCCTTTCACATCATATCTATATGAATGCTACTTTCTACAGATGTATCCTGCATTCCCTGTGCAAATATTTGTTGGGATCACACTGGAATCACTGATGTATCACTTTATGACTAGCCAAATAACTAGGGGAGGGTGATATCTTAAGTGAAAATAGATTGCTATTTTTGGCTTAGTTAATGTCAGGAGAATATTTCTGAAGTCCCAGGAATTGGTGCTTTGCCATTTTGATTTATTTTCCAAACAGATATTAATTCATTAAAATAACACACACACACACACACACAAACATACACATACACACAAACGTACACATCTATCATACTGATATGGATTTTTCATTTGACAGTCTCTTGTTGTTTTTGTATTCTGTGTACCCAGTGATTGGCGTAATTATTTCATCAGCAATATAACCCATGGTTGGTATTCATATTTCCCAAAGCCTATATCGATATTTATATTGATTGAATACATAATGGCATAATGTCTGCTATTGTAAAACATGGCTGATTTGTCTTTGTGAAATTGTGAGAATATGTGTATATGTGTGTGTTTGTGTAAAAAGTGGGTTTGGGAGGAAAAACATAATAGGGTGTCATGGGTCATTATCCAGTGACCTATGGATACGTCATGAATATTTCTGTGTCTTTATTTAGATATTGGTACATTATTTCCTATAATAAACATTCACTAGAGCTTGCCTGCAGCCATAACTTGACTGGCCAGAAAATCCTGAAATAAAATTTTTAGAATCCTGAAATAAAATTTTAAACTTAAATATGTCTGTTACTATAAACAGAAATTTAGTACTCTTATAGGAACCTGCAACTTTCTAAAAAGATTACATTTGCTTGTGTATAAACCAAGTAAATAATAGCCTGTTTCCTCACTCCTTATTGATAGTTAAATACATTGTTCCTACCATGTGTACCTGTACTCTATTTTGCTTCTCAACACTTTTTCTGTATAACATTTCTTATATTCCACATTTCTTTTCTGAAGACTTCATATTGTAGCATACAATTTCCTTCTCATGCCATAAAACCTGACACTATATTTATAAAGAACCAATACAACATTTGTATCTCTCAGTTTTATAATAGCTACTTTATGCTGATGAATCTGAATCTATTTCTAATGCTTCCTGCTTGAATTTACACTTTGTACTACCTAAATGATTTCTAGAAATTACCAAAACTCCTTTTTGTTCCTTACAGTAAATAGGTCAGAAACTAAACTCACCATTGTCAACTCAAAAGAGTTTTTTTTTTAACCAATTGTTTCCTAACAGTAGATGGCACAACTGTCTAATAAATTCTCAAGATTAAAACCTAAGAGCCCTGCCTTATTTCATTGTCTTTCTTCAATAATGACCTCTTACTCACCAAGTTAAATGGAATTCACCCAACAGTTTTCATGAAGACATCTTTATCTCTCAAGAAATTTGGTAAATATTACTGTTCATAATGCTATGTGGCTTGGTAAGACTAGGGCAGTATCCTTCGTAATTTCTATGATCTGGTTTTCTGTCCCACCAAGTCCAGTATCAAGGTGTAGACACACTGATATTTGTAACACACAGCTTTAATCATTTTATTCTTCAGTTTAAATTGTCAATGTAAAGTTCAAAACACCTAATATCACTTGTAGGAGACCTCTATCACAAGGAAAATAGATGTGGAGTAGCAAACTGAAATGTCCAGCAGCATTTATTTGTTATTGAGGCTATAAACTTTAAAAGAAAATTAAGTATTTTATTATGAAGAGCATAAAATCCTCCACTGTTGTAGACCTACCTTAGGTAAAGGTTTGGCAGGTTTGCAGTGCAATCCTCCAACAAACTCAAAATTAGGTAAGTATGGACGAGGAAATTCAAAATCCCAATATGTTCGGATTAACCAAATTTCAGCTTTCCCCATAGTCTCACATAACGTAGTGGGTCTTCCTGGAGAAAATGTAACAAGTTGGATGGAGGAAATTAGCTTATATGTTTGCTGAGGAGAAAAAAAAGCTACCAGTAATTTCCTGATAAGCTGTTAAGAAAAAACTGAATTAGGTCTTCTAGAATACTTATCATGTTTATATATTAAGAAGAAGGAGAAATTAAAGAGGATGGAAGAAAGGAAGGAGGAAGGAAGAAAAGAAGGAAGGAAGGGAGGAAGGGAGGAAGGCAGGCAAGCAGGGAGGGAGAGAGAGGAAAGCAAGGAAAAGTGAGAAAAAGGGAAGAAAGAGGTAGAAATAAAGAAAGAGAGAGAGAGAGGAAGAGAGAGAGATGGAGAAAAGGAGAAAGGGAAGAAGAGAGGGAGTAGAGTGGGGCCTGGGAAAGGAAGGAAGGAGGGAGGATTTTTTGTTAGTGAAAAAGAAGTAATGTGTAAGTGTAATTTCACAATAATAAATCAACCAAAATTAAACTATAACTACAACTACTGACAAATTAAACATTCATTTTCTCTCTTCAGTTAAATGCCAGATAAGTTTCTTCCCCAGGACAGCAAATCAGAGGCATTGCTAGCATGCCTCTCCCACTTGAAAAGACAATATAGTGAATAGAGAGACACACTGTGAATTTGTTTACAAGAAGCAACACAGAAACTTAACAGAAAAATAAAAGTAACCATAAACCCTTTGAAAAAAGTGGTGGGCAGCAGCCTATCCTGTGAGCCAGGTGAAAAACCATGAGTCCCCAGAGTGTGAGTGGGGAGAAACTGCCTCTGGGATATATACACCCACTGGGAAACCTGGCAATCCAGACCACGGGGAAATGCCTTAACCCTACCCAGTACTGGAGCTGCTTTAGTGAGCAGTGGGAAACACATGAGAAAGAGCAGCATCTGGACATGGTTTGTGTGCACTCCCAGACTCCAGCAGGGACAGAGAAAAGTCACTCCTAATCCTATATCACAAGGGACCTTGCGGAAGTCTGTCAACTAACTCAGGTTGTGGTCACAGGTTGAGAGAGCTCCCAACTGAGAATCACAGTACAATTTTGAGTGGGGACAAACTCCCTTTGGCCAGAATTGAGGAATGAGTAGGAAGTGTGCTATGGCCACAGGCACAAGAGATGGACATCCCTACTTTAGAGGAGCATGGCCTGAAAGCCACAGTTTCCATCTCAGTGGGTGTGTTAGGCCTTTCTCTTATTCCCATAAAGAAATACTTGAAACTGAGTAATTTATTTTTTTAAAAAGAGGTTTAATTGGCTTATGGTCCCATAGGCTGTACAGGAAGCATAGTGGTTTCTGCTTCTGGGGAGGCCTCAGGAAGCATCTAATCATGGCAGAAGGCAACAGAGCAGCAGGTTGTTTTGCATGATGGGAGCAGGAGCAAGAGAGAGAGTGAGGGCAAAGGTGCTATACACTTAAAAAAAAAAACAGATCTCGTGATAACTCACTCACTATCACAAGAAGAGTACCAAGGGAGGATGGCGCTAAACCTTTCATGAATACTCTACCCCCATGATCCAATCCTCTCCAATCAGGCCCCACTTCCAACATTGGGGATCACAATTTGACATAAGACTTGGGCAGAGACACAGATCTAAACCATCTCAGTGGGGAAGGCTTATGACCTGGGGCATTTTTGAGTTTTGAGAGGAGTGTGCCTGGAATCCAGTTACCTGATGCTAGTGGAATACTGCAAATGTGAGAACTGCCTTGCCAAGCATGTAGGAGCCAGGTGAGGTTTACTTCCTGCTGCTACACATACTCCCCATGTGGATTCTTCTGTGCAGCAGAGGCGGCTGCACTTCTCCCTGGAACATTACCCCAACAGCCAGAGAGCTTCCCTCTGATCCTCACTGTGACCACTACTCATGCCTACATAGGGGGAGCCAGAGCACAGACTTGACTGACCCAGCCTCGTGTTCTTGCTCCTGCACCTGCCCTGGTGGCTTAACAGAAAGGACAGAGAATTTGGGGAGCTCCATGCCCTTCCCCGCCCCCCGGAGTACTACTCCTGGGTAACATAAGGCAAGCACAAAACTCACTTCTACCACTACAATTGGAGCTCTTTTGCAAGTGCCACCTCTTGGCTAGAGGCCAACTGACAGTCCATTACAGCATCTGCAGGCATAATAACACAACCCCAAGAAGGAAAACACTTCTGCATGACCTCAGCTATCACTATTACCTGCATCACTTTGGGTAACCAGGAGGTCCTGAGTTTGTCCACATGCCAGTACGTTACTACCACAGCTGGCATTTGAGAAAGTCAACATTGCTAAGGCCAATAACCAAGGAATCTCACAAAGTCTATGTAACTCCCCTGCCACCCCTGTCAGAGCTGGTGCTGGTATCCACTGATGGGAGACTAGAGGACAGGTCATATCACTGGATCCCTTGCAGACATTCCCTAGCACCAGTCTGGGGTGTGACAGCCCTACTGGGTGGCCAGGTCTAGAGGAGCAGCAGCACTCATAGTAGTCTGGCCCTCAGAGACTCTTACTCTTGGGCAAAGGAGGGCTGTACCACAACCATGCAACTTGAGAAATTAAAGGGTAGAGTAAAACTAAGACAACTTGAATAATTAATATAATCAAGAAAAAGTATATTATTGAAATAGAAATCAAATTAAAAGTCAATCATACTCAAAAATAGATGCTGTTACAGTTAAAATGATTATCTGACTAAATCTAGTAATATTTTAACAAAAGATATGAAAAAGTTGGACTCATTATAGTAATGAAATGATAGCTTAAAACTGAAAAGTAGATAAGTTCACCTTATTAGAAGGTAAAAAGAGGAAAATCCTATCATCTCAAGCAATAAAAACAGTTGTTCATAATCTTGAAATTCTATTAGTAAACTACAAATAGAAAAGAATTTCTTTACACCAACAAAGGCACTCCAAACAAAAAAGTTTCATCAAATGTAACCTTTATGTTAAAATAGTAAGAGCATTCTTATCAAGACGAAAAAAAGTCAGTGGTATGTACTAATGACAACTTTAATTCAACAATACTTTACTGCAGTTAAACAAGAAAAACAATTTTTAGAATAACAAAGATTTAGGAGTTTATCTATCTATCTATCTATCTATCTATCTATCTATCTATCTATCTGATATCATGTTATGTAACAAATCCAAAACAATATACAGATAAATCTTCAGAATGAGGAAGAGAAGTTTTAATTTTGCTGAATGCAAAACTATAACATAGCAACTGAAATTTCTGTGCACAAGTAAACGAAGATTTAATTTAAAAACTAAATTTCCACTGAAAAACTTGGAATAGTTTTTACAAAAGTTACATAATCTATTCATGCTTATAATTGCAAAATTGTATTAAAACCCACAATAGAAAAGTAAATAGAGCTAACTTGTTCACAGATAAGAAGATCAAAATTCATAAAGATGTCCATTCTCTAAAATCAATTTATAGATTAATTATGAATCTTATTAAGGGTCAGGAGTTCAAGACCAGTGTGGCCAAGATGGTGAAACCCCGTCTCTACTAAAAATACAAAAAAATTAGCCGGGCGTGGTGGCAGGTGCCTGTAATCCCAGATACTCTAGAGGCTGAGGCAGAGAATTGCTTGAACCCGGGAGGAGGAGGTTGCAGTGAGCCAAGATCACGCCACTGCAATCCACCCTGGGTGACAGAGAGAGACTCCATCTAAAAAAAATAAAAAATAAATGAATAAATAAATAAATCTTATTAAAATTTCAAAATCACAAGTTTCATAAACCTTTACAATTGTTGTAGAACTTTATATGTGATTCTAAAATCCATACGGAAAAGCAAAGAGCCAAAAATAATCAAGGAACTCCAGATGAAGAGATACAAGAGGAAGGAATATTATTTTACCAGATATCAAGAACTAATATAAAGGAAAGCAGTTAAGATAGTGAAAAAAAACAAAACCACTTATGTAATGAAATTCATGAATGACAAAGATGCAGGCATGCAGGAAAAAATGTTTTCAATAAATAGTGATGGGACAGCTCCTTACCCAAAACCCCATCTCTACATCACCATCATCAAAGACCAAAGGTAGATAAAACCACAAAGATAGGGAAAAAACAGAGCAGAAAAACTGGAAACTCTAAAAATCAGAGTGCCTCTCCTCCTCCAAAGGAAAGCAGCTCCTCACACGCAACAGAACAAAACTGGACGGAGAATGACTTTGACGAGCTGAGAGAAGAAGGCTTCAAACGATCAAACTGCTCCGAGCTACAGGAAGAAGTTCAAACCCATGGCAAAGAGGTTAAAAACCTTGAAAAAAAATTAGACGAATGGCTAACTAGAATCACCAATGAAGAAAAGCCCTTAAAGGACCTGATGGAGCTGAAAACCAAGGCACAAGAACTACGTGACAAATGCACAAGCCTCAGTAGCCGATTCAATCAACTGGAAGAAAGGGTATCAGTGATGGAAGATCAAATGAATGAAATGAAGCGAGAAGAGAAGTTTAGAGAAAAAAGAATAAAAAGAAACGAACAAAGCCTCCAAGAAATATGGGACTATGTGAAAAGACCAAATCTACGTCTGATTGGTGTACCTGAAAGTGATGGGGAGAATGGAACCAAGTTGGAAAACACTCTGCAGGATATTATCCAGTAGAACCTCCCCAGTCTAGCAAGGAAGGCCAACGTTCAAACTCAGGAAATACAGAGAACGCCACAAAGATACTCCTCGAGAAGAGCAACTCCAAGACACATAATTGTCAGACTCACCAAAGTAGAAATGAAGGAAAAAATGTTAAGGGCAGCCAGAGAGAAAGGTCGGGTTACCCACAAAGGGAAGCCCATCAGACTAACAGCTGATCTCTTGGCAGAAACTCTACAAGCCAGAAGACAGTGGGGACCAATATTCACCATTCTTAAAGAAAAGAATTTTCAACCCAGAATTTCATATCTAGCCAAACTAAGCTTCATAAGAGGAGAAGGAGAAATAAAATACTTTAGAGACAAGCAAATGCTGAGAGATTTTGTCACCACCAGGCCCGCCCTAAAAGAGCTCCTGAAGGAAGCACTAAACATAGAAAGGAACAACCAGTACCAGCCACTGCAAAAACATGCCACATTGTACAGACCATCGAGGCTAGGAAGAAACTGCATCAACTAATGAGCAAAATAACTAGCTAACATCATAATGACAGGATCAAGTTCACACATAAGAATATTAACCTTAAACATAAATGGGCTAAATGCTCCAATTAAAAGACACAGACTGGCAAATTGGATAAAGAGCCAAGACCCATCAGTGTGCTGTATTCAGGAAACCCATCTCACGTGAAGAGACACACATAGGCTCAAAATAAAGTGATGGAGGAAGATCTACCAAGCAAATGGAAAACAAAAAAAGGCAGGGGTTGCAATCCTAGTCTCTGATAAAACAGACCTTAAAGCACCAAAGATCAAAAGAGACAAAGAAGGCCATTACATAATGGTAAAAGGATCAATTCAACAAGAAGAGCTAGCTGTCCTAAATATATATGCACCCAATACAGGAGCACCCAGATTCATAAAGCAAGTCCTTAGAGACCTAGAAAGAGACTTAGACTCCCACACAATAATAATGAGAGACTTTGACACCCCACTGTCAACGTTAGACAGATCAATGAGACAGAAAGATAACAAGTATATCCAGGAATTGAACTCAGCTCTGCACCAAGTAGACCTAATACACATCTACAGAATTATCCACCCCAAATCAACAGAATATACATTCTTCTCAGCACCACACCGCACTTATTCCAAAATTGACCACATAGTTGGAAGTAAAGCACTCCTCAGCAAATGTAAAAGAACAGAAATTATAACAAACTGTCTCTCAGACCACAGAGCAATCAAATTAGAACTCAGGATTAAGAAATTCACTCAAAACCGCTCAACTACATGGAAACTGAACAACCTGCTCCTGAATGACTACTGGGTACATAACGAAATGAAGGCAGAAATAAAGATGTTCTTTGAAACTAACGACAACAAAGACACAACATACCAGAATCTCTGGGACACATTCAAAGCAGTGTGTAGAGGGAAATTTATAGCACTAAATGCCCACAGAACAGAGCAGGAAAGATCTAAAATTGACACCCCAACATCACAATTGAAAGAACTAGAGAAGCAAGAGCATAACACATTCAAGACCTAGCAGAAGGCAAGAAAAAACTAAGATCAGAGCAGAACTGAAGGAAATAGAGACACAAAAAACCCTTTAAAAAATCAATGAATCCAGGAGCTGGTTTTTTGAAAAGATCAACCAAACTGATAGACCACTAGCAAGACTAATAAAGAAGAAAAGAGAGAAGAATCAAATAGATGCAATAAAAAATGATAAAGGGGATATCACCACCGATCCCACAGAAATACAAAGTACCATCAGAGAATACTATAAACACCTCTACACAAATAAACTAGAAAATCTAAAAGAAATGAATAAATTCCTTGACACGTACACCCTCCCAAGACTAAATCAGGAAGACATTGAATCTCTGAATAGACCAATAACAGGCTCTGAAATTGAGGCAATAATTAATAGCTTAGCAACCAAAAAAAGTCCAGGACCAGATGGATTCACAGCTGAATTCTACCAGAAGTACAAGGAGGAGCTGGTACCATTCCTTCTGAAACTATTCCAAGCAATAGAAAAAGAGGGAATCCTCCTTAAATCATTTTATGAGTCCAGCATCATCCTGATATCAAAGCCTGGCAGAGACACAACAAAAAAAGAGAATTTTAGACCAATATCCCTGATGAACATCGAGGCAAAAATCCTCAATAAAATACTGGCAAACCAAATCCAGCGGCACATCAAAAAGCTTACCCACCATGATCAAGTGGGCTTCATCCCTGGGACGCAAGGCTGGGTCAACATACGCAAATCAACAAACGTAATCCAGCATATAAACAGAACCAAAGACAAAAACCACATGATTATCTCAATAGATGCAGAAAAGGCCTTGAAAAAATTCAACAACGCTTCATGCTAAAAACTCTCAATAAATTAGGTATTGATGGGATGTATCTCAAAATAATAAGAGCTATCTATGACAGACCCACAGCCAATATCATACTGAATGGACAAAAACTGGAAGTATTCCCTTTGAAAACTGGCACAAGACAGGGATGCCCTCTCTCACCACTCCTATTCAACATAGTGTTGGAAGTTCTGGCCAGTGCAATCAGGCAGGAGAAGGAAATAAAGGGTATTCAATTAGGAAAGAGGAAGTCAAATTGTCCCTGTTTGCAGTTGACATGATTGTATATCTAGAAAACACCATCGTCTCAGCCCAAAATCTCCTTAAGCTGATAAGCAACTTCAGCAAAGTCTCAGGATACAAAATCAATGTGCAAAAATCACAAGCATTCTTATACACCAATAACAGACAAACAGAGAGCCAAATCACGAGTGAGCTCCCATTCACAATTGCTTCAAAGAGAATAAAATACCTAGGAATCCAACTTACAAGGGACGTAAGGACCTCTTCAAGAACTACAAACCACTGCTCAATGAAATAAAAGAGGATACAAACAAATGGAAGAACATTCCATGCTCATGGGTAGGAAGAATCAATATCGAGAAAATGGCCATACTGCCCAAGGTCATTTATAGATTCAATGCCATCCCCATCAAACTACCAATGACTTTCTTCACAGAATTGGAAAAAACTACTTTAAAGTTCATATGGAACCAAAAAAGAGCCCGCATTGCCAAGTCAATCCTAAGCCAAAAGAACAAAGCTGGAGGCATCACACTACCTGACTTCAAACTATACTGCAAGGCTACAGTAACCAAAACAGCATGGTACTGGTACCAAAACAGAGATAAAGACCAATGGAACAGAACAGAGCCCTCAGAAATAATGCTGCGTATCTACAACCATCTGATCTTTGACAAACCTGACAAAAACAAGAAATGGGGAAATGATTCCCTATTTAATAAATGGTGCTGGGAAAACTGGCTAGCCATATGTAGAAAGCTGAACCTGGATCCCTTCCTTACACCTTATACAAAAATTAATTCAAGCTGGATTAAAGACTTACATGTTAGACCTAAAACCATAAAAACCCTAGAAGAAAACCTAGGCAATACCATTCAGGACATAGGCATGGGCAAGGACTTCATGTCTAAAACACCAAAAGCAATGGCAACAAAAGCCAAAATTGACAAATGGGATCTAATTAAACTAAAGAGCTTCTGCACAGGAAAAGAAACTACCATCAGAGTGAACAGGCAACCTACAGAATGGGAGAAAATTTTTGCAATCTACTCATCTGACAAAGGGCTAATATCCAGAATCTACAATGAACTCAAACAAATTTACAAGAAACAAACAAACAAACCCATCAACAAGTGGGTGAAGGATATGAACAGACACTTCTCAAAAGAAGACATTTATGCAGCCAAAAGACACATGAAAAAATGCTCATCATCACTGGCCATCAGAGAAATGCAAAACAAAACCACAATGAGATACCATCTCACACCAGTTAGAATGGCGATCATTAAAAAGTCAGGAAACAACAGGTGCTGGAGAGGATGTCGAGAAATAGGAACACTTTTACACTGTTGGTGGGACTGTAAACTAGTTCAATCATTGTGGAAGTCAGTGTGGCAATTTCTCAGGGATCTAGAATTAGAAATACCATTTGATCCAGCCATCCCATTACTGCGTATATACCCAAAGGATCATAAATCATTCTGCTATAAAGACCCATGCACACGTATGTTTATTGCAGCGCTATTCACAATAGCAAAGACTTGGAACCAACCCAAATGTCCAACAATGATAGACTGGATTAAGAAAATGTGGCACGTATACACCATGGAATACTATGCAGCCATAAAAAATGATGAGTTCATGTCCTTTGCAGGGACATGGATGAAGCTGGAAACCATCATTCTCAGCAAACTATCTCAAGGACAAAAAAACAAACACTGCATGTTCTCACTCATAGGAGGGAATTGAACAATGAGAACATATGGACACAGGAAGGGGAACATCACACACCGGGGCCTGTTGTGGGGTGGGGGGAGGGGGGAAGGATAGCGTTGGGAAATATACCTAATGTTAAATGATGAGTTAATGGATGCAGCACACCAACCTGGCACATGTATGTAACTAACCTGCACGTTGTGTACATGTACCCTAAAACTTAAAGTATAATAAAAAGAAAAAGAAAAAAAGAAAATAGGTAGGCTGAGAGGGAGTCAGGGAAGAAGGAAGGAGGGAAAAAATGAAAAAAATGCAAAGAAATGGACTCAACTCTGCAAAATACACACAAAAAATAATTTATTTTATTATCATTATTTTTAGAGACAGAGCTTCACTCTTGTTGCCCAGGCTGGAGTGCAGTGGCGCCATCTCAGCTCACTGCAACCTCTGCCTCCTGGGTTCAAGCCATTCTCCCACCTCAGCCTCCTGAGTAGCTGGGACCACAGGCACATGCCACCATGTCCAGTAATTTTTGTAAAAAATAAATAATTTTAAACAAATTTATATGTTTAAAGTAAAAGCAAAACCATAGCTTCTATTAAGACAGCATAAAAATCCTTTTTTTAATTTCATAGTAGAAAAGGATTTCCTCAGGAACATAAAGAAAAATTATAAAGAGTATGATTAATATATTCACTTCCATTAAATTTAAAATCTACGATTCATTATCTGATATTAAAAGATAATGAGAAAACCATCATAAACTGTAGGAAGATATCTGCAATATATAAAACTGGCTCAGGCTCATCTAGAATATATAAGATTTTTTTTTTTTTTTGACACAGCGTTTTTCTCTGTCTTCCAGGCTGGAATGCAGTGGTGCCAACACAGCTCACTGCAGCCTTGACCTTATGAGCCCAAGAAATCCTCCTACCTCAGCCTCTCAGTAGCTGGGACCAGAGGTGCACAACACCAAACCTAGCTATTTTTTTCTTTTCTTTTCTACTATTTTTTATTTTTCAGTTTTAATTTTTTGTTTGTTTGTGTTGTAGAGATGATGTCTCTCTCTGTTTCCCTGGCTGGCCTCAAACTCCTGGGCTCAAGTGATATACCTTGGCCTCCTAAAGAG
This sequence comes from Homo sapiens, assembly GCF_000001405.40. Taxonomy (NCBI): domain Eukaryota; kingdom Metazoa; phylum Chordata; class Mammalia; order Primates; family Hominidae; genus Homo; species Homo sapiens. The sequence continues at coordinate 69,609,462 of NC_000004.12, forward strand.
CTGGGATTACAGGTGTAGCAATCATTGAGTTGTAGACTGAAACTGTAAATTTTAAAGCATGTAAATTATATCTCAATACAACTGTTAATAAAAGTCAGTAAATGAATTGAATAGTTTGCAGAACAATGGGAAATATAACACCCTACTCGTGAAAGTATAAACTAGTATAATGTCTCTGAGATGAGATTATTTATACCTATACATATTTCTATACCTATACCCACACCTATACCTATACCTATACCTATACTTATTGGGTGAAAATAAATGGTTTATATCCTGTAAATACAATTGTTCTTCTGGAACAGGAGACACATAGCAAATGTTCACTGCATTCCACAAAAAAATTACAGTCAATTGTCAATTGACAGAATGTCATGCTATAGTCACCTGATGGAAAACTGTCATAGAACTTGGGGAAAAATAAAAAGGAAATACATGATTGTATCTCTACACTAATGTTGAGCATAAGTAGAAATTCTACATATGTGTTTGTATACATTTCAAAAAACTAAATAATAGAATGTTGAGGAAATAACATATAACTAGCAGACCTATAAAGTTTTTAAAGAGAATGTTAAAACCAGTCAGGCTTCTGGTTTCCATTGGAAGAATCATGTTTCTAATACTGGCAGCAAAACTTTACACTCATGTATTAGCAAAGTTGATATAGTTTCTAAAAGTGGAAAATACATGCATATTTTAAAAGATATATAAAATATTTTTAAATGTGCAAAAATTAAAGTTCATGAGTCAATCTTGCATTGTTCTAATTCTGCCATTACAAAAAAAAAGTTGCATTGAATTCATTGTCCTTATGTCTCTAGTATGAAGCACCCTAAAATTGCTTAATCATTTAGCATTTACCCTCAGACATTTTCTGGGGCAGGGTACAAATCATTTCATTTTCTATCTGGCCATTTATCTTCTTGACTTGTAACTGTTAGGGCATTTTAGGTAATTTAAGCCTTTTTCCTGTGTTATGTATTACAAATATTTTTTTCAGTTGACTTATGAACCAATTAATATTATGCACCCTTTAAAACTTTAAACACAAACTTTAAATAATCTGTTTTAAAAATCAGTGTTATGAATTGAATTGTACTCCCCTAAAATTTGTATATGAAGCCTGACTGTATTTGAAGATAAGGCCTTTAGAGATAATTAAGCTTAAAGAGTTCAAGGGTGGGTCTCTAATCCATTATGACTAGTGTCCTTCCAAGAAGAGGAAGTGACACCAGGAATGCCCATATGCAGAGAAAAAGCTATATGAGAATATAAGATGGTGGCCATAAAAACTTCAAGAAAAAACAGACCTGGCAAACCCTGATTTTGGACGTCTAGCCATCAGAACTGTAAGAAAATAAACCTTTGTTATTATTAGTTCTTGTATTAGTTTGCTAGCACTGCTACAGCTACACACCACTGGTTAGGAAGTTAAATTAGCTAATCTTTTTCATACCCAGTATAACCTTTGGTTTGTTAGTTCACATTTCCTTATGATTCTTAAAGATAATAGTTGGAGTGGAAGTCTACCTCAGTTCATGGATTTAGATGAAAGCTGTGTACATAAAAATTAGAAAGCAAAACCATTATTTAGCAGAATAGGCAAATAATTTTAAAATAGGTAGAATAAATGTTATCAGTGAAGTAAAAAAAGAAATCTACTGTTTTTTGGGTTTTTGTTTTTGTTTTATTTTTTGAGACAGAATCTTGCTCTGTCACTCAAGCTGGAGTGCAGTGGCACCAACACAGCTCACTGCAGTCTCGACCTCCTGGCTTCAAGCAATCCTCCTACCTCAATCTCCCAGTAGGTCACCTCCAAGTCCAGCTATTCTTAATGCTATTAATTTCTGCCAAATTTTTAAAAAGTCAGAAACAACAAAATACAGCAGGGTCATAAAAGTACTCTAAGAAAATAGAGGTAACATTATAGTCTCAGAGAATGGAAGTCCTTTTCTACAAGATAACCCAGAAATGATAAGAAAAAAAAACTAATAAATGTATGCACACACTATGACAAGGTTCATAATATATTATGAAATACTTTAAATGAAGAGTAATGCTACATGATATAGCTCAGAGTTTTTTTCTCCAAATCTGTGTGTTAGCATAGAAATACTTCTAAATTATTTTATTTGAGAAAACGAAGGTCTAACAGGGATTGCATAAATTTAAAACTATGGGATTATTTTTCATTAGGCTGGGTTAAATATAAAATTGTTCCCTTTACAAATCACTTTTGAGTAAGCAAGAAAATAAAAATCAGCACACTGCCAAAACAAAGTAAAAACATGAATTCTGAAATACACAATTTAGTAAAACTTGAATGGTTCATTCTGAAGATACACAGTATGTTTTAGGGTGGGAAAGTAGGAAAGCCTAATGGATTGCCCTAGTTTCCCTCATTACACATACGCATTCACATAAGTTCAACTCCCCAAATCTACCCTCACTCTTACAAATAAATTCCATTACATGGAAATGTATAGCAAGAAAAATTTCCTCTGTTGACTTGTCCCTGTGTGGAAGAAAAATATATTCTCTCAGAATTAACATAGTCAGCACTCATGTGAAGTTCCAGTTAAAATTCAAGCTAGAAAAGCATCTTGGAAGAAACTGACACTAGCCTCAAAGCCTTCCCACAGATCAAATTCCAAGGTTAATAGGCAGCTCCTGTTTACCGAGAAACAAGACTTCATGTATGAAAATCAGCAAAAGTAACAGAGACTAGAAATATTAATATAATTATTTCAAATATTAGAATTATTTGAAATAGAATATAAAATTATTCCATATACTATCGTGAGTTGGAAGATAGCTCATGAGTTGGAAAAATCAGTATCGTTAAAATGGCCAAATTGCCCAAAGTAATTTACACATTCAATGACATTCATGTCAAACTACCAAAATCATCACATAATTAGATAAAAACTATTCTAAAATTTATATGGAACCAAAATAAAGTGAGAATAGCCAAAGTAAAGAACTAAGCCGAAAGCACCATACTACCCAACTTCAAACTATAAGACTACAGTAATTTAAAAAGCATGGTACCAGTTTGAAAAGAGACAGATAGACGAATGGAGCAGAAAACAAAACTCATTAATAAAGCCACACAAAACCATTTGATTTTTCACAATATGGACAAAAACAAGAAATAGGGAAACCACTCCCTATTCAATAAATGGTGCTGGGATAACTGGCTAGCCATATGCAGAAGAAAGAAACCGGATTGTCACAATTTACCCTATAAAAACATTAATGGAATGTGGATCAAAGATTTAAATGGAAGACCTCAAAGTATAAAAATCTTTGAAGAAAACCTAGGATATTATGTATTGACATCAGCCATGGCAAAGAACTTTTGGCTAAGTCCTCAAAAGCAATTGCAACTGAAACAAAAATTGACATGTGGGGCATAATTAAATAAAGAACCTCTGCAGAAAAAAAAAAAAACTATCCAGAGAGTACAAAGACAACCTACATAATGGGAGAAAATATTTACAAACTATTCATTTAATAAAGGTCTAATATCCAGATTATATGAAAAATTTAAACAGGTCAACAAGCAAAAAACAAATAACCTCACTAAAAAAGACAGGCAAAAGACATGAATAGACACTTCACAAAAGAAGACATACAATCAACCTGCATACGAAAAAATGTGCATTATCACTAATCATCAGAGAAATGTGAATCAAAATCATAATGATATATAAAACAGACATATAGACATATAACAGACATATAGACCAATGGAATAGAATAACTAGAAGTAAACAGATACCTAGACATATATAGCCCATAAGACTGAAGTGTGAAGAAATCCAAAACCTGAACGAGGCATTATCAAATAATGAGGTAAAGCAGTGATAAAAATTCTCCTATCCAAGTAAAGCCCAGGACCTGAAGACTTTCACTGTTGAATTCTACCAAACATTTGAATAACTAATGTCAATTCTACTGAAACTATTCAAAACATGGTTGAAATATGTTCCAAAACATAGTATTCCAACTATGTTTGGAATACCAAAACCAAAGACACAACAACAGTAACAACAACAACAACTACAGGCCAATATCTGTGATGAACATAGACACAAACATCTTAACAAAAATTTAGCAATCTGAATTCAACAACATATTAAAAAGATCATTCATCATTATTACATGTGATTTATCTCATGGATGCAAAAATTTTTCAACATATGCAAATCAATAAATGTGATACATCTTATCAACAGTACCAGGACAAAATCCATATGATTATTTTATTTGATGATGAGAAAAATATTTGAGAACATTAACATCTCTTCATGATTAAAAACTCTCAAAACAACTGAGTATAGAAGGAACATAGCTCAACATTATAAAAGCCATAAACCGCAAACCTACAGGTAGCATCATATTGAATGAGTACAAATTGAAAGCCTTTCTTCTAAGATCTGGAAGAAGAGTAGGATATGTGCTTTCACAACTTTTACTTAACATCATAGTAGTAGTCCTAGCCAGAGCAATTAGACGAGTGAAAGAAGTAAAGGGCATTCAAATTATAAAGAAAATAAAGTCAATTATTCTTATTTACAAAAAATATGATCTTGTATCTAGAAAAACCTAACAACCTCACCAAAAACTGTTTTAAGCTGATAAACCCATTCAGTAGTTCCAGGACACAAAATCAACATACAAATATCAGTGGCATTTCTATATGCCAACAGTGAACCATATGTTAAAAAAGGAAGTAATCCCATTTGCAACAGCTACAAATAAAATAAAATACCTAAGAATAAACTGAATCAAATACGAGAAATATATCTACAATGAAAACTACAAAATATGGATGAAAAAGATTGAACAGGACAGAAAAAAATGAAAATGTTTTCTGTTCATAGAATAGAGGAATCGAAAGCATTAAAACGTCTATAGCACCCAAAACAAGTTACAGATTCATTGCAATCCCTATCAAAAGACCAATAAAATTCTTCACAAATTAAAAAATATATATATATCTAAACTTTGTATGGAACCACAAAAGACCAGAATAGCCAAAGCTATTCTGAGCAAAAAGAACAAAGTTGGAGGAACTACATTACTTGACTTCAAATTATACTTCAAAGCTAGTAGCCATAACAGCATGGCACTATTATAAAAAAAGACATATAGACCAATGGAATAGAATAATGGACACAGAAATAAATCTGTACATCTACAGTAAACTACCTTTCAACAAAGCTGCCAAATACATACATTGGGAAAGGAATGGACTCTTAATGGTGCTGGGAAGCTAGGTATCTATATGTAGAACAATGAAAGTGGACCTCTGAGTAGTCTGTTCTCACATTACTATAAAGAACTATCTGACACTGTAGTTTATAAAGAAAAGAGGTTTAATTGACCCACAGTTCCACAGGCTGTACAGGAGGCATGGTTGGGAGGCCTCAGACAACTTACAATTGTGGTGGAAGGGCAATGGGGAAGCAAGCACATCTTCACATGGTGGCAGGAGAGAGAAAGAGATAAGGGGAAATTGCTACACACTTTTAAACAGCTATATCTCATGAGAACTCACTATCACAAGAAGAGCAAGTGGAAAACCAGACCTCATGATCCAATCACCTTTCAACAGATCCCTCCCCCAACATTTTGAATTACAATTCAACATGAGATTTGGATGAGGACACAGGAGACAAACCATATCAATCTCTATCTCTCACCATACACAAAAATCAAATCACCCTGAAAAATTAAATCACTCTAATTTAAATCTAATCTTTCTAATCTTTAAGTTAAATCTCACTGATTTAAAACCCGAAACTTTGAGGAAACACTAAGACAATGTTCTGGGCAGATTTGATTAATAAGACCTCAGAAGCACAGCCATCCAAAGCAAAAATGGACAGATGGGATCACATCAACCTCAACCGAAAAAGCTTCTGCACATTAAAGAAAACAATCAACAAACTGAAGAAACAGTCTACAAAATGGGAGAAAATATTTTCCATGTACCCATCTGACAAGGGATTGATAAGTAGAATATATCAGCAGCTCAAACAATTCAAAAAGAAAAGAATGAGTAATCAAAAAGAAATGGATAAAAGATCTGAATAGACGTTTCTCAAAAGAACAACCAACAGGCAAGTGAAGAAATGGTCAACATCACTATTCATCAAAGAAATGCAAGTAAAAACTATAATGAGATATCATCTGAGCCCAGTTCAAATGGCTTTTACCACCCTGACCCCGCCGCAAAAACAAACAAGCAAACAAACAGACAGACAAAAAAACAGGCAATAACAAATGCTGGTGAGGATATGGAAAAAGGGAACCCTTGTGCACTGTTGGTGGGAATATAAAATTGGTGCAGCCACTATGGAGAAGAGTGTGGATATTTCTCAAAAAACTAAAAATAAAACTACCATATGATCCGACAATCACACTGCTGGGTATATATCCAAATAAAGGAATCAGTATATCAAAGAAATATCTGTACACCCATGTTTATTGCAGTACTGTTCCCAATAGCCAAGATATGGAATCAACCTATATGTGCATCAATGGGTGAATCAACGGACAAGTGAAAATCCCGTCATTTGCAATAACTTGGATGAATCTAGAGTTTCCTCCAGTTAAGTCAAATGAAATAAGCCAGGCGCGGAAAGACAAATATGCCGTGTTTTCACTCACATGTGGAAGCTAAAAACAATAATTAACGAATGAAGATATAGAGAAGATATAGAGTAGAGAGATGGTTACCAGAGGCTGGGAAAGGTCTTGGGGGGTGGGGAGGGTATAAAGAGGGCATGATTAATAGCTACAAAAATATAGTTAGAATGAAAAAATCTAGTGTTTGATAGCACAATAGGATGACTATAGTTAATAATAATTTGTGTGTTTTAAAATGACTAAGAGTGGAATTGGAATTTTCCTAACATAGAAAAGATAAATGTTTGAGGTTATGGATATCCCAATTATCCTGATTTGATCATTACACATTTTAAGCTTTCATCAAAATGTCACATTTCCTGTAAATCGATACAACTATTATGTATACATAATAATTAAAAATGAAAACTTAAACAATTATAACATGTACCCCACCAACAAAAAGGAACTGAAGTGTTTGCAACTTCCAGTTTACCATTTCCTGTAAAGCCACTGGCTTACCCATTCAATTAATTTGAGAGAAATGAAGCCAGAAAAAATTGATAATTTTATCTTCTAACTAGGATTTGCGATAGTTCATTTAGGGAGATAAGAAATGGAAAAGTATAAGCTATAAATCCTCCATTTAGTTGGAACTGTAGCTTCTCATTATAATAAAAATCAAAAGCTAATGACACTTTCTAAATTTCTCTGCCATTTTCTTTTCTTTTTTTTTTTTTTTTTGAATAGTGGTTTCTAAGTTTCATTTTCCCACTTGAAATTGCCTCTGTGTATGTGGCATCTATAATCAATGACAATGGAGGAAAGAAATATCTGCATAAGTTTCTGCCCATGCTTTTTCCACTACTGTTTTGTAGTTAAAATGTAGGTGAATGAGAAATATGTAGCTGGTGGAAATAGGATATAATTTCAGTTTCCAATTGCCAGGAAATTCTCAACTTCTCTGATCTTGATTTCTTCATCTGTAAAATAAAGTTAGAATTACAGAACTATTGTTAGTATTCAACAATAAACTATGTGTAAAAGCACTTTCAAAACTATAAAACAAAAATGTGCATCCTTTGGCAGTTGCTAAATGTAGTCCTTAGGTTAAAGTTAAATCTCACTTGAGACTTTCTTTTTCTTCAAGCAGTTTATCAAGCTTTAGGATCTGCTGCCCTCCTATGGATGATGGTTGATAGTGCTGAATAAGTATGGTGAGTCCAAATTATTAGGAGTTTAATAATTTTGTTGACGGCGTAAAAATAAAGTTCATTTAGATCTACTTATGTTTATACAAAGATATAATATATATGTTTATAACATGTAAGAAATGTATATTATAAAACAAATTATGTGTACGTATATACGTAGACGTACAAAACCAAGATGAACACACACAACATATTTAATAGGAAATATTGTAGCCATTCTCTAAGCACTAGTTTCCTTCATATTCAGGAAGAAAGACTGTTTCAAATTAGGGCTAGTGCTATCTATAAGTTAAAATAATGATATAAATACATTAAAAGTTTAAGTAGATTTCATTAGCAACATACAGGGTCCATTAAGACGTTCTTTAAAATACTAAAATAATATAAATTATTATTCATTATTGGGAGTTAACATTTCTAAAAATATTGCCATTATAATACACTTACTATCTAGGATTTTCTGATGTAATTTTCAAGATAGTTGAAATAAAATATAACTAGGTTTCAAAATAAAACAGGGCAATAATTGTCTTATGTAAAAATCTTCAATACTTAGTTTCCTGAGGAAGAAACAAAACCGACACAGTAACAGTAACAACAAAAATGAAAAACAAGACTTTACAATCCTAACATTATTGTGTTCAAATATGTCTTTCGGAAATCATTCACATTTGGGATTTAATGAGAGAAAATTTTCCAGGCCTTAAGAATTTATTTGTTTGACATCATTTAATTATGAGTCTAAATAGATTCAAATTAAATAAAAATTAGATTACATGTTTTTATATAGATATTTAGTATCCGTGTACGTAATCATCATAATTCTATGAGAAAATATTATTTCACAGATAAATAGGCCAGTAAGCATGTGTGTGTGTGTGTGTGTGTGTGTGTGTATGTTTGTGTGTGTGTGTGTGTATGTGTGTGTTGAAGGGGGAAGAATGTATTACATTTGGTAAGTCTGGTTACAGTTCTCTTAAAAATGTTTTTGGGGCATTAAATTAAGTCCAACCAGTAACCCCAGGAACTCATACTAATCAATCTAATTGGGAGATTCCACTACAGGTTGGCAAAAGGCTTTGTCACAAGAGAAGAGATTTAAAAAGCACAAAAATGTCTTGGTGAATTCTAACACATTTCTAACTTTGTTTATTGAAAGGGTCTTTGTCTATTTCTGCTGCCAAAAATAAATTTATTTTAACCATGTGGCCGTTGAATGAGAATTTAAACAGACCATATTAATAATATTTTGAAATAAGTTTTCATGTGTAAGTACACAAAGATTGTATATTGACCATTAATTCCTGAAACCCTCGATACAGTAAAATCTTTATGCTTTTCAGATTCAACTTTGGTTAAAATTTCTTTAAAAGTGTAATTCTAAGTTCAATCAATTCTATGATTATATCAATCAATGTAGAAAAGCCTTAAGTATACTCCAATACCTTTATTGGTTAAAAAATAGAAGTGAACTTTCTTAGACAGATGAAAATTATGAAACAACTATTAAATGACAAAAAAACAAACAAAATAAGACCAGCAAGAAACCAAACTTCGGAAAATTTTCTACTCAACATTGAAAGGTTAGAAGAAATTTTTTAAAAACTCAGGATCAAGACAAAGATGTTGTTTAACATACTTTAAATTAATGTTGAATTTTATAATTTAATTATGCAATAATATATGGAAAAAAGTTATATATTATACAATATATGTATATACATTTGTAAATGTAGGAATTTATTTATATCAGAAAAAAGTTTATCAATATTGATAGATACAATTTTAATATACAGGCCACCTGATGTGCTTCATGCCTACAATCCCAGTACTTTGGTAAGCCAATACAGGAGGATTGCTTGAGCCCAGGAGTTTGAGATCAGCCTGAGCAACACAGGGAGACATATCTCTATAAAAATAAAAATAAAAAATTAGCCAAGTGTGGTGGTGCATGCGTGTAGTCCAGCTACTTTGGAACTGAGGTGGGAGAATTGCTTGAGCCTGGGAGGTTGAGACTACAGTGAGCCAACATCAGTGGCACTGTACTTCAGCCTGGGTGACAGAGCAAAATCTTGTCTTAATGCATACATACATAAATACATAAAATAAAATAAAATAAAATAAATAAAGCCAATATACAAAAGTAAATTGCAGTCTTACATACCCCATACAAACAAAAGTGAAATTTTAAAATAACGTTAAAGAAGACTCTAAAAATAATGATATACCCAGAAATAAATCTAACATAAAAGGAATATAATCTTTTTCAGGTGAATTATTCCATTTGTGTGAAACTTAAACACATTCTAAAACCTGTGATAAAAAATAATGAACTCAGAATCATCCTGTTACCAAAATCTGGCAGAAACACAACAAAAAATAAAATAAAATTCAGGCCAACAACCTTGATGAATATTGATGCAAAAATCCTCAACAAAATACTTTCAAACCAAATGCAGCAGCATATCTAAAAGCTAATCCATGACAATCAAATAGGCTTTATCTGCAGAAGGCAAGATTGGTTCAACATACACAAATCAATACATGTGGTTCATCATGTAAACAGAAACACAAAAACCACAAGATTACCTCAATAGGCACACAAAAGGCTTTTGATACCTTTATGCAAAAACTCAATAAACTAAGCATTGAAGAAACATACCTCAAAATAATAAGAGACATATATGACAAACCCCCAGCCAACACCATACTGAATGGGGAAAAGCTGTAAGCATTTTCCTTATAAACTGGCAAAGACAAGTATGCCCTCTCTCACTACTCCTATTCAACATAGTACTGGAAGTCCTTCCAGAGCAATCAGGCAAGAGAAAGAAATAAAAGGCATCCAAATAGGAAGAGAGAAAGTCAAACTTTCCTGGTTCACACACAACATGATTCTATATGTAGAAAACCCCATAGTCTCAGCCCCAAAGCTGCCTGCACTAATAAAAAACTACAGTAAAGTTTCAGGAAAAAAAATCTATCTACAAAAATCACTGCCATTCCTATACACCAACAGCGAAGCAGAGAACCAAATCAGGAAGGCAATCCCATTCACAATTGCTAAAAAAGAATAAAATGCCTAGGAATACAGCTAACCAGGGAGGTGAAAGATCTCTACAATGAAAATTACAAAACACTGCTCAAAGAAATCAGAGATGACACAAACAAATGAAAAAACATTTCATGCTCATAGATAGGAATAATCGATATCATTAAAATGGCCATATAGTTCAAAGCAATTTAGAGATTCAAGGCTATTCATATTAAACTATTAATACCATTCTTCACAGAATTAGAAATAAAAAACTATTTTAAAATATATATATGGAACCAAAAAAAAAAAAGAGCCACAAAAGCCAAGGCAATGCTAAACAAAAAGAACGAAGATGGAGTCATCACACAATCCAACTTTAAACTATACTACAGGGCTACAGTAACCAAAACAGTATGGCACTGGTACAAAAACAGAAACATAGACAAAGGAAACAGAATAGAGAGCTCATAAATAAGGCTACACACCTAACAACCATCAGATCTTCTACAAAACTGACAAAACCGACAAAACCAAGCAATAAGAAAAGGATTCCCTATTCAATAAATGGTGCTGGCATAAATGGCTAGCCATATACAGAATACCAAAACTGGACCCCTTTCTTACACCATATACAAATATCAACTCAAGATGGATTAAAAACATAAATGTAAAACCCAAAACTATAGAAACCTAGAAGACAACTTAGTCAATACTATCCTGGACATAGAAAAAGGAAATATTTTATGACAAAGATGCCGAAAGCAATCACAACAAAAGCAAAATTTGACAAATCATATCTAATTAAACTTAAGAGCTTCTGCACAGCAAAATAAACTATCAACAGTAAACAGACAATCTACAGAATGAGAGAAAATATTTGCAAAGTATGCATCTGACAAAGATCTAATATCCAGTATTTACAGGGAATTTAAACAAACTTACAAGAAAGAAACAACCTCATTAAAAAGTGGGCAAAGGACATTAACAGACAGTTTGCAAAAGAAGACATACATGCAACCATCAAGTATATTAAAAAGCTAAAAGCTAAATACCACTGATTATTGGAGAAATGAAAATCAAAACCACAGTGAGATACCATTTTATGTCAGTCAGATTAGCTTTTATTAAAAAGTAAAAAAAATAACAGATGCTGGCGAGGTTGCAGAGAAAAGGAAACAGCTATAAATGGTTGGTAGAAGGGTAAATTAGTTCACCCATTGTGGAAAGCAGTGTGGTGATTCCTCAAAGCCTTAAAAACAGAACTACCATTAAACCCAGCAATCCCATTCCTGGGTATACACCGAAAGGAATATAAATCATTCTATCATAAAGACACATGCATGTGAATGTTCATTTCAGCATGATTCACAATAGCAAAAACATGAAGTCAACCTAAATGCCTATCAACGACAGATTGGATAAAGAATGTGTGGTATATATGCATCATAGAAAACTACACAGCCATAAAAAGGAAAGAGAACATGTTTTTTGCAGGAACATAGATGGAGCTGGGGGGAGGGTCATTATTCTTAGCAAACTAATGCAGACACAGAACACCAAATACCACATTCTCTCACTTACAAGTTAGAGCTAAATGATGAGAACTCATGGACACAAACAGGGGAACAAGAGACAGTAAGGCCTACTTGAGGGTGGATGGTGGAAGGAGGAAGAGGAAGAGAAAATATAACTATTGAGTACTAGGCTTAATACCTGGGTCATGGAATAGTCAGTACAACCAACCCCTGTGTACCACATTACCTGTGTAACAAACCTGCACATGTACTCCTGAACCAAAAGGTTTTTATTTTTTTAAATAAAAAATTTAACATATGAGCTTAAAATAGCCAAGAGAAATTGAAAGAAAAAAGTTATGAATACTTACCAAAACATATGTCAAAATACATAACAAAGTAATAATATAATGTATAACACCACAAAGATGGGAAATTGGCATACAAAAAGTTAGAGATCAAAACATATTTATAGCTAATATGCCAGTGTATTTCATACAACTGAGAAATGGGAAAAAATACGAATTATTTAATTAATTATCTGAAACAATTCTTAACTACATAGAAAGTAAAAGAGAACTGTATTTTTATGTGTAAGAAAACCAATTACAAACTCACTAAATAAATAGATTTGAAAACAATTGTTTTTATGTGTTATCTATATAATAGACTCAGGGAATCTATATAATGGATACAATATACTGAATGAATAATATATTATATCTTAATATTATATATGCATTGGATATTGTACTGCCAGTTCTTGGTCTCGAGGCTCAAAGGTGAGGGGGGCATGCATTGAGGATTTCATGTGTTATGAACTTCAATTCTATACTTGATGTCTAGGCAATGTGATGCTGCTATTGTCTAGCAAAGAGAAGGAAATCTTCACATGACCCATAGGGTCAACAGGAATATAGACGTTCAAGGTCCTCAAACACATTCATCCAGCGGTCCACATCCTATGTCTTGGCTTCGGTGTAGGACATTTCCTGACAAAAATTGCTAAAAATTCAGCCTCATTTATAATTCTGCTAAGCCAACAATTAGGTCTTGGCTATAATTTTCAACACAGTCCACCCACTTGCTATGGGTCATAAAGGTCTCTTTAAAAATTGTCATGGGTGTGTTCTACTTTATATTGTGTCCTGAGTTATACATGTCTGAATTAATTGAAATTTTCTACCTTCTGTTACTGAAGGCAATAAACACAGATAACAGCTACATAATTCTTACAATTATTATTGCTTCCACACTTCTCAATTGTTGATTTGGCACAAGCTAGTCCATCCTCTTCCATCTGTTCCTCATGACAATTCATCAAAAATGAAAATCGTAGTAATTGTGATTGTACTGCATGCCAAGTGATACCACTACCCCATTTCTACCAGTAATGTAGTCTCTACAGCTATCTAGCCTAGGATTACTACAATGTAACACTCTGTTTTGAGTTCCCCAAGAAACAGACGCTGAGAAAAGAATTTGAATACAAGTAATTTTTGTGAGAATCATCTCGAAGTAACACCACAAAGGCAGTGGATAAAATGGGATAGGGAAAAGACAAAAGCCAATATGAATGCATTACCAAGTCACTTGCCACTGCAGGAAACTGTGCATACATGTAAAAAAATAGCATAATATTTAACAGAATAGTTTATATAAATATTTTTAAAATATAAAATAATATTTTACATTATTTAATGATAGATACAAAATGTACAAAGACATACAACAGATGCAAAGAATTGAAGTCACAGTTTTAAAGAGCAAATGAGCAGCCAAGGTATAAAAAATTCTATAGTAATATTTAATTTCTTCAGATGGCTATCAAATATATTAGGATTCATCTCAAGTTAGTGTAAAATTATATGTAATACATTATAAAAATAATTTAAATAAAACCTTTGAGATAAAGGTAGAAAATTGAGCTTAATGCTTTTTAAAACAGATTCATTTGAAAGTAAATTAAATAAAAATAAAGACTTGAGCAAAAGCATTTCAGAAAATACAAACAAGAAAGATAAAGATTTTACAAAATTAATGCTGGCCAGAATGCCCAGGACAAGCACCTTAAAAAAGCATCTTATAGATTGTGAAATGTAACAAAAACATGTAATTTTCACAAATTATTTTTCCATGAAAAATATGAACTCTGTTATTTCCTCATTTATTTTCTGTGTGCTTGTATTATCAATTACTGAGAGAGGACCATCATAATCTCCAAGTATAAATGGGAATCTGTCTATTTCTCCTTTAATTTTCATCAATTTACTTTCTTTACGTTGATCCTCTTAGGTACACACATATTTGTGATTATTATGTCTTCTTGATGAATTTAACACCTTTACTTATAAAATGACCTTTATTCTCATAATAATCATTTCTCTGAAGGTCTAATTTATCTAATATTAATGCAGCCACTCCACCTTTACTTTACTGTTAGTATCATAGGTATATTCTCATTTTATTTTTCACCTTTTTCTTTATGAGTTTCTTAAGATAGCACAGAGTTTAGTCTTGCTTTTTTTAAAAAAATCCAATTTGACAATGTCTAACTATTGGTGAGGGTTGTGAGAACTTTACATTTAATGTGATTATCTACATGTTTGAGTTGGGATTTATCATTTTGCTACTTTTTTTAAGTTACCTCATCTCTTTTTTGTTCTTTTTTTCTTTCCTATCTTCATGTTTATTAGTTGAACACATTTTATGATCCTAGTTGATTTTTTTTAGCTTATTAAATATTCTTTTTTTGCTCTACCTTTGTTGTGGTTGTGTGTAAAATTTGCAATTAGTATCATTTTTAGCATAACAACTTTACGACAGTATACTTCCTGTATCTCTTCCCAGATTTTGTGTTATTGTTGCCATACAGTTTACTTCTATGTATTACAACTTCACAATACAATAAATATCTGTAGTTATCATTTTGGTTTTAAGCAGTCATTTAACCTTTAGTAATATTAAATAACATTTTTTAAGTCTTTTTTATTCATTGACTTATTTACAATTTTTGTCTCTCCATTCGTCTAGATCGAAATTTTTACTAGAGATCATTTTTCTTCTGCCTTCAACATTTCTTCAAGAAGTGGTGGTCTATAGAAGATTAATTTTCTTGGTTCTTGTAGCAACAAAAAAAATCAGCCTTTATTTTTAAAATTAAATTGGCTGGGTATTAAATTTGCTGGGAATATATGTATTAATTATGATAATTTTAATTTATTTTAGTACTTTTTAGGTGTAATTGCTGTTTTGTAGCTTGCATTGCTTTCAATGAGAAGTCTGTTTTCATTCTTTTTTTTTCTTTGCTAGATGAAGTATTTTTTAATTTTCCTTCCATTTTTCAGATTTTCTTTTTATTACTCTTCAATATATTGATTATGATGTGATAGAGGCATTTTATTTTTCTTTTTACTTGGTTAATTGAACTTCTTGGATCTATTTGTATATGGAATTCACCAAATTTGAAAAATTTGGGGCCATTATTTATTTTAATATTTTTTTCTGCTGATGCTCCTTCCTTTAGGATATTGAAATAGTATATGTTAGGATGTTTTGTTTATTTTGTGGGGAAGGGAGAAGTGATTATTTCTCTTTATTTTTCATTTTGTATAGTTTCTATTACTATATCTTTAAATTCTTTTTTTCTATGCTGTGTCCAATCTATTAATACTATCCAATGTATTTTTAATTTTAGATATTGTGTGTTTCATCTCTGGTAGTTTAATGTGGGCTTGTTTATAGAAATTTTATTTTTCTCATTATATGCTTACTTTTATGTTCTTTTGGCCATACCCTATTTTTGTTTTTAGGTCTACACTATAGCACTTATGTAAATTTAAAATTTACATACAGAAATACAGAGCAACTGCTAAAAAGTCTAAAGATGTATCTTTTCAAAAGCCCCAGGCAGGAAGACTTAAAAAATCAATAAACAAATATTAAAATTAATTAGTCTTGTAAGTTGTCCAACATAATATCAAATTACAAAATTCAATAGCATTCTTTAACCCAGATACAAGTATAAAATGTAACAAAATAAGATGTTTAGAATTGCAACACAAACTATCATCGAAGAGTTATCTTAAAGATACTCAATAACCACAAGCTATTTATAATAGCTGTTTTAGAGTACTTGTCTACTAATTCTATCATGTATGTCATGACTGTGAACTTGTCTGTTTAATAATATGCTATTTGTTGCTCTCAGTCATATATTTATGCTTTGTTAACTACTTCATAACTTTTTTTTCTGATTTTACCTTGTTGGATACTGGGCTATTTTTTTTTAATTCTGTTAAATATTTGGACGCTTTGATCTGGTAGAGAGATATTTGTAATTTCATCCATTAGAAGCTTGCGTTTAAGTTTATTAGATCACATTCTAACATTTTATTTCGGAGTAAATTTTATTCCACCAAAGAGGCCATACACATCTAAAGACTCTATTTGGATGATGTTTGGAGACCTTTAACCATGGCAAAAAAAAAACTATATACATATGTATGATTTTTATATACGTATGTATACATGAAGTAACTATTATTGGACCACCTACTATTTCTAGTTGTTTTATGACCTGTTTCAGTATTTTCCTTACATTCGTGTGCAGATCAGTATTCCAAAAAACAAAACAGACTTGAGGATATTTATTGGGTATTATGCTCACTACTGGGTGATGGGATTATTCATCCATCAAGCCTTAGTGACACGCAGTATACTCAGATAACAAATTTGCACATATACCCTTGGAAACTAAAATGAAAGCAGAAGATAAAAAATAAAATACAATGTTACTACTAAAGAAAGCTGGTCATTTAAAAAATTTTCATTATTCATTTTATATTCATTAATTGGAATTAAGAGATTGCTTGTTCATTGAACTGTTTATACAGTATAAACTAAAATATTAATGAATTTTATTTTATGTGTTCTATTCATTCATACTAATTATTTATTTTGCTTCTCAAATTGTCCCAGATTTTGGAACCTTCTTCACAGTAGTTCCTGTATTCTTTTGAAATGGCTCCATCATTTCTGAGCACTTTTCACTTTTTGGTATTACTAGATGGTTTAGACTCGACTTCTGTTTTCGCTGCCTCAAACTTAAAATTAAACACTTCTCCAGTGAACGGTATTTTATTTTATTAGATAATGGCATATAAAACTCAAGATGTATATTATAGGTATATTCATTGTTACTGGAGTTTCATGTGTTTTCAATGGACAAAGAGAGAAAATATATTTGCACATACTGACACACACATAAACATTTTCTATTATCTATTTCTAAATAATTTTTAACAGTAAAAATCCTTTGCCACAATAACACAATGTTTACCTATTTGATAAGTCTTAATAAATATGTGAAATTTGTTTTGGAATTACTCAGAGATTTATAAAAAAAATCAAATCCACTGCTTATGGAAAAATATTTGTCTTATAAATGAGTCTCTTAACAGCATTAAAACAGTACTACTAGACTCATATCACATACTACATTACTACATAATAGATTCATATGATTTTATGCATAGATTATAACAAAATTCCAAATAAGAAATATTTTTTGTTCCATAGGCAGACAGGCAAGCAGGCAGGCAGGCAGGCAGGCAGGCATGCAGGAAGGAAGGAAGGAAAAGAAAGAAAGAAGAAAGAAAGAAAGAGAGAGAGAGAAAGAGAGAGAGAGAGAGAGAAAGAAAGAGAGAAAGAAAAAAAGAAGAAAGAAAAGAAAGAAAGAAAGAGAAGAAAGAAAAAAGAAAATCTCCTAAGGCCAATTCAAACTGTTCAGAAAAGGACTGAAGAACAAATATATTTAAGGTTCATAAACACTCATGAATACAAAGGCAAGTGTCCCTGTATCAAATTATGAGCAAACTGGAATTAATGATGAACAAGAAAATATAAAATATTAATATCACATTGAAATTAACTCAAGATGGAAGGAGGGATAAATAGAAAATTTATAAATGTCATAGACAATATTACAGGTTAAAAGAGAATGGAGATAAAAAATACTAAAATATTATTAATTTTTGCATACTGACCCTTTATCATATATATGTCTTACGAATATTCACTTCCATTCCACAGATTGCCTTTTAAGTTTGTTGATTGTCTCTTTTGCTGGCCAGAAGCTATTTTAGGTTGATATAATCTCACTTGTCTGTTTTTGCTTTTGGTGTTATATCCAAGAAATTATTGCCAAGGTCAATGTCAAGAAGCATTTCCCTATGCTTTCTTCCAGGGTTTTTGTGGTTTTAGGTCTTAGGTTGAATATTTAATTTGTCTCAGGGCATCAAAATGTCCATGTTACCCAAAACAATCCAGATTCAATGAATCCATATTAAAATCCCACTGGCATTTTTTTAAAGAAATAGAAAAAACAAAACCAAAATTTATATGGAGCCACAAAAAAACAAATATTCAAAGCAACTTTGTGCAAGAAGAGAAAAGCTGCAGACATCACACTCCCTAGTTTCAAAATACACTACAAAGTGACAAGAATCCAAACAGTATTAAAGCACACGTATAGACCAAGGGAACAAAATGGAGAGTCTAGAAAGAAACCTACCCATATATGGTCAGCTGGTCTTTCAACAAGATATCAAGAATATACGATGAACAAAGAGTAGTCTCTTCAATAAATGATGCCAGAAACACTAAATATCCACAAGCAAAAGAAGGAAATTGGAGCCTTATCTGAAGCCATCACTCTTCAAATTTGATGAAAAAAATTCTTAAAACTTAGAAAACAGAACTTTTTTGAATTAATACAATGGTTATATATTTAACATAAGCTTAAATGGGAGAAAAAAATAAAAGCATTTTCTTTAAAAGCAAATATATGAATGATCTAGAATGCCTACTTCTACTTAATACTAAATGTAAAGTTTCAGCTTACAAAATAAAATACGTGAAATGCCTAAAAACTGAAAAAAAGAAAAAAGACCGCCACAACTTTTACATACTATTATGGTCTATATTGAAATTCAAAGGAATCTACAGCCACTATTAAGTTATAGTCTACACTGAGAGAGATAATCTTTCAATTTCCCTCAGCTATTAGTCTCAAAGGGGATTCATTGTTGAACCCAAATTGATACCAAAGAGAAAGGGAGCCAGGTGATATCAGGTGATACATGGTTATACTCTTCTCCTGAACTATGTTAAAGCTACCTTTGTCATTTCCCCAGTACCACAAGCCATAGCTTTTTTCAAACATTGCTATTCCCTCTCCTTTTAACCACCTTCACTTGAATTTTGCAGATTCAGTGATATTCACACATGCTACTCTGAGCTACTACAAATGATGGGAATATTAATACTCCTCCAGGTAGAAAGGGAGCCAGGTAATACAGTCAATAAAAGTAGCTTCCTAGCACTATGAATAGCGTTCATTCAGGAGGTGTACTGCAAAGTGTTTACTTTGCAGGTCTGGATTTCTCAACTTGTACATTCCCAAAAAAGACTCATGTTCTTATATTCAAGAGGGGCTCATACCTGGCTCCTAAGAGCTGAGTTCCAATCTTTTGGAATACAGTGCCTAATAAGAGTGTTTTTGTATATCTGAGGTCTTGGTCCACATTAGTTTGACTAGATAGTTTATGTTATCAATGTGATTTACCATGATCACCAGTTTTTGCTCTGAGGGTCTGGAGTCTGGGTAGCTGAGGTTAGTCAAACAGGCTCTAGACATCTATGTGATTGAGCCTTAGCAATAACCCAAGACATCAAGGTTCAGGTGAGTTAGTTGATAAAACTGCATCCCGTCACCACATATCATTTCTAGGAATATTAAATAAATCCTGTACAACTCTACTGGAAGAGGACCCCTGCAAGCTTGCAACTGATCTTTTCTGGGCTACCCTTCATAGGTCTTTTCTCTCTCCTTATTTTAATCTGTAATCTGTATTATTTTGTTATAATGAACCATAACCATGAGCCTAGCAGCTTCTGAGTCCTGTGAGTCTTTCTAGTGAATCATCGAGTCTCAGAGTAGATCCATAAGAATAATCAGTAAGAAGTTATGAATATTTTGGTAAAACAAAATGTATATTATCATTGCAATAGAAATTTCTTTGTAAAATATTTTTTCCTTAATCTTGAATGTACAAGTATACTTAAAATTCCAAAATACCACATGAAAAATAATTTACTGGAATTTATTTCTCATATTTAAACGTGACTTTAAATTACACCATTATAGTGTAATTAAGATTATATTAAAAGATTATATTAAAATATATAACTAAAATACAGCCATATGGATCAGGGCTCTAAGTTTCCATTCTTGTAGACATTTGTCTTTCTCTTTGATTTAATGAGGATATACCAATAGTAATAGCTCCATCTGCAGTTGGCTACGATTCATTTTTTTCTCCTGCAATTTTTGACGTAGTTGGAGTGAGGCCATATGCAACAGGGTCTTTAAGCCATTTCCTTCTTCCCAGATGTGCCATGCAGCGTCTTTACTCTTTATAACTCCCCATTCCCACCTCTTCCCGGTTACACTCTTATCCTGACTATGTTAAAGCTACCTTTGTCATTTCCCCAGCACCACAAGCCATAGTTTTTATCAACCATCACTATTCCCTCTCCTTTTAACCACCTTCATTTGAATTTTGCAGATTCAATGATATTTACACATTGTACTCTAAGCTACTACAAATCACTGTGAATATCAATACTCCTCCAAGTAGAAAAGGGTCATAAACAGGGAATTATAAAATAGGCCTCTAAGAAAACCCCAGAGGAATGCAAGTTAAAATGAGACATGTACTTTCAACAAACTGGTCACAAAATAAAAACCATTTATTATAGCCAAGATGCCAAGGATGTATAAAAATTATATATGTTTTATTATGTTAGCGAACTGGTATACAGACCCTAAAGGTGAAACCGTGAATGCAATTCTACCGCTGGAGGAATTCCTGATTTACCAAGTCTCCAGCACACCCACATACACACAACACACAAATATACTATATATCAATTATACATATATTATATATATACATACATGTAAGAATTACACTGTGGTGTGTGCTAAAGAATACACGACTAAGTGGCAGAGTTAACAATACTACTTAAATGTTATTAATAACTTGAATGTGATCTCTGTGATAGGATGTCCCAGCTCTCTAGATATGAAATCATCGACATAAGCTTTCTATTGTTCTCTTTCTTAAACTATAACACTACTTTCTCATTTGAAAAAGAGAATCAGTGATAGCTATCTCAATATCAAATGCTTTATTTTTGACTTCCTATTAACGTCTTTTCTTTAGAAAAGCAGAGAGCTAGGGCTTGAGTGAATCCTAGAATCACAAAGATACCTATACTGTTTTAGTGAAATTAGTTAAGTGGGCTTTGGAGGTAAATAGATCTATCTTCCCATATTTTTTCAAAATGATGTTTGTCAAAGAGAGAGTTACTTAATTTTTATGTTTTTATTTTATCATAAAATTAAAATGATAATATTTTGTAAATATATTGTGAAAATTAGTAATAATAATCCAAATGTTTAGAAAAATGCTTCAGTGGAGAGTTACATCATCATAAATTTTAAAACTAAACTGAAGATTATAGCACAAGAAAGTAGGCTGTCAACAGATTTACTGCCTAACCACCAATAATGAGAAATAGTTTAGTTATCTTTCCAAGGTATATAACAGAATATACAAAAATATAACAGAATGAAGAATACTATTTGAGATGAGAAGCCATAACTTCAATGTAGTCAGATATTTGTGTATCTAAACCTGCCAAGCAAGGAGAGGAGTGTGTACATGGGCATTTCTGGGTGTGTCCACTAATTATCCCAGCTGACAACCTGAAAAAGAGAACAACTGTAGCCACTACATCAGGGTATTTTGGGAATTTGAAGACTACGGACATATTACTAGGCTCCACTGATGCTGGGATACCAACTTTAATGAAATCACAATTGAGCTAAAAACAAAGATTGGTTGAATTCAATTTCTATTCTAACACAAGGCTACCACTTCACACTACTTTTAGTTGGCACTTTTGTCAAGAAAAGACAGAAAATATCTAGAAACATGGATTCCAAAATAATATCATTAAAATGACAATATAAGCACCACAGTTTGTATAAATCCAATAAATACCACATTATAGTTATTAGTTTTTCTTTATTCCTAAAATTGTTCACTTATGTGATGTATATTAACTTTATTTTTGAAAGAGATTCACGAAAATGAAAGATCTATTCCTATGTGTTTATTTTCAATAACAAAATTGTCTATGAATTCAAAGATAATTACATTCACAGCAATTTTTAAAAGGTTCAAGGTGTTTTGATATAAATATAACAGAAATTACAAAATAATTTGATTTGCTACCATGAAGGAAGAGGGAAGGCATAACATGTAATGTTACAAAGCTCAAAAGGACTAGGTTTTGGGGTTAATAAGGGGTCTGCATTAAAGATAAGGTAAATTTTTTTTCCACAAGTAGGGAAATTCTTTTTTAGTTTACACACAGCACCTTTCAGAATTGAAGTTGAGTTGCTGATGATGCCAGTACACCCACGTTATGATTTCTTTGAAACATCCAATGGCTTCATCATTTAGGCCAAAAGAGCATAATCTCACGGAGGATAATTTCTATTTATGACCAACTAAAAACAGGAGGGTGGCAAACTTCTTATGCACGACAATAGTAAATATGGAAATCATCCTTAGTGAATATATTTTTATAAAGAAGTAACTGGCCAGGCACAATGACTCAGGCCTGTAATCCCAGCACTTTGGGAGGCAGAGGCGGGCAGATCACAAAGTCAAGAGTTTGAGACCTGCCTGGCCAACAGAATGAAACCCTGTCTCTATTAAAAATACAAAAATTAGCCAGACATGGTGAAGGGCTCCTGTAATCCCAGCTACTCTGGACGCAGAGGCAGGAAAATCGCTTGAACCCAGGAGGCGGGGGTTGCAGTGAGCCGAGATTGCGCCATTGCAATCCAGCCTGAGCGACAGTGCAAGACTCGGTCAAAAAAAAAAAAAAAAGTAACTACATTTAAGACAACTTTTATTTTTAATCAAGGAATACGTTATGCACTAGAGATTCTTGATGGCTTACAAACCGGACGTGGGTGACAATTTAATCATGATGTTAAAGTTGAAATGATAAGAGGATGTAGTAAAAAGTCCACCAAAGAAAACTAAAAGTGAGTAAGAATGAAGAATGAGAAGTAAGAGGTAGGAGTTACTCAGCCTAAGTATCTGAAAAGGTCTGGGTAGTGGCCTTGTTAGAGAGGAATCCCAGAGAATGATTGATGTGTTAGTTACACACATACACATTTGATGAAAGAAATCATACTGTACACTTTATGCACTTTTTATCACATAAAAATTATACCTTAATAAAAACAATAGAGATCAACAGAATGGTTACAATGAAAATAAATACCAAAAAGAACAATACCAAGTGTTGATGACAATGGAGAAGAGCTGGAACCCTAGTATATGGCTAGTAGGTTTACTAGTTTGCACAACCTTTTGGGAAACTAAATTTTAATGATATCTATGACCTGTCAATTCCACTCTCACGAATATATCCAACAGTATGGCATACATGTATTCACCAATATTAGGTACAAGAATGTTCAAAGCAGTGTTCATCATAAGGTGGCAAAACCAAAATAGCCTAAATTTCCATCAGCAGTAGAATGGATAAATAAAATGTGATACATTAATTCAATAGACTCCATATAGCTATAAGAATGAGCACAGCATATCTACATGCAACAACTTGTACGAATTTCAAAAACATAATATTAATCAAAATAAGCAAGATACAAAGGAGTACATAATGTGTGATTCAACTATATAACGTTTAAAGTCAAGGAAAATTGATCCATGGTTTCAGAAGCCAAGAAAGTGTTTACCATTAAATAGGAGTTGTGGGGACTGATAAGCGGATGAAAGAGGAGTTATGGATTGCATTCATGTTTTGTTTATTAATTTGAGTGCTGGTTGCAAGGGTGGGGTTACTTCGTGAAACTTCAATGAGCTATAAAGTTTAGGATTTATGTTTTGCAGAAAGAATATACAAAATTTTAAAAACCCGGCCGCGCGCGGTGGCTCACGCCTGTAATCTCAGCACTTTGGGAGGCCGAGGCGGGCGGATCAGGAGCTCAGGAGATCGAGACCATCCTGGCTAACATGGTGAAACCCCGTCTCTACTAAAAATACAAAAAATTAGCCGGGCTTGGTGACCGGCGCCTGTAGTCCCAGCTACTCCGGAGGCTGAGGCAGGAGAATGGCGTGAACCCGGGAGGCGGAGCTTGCAGTGAGCCGAGATCGCGCCACTGCACTCCAGCCTGAGCGACAGAGCGAGACTCCATCTCAAAAATCAAACAAAACAAAACAAAACAAAACAACAACAACAACAAAAACCCACAACACTGATCACAGGAAAGCTACATATAAGAAGGAATTGGAAGGCTTAGGTGACGAAAGATTAACAGAAACTCCAAGTTTTCCAGGGAAAGGGTGGGAAGCAGGGTATGAGAATTAGAGTGGGGATAGGAAACGGAGAGAAGCAATAAATACAACACTGGGCCCAGAAAAGAAACTATAGTTGAAATACAAATAATACATTATTGTGATTAATCTAGTTTAGTTGCAGACAAGTTGGATAGAGGGGGAAGGTTAAGAGGCTGTTTTTTTCTTAAGTTAATTGGGGTTTATTCCAAAAATAAAAAGTTGATTTAACAACTGATAATCACTTTATATATTTTACCATATTGGCGGAACAAAGAGAAGAATAATATAATAATTTGAATAGATGCAGAAAAACATTTGATAAAATTCATCATCCTTTTATGATGAAAATTTATTTGAATTAAAAAGAAAAAGGGAGATTCCTCAATCTAATAAGAGATATCTAAAATTAGCCTACAGCAAACATCACCCTTAATGGTAAACAATGCATGATTTTCCACTGACATCTAGAATGAGACAAAATGCCCATTACCCTCATTTTTATCTTATATTGTGCTGGAGTGTCTCATTAACTGTTAAGAGATTTGTTTTCTTCATGGGCTGGGATAAGGTAACATTAGTTCTAAGAATCCATCTAAAATTTATCAGCAGGAAATGCTTGAGGGGATGGATACCCCGTACTCCAGGATGTGCTTATTTTACATTGCATGTCTGTATCAAAACATCCTATCTACCCCCTAAATATATACTACTATGTACCCACAAGAAAGTTTAAAAATAAAAATAAAAATAAATTTAAAAAGAGGAGTAAGGATTAAAGTTCAGATTTAAATTAAATATTAAATGTCAAAAAATAAAAATGAATAAATAAAATATATCAGCAGGGAAAGAGGGCCCAACATGGTACTGACAGTTAAAACTAAATTTTACCAGCCAAGTGTCACATAGCTTATTACTGGGCTTTCTGCTCTCCCGATCTACAGTGCGCTGGGATGGATAGAGACAGACTGGAAACCCAAAAGACACATGCAAAATGGAGCCATCCAGTTTCCAGTGGCCTTACCTGTCTAACCATTTTCACTACAGTGTTCAAGGGCTTAACCTTTCTATTGCTGCAGCAAAGGCTAGTCTCAAATTCTACAGTGAGAACTATCTATTTGCTGTACAGCAGATCTCTTAGAAGTTGAGGAAGAAATAAAGTTCAGAGGCTGGGTGATGTGGCTCAAGCCTGTAATCCCAGCAATTTGTGAGGCCAAGGCGGGTGGATAACTTGAGGTCAGGAACTTGAGACCAGCCTCGCCAACATGGTGAAACCTCGTCTCTATTAAAAATACAAAAATTAGCCTGACCTGCTGGCAGCCTGTAATCCCAACTACAATGGAGGCTGAGGCGGGAGAATCGCTTGAACCCGGGAAGCAGAGGTTGCAGTGAGCCAAGATCCGCCACTGCACTCCAGCCTGGGCAACAGAGTAAGAGTCCACCTCACCAAAAAAAAAAAAAAAAAAAAAAGAGAGAGAGAGAGAGAAATAAGGTTCAGTTAAATTTGATGGTGCCATGCAGAACACTTGGCCTGACCAAAATTTATTAATAGATTCACTTCTGGATATGAGTAGCAGTGATTTTCATAATTCCTGATATCCCTGTTCCCTTAGCTATTAAAGGTATTTTTAAAATGTTAATTGTTTTACTCATTTCATCTGTAAGATTTAAGAGTTCCTCACTGATATAGAAAACAAGTTTTTTAACTGGTGCAATCAAATATGTCCTTGTACTTATTCTGATGTCCTTCAAGACATTTGGAGTTCTTCTTTGTCACAATTTAACATATCATTTCTCAAGTCTGTTTTTCCTACACAGAACTGAAGAACAACTATTGTAATGGAAACGCCACAAAAATTTGACATGTTGTTAGCTCTCCTGCGGTCAAACATAATTACGTAAAATTGTGTATCTGCCCTCTTTCAATATCAGTTTACAGTTAGCAGGTGTTCTTAATCCTTTTGTTTGTGATGGCAAACAAAATACAAAATGGGGTTTTACCAGTTCTTCACAGTATACCTTAATTTGAAATAAAATATTCAAGGCAGTTATTTGTTGTTCAAATTATGTTCAGTAACATGAGAAGCATAAAGGTTTTAAGTAAATAGGATATTTAATTTCTTAAATGATAGAATTTCTGAACCTAGATTATTATTTTGTAAAGGTGAGAAGTTGAGAACTTGCTGTTTTACAAAGCCTTTTTCACACTTATCTAATTTGTTATGGCTTCCTTTGAGAAGGAAGGTTTAGTACATACCAGAAACCATTTATTTTTTGTAGATTTTTTTGGCTACTTTCCATTTACAGAGCCCTGTGGTAATATAAAAAGGGTTTTATCATTGCAGATTTCCTAAGTAGTTTGGTGTAAATAACATTTAATATAAGTATAATTCTTTATAGTTGACATGGAATAGCCACATATGATATCATATGATCCTCCTAACGAATATAGTGAAATTTTTAACCCTATTTTAAAGAAGAGAAAGCACTGTGACTCTAAAGTTTCAGTTACTTGTCTGAGATCCCAGTTAGCCAGTGGAACCTGAAGCCACATGCATTTTTCAGGACCCTTCACCTTGTTACTTTTTGTATGTCTCTTATTTAAGGTGTATAGATTGTTAACTCATTCAGTAGCTGCAATAATCACTATCCAATACATAGCTGGGTAGTTACAATTATTGTAGAACACATTTCAAATGTCTTGAGACATACTCATGTGAATTATACCCAAATTAAAAGAAAAATGTGGTTTGAAGGCATATAAAATTTGAAAGCCAGAAAAAAAGAAACTACGGTTAAATTATGCCTTAAAGGAATTTTAAAAATACAGAACTATACTTGTAAAATTTTAGTTATAGCATCTTCAAAAATAAACTCAAATTTTATTTACCTTGCATATGTTTTATATGTGGTATATTTAATATCTTTCCTCTAGACAAATTCTAAGAAAAAGTTGAAAACTTTTTGATAAAAAAAATTATTGCAAGAGTTTTGCAATATCAAGAGAAGAAAAAAGATATATTCAAATACCCCTTGTGAAAGGTAAGAGTAAGATCAAGTTAGTTTATGAGTATTCAAGTTAGTTTATGTGTATGGCTTGCCACAGGTCTTTGTACTTGTTCTTACCTACTCCTAAAAGGCTTTTCCTCCAGGGATCTTATGGATTCTGACTTTCACTTCCCTCAGGTCTTTGGCCTGATGTCATTCTTTCATTTGATACTTTCTCTGCCTGCTCTATTTAAATATGCAAACTCACTCTAAGAACTATCTGTTCTTCTTACTTTATTATTACATAGCATATATCACAGGCTAAATTTATATATTTATTTTATTTATTGGTTGTCTCCTCTCATGAGAATGTAAGTTCCATGAGATAGAGAATTTGATCTGTTTTGCTTATTGTTGTATTCCTACCACTTAGACAAGTTGTAGGAACTAGGTTGGCATTCAACAAATACTTTTTTTTACACAAAGTAAACAAGAGAGAATGAAGGAAGAAAAGTAAAAAAGGAAGGAAGGCAAGAAGGAAGGCAGGCAGGCAGGCAGGCAGGAAGGAAGGAAGGAAAGAAGGAAGGAAAAAAAGGAAGGAAAAAAGGAAGGCAAGAAGGAAGGCAGGCAGGAAGGAAGGAAGGAAGGAAGGAAAGAAGGAAGGAAAAAAAGGAAGGAAAAAAGGAACGACCAAGGGGAGTGAGGGAGAAAGGAAAGAAAGTCAAAAGGTATGTAAAAAAGTCTTTCACATTACCTCTGTGAGAAAGTACCAGTGGTAGCATCATCTGTTAATTCCTGCTATTGATTAGTGTCCCGAGTACTAAGAGATCTGGAGGCAAAATCATCAAGAGAGAAGGAAATAAAAATATAAAGGGAGGCTCATAAAAGCCAGGAAAAATAAGTAATATAAACAACCAATCAGGACTGGCCTTGATGGTTAACATTATTGTGTTTGATTCTCATAAGGAATGTTTCATGCAAGGAAACATGAGGCTGGCCACAGGATAGAGAGAAATTAATTTGAGAGATGGTGTCCAACTACCCAGAGATGTGTAAAGATAGAGAGACAGTGAGAACCAGGGTAGAGTGTAAACTCCAGTTTTCTATTGCCTGATTCTATGCTTTTCAAAGCTTTCTGCAGACAAAGAAAATAATGAAGGACAAAGGAGGCATGGTAAATCATGTATCACCTCGAAAATATTTGCCAGGGTATTTTTCAGTAGTGTTATAATGTATCCTAATATGGGCACTTTCATTTATATTTTGAAATTGATTTATACATTGAAAAGCTATTACCTAAATGGACACAAAGTTGTTTGCATTAAGAGACAATAGCATACATATTAATACCACCATTTCATTGTTAAGGATTTATTCAAAGAGAATAATCAGGGAATTGTTTGTACAGAGATATAAGAAGTCCATTATCTTCAGCTCAGCATATGCAGTGGAATGGAAATCGTTTGCCATATGACAATAAGAATAAATAAGGGATGTGGAGTCATTAAAAAGAGAAAATTTTAGACTTACCTAAAATTTTGCTATAGTATGAATTCCATTCTCCCCAGTAGGACTGAAATATATAGTCTTGCAGAGAATAAGATATGGTATTTTTAATCCTTTCACCAAAGGTCATCTGGTCAGTGAGCTCTGATAAGGCTGCCGGTACATAGGAGACTGGTGCTGGGATTTTCCCACAGTGTCTCTCCACTGTTGATGCTGGAGAGAACCTCAATGTGTACATAAATGGAATTCCTAATTTCAGAGCAACAAGATCACCACAGATTGTTACTGGGTCTGCTACCAACACATCAAAACCACCTTTCTGAAGTCTTGCCATCAACTTTGGGTTCTTTAGTACACCATCACAGAGTTGTATGTTAATTTGAAAGAAAGTGTCTAGAAGTTTTCCTAGTTCTTTGTAGAAAGCCCATATTGTGAGAGGAGTTGGTCTATGGTCAATCCACAGCATTATCATATGCTCAATTAAGGAATCTATATTGCTCTTCTTGTAGGAAACAGGTATCACTTCAAAATTCACAGGAGAATCGGGATTGGAGTTGATGAATAGAGTTGCTGATGAAGCCAGTACAGTCACATTGTGATTTCTTTGAATCAACTCTTCTAGAATAATCTTAATATTTAACCAATGGCTACCATCTGTAGGCCAAATTAACACATTCCCACTTAGAACAACTTCAGTCAGAGTCAAATTAAAAACCAGCATCTGGACAAACTTCTTAGGCATGGTAAAATCCCTTATGGAAACCATCCTACTGTAGATCCTTCAAGATGAAAAAAAAATCTTCAAAGTATATTTAGGTCAATTTTTAAATAAAGTAATATTTAGTGCGATGGTTACACTCAGTCGTAGGTCAATTGATCTTTAGATTAAAAGGTAAATAATATAATTCAAATTCCTATATGCACTAACATCATTATTTCAGTAACAGAAATAAAATCTGGTTCTTTTTAAAGAAAAGGAAGCACGGGGTTATAAACCTACCATCTACATATTCTGTGATAATAACTATGATTTATAAAATACATCTTTAATATATTTTTCACTAAATTGAATAAACAACTTTCAGAGGAAGTTTGCTCAAACATTTCAAGGTGTTTTAGATTATATGGATTATAGGGTAAAATACTATGCATTTGATATAGAATAGCTTTCTTCTCCATAAAGCCAACTGATTGTTGTCTCCTATGCCTTTGTTACAGGGAATTTTTCAGTTTCTTCCATATGACACAGATCAAGAAGATATGGCCTGGAACTCCAAAGAATCACAGACTTTGTTATTCAGAGAAGTTAGGTAGACACTGGAGTTCAATAGACCCAGATTCAAATATTGTCCTTTTATAAGATTTCTGACACCGGGTAATTATTCAGACCCTCCCATTCTCAGTTTTCTCAAAGAAAAATGAGAGGTGAGACATTAATTTGTTATATTACTTTGTGGATTAACAATAGTATCTGTAAAGCTACTTTTCAATCTTCTTGGTACAGAGTAAGAGCGTAGTAATGTTAGCGGTTTAATAAATTTGTCCAAAGATTGATTAGGAAATCAGTAGGCCAGCTACAGAATGACTGGCTAGACTTGGATATAGTGAGATCAGATATGGATATAGTGTTGCAATTCTTAGTGAATCCCAAACTGAGCAATAGCAATTATGTAACAATGCTGTTTTGAAATCATTACAGGCTACCATTAAAAAGAGAAATAAGAACAAATAGAGTGATTAAAAGGATAAAAATCAAAAATTAAGATTAGAAAATAAGTGACAGATTTTAAGTTTATACTCAATTGCCCTTAAATTATGTAATTTCAGGCCCTTGAGTAACAAAAGAACTGGGAGGACAGAGAACAGGAAAGACAAGAGAGAGAAGTGATGGTTTTAGAATTTTTGCATTTGTGTCCTCTCAAGAATAAGCCTCAATTTGAATATAGTGGCAGTACCTTAAAAATTAATTAGATTTTTGAAACAAGGCAGCCAGAGAAGAGTGTAAATAATCTTAATGGTCTTCAAAATAAGCCCAGTAAAAGGGGTTTAAAAATCTTCATAAAGAAATCTGTTGCTGTCAAACTTTCAATAAAAAGTAAAGAAAGCAAAACATTATAGAAAACATGAACAAAAGTCTATCTATAAAATACTTAGATTTGTTCAAATATTGAGTTACATGTAAGAAAAATATAATAATTAATTAGGGATTACTCACAAATGTAGCTGCAATAGCACATAAAAGCTTATCAAAATATGCTCCAAAATCTCAATACATATAGATATCCCTAAATTACCCAGAGTAAG
Source organism: Homo sapiens (assembly GCF_000001405.40). Lineage (NCBI taxonomy): Eukaryota > Metazoa > Chordata > Mammalia > Primates > Hominidae > Homo > Homo sapiens. Next base: position 69,641,179 of record NC_000004.12, read on the forward strand.
GGAAAAAATGATGATATTAGTCAACTTCCACTTTTACGTAATATCTGCAGGGCAATAAAATATTTACCTAATTTAGTGAAGAACAATAAAATGTATATAACGCTTTTAATTTGAGTTGATTATCCTTAAAACAACATTTTGTTTAGTAAAATGTATACAATCCTATTAGTCTGAATTGATAATCCTCATAGCAACATTTTGGTATGAAAGATTTTCTTTTCCACTGAAGACATGCCCTTGCCTGAAAGTCTTCTCTTCCGAAGTGCTCCCTGAATATTGCACCTGATGGCTAGGATTCAACTCTGCTGGCTCTTTTTTCATTGTCTCCCCAAGGCCAAAAAAAGCCTGGAAACCAGCTTTCATACTGTTTTGGGGATGAGTGATTCAGTTTTATTTGAGTTTCTTGATTTGTATTTACCTAATTCTCTAAAAGCTTAAATTTAGATGTACTTTTAGTTTTTCTTTGTTTTGCTAAACAGAAACAGTATATTCTAGCACTTTGCTTTTTACCTCAGAGTGGAGTCTGATATTAAATGATTCACCACTTTCTGAATTGTAACTAGGCAAGTTACTTAGCCTCCTCATTTAACAAATGATGAGAACAATGGCACCTATTTCCTATAGTTCTGGGTATGGTGTGACATAATGCAGGTAAATGATTCAGAACAGCACCTGGGCTCCATAAGTAATAGCTAGCTATGATATTTTAGGGAGAGAATCTTATTTTTTAAATGATCAAATTAATCCGATCTCATTACCTTGACCCTTCTCTACTCTTTCCCTCCTCCTACACTGACAGACTGGGGAATCTAGGGTTTGGTGCAGAATTTCTCAAACACTGAGAGTCTCCCCATAAGGCAGTCACTCTCAGTCTTTAGGCAGACCACAAGTGATAGGCTATTAACAATGCACAGAGTACCAAAATTTACAAATTATTTATTTTAAGAAATATATGCATATAAAACTCAAGATTATATCCACACAAATTGTAACTTCCATTTCCTTTTGTTCTGATACTCTCTCATGAGTGGGAGCGAAAAAGATAGAGTGATCACTATCTCTGAGAATTTCCAATGTCCCAATGTCAATTACATCTCCAATGTAATGCCGGTGGCTGTCATTCAGCTTATGGCTCATTGCAGAAAAGGGAATGATACTAGAAGATTTTTCAAAGATTCTAACCAATCAAGATCAATGTAAATTAAAACAGAAAAAGAAGAAGGAAGGAAGGAGAGAGGAAAGCAAAGGAATGATTAGTAAGAAAGAGAAAAAGAAAAAAAGGAAGACCTAAGTAGTAATGTATTATTCTACAGGAAAAGATTCCAGTGCATTTTTTCTTCTTTAAAATTACTACTGAAAATCAAGAATCATGGAAGGATATACACTTGAATGTGTTTCATTTCTAGCACTTTATTTTACATTAATTACTCATGCTTAGTGAGCCCACAGTTCATGCAAAGATCTAGATATTATGATCATTCTTTTTGAAAATCTAGATTTCTTATTTACTAGACTTGCTAAAGTATGTTATTATAGATGGCATTCATCTTAGAGATTATTCACCTAATTATTCATATATAATGTTATGTATTTTTACATATTATATACCTCTAATATATAGAGATTATTCACAAAAAAACCTTGTTTTTACAGTGGTTAAAGGGTAAAGTGCTGTTGGTAACAATATGTAATGCTTATGGATTATAAGTATTTTTAATGATAAAAATGTTACATTTTTCTCCCCTTAAATGTGCCCAGTTTTGGTGTTTTTTTTTAAATAAAAGTAAAAATGAAATACCTGGTTCCATTTTTTGAAATGCATAAAAATTCAAAAATTTTTTGAAGGTATACATTCGAAACTGTGGAACCCTTTACTTCCTTTCAGTTAGAGGTGACTTAGAAAGCTCTCCTAATGCCAAAAATATATCCCTAGACAATCCTCCCCAGACAACAGAATCACATGATGACCTACTCCTTAATGGATAGTAAATTATCTGGTGATACAATGGCCCAATTATATTCATTTGACAAATCAAAAATAGGCAAGAAATAGAATAGCAGATTTTAAAAGCTAAACACATTGAAAAGAAGAAAAGCGTTCAAGAAAAATTTAACCTAAAATATTCTGAACAGTTAATAGATTTGCACCTGAAATTTAAAAAGAAGGAAAAACAATTCCTAGAACAAGGAAATATGACATCAAAGCTTTGATATGAGAAAGATTTTCATTTGAATACTATTTTCTCATAATTTTAACATGTTTGATATTTCCAAGTCTCAATATTCTTTTCTGTGTTACAACTTTTTTCTTGCAATGAACTGCAACAGTTCAAGGATTGATAGAAAATATATGTAAATCACTTATCACAGTGGCTAGTGCATAGGAAGATATTAATATATACTGCTATCATTATTATGATATCCATGAGTTTGAGCTAAATGCCCATGATCTGAAATAAAATGAGTAATTTTACATTATAAATACCCAATTTCTACCAATTAGCAGAGATTAAGGACTCACTCTGACCTTCTTATTGCATTCCACTGCAGAGAAGTAAACTTAGGGAGTTGTTCTATTTATTTACTCAGGTGAGGCTGTTCGAGGCCTGAGTGGATATAAATTTGTTGCAATGATTTCATTAAAGAATTTTAAGTAAATATAGAAGATCAATTCAAATTACAAATTGGAAAGGAGTTATTTTTACAAGTCAGTTCCATTTATCATTCTCCTTTATCATTCTACATCCACAAAGACTTGCACAAAAATAAGTCACTCTGTCATGTCAATACTTTACTTCTTACCTGGTCTTTTAAATATGACTGTTCATGTTCCTGGCATCAGTAAGAATATTGTGTTTTAATAAAGACAAACTTAAGTAGTCATTCTAAGTCAGAAGAGGGTAATTTGATCAGAAACATGATATATCAAAATCAGAGGATAAGAACATCTTTAGAAATCTTTATTATGTTCCTCTGAACAAATTGTTAAGAAAGATTAGCCTCATGTCTTAAGACTGAAAGAATAGTGTGCTTTTATTACCAGCATTAACTTACAGGCAAAATAAAATGGAACATGTGATTCTGAGACTGCCAGCCTAGGTAAAGTAAACTAGTGGATAACTTCACAAATAAAGAGCATAGTAATCATGAAAATTAGAATTCCAAGGTTGATGATGAGCAGTTGACAAAACTGAAGTGGTAGGATTGAAAATGTAAATACAAATTGTGACCAAGAGACGGTCTATGTACATTCCGCTCTTATATGAACGGAGATGCTGCACATATTCAGAGTCCCTTTTAGTTTACCATACACCTGAGGATATGAAGGAGATTTTGCCATCTTGACAGTTTCATTGCTTCACAAAACTTCAATTTTTTTTCTCTGCTTTCTTTTAAGATCTAGTTTCAACCATAAGATGTTTCCCATTCACTTTTATCTTTATAGGACACTTGAAGGTTTATCTATAATCATTGTAGCAAGGCTTGTATTCTCTGAATGACAGAATAGCTAGCTCTTCTTTTACATCCCAAGATTTAAAGATCTGTTTTTGAATTTTGGGCCAATTACTTAACATACCCAGAGGAGGTGATGACTTTTGCTATCAGTGCTAATTATAATTGGTTTACCAGCTTTTGATAATAATCATTCACATGGCTGTAGTATCTCACATCCTCATTCACATACTAACCTATGCATATTTATTTTGATTGATACATATCAACTTTACAGTTGTTTTAGAACAGAGATCTGTAGAAAAGAAGCTAATGTGTCAGTAGGTATCACTACACAGAAATCTCACTTTTTCTTTTGCCAACATTCACGCAACCCACTGTTTTACACAGTGCACTTCGTCATCTTTAAATTATTTTTAATAGCATTTAGGATGTTCATTCATTAGCTAGTAAACATCTCTAGGCCTTACAAGCTCTGCTTAGCAAACATTACAGTCTCTGCAGTCTGTGCATTATTACTTTGTTATCAGTAACGAATGCACACAAATTAATGTGTCAATGTTAATAACCCATGAGATTACCTCTGAGATCTCATCCCGTATATCCAGCTGCTTACTGGATTTCGCCAAATATTCCCAAAAGTATCACATACACAGCATGTCCAAAATTCAATGCAATATTAATTTTTACTCTCCCATATTCGCTATCAGGGTTGATTGGGCCACACTATTCTAAAATCCTTTCAGATGTAAACTAATTTAGTCCTTTTAGTAGCCCTGTCAGAGATGAGATAAATGAAGTTCAGGTGCAAGGAGACTGAATTACTTTTCCCAGCCACAGACTGCTATGTGGATGTTGCCTGTAAGCACCTGCTCTCCCAATTGTGTTGCTAGGTAGTCTCATACTGCATTATTTTCCTCCATTTATCAGCTACTTCTGTAGGGCAGGCTCCTACCACATCTTTCCTAGAGTGATACATTAGTCTAGTCTCACACCTCTCAACTCTACTGCCACATCTGTCCAAGTGTTTTACGTAAAATGAAAATCAGGTCATAATATTTCCCTTTAGATGGTCCTGAATTGCTTATTAGATTAAAATGTTTTTAGAATGACATACAGGAGACTTTGAAATATTCATTGAATTAATTCACTCATTCTTGCGGTTCCGACGTCATTAGCATCTTCCTCCATGTCTCCCTACCTTACACTTGAACCTTCAGAAATACTAAATTATCAGAAATATCCATCGCACCTGTGCTGTTTTGTCTTCAACTTTGAGCACACTTTTCCTTCCCCATTCTTACCTTGCAGAAAAACTCACATTCAGTATTTTAAAATATCCTTATGCATTATCTGAACTCTGAAGTTTTTCAGAATAACTCACTCTGTCTGTCGCATAATACCTAACTCCTCTACATTTTGTATTTTGTATATATTTCCATATTTACATAATTCACATAATAAATATTCCTTTTAATGTCTGATTTATCTGTTTGTGAAATCCTTGAATCCATGGACTTTATTTTAGTCTTCCTATCTAAAAGAGTGCTTAGTAAAGAGTAAGAAATCTATAATTAATGAAGAATAAATGATAAAATTCAAAAGCATAAAAAATGGGCAAGGCCTGTTTGATTTTTAGACAAATATGTGTATAAATGTATCAACATGATCAATATAGGCTTTTATTCTAGTACCATTGATTATATTGTATTCATCAGGTAAACACCATATCACACTTAAGCAAATTAAATAAGCTTAGCATGGATAAATCACCCTGATCAATGGTTGTAGTTCACACCTTACAATTAAAGGTGATAAAGCCTTAATGTATTTTGTTTCTTTATGAGCCTTAATATTTATTAAGTGATGATCAGAGATTATCCACATATATGTATGTTCTTAAACGTGCATATTAATGTCTGTATTAATAATAAGCTTGTGGAAAGTTTAACATTTTCCGGCTTTCTCCACACATCACTGCAGTTTCTAGGCAATTTCTATTTTGAGCATAATTATCTACATGAGATCCAGCCCAACTTTTAAATTGAAGTATTTGTCACTATATTTTATCCATAAAAGAACTGAATTGATATATTTAAGTCCATGCAATTAGAAAACAACACACTGTACTTCTGAAGTACAATGTCTTTTATCTTCTTTTCTGCTATCAAGTGATAGTAATATATAGTACATCAATACTTGGAATTAAAAAAGAATAGACATAGGGAAATAAAGAAGAGGCTCTACAAAGGTCTGTTTGTTCAAATTCAAGTAATAAAAACAAAATTTGTTACATACCTAAAGCTTTACTATAGTATGAATCCCATGATTTCCAAAGAGTTTCAAACATGTAGTCCTGTAGGTGGTAGGAGATGAAATTTCTTATTCTGTCAGTGAAAGACATTTGGTCGGTGAGTTCTGATAAAACAGCAGGAACATAGGAAGGAGGGTATGGTACCTTCCCACAGTGCTTTTCCACTGTTGAGGCTGGAGAAAACCTCAAGGAGTACATAAATGGAATTCCAAGTTTTAAAGCTACTATATCGCCACAAGGAAATACTGGATCAGACACCAGGACTTCAAACTTGCTTTTCTTTAGCTTTGCCATCAGCTGTTGGTTTTTAAGAACGCCATCACAGATCTCCTGAGACACCATGTGGAAGTCCTTGATTACTTTGGCCATCTCCTGATAGAATCTCCAAATGGTTGAAGGAGATGGTCTATTTTCCAGCCATGTCAAAACGAAGTCCTTAATTACTCCTTCTATTCTTTCTTTGCCAAAGGGCACCTTATATATTTCAAATGTCAGAGATGGGTTAGAGGTTGGTGTGATGAAAAGTGCACCAGAGGCAACTAGGACAGTCACATTATGCTCCTTTTTAATGAGCTCATCTATAATTATCTTAACATTTAGCCAATGACTACCTTCCATTGGCCAAATCAAAACATTCCCACCAAGAGTGGTTCCTATGAGACTTATCTGAAGGGAGAACAGCAGAAGGTTGTTTAACATGATGTGGCTTGATGCAGAAGATTTGATGAGATGTGAAGCAAATGTTTTTCTCTGCTTTTAAAGAAAAAAAGGAAAGACAAAATTATTTCTCAATTTTGAGGCAAACCATTAATATCCTTAAAAGCCTTCTTTCTAGAAAGTGATACTAGTCATAGTAGCTCCATATTTTAGGATATTTACAGATTTATGGGTAATGTGTCTTACTTCTCAAATCTGTTGTTTTAATTTTAGTGTTTTAGTTATGATTCCTGCTGTCTAATCCTCCTTTTGAACTTGATACTCCAACCCTTTTTTGTGTGTTTCATAATTGTTACATTTTTACTATTAAATTGGATAAAGCTTCTGTACATCTCAACTCTACATTCAGGCCTAGGTATTGAAACCTCAGATAGGACCAAAACTCATTCAGAAATTTAAAGATGTTAATGCTGTAAGTTTTTAAATTTTTAATGCATGAATATAATTCCATTTATCACAATTAAACATTATAATAACAGTTACAATATATAAGATTGTCAAATAATATGTATAAATATATTACTATAAATATTTATAAATTCAAATATTTATAAATTCAAATAATACTTATAAATAATATGTATAACACATATAGTATTATATTACTACTTTAGTAATATGTTTACAAAAATAGTTTGTTAATCCTCAAGAAAATATTATAAATAAATGAATAAAATAAAATATGTGCAAGAGATTATAGGTAATGCTAGTAGTGAATAGGAGCTATTTAAGAGAATTACTAAGTCAAGCATACATCTACCAAAAGTGCTGTTCAAAAACTATCTAGCCTGCATGAAAAACAGCTACTTGACATCTAGATTCAGCCTTCAACAACTGCTAGCGTTTATTAAGTCCTTGTTATGTCAGACATTACGCAAACTCTTTAACACGTTAATTTCATTTCTTCCTTATTTTAAAAATTATCCAATTATGGATCTTTTATAATTACTCCCACATCAAAGAAAAAGAAACCACTGCCCAAAGAGATTGAATAATTTGCCATGTTCCTACAGCAAAATAAGAAAATATTACTTATTGGGTACAATGGAAATACAGTGTACACTACTTGAGTGATGGGTATACTAAAACCTCAGATTTCACCACTACACAATGTACCCAAACAGGACAACTGCACTTGAACCCCTAAATCTATAAAAATAAGAATAAATAAAAGATAGGAACTGCTGGTAGCAGTCTTAAGGATCTCTGACTCCCACAGCCTATTGTATTAACCACTGGGATAGATTGCCACATCAAAATGTATCACGTCCCCTTACCAACTAAGGAATCCATATGAATAGCAGCCTGCCAAAAGCATGCTAACACAATACAAAATTGTGTAACGCACATTGGATAATATCGGATCAAGTAATTCAAGTAAAGCGATCTCTGTGAAAATATTATGTTTGTATGCATATGTCTGTGAATAAGCAGAGTGATCCTTTTCATGTTAATAAATCTTCTGAAATTATAAATTCTATATTTTTAGTAATATCATAAAAATGTCTCTTCTAAGCTCTCCCATCACCAAAGATAATCTGTATGGAAACATCAACTGTTTCATTAAAACAATTACTTTTATAAAGTACTGTTCAAAGTTTAACAGAGTAATCATAAAATTCCTTGAGTGTATTTCCATTGAAGTTTCTCTGCAGAAGATGTTATGGTGTGCACAAAATTTTTGCCTTTCTGGTGTCAGTCTGGTTCATAGTGACTTGGCAAGAAACTTTAAAATAATTGTCATGATTCACTAGGATGTCATGATTCACTGATGTTATTTTCTTCTATTTATTTATTGGCAGGGAATCAGGTCCAGTTTTAGACAACTAAAATATAGTATTTTATTCAGGTGCTATTGAGAGAGGAGAAAGCAAGAAACCAGTTAGGCAGATAGTTAGAACAAGGTCCGTTGGTAAAATTCTTTTTAACAAAAGGGCAGCCTGAAGCTGCACAACCTTCAAGCACAGATAAACAGGCAAGGTCGACCCTAAAACACCCTTGTCTTTTGTAACCAGCAAAAGACATATACATATACATATACATGCTGTGGGCTTCAGTGAGCATGTTTCTTTCCTTTTTTGGACATAATCAGATAAAATAACTTACACAGTGGGGCTTGCCTACAACATGCCTGGAGGTGCACAGATAAGATTAGTTACACAGAACCAGACATGTCTGTAATGGAAAAGTCCATCTCCTGACACATGCGCAGTAAGGAAACAGGGTAATAAGGAGTAACTCAGGTTAAGGGCCTGCATGTGCATGAGAGGGAGTGGGTGGAGTTGTGAGAAATTCACACCTTTGCAAATAAAAATCTTTTTTTGTGTGCCATATGAAAATTAAACACCCCACCCCACTGGCTTGTTTATAAAAGCCTTTGTATTCAACTGAGAAATGGCAATCCTCTTGGGCCCCCTCTCTGCTGTGGAAAACTTTCCCCTTTCACTTATTAAACTTTCACTCCAACCTCACCTTTGATGTCCACGCTCATTAATTTTCTTGGTCCTAAGACAAAGAACTCTTGAGTAATACCTCAGATAGGGAGACTGCTCCAGTGACCCTGGGCTGCTTCACTATGTGTTTATTGGGTACCTACTATTCACACACAGCAGTACCTACTAGGTAGAAGAGGAATCCAGGAGATCTTTCTCATATTAATTTTATAGTCTATCAGTGGAAGATAAGAAAAATACATACATATCTGTGACAAAAATCACTGTAGTACATTATAGTCAGCAAGATATTAAAAACATAATTTAGATTTTAGAATAAATTAGGCCAAAGAATCCTAGCTTCACATTATGCTGCTTAATATTTATTAGACTCAATTTTCTCATATATAAAATGAAAATTAAAAACAACTTGAGTTTGAGAATATAAAGTAATAAAATAAAATAAACAACATATCTGTTAATAAATTAAAAATGAATATACAAAAAATACCATAAATTATTATGTAATAATACATACCACATATAAGAAAACTATATATTTAAATAGATACAATTGTATTTATTAAGCAACAAGTATATTACCTGGAGTAAAAGTGACGTTTAAAAATATACTATCTTTTTCATGTAATCCCTTCTCTTTCTCTTCCCTAGAGAAATTAACAAGGGCCTTCAGATGAAATGACATAGGTAAAGTGTTTTCAGAGATCTGTAGAGATTACTTCCAGCTTTTTGGGGGGATTAACGGTAGGGTGGAGGATAGGAAAGTCTTCATGAAAGGTATGATATTTGATATTCATGCTGAAGTATAGGCTACCTGGATGTGCATGACAAGCAGTGCGCAAAAAGGCAATTGCTGTTATGCCACTAATGAACTTTAGTGTTTTTAAATGTTTTCTATTTTAATTTTTGTGGAGTACATAATAGACGCATAAATTCATGTGATACATGTGATGTGCTGATACAGCATAAATACCTCAGAAATATGATCAGTATTAAAAAATTTCTCACACTAGTGAGGTTAAATTTTAGATTGATTTGTATTTTCGAATTTAATAGAAAACTAAATGAAGTTATATTCACAACAAAAGGCTTAAAGAGGTTGTTAAGTAAAAAGATTTGGCCTAAAATGTGGGTCTGAATTTGTGTTTGTAATTACTCTGATCTTAAAATCACTGAAAAGCTAATCTGCCCTTGCCAGAAAAATTTTGAAAGAAACACATTGTATGCCTGTATCAAAACATCACAAATATGTCATAAATATATACCTATATATACTATGTGCACATAAAATTAAAAATAAAAATAAACTGTGTAATATGATTACTATATTTGTGAAAGCTCATGAATTCAGAGAAAAAAACTAACGTATTTCAGAAGAAGCTAGCATACTCAAATATTTTCATCTTAGAGAATGATAATAAAATATATACTTTGCTTAATTGTGTTACAGGTAATTAGATAGGCATTAGGAATGTCAGGTGACAGTTCCATGATTATCACACTGCCTCTCTAAAAATGAGAATTTTGCAGCCAGTAGTGCCAGGGAGAGACAAGCTCTTTATGATCCACAGCTGTTAACATTAAAGTGTTAATTGAATGCAGATGCCAGAGAGGAGCGACTGCCTGGGCACGTGCATTAAGAGACAAAATGTTGAAGTGTGACCATCCAAGGACACTTTACCAAAAAAGGGAAGAAAGCCTCAGATGAGCATATATACAACTTCCTAAACAGACTGTGCATGCTCATTTCCCAAGGGTAAGAAGGGCACTGCACATGTGGGCAGCCCACCCTAAGGGAAGAATCATGGAAAAGAGGCGAGCCTATAAAGTCCTAGGATCGAGGTTAAACGGGGCACTTCAGGTGCCCACTTGAGTCTCTTCCAAGTACGTTTTCCTTTCTTTCCTGTTCTAAAGCCTTTAAAATAAACTTCCGCTCCTGCTCTGAAACTCCCGTCAGTCTCATCTGCCTGATGCCCCCCAGTCAAATTCTTACTTCTGAGGAGGCAAGAATTGAAGTTGCTTCAGACCTGTAAGGATTCGCCACTGATAACTCAGATGCCTTCTACTGGTTAACAACTGCATACAAAAGGAGTTAGCATGGCATTCACATTAACACAATTGGTTATTGCTTTTACAACAGCATTTTCTTTAGAAAAACTTTATGTCCTTTTTTTTTTTTTTTTTTGAGACCAAGTTTTGCTCTTGTTGTCCAAGCTGGAGTGCAAGGGCATAATCTCGGGTCACTGCAACCTCCATTTCCCGGGTTCAAGCTATTCTCCTGCCTCAGCCTCCCGAGTAGCTGGGATTATAGGCGACCACCACCACACCTGTCTAATTTTTGTATATTTAGTAGAGACGGGGTTTCACCTGGTCTTGAACTTCTGACCAGAGGTGATCCACCCTCCTCGGCCTCCCAAAGTGCTGGGATTACAGGGGTGAGCCACCGCGCCTGGCCATTATTTTCTTTTTTTAATAAATAAAATTGATTTTGCATAAAACTTATTTGATTTATAGCATAAAACATTTGACTTATATTTAAAGTAAATAGATTTTAAAATAAATATTTAAAAATCCATTAAACAATATTAAGAAAATAAAATACCCACTAAAGATGACATCTCACATCCTCTCATTCATGTGTTGTCTTAAGGACCACAGTGGTCACTTGTGTACATTATTCTTGTCTTCACCATATATCAGTATAAAGTTTCTTATTTGTCACTTTATGTGTCATCTAATGAAGGAACAAACAACTCTCCACTGGTAGGAACAAAAGGCATGAGAAGAATCCCTAAAGAGGACTTTGAGTTCACACTTAGACAAAACTCTCAACTTACTGCTCTGTCCACACAGTTCCCTCGATATCTGTAAAATTATTTTGAAGTATAAAATCTGGGAGAAAAATCCATCAAATTATAAAGTAGAACTAATAATGCTTTCATGGGTAAGCAATGAAACAAACCAAAAGGTAAACCAGCGTTTTAAAGATTGATATTTCTTTAAGAAGAGAATGGAAAATAAATTAAAATATACATTTTATATTGATTATCATGAAGTTTTCTAGTTTCTTACCTGAAGTTTCCTGGAGGAACTTTAACAGCACTCATTTGACATTAGGAAGAAGCCGAATGTAAATAAATCCTAGGTGGATAAGCATAATATAATGAGTAATATGATCTTAAATGGAAAAAAGATTATGTAAAGTTGTTTATACTTAACATTTTCCACCCACTACACTGTGAAGCAGATTAACCTTTTGTCAAAGGTGTAACCTTCTGTTGGTTCCCTAGCAACTATTTGCCCTGAATTTTGCATTTACTATCATGGTCTCTGCCCCTACCCCAACTAACCAAGTATGCCAGGATATATCTAAAATAAGATTGACAATAATTAGTAATCTTGAGATTGTTATGAATAAGTATGAGCAATTAATATCCCTCAAACTTATGAAACAAACAATTATTATATTATTATGAAAAAAGTTTTAAAAATTAAAATGTCTTTATTTTTATTTATATATATATATTTTCCTGATTCATGATGATGAAAGTGGGTGGTTTGATTGATCTTTGCCATAAATAAAGAAGATAGTAATTTAGATAATGAAATAACTTTTTTAGAGTTGCACACCTTCATTATGCACCATCCTTGGGGAATAAAATTACTGCTGTTTCTTTGTGCAAATATTTTGAAGTAGCAAAAAATAACTTAGTATGTTTTTTGGCATAGCATCCCAAATATGTCATATTTAGTAATAACTAAGTACTGAGATAGAACATCACCACTTGTTGTTTTTGCTGATAAGCAAACTTATGGAAATGTGGAAATAAATTTCATACAGCTGATAAGTATGGCATAGTCCGGCAGAGACACACTTTGTATGATAACATTGAAGAGGAAATAAAGAAGAACAGTGGAGGCCCCAAGCAAGTCTTTAAGTTCAAGTCAGCTTGGATTGCATACATCTGACTACAAATATTCATCAATTCATGGAGTGCAAGTTCAATCTTGATAAAAGAGAAGTAATGTGTGTGTTTCATACAATGATTTCTCCATTTTGAATAGCTAATGTAATTAACTTCTCAGCTAAATAAAATGAGTCTTCATGCAAATATTTCAACATGAGCCCTCAAATAGAAACTTTTCTGAGTCTTTACACTTGCAGTAATATATCTTTTGCCTTCACACTTGGAACACAGCATGGGTGTTAATTAATATTTTTAATTCCTGTAGTTTTCACTCAAATCTATTTGATCATACTCTATTATCTTTTTATAATCCCAGTCACAAATACACACACACACACACACACACACACACACATTCCTTTTAAGCCAAATAATTGATAACTAATTTTTTTTTAAAAAAGCTTCTTTTCTGTTTGGTTCTCTGTACTGTAAAATTTATATCAAATATATTAACTGTAATATAAAAGTTTTTTTGCTTGTCCAAGATTTTTACTTGCTACAGGTGGTTAAATTTCTATCTAGGACAGAATGAGCAAAGCCAGTAACTGAAAATATTGAACAGCATGATTCCCAACTAGACAAAAGAGAGACTCGAAATAAGAAAAATTTATAATGAACACTGGACACAGTAGGCCTGAAGACTCCCTATGATTCCAATATATTTCTAGGTGTAAAAGATTACTGTTATTCTACTCACCCTCCCATGAAGACTAACAGGCTTCATGGGACTAACTCTATAACAAGAAAATATTTTAAATTGGTGAAGCTTTTCTTGGAAATGACTCATTTTACCCAATTCAATGACAACAATTTTCACCACTTATAATTAATGAGAAATACTGAATAAAGTATCATCAACTTCAAGGTTAACCAATAAACTTCTTTGTAAAACAACCATATTTCATACCATGTATGATAATAATTTTTATCAATGTTTAAAAAGCATTTTGAAAAATTCATGTCAAATGTTTTCTTTTCATTTTAATTTCTGAGTTATTTTTCCTATGTGTATCAGTTGTGTATTGCTGTGAAAAAAGTCACTTCAAATTTAGTAGCTTCAACCAACAATCATTTTATTTGCTACCAATTTTTTGGGTGAGAAGTTTGTGCTGGGCTCAGTTGGACAGTTCTACTGATTTCCCTGTATATACCTCATGCAGCAAAAGTCATCCTGGTGGTTCTATGTGATGGTTAATTTTTGTATCGACTTGGCTGGATGATAGTCCCCAGATATTTGGTCAAACGTCATTCTAAATATTTCTGTCTATGTGTTTTGGGAATGAGATAATATTTTACTGGATTATTCTTCACAATGCGGGTGGGCCTCATCCAGTTAGTTGAAGGCCTTAATAGACAATAATTGACATCAGACCTAAGTAAGAAGGAATTCTGCCAGCAGACTGCTTTTGGACTCAAATTGCAACTCTTCCCTGAGTCTCAAGCCTGCTGGCCTACCTTGCATATTTTGGACTTACCAAGCTTCCACGACTGTATGAAGCATTTCCTTAAAATAAATGTACATATCTGTCTCTCTACACACATACATATATACACACTCTCACACACATCCTGTTGGTTCTCTTTCTCTGGAGAACCCTAACACACTCCACTCAGACAGATTGTCTAAGGTGGCTTCACTTAAGTTTTGGATATCGACTCTTGCCGTCACTCTCTTGAAACAATGTTCTTAGACTCTCATGTAAAGAAACTCCATCTAGCTGCACCCTGGCACTGTCCCAAAAAAGTGAGGATAATACCTGCAAGGTTTCTTAAGGATTATGCCTTGAAGTCATATTTTACTTCTGTAGAGTTCTATTAGATCAAACAAGTTACCTGGCCAAGCCTAGGGTCATAGTGGGAGAATTTTGAGGGCCATATGGCAAACAGCCCACCATACAATACATTCTCAAATGGCTTCTCAAATTTTACATTCTTGTGAATGATTCTCTCTTCTTGTGATTAATTTTACACACATTACTTCAATATAAATTTTTATCTCATTGCATTTTCAGTTTTTTTGTAATTTCACATTTATGGTACTCTTACAATGTGCCATGTGCTATTCTAAGTATTTTATGTAGATTAATTTAATTCTTACAACAACCTTTTGAGGTAGGTAATACTATTTTGTTCCCATTTTCAGATGAAAATGCCAAGGCATAGAAAGCTTATGTAACTTGCCCAGTAACACTCAGAGACTTAATGTCACAACCAGTACTTAAATGTATACTATCTGACTACAGGGTATGCATGCTTAGTCATAATGTTATTAAAATATCATTTGTGATGACTGAGGCATCATGGCAGATAGGAGGCAGGACTAGATTGCAGTTCCAGACAGAGCAGGAGACAGAGGCTTGCACATTGAATTTTAGCTCCAGATCGACTGCAAGAGCAAACCGGTAATCCTGAGAGGACCCACAGATCCTCTGCCGGAAGCAGACTGTTTCTGCAGGACCAAGGAGACACCACAGATACTGTGGGTGTCCCAACTGCAGAAATTGGAAAGGGAGACCCTTCTCTTCCAAACACACACCCCACTGGAGAAGCTGTTTCTGACTTTACCTGGAGCTGAGTCAAGTTAGAGAGCTGAGCCAAGTGAAATACAGGGGTAGGGGAAGTAGCGGAAAGACCCTGGGAGCTCGCTGGGTCCCCCAAGCAGCCCATACCTGCCTGGCACCACAGGGATCCACTGGGAGGTTGGCCAGAGAAGTAGGGGGTAAAATACCACAGGCAGAAGGAATTCTCTAGCTAAACTCTGTAACAATTTGAACGGGGCATGAAGCCTCCTGGCCAGTACTTCAAGGAGGGTGTGAATCCAGCATGCAGACCTCACAGGCAGGGGGGAAAACTAAAGCCCTTTTCTTTGGCAGCCGGGAGGTGGAAAGCCTCAGGCAAGTTTTCAAGCAGGGCTCACCCTCCACCTGGAAACAGACTCCAGGTTGTTGAGGGGGACACGGTGGGAGTGAGACTGGCCCTTCAGCTAGCATGTGAACTAGGTGAGGCCTGTGACTGCTGGCTTTCCCCTACTTACCTGACAACCTACATGACTCAGCAGAGGCAGCCGTACTTCTCCTAGTGTGTCCGGAATTGGTGGGTTCTTGGTCTCGCTGTCTTCAAGGATGAAGCCGCGGACCCTCACGGTGAGTGTTACAGTTCTTAAAGATGGTGTGTCCGGAGTTTGTTCCTTCTGATGTTCGGACGTGTCTGGAGTTTCTTCCTTCTGGTGGGTTCGTGGTCTCACTGACTTCAGGAATGAAACTGCAGACCTTCGCGGTGAGTGTTACTGTTCTTCAAGGCAGCGCGTTTGGAGTTGTTAGTTCCTTCCGGTGGGTTCATGGTCTCACTGGCTTCAGGAGTGAAGCTACAGACCTTTGCAGTGAGTGTTACAGCTCTTAAAGACGGCGCAGACCCAAAGATTGAGCAGCAGCAAGATTTATTGTGAAGAGTGAAAGAACAAAGCTTCCACAGCGTGGAAGGGGACCCCAGCTGGCTCGGATGGCCTGCTTTTATTTCTTTTTTTTTTTTCTTTTTCTGACTATGTAAGTATCACATTTATTATTTTAAAATAAGAAATGCACAAAGATGGCAAAATAATTTGGAAATTATTTCTAATTCTACCATGTATAAATTATCACTGAATATTTCGGTAAACATTCATCCAGAGTTTATATTAATACAAATACACACACACACACACACACACACACACACCACATCCTGCTGATTGGTCCATTTTGACAGAGTACTGATTGGTGCATTTACAAACCTTTAGCTAGACACAGAGCGCTGATTGGTGCATTTACAATCCTTTAGCTAGACACAAAAGTTCTCCAAGTCCCCTACCAAATTAGCTAGACACAGAGTGCTGACTGGTGCGTTTACAAACCTTTAGCTAGACACAGAGTGCTGATTGGTGCATTTACAAACCTTTAGCTAGATACACAGTGCTGATTGGTGCATTTACAAACCTTTAGCTAGACAGAAAAGTTCTCCAGGTCCCCACCTGACCCAGAAGCCCAGCCAGCTTCACCTCTCAATGGCACTCACTGTGGGACTTTGCAGCACCTAGCCCGGGCACTCTGGCAGCCCAGAGGGAGCTCGTTCCCTGATCAAGCCCAGCAGGCTCTGACCAGCTGCACCCGTGGAGTCCACGCCCACTGGGAACCCGTGCCGGCCCACAAGCACCACAAGCAGCCCTCGCTCCAGCCTGCTCCTCTCCCTCCACACCTCTGTGTGAGCAGAGGGAGCCAGCTCTGGCCTCAGCCAGCCCCAGAGAGGGGGCCCCCACAGCACAGTGGTGGGCCAAAGGGCTCCTCGAGCTTGGCCAGAGCAGACGCCAAGGCCGAGGAGGTGCCGAGAGCAAGTGAGGGCTGCTGGCACGTTGTCACCTCTTGCTAGGTACACAACTCCAGTGACCTGGGAGTCTCACTCCCATCTCCAACAGCAGCTGCAGCAAGACCCGCCCAAGGAGATGCTGAGCTCGCACACACCTATACTACCCCCACCTGATGGGCCTTCCCTATCCACTCTGGTAGCAGAAGACAAAGGACATTTAATCTTGGGAGTTCTGGGGTCCCATCCACTGTGGGTATCTCTTCACACTACTACAGCTGATGCTTTCTGGAAAGTGCCATCTCCTGGCAACAGGCCAAGCAGCACAAAAATGATCATTAAACCACCAAAGCTAGGACCCTCACAGAGTCCAATGCACCTCTGCCACCTCCAATGGAACAGGCACTGGTATCCACAGCTGAGAGACTCATAGATGGTTCACATCACAGGACTCTGCAGACAACCCCCAGTACCAGCCCGGAGCTGGGTAGACTCACTGGCTGGCTAGACCCAGAAGAGAGTTAACAATCATTGCAGTTGGGCTCACATGAAATCACATCCACAGGAAAAGGGGGAGAGTACTACATCATGAGAACACCCTGTAGGACAAAAAAATCTGAACAGCAACCTTTGGCCCTAGACCTTCCCTCTGACATAGCCTACACAAATGAGAAGGAACCAGAAAACAAACCCTGGTAATATGACAAAACTAGGCTCTTCAACACCCCCAAAAAATCACACTAGCTCACCAGCAATGGGTCCAAACCAATAAGAAATTCCTGATTTACCTGAAAAAGAATTCAGGAGGTTAATTATTAAACTAATCAAGGAGGCACCAGAGAAAGGTGAAGCCCAATGCAAGGAAATCCAAAAATATGATACAAGAATTGAAGGAGAAATATTCAAGGAAATAGACAGCTTAAAGAAAAAACAATCAAAAATTCAGGAAACTTTTGGCAGACTTTAAGAAATGTGAAATCCTCTGGAGAGTCTCAGCAATAGAACTGAACAAGTAGAAGAAAGAAATTCAGAGCTCAAAGACAAGGTATTTGAAGTAACCCAATCCAACAAAGACAAAGAAAAAAAGAATAAGAAAATATGAACAAAGTCTCCAAGAAGTCTGGGATTATGTTAAACAACCAAACTTAAGAATAATCAGTGTTCCTGAGGAGGAAGACAATTCTAAAAGCTTGGAAAACATGTTTGGGGGAATAATTGAGGAAGACTTCCCTGGCCTTGCTAGAGACCTAGACATGCAAATACAAGAAGCATAAAGAACACCCAGGAAATTCAGTGCAAAAAGATTTTCACCTACACACATTGTCATCAGGTTATCCAAAGTTAAGATGAAGGAAAGAATCTTAAGAGCTGTGAGACAGAAAAACCAGGTAACCTATAAAGTAAAACCTATCAGGTTAACAGCAGATTTTTCAGCAGAAACCCTACAAGCTAGAATGGATGGGGCCCTATCTTCAGCTTCCTCAAACAAAACAAGTACCAGCCAACAATTTTGTAGCCAGCAAAACTAAGCATCATATATGAAGGAAAAATTCAGCCATTTTCAGACAAACAAATGCTGAGAATTTGCCATTACCAAGCCACTGTAAGAACTGCTAAAAGGAGCTGTAAATCTTGAAACAAATCCTGGAATCACATCAAACAGAACATCTTTAAAGCATAAGTCAGACAGAACCTATAAAACAAAAATACAAGTTTAAAAGCAAAAACAAAAAAAACAAAAATAACCAAAGTACACAGGCAACAAAGAGCATGATGAATGCAATGGTACCTCACATTTCAAAACTAACATTGACTGTAATTGGCCTAAATGCTCCAATTAAAAGATACAGAACCTCAGAATGGATAAGAACTCACCAACCATCTCCTGCCTTCAAGAGACTCACCTAACACATAAGGACTCATATAAACTTCAAGTAAAGTGGTAGAAAAAGACATTTCATGCAAATGGACACCAAAAGCAAGCAGGGGTAGCTATTCTTATATCAGACAAAACAAACTTTAAAGTATGAGAAGTTAAAAGGGACAAAGAGGATCATTATATAATGGCAAAAGGCCTTGACCAGCAGGAAAATATCACAATTTTAAACATATATGCACTTAACACTGGAGCTCCTAAATTTATAAAACAATTATTAATAGACCTAAGCAATGAGATAGAGAGCAACACAATCATAGTGGGGGACTTCAATACTCCACTGACAGCACTAGACAGATCATCAAGACAGATAGTCACCAAGGAAGCCATGGATTTAAACTACACCTTGGAACAAATGGACTTAATAGATAGATAGATAGATAGATAGATAGATAGATAGATAGATAGATAGAACATTTCATCCAACAACTGCAGAATGCACATTTTATTCAACAGTGCATGGAATTTTCTTCAAGTTAAACCATGTGATAGGCCATAAAATAAGCCTCAATACATTTAAGAAAATTGAAATTGGAGTTTGCTGGAGGTCCACTCCAGATCCTGTTTGCCTGGATATCACAAGTGGAGGCTACAGAACAACAAATACTGCAGAATGGCAGATGTTGCTGCCTGATCCTTCCTCTGGAAGCTTTGTCTCAGAGGGGCACCTGGCTGTCTCAGTCAGCCCCTACTTAGAGGTGTCTCCCAGTTAGGCTACTTGGGGGTCAGGGACCCACTTGAGAAGGCAGTCTGTCCGTTCTCAGATCTCTAACTCCATGCTGGGAGAACCACTATTCTCTTCAAAGCTGTCAGACAGGGATGTTTAAGTCTGCAGAAGTTTCTGCTGTCTTTTGTTCAGCTATGCCCTGCCCCCAGAGGTGGAGTCTACAGAGGCAGGCAGGCCTCCTTGAGCTGCTGTGGGCTCCACCCAGTTCGAGCTTCCTGGAAGCTTTGTTTACCTACTCAAGCCTCAGCAATGGCAGACACCCCTCTCCCAGCCTCACTGCTGCCTTGCACTTTGATGTCAGACTGCTGTGCTAGCAGTGAGCAAGGATCTGTGGGCAGGGGACCCTCCAAGCCAGGTGCAGGATATAATCTGCTGGTGTGCCATTTGCTAAGGCTGTTGGAAAAGAGCAGTATTAGGGTGGGAGTGTCCCAATTTTCCAGGTACCGTCTGTCTCAGCTTCCCTTTGTTAGCAAAGGGAATTCCCCAACCCCTTGCACTTTCTGGGTGAGGTGATGCCCTGCCCTGCTCCGTGGGCTGCACTCACTGTCTGACAAGCACCAGTGAGATCAACCCAGTACCTCAGTTGGAAATGCAGGAATCACCCATCTTCTGCATTGCTCACACTGGGAGCTGCAGACTGGAGCCGAGGGTCCTGACTGTTAGAAGGAAAATTAACAAACAGAAAGGACATCCACACCAAAACCCCATCTGTATGTCACCATCATCAAAGACCAAAGGTAGATAAAACCACAAAGATGGGGAGAAACCAGAGCAGAAAAGGTGAGAATTCTAAAAATCAGAGCGCCTCTTCTCCTCCAAAGGAACACAGTTCCTTGCCAGCAACAGAACAAAGCTGGACGGAGAATGACTTTGATGAGTTGAGAGAAGAAGGCTTCAGACAATCGGTAATAACAAAATTCTCTGAGCTAAAGGAGGATGTTCAAACCCATCACAAAGAAGATAAAAACCTTGAAAAAAGATTAGACGAATGGCTAACTAGGATAACCAGTGTAGAGAAGTCCTTAAATGACCTGATGGAGCTGAAAACCATGGCATGAGAGCTAGGTGATGCATGCACAAGCTTCAGTAGCCGAATCGATCAAGTGGAAGAAAGGGTATCAGTGATTGAAGATCAAATGAATGAAATGAAGTGAGAAGAGAAGTTTAGAGAAAAAAGAGTAAAAAGAAATGAACAAAGCCTCCAAGAAATATGGAACTATGTGAAAAGACCAAATCTACATCTGATTGGTGTACCTGAAAGTGATGGGGAAAATGGAACCAAGTTGGAAAACACTCTGCAGGATATTATCCAGGAGAACTTCCCCAATGTAGCGAGGCAAGCCAACATTCAAATTCAGGAAATACAGAGAATGCCACAAGGATACTCCTCAAGAAGAGAAACTCCAAGACACATAATTTTCAGGTTCACCAAAGTTGGAATGAGGGAAAAAATGTTAAGGTCAGCCAGAGAGAAAGGTCGGGTTACCCACAAAGGGAAGCCCATCAGACTAACAGTGGATGTCTCGGCAGAAACTCTACAAGCCAGAAGATAGTGGGGGCAAATATTCAGCATTCTTAAAGAAAATAATTTTCAACCCAGAATTTCATATCCAGCTAAACTAAGCTTCATAAGTGAAGGAGAAATAAAATCCTTTACAGACAAACAAATGCTGAGAGACCTTGTCACCACCAGGCCTGCCCTAAAAGAACTCCTGAAGGAAGCGCTAAACATGGAAAGGAACAACCAGTACCAGCCACTGCAAAAACATGCCAAATTGTAAAGACCATCAATGCTAGGAAGAAACTGCATCAACTAATGAGCAAAATAACAAGCTAACATCAAAATGACAGGGTCAAATTCACACATCATAATATTAACCTTAAATGTAAATGGGCTAAATGCTCCAATTAAAAGACACAGACTGGAAAATTGGATAAAGAGTCAAGACCCATCACTGTGCTGTATTCAGTAGACCCATCTCACGTGCAGAGACACATATAGGCTCAAAATAAAGGGATGAAGGAAGATCTACCAAGCAAATGGAAAACAAAAAAAGGCAGGGGTTGCAATCCTAGTCTCTGATAAAACAGACTTTAAACCAACAAAGATCAAAAGAGACAAAGAAGGCCATTACATAATAGTAAAGGGATCAATTCAACAAGAAGAGCTAACTATCCTAAATATGTATGCACTCAATACAGCAGCACCCAGATTCATAAAGCAAGTCCTTAGAGACCTACAAAGAGACTTAGACTCCCACACAATAATAATGGGAGAGTTTAACACCCCACTGTCAACATTAGACTGATCAACGAGACAGAAAGTTAACAAGGATATCCAGGAATTGAACTCAGCTCTGCACCAAGTGGACCTAATACACATCTACAGAATTCTCCACCTCAAATCAACAGAATATACATTCTTCTCAGCACCACACCACACCTATTCCAACATTGACCACATAGTTGGAAGTAAAACACTCCTCAGCAAATGTAAAAGAACAGAAATTATAATAAACTGTCTCTCAGACCACAGTGCAATCAAACTAGAACACAGGATTAAGAAATGCACCAAAAACTGCACAACTACATGGAAACTGAACAACCTGCTCCTGAATGACTACTGGGTACATAAAGAAATGAAGGCAGAAATAAAGATGTTCTTTGTAACCAACGAGAACAAAGACACAACATACCAGAATCTCTGGGACACATTTAATGCAGTGTGTAGAGAGAAATTTATAGCACTAAATGCCCACAAGAGAAAGCAGGAAAGATCTAAAATTGACACCCTAACATCACAATTAAAAGAACTAGAGAAACAAGAGCAAACACATTCAAAAGCTAGCAGAAGGCAAGAAATAACTAACATCAGAGCAGAACTGAAGGAGATAGAGACACAAAAACCCCTTCAAAAAATCAATGAGAGGGGAGGAGCCAAGATGGCCGAATAGGAACAGCTCCGGTCTATAGCTCCAAGCGTGAGCGACACAGAAGACGGGTGATTTCTGCATTTCCATCTGAAGTACCGGGTTCATCTCACTAGGGAGTGCCAGACAGTGGGCTCAGGTCAGTGGGTGCGCGCACCATGCGCGAGCTGAAGCAGGGCAAGGCATTGCCTCACTCGGGAAGTGCAAGGGGTCAGGGAGTTCCCTTTCCGAGTCAAAGAAAGGGGTGACGGACACACCTGGAAAATCGGGTCACTCCCACCCGAATATTGCGCTTTTCTGACCAGCTTAAAAAACGGTGCACCACGAGATTATATCCCGCACCTGGCTTGAAGGGTCCTACGCCCACGGAGTCTCGCTGATTGCTAGCACAGCAGTCTGAGATCAAACTGCAAGGCGGCAGCGAGGCTGGGGGAGGGGCGCCCACCATTGACCAGGCTTGCTTAGGTAAACAAAGCAGCTGGGAAGCTCGAACTGGGTGGAGCCCACCACAGCTCAAGGAGGCCTGCCTGCTTCTGTAGGCTCCACCTCTGGGGGCAGGGCACAGACAAACAAAAAGACAGCAGTAACCTCTGCAGACTTAAATGTCCCTGTCTGACAGCTTTGAAGAGAGCAGTGGTTCTCCCAGCACGCAGCTGGAGATCTGAGAATGGGCAGACTGCCTCCTCAAGTGGGTCCCTGACCCCTGACCCCCGAGCAGCCTAACTGGGAGACACCCCCCAGCAGGGGCACACTGACACCTCACACGGCAGGGTATTCCAACAGACCTGCAGCTGAGGGTCCTGTCTGTTAGAAGGAAAACTAACAAACAGAAAGGACATCCACACCAAAAACTCATCTGTACATTACCATCATCAAAGACCAAAAGTAGATAAAACCACAAAGATGGGGAAAAACAGAACAGAAAAACTGAAAACTCTAAAACGCAGAGCGCCTCTCCTCCTCCAAAGGAACACAGTTCCTCACCAGCAACGGAACAGAGCTGGATGGAGAATGACTTTGACGAGCTGAGAGAAGAAGGCTTCAGACGATCAAATTACTCTGAGCTACGGGAGGACATTCAAACCAAAGGCAAATAAGTTGAAAACTTTGAAAAAAATTTAGAAGAATGTATAACTAGAATAACCAATATAGAGAAGTGCTTAAAGGAGCTGATAGAGCTGAAAACCAAGGCTCGAGAACTACGTGAAGAATGCAGAAGCCTCAGGAGCTGATGCGATCAACTGGAAGAAAGGGTATCAGCAATGGAAGATGAAATGAATGAAATGAAGCGAGAAGGGAAGTTTAGAGAAAAAAGAATAAAAAGAAATGAACAAAGCCTCCAAGAAATATGGGACTATGTGAAAAGACCAAATCTACGTCTGATTGGTGTACCTGAAAGTGATGGGGAGAATGGAACCAAGTTGGAAAACACTCTGCAGGGTATTATCCAGGAGAACTTCCACAATCTAGCAAGGCAGGCCAACGTTCAGATTCAGGAAATACAGAGAACGCCACAAAGATACTCCTCAAGAAGAGCAACTCCAAGACACATAATTGTCAGATTCACCAAAGTTGAAACGAAGGAAGAAATGTTAACGGCAGCCAGAGAGAAAGGTCGGGTTACCCTCAAAGGGAAGCCCATCAGACTAACAGCGGATCTCTCGGCAGAAACTCTACAAGCCAGAAGAGAGTGGGGCCAATTTTCAACATTCTTAAAGAAAAGAATTTTCAACCCAGAATTTCATATCCAGCCAAACTAAGCTTCATAAGTGAAGGAGAAATAAAATACTTTACAGACAAGCAAATGCTGAGAGATTTTGTCACCACCAGGCCTGCCCTAAAAGAGCTCCTGAAGGAAGCGCTAAACATGGAAAGGAACAACCAGTACCAGCCGCTGCAAAAGCATGCCAAAATGTAAAGACCATCGAGACTAGGAAGAAACTGCATCAACTAATGAGCAAAATCACCAGCTAACATCATAATGACAGGATCAAATTCACACATAACAATATTAGCTTTAAATGTAAATGGACTAAATGCTCCAATTAAAAGACACAGACTGGCAAATTGGATAAAGAGTCAAGACCCATCAGTGCGCTGTATTCAGGAAACCCATCTCACGTGCAGAGACACACATAGGCTCAGAATAAAACGATGGAGGAAGATCTACCAAGCAAATGGAAAACAAAAAAAGGCAGAGGTTGCAATCCTAGTCTCTGATAAAACAGACTTTAAACCAACAAAGATCAAAAGAGACAAAGAAGGCCATTACATAATGGTAAAGGGATCAATTCAACAAGAAGAGCTAACTATCCTAAATATATATGCACCCAATACAGGAGCACCCGGATTCATAAAGCAAGTCCTGAGTGACCTACAAAGAGACTTAGACTCCCACACATTAATAATGGGAGACTTTAACACCCCACTGTCAACATTAGTCAGATCAACCAGACAGAAACTCAACAAGGATACCCAGGAATTGAACTCAGCTCTGCACCAAGAGGACCTAATAGACATCTACAGAACTCTCCACCTCAAATCAACAGAATATACATTTTTTTCAGCACCACACCACACCTATTCCAAAATTGACCACATAGTTGGAAGTAAAGCTCTCCTCAGCAAATGTAAAAGAACAGAGATTATAACAAACTGTCTCTCAGACCACAGTGCAATCAAACTAGAACTCAGGATTAAGAATCTCACTCAAAACTGCTCAACTACATGGAAACTGAACAACCTGCTCCTGAATGACTACTGGATACATAACGAAATGAAGGCAGAAATAAAGATGTTCTTTGAAACCAGCGAGAACAAAGACACAACATACCAAAATCTCTGGGACGTATTCAAAGCAGTTTGTAGAGGGAAATTTATAGCACTAAATGCCCACAAGAGAAAGCAGGAAAGATCCAAAATTGACACCCTAACATCACAATTAAAAGAACTAGAAAAGCAAGAGCAAACACATTCAAAAGCTAGCAGAAGGCAAGAAATAACTAAAATCAGAACAGAACTGAAGGAAATAGAGACACAAAAAACCCTTCAAAAAATTAATGAATCCAGGAGCTGGTTTTTTGAAAGGATCAACAAAATTGATAGACCGCTAGCAAGACTAATAAAGAAAAAAAGAGAGAAGAATCAAATAGACACAATAAAAAATGATAAAGGGGATATCACCACCAATCCCACAGAAATACAAACTACCATCAGAGAATACTACAAACACCTCTACGCAAATAAACTAGAAAATCTAGAAGAAATGGATAAATTCCTCGACACATACACTCTCCCAAGACTAAACCAGGAAGAAGTTGAATCTCTGAATAGACCAATAACAGGAGCTGAAATTGTGGCAATAATCAATAGTTTACCAACCAAAAAGAGTCCAGGACCAGATGGATTCACAGCTGAATTCTATCAGAGGTACAAGGAGGAACTGGTACCATTCCTTCTGAAACTATTCCAATCAATAGAAAAAGAGGGAATCCTCCCTAACTCATTTTATGAGGCCAGCATAATCCTGACACTAAATTCAAATTAAGACACAAAGGCCATTATCTTTACTACAATTAAACATGTGCTTAGAGGTATAGATGAGAAAAGTTAGGCAAAAGAAGACAATCAGTTATGTCAAAAATGGAGAGGGAGAGGTAATTTATCTTTAGTTGCAGTTCATATGGAGGAATATTTGGAAAACTATTATAAAGTTCAAGAGAGTATATAGAGCAAAATAATAAGATATAAAGTTTAAATTGAGATATGTGTAGAATTTTATACAATAAGAAAGATAAGTTGTTCATAATCTAATTAAAAAGATAAAATAACTAAGCATAAATTTAACAAAGCATATACAAAATCTATATGAGGAACAATTTTAAACACTTTAGAAATACACAAAATAGTCACTTTTTATTAAATTAAATTAGTGATATTCTTCCAATCTTCTTTAACTTCTAATTTTCTCTTCCATTTTCAGTCTCTGTACTTTGAGCACTCAAAGAGTATTGCTTATAATATAATCTGTCAATACTGCCTAATATTTGGAGATATGTGATAATGCAATATGGTAAAGAAAAAATAAAAACTAAGGGTGACATTTATATCTTTACTTATTTTAGCACAGCTGGAAAAAATCCCTATGTTTATCAGGTAGCATTTTTATATTCTACTTACCCAATATATGAGGTTTTAGAACTTTGTCAAATTCTATAGAATATTAAATAAGAGGAAAGCTGAAGTTCAGAACAATGGTCTTTTGACAGCTAACCTGCCTTCTCATATGGAAAAATAACAAGTAAATGTTTTCCTTTTTTTCTTAGGAAATTCTAGCTGATTTTATAACTGGTAAATTAATCTTTGCTATCCTTATGTCCTCTAGAAACAACCATGCAGATATCAAACCATGCAATACGAACAACACCAAAAAAAAAAAAAAAACCTTGGTATTGGGTTCTCCATTTTTTTAAGACATTAAATTTTGTATTCATTTAAGTGTATTTTACAAGAGATGGAACAAGATGGTGGAATAGAAAGCTCCATCGATCTTCCTCCACACACACATCACAAGGACACCAAGTTAACAAATATCTACGCAGAAAAAAAATCTTTATAAAAAAAATCAGTTGACCACTCATAGTACCTGCTTTTAACTTTGTATCATAGTTACATAGTACCTGCCTTTAACTTTGAAAGAGGCATTGAAGAGATTAAAAAAAAAAAAGTCATGAATTGCAGATTCTACCCCTCCTCACTCCACAGCAGCAGTGTGGTGTGGAGAGCACTTCTGGGCACTGGAGGAGGAGAACACAGCAAGAGTGAGGCATTGAACTCAGAATAGAAAGTAAACCCAGACCAAACTCAGCTAACACCCACTCACAGAGGGAGCATTTAAACCAGCCCTGGTCAGAGGGGAACCACCAAGTCCAGTGGTCAGAACTTGAGTGCCTGCAAACCTCACCACAGAGGACTACAGTGCTCTGTATCTCCAAGTAATCTTGAAAGGCAGTCTAGGCCATAAGGATTGCAACACTTATGTGAGTCCTACTGCTGTACCAGGCCCAGAGACCATGGACTGGGGCTCGTGTGACATATTGAGATAAGTTAGGACAGCCAAGGGAGTGCTGGCATCACCTCTTTTCTAAACCCAGGCTGTACAGCTTATGGCTCCTAAAGAGACCCCTTCCTTGCATTTGAGAGGAGAAGGAAGAGTGGGGACCACTTTACCTTGAATCTAGGATACCATCTCAGACATAGTAGGATAGGGCACTAGTCAAAGTCTTAAAGTCCCTAATCCAGGCTCTAGCTACCAGATGACATTTTTAGACACACCCAGGGCCAGAAAGGAACCTGTTGCCTTGAAGGGAAGGACCCAGTCCTGAAAACATCACCTGCTAACTGAAGAGCCCTTGGGCCCTGAATAACAAGCAGTGATACTCAGGTTCTACATACAGAGCCATGTGTGAGACATGCTAGCTTCAGGTGAGACACAGAACATTATCAGCTCTGTTGGATGTGGTTCAAAACTTCTTCTCTTTGAGAAAAGCAGAGGAAAATTTAAAGGAGACTTTGTCTTACACTTTAGGTACCAGCATGACCACAAGGGTATAGAGCACCAGTTGGGCTCTTAAGGTCCCTGGTTCAAGGACTTGACTCTTGGACGGAATTTCTGGATCTACCCTAGGCCAGAGAGGAACTCACTTCCCTAACAGGTGAGTTCCAGAGAAAGTAGCATTCACCACAAGCCAACTTATGAGACCTTGGGCTGGCTGGGCACCGTGGCTCATGCTATAATTTTAGCACTGTAAGAGACCGAGGTGGGCAGATTACTTGAGCCCAGGAGTTCCAGACAAGCCTGGGCAACATGGAAAAAAAACCCATCTCTACTAAAAATACAAAAAATTAGCCTGGTGTGGTGGAATGTGCTTGTAGTTTCAGCTACTTGGGAGGCTGAGATGGGAGGATTGCTTGATCCTGGGAGGCAGAGGTTGCAGTGAGCCAAGACTGTGCCACTGTACTCCAGCCTTGATGACACAGCGAGGCTTTGTCAAAAAAAAAAAAAAAGAAAGAAAGAAAGAGAGAGAGAGAGACAGAAATAGAGACAGAGAGAACTTGGGCCTTAAGAGAACATCAGTGGCAGTGTGGCAGTACTCCATGTGGGCTGGGGTGGAGGTGGCTATGGGGTAAGGCTCCTTTGCCTTTGAAAGTTGAAGTAAGAGTGGCAGGAACTGAGTCTTGTGGTTTGAGTGTCAGCTCAGTCTCAATACAATAGAATATCGTATAGATTTCTAAGATTTTTTGCTCTAATCTCTGAATCCTGGAAAGCACTTCTGGACCCATCCAGTGCCTGAAGGACCTTGCCATCCTGAAGGGAAAAATACAGACCTGGCTGGCTTTTTCACCTGCTGGTTGTAGCACCCAGTGCCTTGAGCAAATATACAGTAGCCAGGGAGTTGTTTCAGCAGGGCTTGGGTGAGACCCAGAGCTGTGTTGGCTTCATGTGTGACCCAGCACAGTCACAGTGGTGGTGGCCACACAGTTCTTGTGTCACTCTACTCCCAGATTTAGGTGGCTCAGACCAGAGAGAGAGAGACTCTGTTTGAGAGAAAAAAAAGGGAAGGGAATAAGATTCTCTTCTTGGTAAACCAGAGAATTCATCCAAATCTTGTTCAAGACCATTAAGGCAATACCTCCATGAGCCTGCAAGAACTACAGTATTACTGGGCTTATGGTGCTCCCTGAAGAAGATACAGCTGAGATCACAACACCCAAGTTCCTTTACGTATCTGGAAAACCTTCAAAAAAAGTACAGCTACTAATAACTCCAGATAGTGAGGACTACAATAAATAGTTAACTCCTCAATACCAAAGAACCTCTATTAGCATCAACACCATCTAGGGAAACATGGCTTCCTGAAATGAACTAAATAAGGCACCAGGGACTTGTCTAAATAAGGCTCCAGGTATCTCTGTTTTTGGAGAAACAGAGATTTGTGAACTTTCAGACAGAGAATTCAAAATAGCTGTGTTGAAGAAAATCAAAGAAATTCAAGATAACGGAGAAATAATTAAGAATTTTACCAGAGAAATGTAACAAAGAGATTGAAGTAATTAAAAAGAATTCTCAAGAAATACTAGAGTTGAAAAAATGCAATTTCCATAATGAAGGCATCAGAGTCCCTTAATAGCATAATTGATCAAACAAAAGAAAGAATTAGTCAGCTTGAAAAGAGGCTACTTGAACATATGCAGTCAGAAGATATAAAAGAAAAAAAAACACAATGAAGCATGCCTACAGAATCTAAACAATAGTCCAAAATGGGCAAATCTAAGAGTTATCAGCATTAAAGTGGAGGTAGAGAAAGAGAAAGGTGTAGAAAGTTTATTCAAAGGGATAATAACAGAGAATACCCAAAGCTAAACAAAGAAATCCTATCCAAATATGAGATGGTTTTGAACACCAAGCAGATTTAACCCAAATAAGACCACCTCAAGGTATTTAATAATGAAACTTCCAAAGGTCAAGGATTAAAAAAAAAAATAAGGATCCTAAAATCAGCAAGAGAAAATAAACAAACAACACACAATATGGCTCCAATATGCCTGACATCAGAGTATTCAGTGTAAACCTTATAGGCCAGGAGAGAGTAGCATGCCATATTTAAAAGGCTGAAGGAAAAAACAAATAAAATACGAATAAATAAATAAATAACCTTTACCCTCAAATAGTATATTCAGCGAAAATACCTTTCAAACATGAAAGAGAAATAAAGACTTTCCCAGAAAAACAAAAGCTGAGGGATTTCAACACCAGACCTGTCCTAAAAGAAATGCTAAAGACAGTTATTCAATCAGAAAGAAAATGACAATAATGAACAATAAATAATCATCTGAAGGTATAAAAATCACGTGTAATAGTAAGTACATTGAAAAATACAGAATATTATAACACTGTAACTGTGGTGTATAAACTACTCTTATACTAAATAGAAAGACTAAAAAATAAACGAACAAAAAATAATAACCACAAAAACATTTCAAGACATACTCAGTACAATAAAATATAAATAGAAACAACAAAAAGTATAAAAGTGAGAAGACAAATTTAAAGCATAGAGTTTTTATTTGTTTTATTTTTGCTTGCTTGTTTGTTTGTTAAAGCAGATAGTGTTAAGTGGTTATCAGGTTAAAATAATGGGTTATAAGAGTATTTGCAAGCCTCATGGTAAAATTAAACTAAAGAAAATACAATAAATACACAAAAATTAAAAAGCAAGATACGAAATCTTATCAGAGAACATAACCTTCATGAGAGGAAGACAGGAAGAAAAGAAGGAAGGAAGAGAAGGCCATAAAACAATCAGAAAATGAATAACAAAATGGCAGGAATAAGCACATACTTATCAATTAAGAATCATATTGAACATAAATGAATGAAACTCTTCAATCAAAAGATGTAGTTGGCAAAATCATAGACTTGTTGAATGGATGAAAAAACAAGGTCCATTTATATGTTGCCTATAAGAAACACAATTCACCTATAAAGACATACATAGTCTGAAAATAAAGGGATAGAAAAAGATATTACATGCTAATGGAAACAAAAATAGAGCAGAAGTCACTAACCTTATATCAGACAAAATAGATTTCAAGACAAAAACTATAAAAATAGACATACAAGGTCACTATATAATGATTAAAGGGTCAATTCAGCAAGATAATATAACAATTTTAAATATATATGCACTCAACACTGGAGCACACAGATATACAAAAGAAATATTATTAGAGCTAAAGAGAGAGATAGACCCCAATACAGAAATAGCTGGAGACTTCAACACCCCACTTTCAGCATTGGACAGATCTTCCAGAGAGAAAATAAAAAAAATGAAATATTCTGTAAAGATCTATTAGACCTGTTTGATCTATAGTACAGATCAAATAATCTGGTACTATATATGTATCTAAAGTACAGATCAAATAATCTGTACTATAGATCAAACAAATCTAATAGAACTTTACAGAATATTTTAACCAAGAGCTGCAGAATACACTTTCTTTTCCTCCGCACATGAATCATTTTCAAGGATAGACCATATGTTAGGTCACAAAACAAGTATTAAAACAGCCAAAAGATTGAAATAATATCAAGCATCTTCTCTGACCACAATGGAATGAAACTAGAAATTAATAGCAAAAAGAGTTTTGGAAACTATACAAACACATCAAAATTAATCAGTGTGCTCCTGAATGACCAGGGATCAGTGAATAAATGAAGAGAAATGAAAAAATTCCTGAAACAAATGATAATGAAAATACATTACAATAACTATGAAATACAGCAAAAACAATACTGAGGGAAGTTTATTTGTATAAGTGCCTACATCATAAAAGAGGAGAAAGGTCAAATGAACAATCTAATGCTACATCTTAAAGAACCAGAAAAGCAAAAGCAAACCAAACCCAAAATTAGAAGAAGAAAAAATATAATAATAAAGATTAGAGCAGAAATACATAAAATTGAAATGAATAAACAATAAAAAGATCAATGAAGAAAAGTTGGTTTTTTGAAGAGTTAAACAAAATTGACAAACCATTAGTCAGACTAAGAAAAAATGAGAAGATCCAAATAAATAAAATCAGAAATGAAAGGAGAGACATTACAAATGATACTGCAGAAATTCAAAGCATCATTAATGGCTGCTATGAGCAACTATATGCCAATAAACTGGAAAATCTAGAAGAAATACAACCTACCAGGACTGAACCAATAGGAAATGCAAAACCTGAACAGAAAAATAACAAGTAATAACATCGAAGCTGTAAGAAAAATTCTCCCAGTAAATAAAAGCCCGGGACCTGATGGCTTTGCTGTTGATATTTAAAGAAATATTTAAAGAAGAACTAATGCCTATCCTACTCAATTTATTCTGAAAACTAGGGGAGGGAATACTTTCAAACTTATTCTATGAGGCCAGAATAACTCTGATAACAAAACCAGAAACAAACATATCAAAAAAGAAAACTACAGACCAATACCTCTGATTAATATTTATGCAAAAATCCTCAACAAAATGCCAGTAAACTGAATTCGACAACACATTAGAAATATCATTCATTATAACGAAGAGGGATTTACCCCTGAGATGCAAGGATGGTTCGACATATGCAAATCAAACAATGTGATAAATCATATTGACAGAATGAAGGATAAAAATCATTTGATCATTTCGATTGATGCTGAAAAAGCATTCGCTAAATTCAACATCCCCTCATGAAAAACACCCTGTTAGGAAGAGAAAAAAATGGCCACACTAACCATTTTAAAATATGCCTCCATCTATAAGAGGCAGGGGCACCAAAGGTGAAAAGGTAAACACCTTGTGTAAGATTTCACTAAAAGCCCAGAAATTACTTCAAGTCCTGGAACATGTCCCGGGACACTGCTCCCAGAATGATAAAGTCCGGGAGGGGGTCCCAGAACATTGCTCCCATAATGATTGTTTCAGTGTTGCTTGCTTGGGAAGGGGCCTCCTGAGCAAACAAAAGAGGGTGCCCAAAGTAACAACTGGACTTAATAAAGGGAGTTTACACAAAGGAGGATTGAAGGCTGTTGTGTGCTGGGGAACAGCACCAACGCCAATTGCAGGATCCCAGGTGTCTGCCTTCCCACTCTGATGATGACTCTTCCTGTGGTCTGGTGAGCTATGGTTACATGTTGTCTTCTTTTGCTGGTTCGTTTATACCTACTTAATGCTGCTTTTGCTGTGATATTTGCTTACAACTTTTACTCCAGGATGCTAGGCGTCTGCCTTCTGACTCCGGTGATGATTCTTCCTGTGGTCTGATGAGCTTCTGGTTACATTTTGTTGAGCTTTGGTTACACTTTTTTCTTCTCTTGTTACAAGGCTGTTTTTGTTGTGATATTTGCTCACAGTAATAAAGTTTTAGTTTTCCCATCCCCCTCACTTGAGTGCTCAGCTCATTCTTCCAACACTGTCTTGAAACAATCCTCAACATAATAAAAGCCATATATGACAGATATATTAGTATATTCTTGCATTTCTATACAGAACTACCTGAGACTGGGTAATTTATAAAGAAAGGAGGTTTAATTGGCTCATAGTTCTTCAGGCTGCATAGGAAGCACGGGTGGGGAAGCCTCAAGAAACTTACAATCATGGCAGAAGGTGAAGAGGAAGGAGGCATGTCTTCACATGGCAAGAGCAAGAGGAAGAGAGAGCAAAGCGGGAGGTACTCCACACTTTTAAACAACTACATCTAGTGCGAACTCACTCACTATCATGAGAACAGAAAGGAAGAAATCCACCCCCATGATCCAGTCAGCTCCCAACAGGCCCCTCCTGCAACACTGGGAATCACAATTAGGCATGAGATTTGGGCATGGACACGAATCCAAACAATATCAACAGACCCATATCTAGTATCATACTAAATGGGGAATAACCGAAAGCCTTTCCTCTAAGATCTGGAACATGACAAGGATGCCCACTGTCACCACTGTTATTCAACATAGTACTTGAAGTCCCAGCTGGGGCAATCAAACAAGAGAAAGATAAAGGACATGGAAATTGGAAAGGAAGAAGTCAAATTATCCTTGTTTGCAGATGATATGATAATATATTTGGAAAAACCTAAGGGCACCACTGAAAAACTACTAGACCTGATAAACAAATTTAGTAATGTTGCAGGATATAAAATCAACATACAAAAATCAGCAACATTTCTACATTCTGACAGCATACAATATGAAAAAGAAATAAAAAAGTAATAGCATTTACAATAGCTACACATAAAATTAAAAATGAAAAGATATTCCATGTTCATTCGTTGGAAGAATCAATATTGTTAAAATGTCCATATTACCCAAAGCAATCTACAGATTCGATGCAATCCCTATAAAAATACCAATGACATTCTTCACAGAAATAGAAAAAACAATCCTAAAATGTGTGTGGAACCACAAAAGACCCCAAATAGCCATAGGTATCCTAAGGAAAAAGACACAACTGGGGTAATCACATTCCCTGACTTCAAATTATATGACAGAGCTATAGTAACCAAAGCAGCATTGTACTCACATAAAAACAGACACAGAAACAAATGGAACAGAATAGAGAACCCAGAAACAAAAACCACACACGTACAGTGAACTCATTTTTGAGAAAGGTGCCAAGAATATACACTGGAAGAAAAGACAGTCTCTTCAATAAATAGTGCTGGGAATACTGGATATCCATATGCAGAAGAATGAAACTAGCTCCTATCTCTCACCAGCTACCAAAATCAAATTAAAATGAATTAAAGACTTATATCTAAGACCTCAATCTACGAAACTACTTCAAGAAAACATTTGGGAAAATTTCCAAGACATCGTTCTAGGCAAAAATTTATTGAGCAATTCCTTACAAGCATAGGCAAACAAAGCAAAGACAGAAGAACGGGATCACAAGTTAAAAAGCTTCTGCACATCAAAAAAATACAATTCACAAAGTAAGGAGAAAGCCCAAAGAAATGGAGAAAATATCTGTAAACTACCCATCTGACAAGGGCTTAATAACTAGAGTATATAAGGAGCTTGAACAATTCTATAGGGGAAAAAAATCTAATAATCCAGTCAAAAATGGGCAGAAGTAAGCATTTCTCAAAAGAAGAAATACAGATGGCAAACAGGCATATGAAAATGTGCTCAACATCATTGTTCATCAGAAAAATGTAAATCAAAACTGCAATGAGCTATCATCTCACCCCAGTTGAAATGGCTTATATCCAAAAGACAGACATTAATAATGATGCTGAGGATGTGGAGAAAAAGGAAATGATGGTGGAAATGTAAGTTAATACAACCACTATGGAGAACAGTTTGGAGGTTCCTCAGAAAACTAATAATTGAGGTACCATATGATCCAGCAATCTCACTGCTAGGTATATAGTGAGAAGAAAGGAAATTAGTGTATTGAAGAGATATCTGCATTCCTGTTTGTTGTAGCACTCTTCACAGTAGTCAAGATTTGGAAGCAACGTATGTGTCCATCAAGAGATAAATGGATAAAGAAAACGTGGTACATAATGCACAATGGAGTACCATTCAGCCATAAGAAAGAATAAGATTCTGTCATTTGCAACAACATTGGTGGAACTGAAGATAATTATTTTAAGTGAAATAAGACAGGCACAGAGAGACTAACGTCACATGTTCTCACTTATTTGTGGAATCCAAAAGTCAAAACAACTGAACTCATAGACATACAGAAGAAGGATGGTTTCCAGAGGCTGAGAATGGTAGTGAGGGGCTGGAGGGAGGAAGGAGGTGGAGATGGTTAATGTCTACAAAATAAATAGAAAGAATAAATAAGACCTACTGTTGATAGCAGAATAGGGTGACTATAGTGAATAATAATTGTACATTATAAAATAACTTAAAGATGTAATTGAGTTGTTTGTAACTCAAAGGATAAATGCTTGAAGAGACAGATACCCCATTCTGCATAAGGTGGCTATTTTGGTTATTTCACATTGCATGACTTTATGAAAGGCATACCATATATCCCATAAATATATACATCTACCGTGTACTCAAAAAAAAATTTAAAAATTAAAAAAAAATTTTAGAGATCCATAGTATATTTTAGAGATCCATAGAGCCCATCTTGCATATTCTGTTGCTTTTGAAAGCATTTCTTTGACTTTGCATATTTTTTAATATCAAGTGGGTAAAAATATAACACAGAGAAACTCAATTATTTTTCTAAAAGCACACATTTATCTTGTAAAAACTTTATGTTGTTTCTTTACATAGAGTATTCATGTCAAAATTCAGTATGCATAACCAAAGATCATATTAACATTACCTTTATATCATAAAGTCTATGGGTCTTCAAAATCTTAACATTTCATTAAGTACCCTAGTTTTTTGATCTTAGGTACAATGATCAATAATAATACCTAATCATCTGTTCATAGAAGTGAACATTATATATATATAACTGTATTTAAAATCTCAACCACAAGTAGTGTCTTTTGACTTTCTCTTTAAAATCATTTTCACTAGATTTAAAATATTTCATGTAGAAAGGATTAATGCCCAGCTAGCAAAATTCATTTTTTTAAAATTTTAATTTAGTTTTATGAGCAGTCCCTCTTTTTTTAATATTATACTTTAAGTTCTAGGGTACATGTGCACAATGTGCAGGTTTGTTACATAGGTATACATGTGCCATGGTGGTTTGCTGCACCCATCAACTCATCATTTACATTAGGTATTTATCCTAATGCTATCCCTCCCCCAACCCCCCCCCAACACCGACAAACCCCAGTGTGTGATGTTCCCCTCCCTGTGTCCAAATGTTCTAATTGTGAAATTCCTACCTATGAGTGAGAACACGCAGTGTTTGGTTTTCTGTCCTTGTGATAGTTTGCTGAGAATGATGGTTTCCAGCTGCATCCATGTACCTGCAAAGGACATGAACTCATCCTTTTTTATGGCTGCATAGTATTCCACGGTGTGTATGTGCCACATTTTCTTAATCCAGTCTATCATTGATGGACATTTGGGTTGGTTCCAAGTCTTTGCTATTGTGAATAGTGTCACAATAAACATAGGTGTTCATGTGTCTTTATAGTAGCATGATTTATAATCCTTTGGGTATATACCCAGTAATGAGATCACTGGGTCAAATGGTATTTCTAGTTCTAGATTGTTGAGGAATTGCCACACTGTCTTCCACAATGCTTGAACTAATTTACACTCCCACCAACAGTGTAAAAGTGTTCCTATTTCTCCACATCCTCTCCAGCATCTGTTGTTTCCTGACTTTTTAATGATCACCATTCTAACTGGCATGAGATGGCATCTCATTGTGGTTTTGATTTGCATTTCTCTGATGACCAGTGATGATGAGCTTTTTTTTCATGTGTCTGTTGGCTGCATAAATGTCTTATTTTGAGAAATGTTTGTTCGTATCCTTTGCCCTCTTTTTGATGTTTTTTTTTTTCTTGTAAATTTGTTTAAGTTCTTTGTAGATTCTGGATATTAGCCCTTTGTCACATGGGTAGATTGCAAAAATTTTCTCCCATTCTGTAAGTTGCCTGTTCACGCTGATGGTAGTTTCTTTTGCTGTGCAGAAGCTCTTTAGTTTAATTAGATCCCATTTGTCTCTTTTGGCTTTTGTTGCCATTTGCTTTTGGTGTTTTAGTCCTGAAGTCCTTGCCCTTGCCTATGTCCTGAATAGTATTGCCTAGGTTTTCTTCTAGGGTTTTTATGTTTTTAGGTGTAACAGTTAAGTCTTTAATCTATCTTGAATTAATTTTTGTATAAGGTGTAAGGAAGGGATCCAGTTTCAGCTTTCTACATATGGCTAGCCAGTTTTCCCAGCACCATTTATTAAATAGGGAATCTTTTCCCCATTTCTTGTTTTTCTCTATTCTTAAGCCCAAGCTTATATATTTGTCAGTACAATAACATTTAGTTTTTTTCTTTTTGTGCCATAAGGATACATCTATTTCCTCAACTACACCTCCCGTAAAATTTTTTAAATTCCTGTTTTATTGTGTTTAATGTATATAACTCTGGGAAGTGAGGCACTTAAGGATGGGGGTAAGGTAGTGTGTTGGGATGCATGATACTAAACAGTCAACGTATGTTTCAGCAGTGAGACACATGGAGCACTCAAAGGTGCTGAAAAGACAATATTATAAGATCTCTGTAACTCATACCTGAATCAGTCTAATATATGGACACTTTGCTAGAATAATTTACAATTGCTAAAAATATAATAGGGACCATATTTGCCTTCAGAATAGTATATAAGTACAGAACCACTCTAGTCTCCATGATATCAATTTTAAGGTAATTACACAAAGAAAACACACTCAAGAAAAACATCTCTAAAAGCATAAAATAAATATTGGCACAAAAAATATGTGGAATAAGGAGATAAAAATCATGGCACTAAAATATTGAAATAGGATCTTAATTAAAAGACAACAAAATTTGATGCAATGCATTTGGAGACATACTTTGCTACTAAAATTATACATTTATTGTGTAATAAATATTGCACGAGTCTTCTCTGACTATAATCACAGATGTGACAATGTATTAATCTTAGGGAAAAGATGCAAAATAAACAAAGTTATCCCTTCTAGCTTCATGGCTTCTTGTTACGTTAAAGTGACATAGAATATTTTTCATTAAAAAGGAGAGAGATCCAGTTTGCAAAAGTTTTAAGAAAGACACTAATTTTTTTTCCTAATTTTAAAAATTTATTTAGTCTCTTGGTATCTGACAATTATATTCTGTGTAAATATATTTTTAAATGATTTATCTGCTCTCTATAAGAACATTTGATTAAGATAAAAAATAATTAAATTTTAAGTAAAAATTAATCTGTGATTATAGTCTCAGCCGGGAAGGACAATATAATATGACAGGTTGATGTAATTTGATCCACAATATAACCTGATAGGACACTATAATTTTCTAATGTAGAGTAGAGACTTGTTATAAAACAATTCAATTGCTCACTAGGAATAAAATATTTTTCCAAAAAAGTAATAAATCAATTTTTTTGAATTGTTAAAAAACTTGACGGCAATGAAAAGAGTGACAGATGCTTAAGAGAGAAGGGTGTCCTATGAAGTTAAGAAAAATAAAATAACTTGCAGTAAACATAATCACTAGAAACTAAACAATTAAGTTCATTTTTTCCTAAGAAATATGAGCTATTTTGTTTCAGTAAAGAGCCTCTTAAAATTAAAAATAGTAATGATCAAATCCCCTTCAAGAATCATTGCCTTTGTCAGAATACTGATCTGCACATGCAGGTGAGGAAACTGCTATAATAGGGCATAAAACCACTACAAACAATAGGTGGTCCAGGAAGAGTTAGTTAGTTAGTTCGTATTGATTCCTGCCATGGTGAAAAGATCTCCAAACATCAAAGCACATTCCTTAAAGTCTATTACCTCATTGGTGGGGTAAAATTTACTCTGAAATAAAATGTTAGAATATGATTTAATAAACTTAAAAGCCAGCTTCTAATGGATCATTTAGAAATTTCTCTCTACCAGATCAAAGCCACCAAACACTTAAAAGAATATAAATAAATAAATACATACATACATACATGCGTACATACATAAATGAAGTCCAGTAACCAACAAGGTAAAATCAGAGTTAAAAAGTTCTGAAATATTCAACAAATCATAAATATGTGACACATATGATATAAAATATGGCATATTATTTAATAAACCAAGTCACACTAATGACACTGATGATAGAATTAGTAGACTTGAAAACAGCTATTATAAACATCTTATGGTTATTGAGCTTTCTCTAAGATAATCCTCCGAGGATAGGTTTTGCTATATTTTCTAATTGTATCTGGCTTAGGGAAGGCTATTGAATTTTATAACTTGATATTATATCAGACTAGTTGTTAGACTCTTTAGTTAGTTTTAATATTTGTTTATTGATTTTGCAAGTTATCTTGCTTGGAGCTTTTGAAAGGATACATCTTTACAATACTTAGCAGTTGCTCTGTATTTCTGTGTGTGACTTTTAAATTTACTTAAATGATATAGTTTAGACCTGAAAAAAAAATAGCTATGGCCGAAAAACATAAAAGTGAGCATGTAAGGAGAAAAATAAAAGATCTAAACATGAGCCTATATTAAACTACCAGAGATGAAATACACAATATTTAAAATTAAGAATACTTAGGATAGTGTTAATAGATTAGACATACTATAGAAAAATACAATAAACTTTAAAGTAGTGTAATATAAACTACTAAAAATGAACAAAACCACTCTTCACTCCCCCTACAAAATAAACAAAGCATCCCAACATGCATGTAATTAGATTTCCTGAAAGAGGGAACATCAAC
Source organism: Homo sapiens (assembly GCF_000001405.40). Taxonomy (NCBI): domain Eukaryota; kingdom Metazoa; phylum Chordata; class Mammalia; order Primates; family Hominidae; genus Homo; species Homo sapiens. The sequence goes on from NC_000004.12 coordinate 69,681,927, forward strand.
AGAAACAAATTTGGAAAGAAATAATAATTATTTTCAAATTTGGTGAATTCCATATGCACATAGATCCAAGAAATTCAATTTACCAGGTAAAAAGAAAAAAAATCATCCTGAGCACATCATAATCAATGTACTGAACACCAGTGATAAAGAAAAAACCTTAAAAATTGCAGAAAAGTTTTAAAAAACATATCACCTAATGAATGAAGAAAATATAGAAATAGACTTCTCATTAAAAGCAATGCAAGCTAGAAAACAATAAAGCTAAATCTAAAAAGTCCTGAAAAAATACAATCCTTGTGATAAATATATGTATGCCCAGAAAATTAAATATATAGCAAATATAATTTTAAAAATAGACTGAATAAAGATTTTTTATAGCTACAAGAAACAAGAAAATTAATCTTCTCTAGAAGACCACTTCTTTAAAAAATGTTAAAGCCAGAAGAAAAATAATATCTAATGGATATTTGGACATAGACAACTGAATGGAGAGATGTAAAAATTGTAAATATGTGTGTGAATATAAAAGATGTTTAAAAATTTTATTTAATATCACTAAAGGTTAAATGACTGCTTAAAACCAAAATAATAACTACTGTTATTTATTGTATTGTGAAGTTATAACACATAGGTGTAAAATATATGGCAACAATAGCAGAAAATCTGAGAAGAGGTACAGGAAGTAAACTGTTGTAAAGTTGTTATGCGAAAGATGATATTAATTGCAAACTGAACATACAACTACAAGAAAAGGAACAAAACAAATATCTGAAAGGCCAATAAAATGTCAAATAGAATTAAAAAATATATTCTAGTAGTTCAAATGAAGGTAGAAAAGAAAAAAAGAACAAAGAAGAGATAAGATGAATTTATAAAACAAATAGCAAAATAATAAATTTCTCCTCAAACATATGAATAATCACAATAAATATAAATGGTCTCACTACCCTCACTAAAAATTAGACATTGTCAGATTGGTTTTTCTAGACATCTATATGATGTCTAGAAGAAACTCATTTTATAAAGAAAAAGTTTAAAAATAAAATGAGAATACACATTTTATAGTAATACAAGTATAGTAAAACTGGGGTGGCTACAATAATATCAAATAAAGTAAATTTTTGGAAAAATTATTAGGGAAAAATGGTGACTTGATAATTAAAGGTGTCATTTCATCAAGAAGACATAACAATCATAAATATATATGTACCTAACAGCATCAAAGTAAAGAAAGCAAATTGATGAAAATTAAAGGAGAAATAGATTCCCATTTATACTTGGAAATCATGATGGCCTTCATTTACTAATTGACAAAATAAGCATACAGAAAGTAAATAAGAAATAATAGAGTTCATATTGTTCATGAAAAATAATTTGCAAAAACTAAATGTTCTTGTTATATTTTACGATATACAACATGCCTTTTTAAGGTGTTTTTCTGGGCATTTTGACCTGCATTAATTTTGTAAAATCTTTATCTTTCTTGTTGTTTTTATTTTCTGAAATGCTTTTGCTTATGTCTTTATTTTTGTTTAATTTACTTTCAAATAAATCTGTTACAAAAAGTATTAAGCTCAATTTTTTACCTTTATCTCAAAGGTTTTATTTGAACTATTTTTATACATAGTCATACATAATTTCACACATAAAGTGAGGTAAAACAAATACTAATCTATCTGATAGCCATCTAAAGAAATTAAATATTACAATACAATTCTACATATCTTGCCTGCTTGTTTGCTCCTTCTATCTGTGACTTCAATTCTTTAATTCTCATGTTCTTTGTAATGATTTTTTGTATTTATTATTAAATAACATTTTATATATTTTTAAATATATAACAGAATACACAATATTCTGTTAAATATTATGTTGATTTTTATTACATGTGTGCACAGTTTCCGACAGTGGTAAGTGACTTAGTAATACCTTTATATTGGCTCTTGTCCTTTCCCTATTTAATGTTATCCACTGCTCTTGTGGAATTACCTGGCAATGCTTCTTACAGAAATTATTTGCACTCAAATTTTTTCCTGAGAGCCTATTTCTTTAGGAACTCAAAACAGAGGGTAATACTGTAGTGATTCTAGGCCATACAGCTATAAAAACTACATTACTGGTAGAAGTGAGGTAGATATTACTTGGCATGCAGTACAATCACAGTTACTACTATTTTCATTGTTGGTGAATTGTGATGAGGAACAGATGGAAGAGGATGGACTATTCTTGTGCAAAATCAACACTTAAGAAATATGGGACCAATAACGATTATAAGATTACGTACCTGTTAGCTGCGTTTATTACCTTCAACAACATAAGGTAGAAAGAAGATAACAGAATCAATTCAGCCATGTATATCTCAGGACACAATAAAAAGCAGAAGGCATCCATGACAGGTTTTATTTTTTCTCATAGTAATTCTTTTCTCAAACTTTTATTTTAGGTTCAGGGATACATGTGAAGGTTTGTTACATAGGTAAATTTTGTGCTTGGGTATTTTATGTACAGATTATTTCATCAACCTGGTAATAAGCATAGGACTCAATAGGTAGTTTTTTGATCCTCATCCTCCTTCCTCCCTCCACTCTCAGGTGGGCCCCAAAGTCTGTTGTTTCCTTCTTCATGTCCATATATACTCAATGTTTAGCTGCCACTTATAAGTGAGAACATGTGGTATTTGGTTTTCTGTTCCAGTGTTATTTTGTATAGGATAATGACCTCCAGCTCCATCCATGTTGCTGCAAAGGACATGATCTCATTTTTTTGTTTTTGTTTTTGTTTGTTTTTCCTACTGCATAGTATTCAATTGTGTATATATACCACATTTTCTTTATTCAGTCTACCATTGATAAGCATTTAGATTGAATCTGTGTCTCCCCTATTGTGAATAGTGCTGTGATGAACACGTGTGCCTATGTCTTTAAGGTAAAATGATTTATATGACTGAGCATATACCGAACAATGGGATTGCTGGATTGAATGGTAATTCCACTTTGAGTTCTTTGAAAAATCACCAAACTGCTTCACAATGGCTGAACTAATTTACATTCCCACCAGCAATATATAAGCATCCCCTTTTCTTTGCAACCTCGCCATCGTCTGTTTATCTTTTGGCTTTTAAATAATAGCAATTCTGACTTGTGTGAGATGGTATCTTGTTGTGGTTTTGATTTGCACTTCTTTAATGATTATTGATTTTGAGTAGTTTTTCATATGCTTATTAGCTGCATGTATGTGTGCTTTTGAAAATTGTCTGCTAATGTTCTTTGTTCAATTCTTAATGGGGTTGTTTTTGCTTGTTAGCTTAAGCGCCATATAGATTCTGGATACTAGACTTTTGTCAGATGCATAGTTTGCAAGTATTTTCTACCATTCTGTAGGCTGTTTACTCTGTTGATAGTTTCTTTTGCAGTATAGAAGCTCTTTAGTTTAATTAGGTCCCATTTGTCAATTTTTGTTTTTGTTGCAATTGCTTTTCTTATCTTCATAATGAAATCTTTGCCAACTCCTATGTCCAGAATGGTATTTTCTAGGTTATCTTCAAAGGTTTTTATGATTTTAGGTTTTTACAATTCAGTCTTTAATCCATCTTGAGTTGTTTTTTGTATATGGTGGAAAGAAGGGGTACAGTTTCAGTCTTCTGCATATAGCTAGCCAGTTACTCCTCCATCATGTATTGATTAGTGACTTCTTTCCCCATTCCTTGTTTTTGTTGACTTTCTCAAAGATCGGATGGTAGTGGCAGAGCTTGGTTCTCTATTCTGTTGCACTGATCTATGTGTCTGTTTTTGTGCCAGTTATTTTGGTTACTTTAGCCTTATATACTCTATACTGTGTTTAGAGTATAGTACTTACAGTACAGTTTTTTTTAATGTTATTATACTTTAAGTTTTAGGGTACATGTGCACAACGTGCAGGTTTGTTACATGTGTATACATGTGCCATGTTGTTGTGCTGCACCCATTAACTCGTCATTTACATTAGGTATATCTCCTAATGCTATCCCTTCCCACTCCCCCTACCCCACAACAGGCCCTGGTGTGTGATGTTCCCCTTCCTGTGTTCATGTGTTCTCATTGTTCAATTCCCACCTATGAGTGAGAACATGCGGTGTTTGGTTTTTTGTCCTTGCGATAGTTTGCTGAGAATGATGGTTTCCAGCTTCATCCATGTCCCTACAAACGACATGAACTCATCCTTTCTTATGGCTGCATAGTATTCCATGGTGTATATGTGCCACATTTTCTTAATCCAGTCTATCATTGATGGACATTTGGTTTGGTTCCAAGTCTTTGCTATTGTGACTAGTGCCGCAATAAACATACGTGTGCATGTGTCTTTCTAGCAGCAGGATTTATAATCCTTTGGGTATATACCCAGTAATGGGATGGCTGGGTCAAATGGTATTTCTAGTTCTAGATCCCTGAGGAATCACCACACTGACTTCCTCTTTTCCTAATTGAATATCCTTTATTTCCTTCTCCTGCCTGATTGCCCTGGCCAGAACTTCCAACACTATGTTGAATAAGAGTGATGAGAGAGGGCATCCCTGTCTTGTGCCAGTTTTCAACGGCAATGCTTCCAGTTTTTGCCCATTCAGTATGATATTGTCTGTGGGTTTGTCATAGATAGCTGTTATTATTTTGAGATACGTCCCATCAATACCTAATTTATTGAGAGTTTTTAGTTTTTAAAGAGACCCTTAAGTCCCATAGCAAATGGGCAAACTGTCTTGAAAATCATAACCAGGACCTAATCTTTGGCTTCTCAGAATTACAAAGGATGCTGAGTTTACAGCAATTCTTTTTGCCTAGCCAGCAAATAACCTACACCAAAGCCAAGGCATAGGATTGGGACAGCTGGATTGATATATTTGAGAACGTTGAACCTCCATATTCCCCTGAACCCTACAGGTCAATTGAAGACTCTCTTCTCCTAGCTAGATAATTAAGCATCCTCTTGCATGGAGACAATGCATAGAATTAAAGTTTATAACACACAAAATAATATATGCCCCTCTCACCTTCGAGCTTCTATACCAGGAGTTGTTAACATGATATATAACATATATAATTTTAATATGTAATAAATATTATATTATTTATACATTAATATTATATATTATATAAATACTATATGTCTATTTGACAGATAATATATAATAAAAATTATTTTTTTCTAAAATCTGTTTCTTTAAGAAATTTGTAATTGGTTTTGTTAGGCACAAAAAAATGCAGTTCTCTTTTTGTTTCTATGTGGTTAAACAATTGTTTCAGGTCATTAATTAAGCAATCTATAATTTTTCCCATTTCCCAGTGGTATGAAATGCAGTGACATATTAGCTATACATATATGATTAGGTCTCTACCTTTCTTTATATGCTAGTTTTCCATCCCTGTGTTGTTACCACACTATATTATTACTTAAGTGTTATTATTTATTATTTACCTTATTAGCTGTTCAGGTGAGTATGACTTTGTCCTTAAAATGTATTTTGGCTATTTTGAGCCCTGTATTAGTCCATTATCACGCTACTATGAAAAAATACCCGAGGCTGAGTAATTTATAAAGAAAGGGTATTAACTGACTCAGTTTCCACATGGCTGGGGACGTCTCAAGAAACTTACCATCATGGCGGAAGGCACCTCTTCTCAGGCGGGCAGGAGAGAGAATGAGTGCAAGCAGGGGAAATGCCAGGTGCTTATAAAACCATCAGATCTCGTGAAACTCATTCACTCTCAGGAAAGCAGCATGGCAAAAACCGCCCCCATGATCCGATTACCTCCACCTGGTCCCTCCCATGACGTGGGGATTATGGGAACTACAATTCAAGATGAGGTTTGGGTGGGGACACAGCCAAACCATATCAAGCCGATTATTTATTTCACAGATTTTAGAAATAAAGTTCATACAAACACAGAATTAACCATTGGATAATTTGTTTTAGAATTACTAGAATCTTTTTATGTTACATTTATTAATAGGTATATTGTATTATTTGTAGTGTCTCATTCAGTGATTTTAAAATTTCTGATTGTTATTTGTGTGTAAGATTGCAATTTACTTTTGTATATTAGTTTCATATATAGCAATTCTGATAGACTTTCTGATTTGAATAATTCAGCAATTTGTTTTAGAAAAACATAAATATGTATATTGCATTAATTAAAACATCAAATTCAACGTTAAATTGGAGAGATGTTAAAGAACATCTTTGTCTTGATCCTGATTTTTAAAAATTATTCTAATCATTCATTATTAAGTAGATTATTTCCTCAAGGTAGTTTCCTTGTTTTATTTTTTCTTTTTGTTTAATAGCTGTTGTTTCATATTTTTCATCTGATTAAGAAATTTCACTGCTATTTTTTAATCAATAAGGGTATTGGGCTACATTTAAGACTTTTCTACATTTGTTGCTTAATAGAGTCAATTAAAGTTTGAAGTACCTTTTTAAGAAATTTTATTCAAAGCTCAATCTGAAAAGCATGAAGGTTTTACTACATTAAGGGCTTCAGGAATTAATGGACAATATGTTTTAGTCTTTACATACTTTCCTTTTTGGGGGTGCAAATGGAAACATTTGAAAGTGTTCACTTAACTGTGCTCTATTTTTATATAATCATGCAACTACCGCAGGGCTAAAATAAATTTATTTTTGGCAGCAGGAATAGCAAAAGATCATTTGAATCAATACACTTAGAAATGTATTAGAATTTGCCTAGATATTTTTGTGCTTTTTAAAACTGTTCTCATGTGACAATATTTTTGCCAAACTTTGGTAGAATTTCTCAACTATATTGATGAATTTGAGTTCCTGGAATTTCTAACTCTATTTAATTTGATGTCTCAAAAATATTTTCAAGTGAAATATAATCAGTTCTATCAAATTCAGTACATGCTTCCCCCTTCAACGTACATACACAACACACACACACACATAGGCACACACACACACATTTTCCCACAGGCTTATTTTTCTGTGAAATGATATTTTCTCATAGAATTATGATGATTATACAACATGGATACAAACTATATAAAAATCTGCAATCAAGTTATTCTGTAATTTGAATCTATTTAGACCTTTCATTGAATGACTTTGAACAAATAAATTCTTAAGGCCTGTAAAATTATCTCTCATTTAAAATCAAATGTGAGTGATTTCCAAACGGCTTATTAAAACACAATAACGCTAGGATTACAATGTCTTGTTTATCATTTTGTTGTTGTTGTTATTTTTATTGTGTTACCTTTGTTACTTCCTCAGGAAACTAGGTATTGAACATTTTTAGATCAGACAATAATATTTTCCAGCATTATTTTGAAACCTAGTTATATTTTAATTCAATGATCTTGAAAATTATATCAGATAATCCTGGATATTAATTAGATGTTAGTGGAAATAGTTTTAGAAGTTTTAATATATAGTATTGAATAAAAATTGTGTCATTTTACTGTTTAAAATTATTTTAAACCTATTAATGGAGCCGATATGTTGCTAATGAAATCTGCTTAAACTTTTAATGTATTTATATCTTTGTTTTAATTTATAAATAGCACTAACTCTAACCTGAAAAAGTCTTGATAAATATAAAAAAAAACTAGTGCTTGGAGAATAACCACAGAATTTCCTAATAAATATATTGTGTGTGTTCATCTCTGTTTTGGATATATATATATATATTTAGATGAAACTTTATCATTTTGCCATCAACAAAATTATTAAATTCCTAATAATTTGGACTCATCATACTTATTCAGCACTATCAATCATCATCCACATGAGGGCAGCATATCCTAAAGGATGTAGATTTTAATATTACAGTTTCGAAAGTGCTTTTACACAGTTTCATGTTGAACCCTAGCAAAAGTTGTCTATTCCTAACTTTATGCTATAGATGAAGAAATCAAAATCAGAGAAGTTGAGGAATCCCTGGCAAATGCAAACTGGAATTATGTTCCATTTTCACCAATTACATATTTCTTATTCACTTACATTTTAACTACAAAACAGTAGTAAGAAAAGCATGGGCAAAAACTTATGCATATGTTTCTTTACTCCACTATCTTTAATTAGAGATGCCACATACACAGAAGGTAATTTCAAGTGGGACAATGAAACTTAAAGACGACTATTCCAAAAAAATAAAAATCTTTGGCAAAGAAATTTCAAAGTGTCATTAGTTTTAGATTTGTGTAGTAATGATAAGCTACAATCCTAGCTAAACAGAGAATTTACAGCTTGCACTTTTCCATTTATTATTTCCCTTAATGAACTGTTGCATATTCTAGTTAGAAGATAAAAAGATTAGTTTTAATTATTACGGATACATAATAGTTGCACATATTTATGGGGTACATGTTGTTTTGGATGCAAGTGTAAAGTGTATAATGATCAAATAAGGGTAATTGGGATACCGATCGCCTCAAGCATTTATCTTTTTTTGTGTTGGGAAAATTTCAGTTCAACTCTTTTAGTTCTTTTAAAATATACAATAACTTACTGTTTACTATAGTCACCTTATTATGCTACCAAACACTGGATCTTATTTATTCTAACTTGATTTTTGTAGCCATTAACCACGCCCTCTTTATACCCCCCATTCTCACCACCCTTTCCAGCCTCTGGTGACCATCCTTCTACTCTGTATGTCCATGAGTTAATTTTTGTTTTTAGCTCCAACATAAGAGTGAAAACATGCAATATTTTTCTTTCTGTGCCTGGCTTATTTAATTTAACGTAACTGGAGGACACTCCATGTTATTGCAAATGACAGGATTTCATAATTTTTATGGCTGAATAATAATTCATTGTGTATTATGTACCAGGATTTCCTTATCCGTTTATCCATTGGTGGAAATGGATGTTGATTTCACCTCTTGGCTATTGTAAATAGTCCTGCATTAAACATGCATGTGCACATATTTCTTAAATATATTGATTTCCTTTCTTTGGATATATACCAAACAGTAGAATTGCTGAACCATATGGTAGTCATATTTTTAGTTTTTTGAGGAAACTACACAGTTTTCCATAATGGTTGTAATAATTTACTTTTTCAGCAACAGTGTACAAGGGTTCCCCTTTTTCCACATCCTCATCGCCATTTGTTATTGCCTACTTTTTTGAGTAAAAGACATTTAAACTGGGATAAGATATCTCATTATAGATTTTATTTGCACTCCTCTGATGATTAGTGATGTTGAGCATTTTTTCATATACTTGTTGGCCATTCTTCTTTTGAGAAATATCCATTCAGATCTTTTACCCATTTTTAAAATTGACAATTTTTTTTCCCTACTGAGTTGTTTGAGCTCCTTATAGATTCTGCTTATCAATTCTTTGTCAGATGGGCACTTGGCAAATATTTTCTCAGATTCAGTGGGCTGTCTCTTCACTTTGTTGTTTGTTTACTTCACTGTACAGGAGCTTTTTAGGTTGATGCTATTTCATTGTCCGTTTTTGCTTTGGTTACCTGTATTTTTGAGGTCTTACTCAAGAAATATTTTCCCAGAACACTGTCCTAGAGTGTTTCCTCAACATTTTCTTATTGTATTTTCATGGTTGAGGTATTACATTTAAATATTTAATCCTCCTTTATTTAATTTTTATATATGGCAAGAGATAGGGGTCTAGTTTCATTTTTCTGCATACAGATATACAGTTTTCCAAGCACCATTCATTGAAAAGTCTGTCAATTCAGCAGTGTATATACTTGGCATACATTGTCTGTGTAATCTCTTGATAGTTTCTCTTATGGTGCAGAAGTTCTTTAATTTAATTATGTCCCACATGCCAATTTTTGTTTTTGTTGCAATTGCTTTTGGAGACCTATCCAAAAATATTTTACCTAGGCCCTTGACAAGAAATTATATCCTAGGTTTTCTTCAAATATTTTTATAGTTTGAAGTCTTCCATTTAAATTTTTATTATAGTTTGAAGTCTTCCATTTAAATATTTAATCCATCTTGAGTTAATGTTTGTATAGGGTGAAATATATGGGTCCAATTTCATTCCTCTGCATGTGGCTAATCAGTCATACCAGCACCATTTACAGAATAGGGAGTTCTTACCCTATTTCTTGTTTTTGTCTGCCTTTGTTGAAAATCAGATGCTTGTGGGTGGGTGGCTTTAATAGTGAGTTTCTTTTCTACTCAATTGGTCTATGTGTCTGTTTTTGTAACTGTACCGAGTTGTTCTGATTACTGTAGCCTTATAATGTAGTTTGAAGTTGGGTAGTATAGTGCCTCTGGCTTAGTTCTTTGGCTTAGAATTACCTTGGCTATTCACACTCTTTTTTGGTTCCATATGAATTTTAGAATAGTTTACTTTCTTCTAATTCTGTGAAGAATGATTTTGGGAGTTTTATAAGAATATTATTGAATCCATAAATTGCATTGAGTGGTGTGACCATTTTGATATTCATTCTTTGAACTCATGAGCATGGAATGTTTCCCATTTATCTCTATCATCTCTGATATCTGTCAGTGGTGTTTTGTAATTATTCTTGTAGACATTTTTGACCATTTTTGGTTAGCTGTATTTTTAGATGTTTCATTTTCCTTTGGTTATTGTAAATGGTATTGTGTTATTGATTTGGTTCTCAGCCTGGAGGTTAATGGTATATAGAAATTGCTGATTTTTGTGCATTGGTTTTTTATCCTGAATCTTTACTAAAGTCATTTATCAGTTTGGAACATTTTTATGGAGTCTTTAAGGTTTTCTAGGTAAAGAATAATATCAAAACAAAGAGAGATAGTTTGATTTATTCTTTTCCTATTTTGATGCCTTTTATTATTTTATCTGGTTGATTTTTCTGGCTAGGACTTTCAGCACTATGTTGAATAGGAGTGATGAGAGTGGCCATTCCTAACTTATTCCAGTTCTCAAGTGGAATGATTACAGCTTTTACCATTCAGTTGAGGTTGGCTGTGGATTTGTAATAAATGGCTCTTATTATTTTGACATATGTTCCTTCAATGCCTATTAGTTGAGGTTTTTACAATAAAGGGATGTTGGGTTTTATCAAAGCCTTTTTCTGTGTCTACTGAGATGATCATATGGCTTATGCTTTTAATTCTGTTTATGGGGTGAATCACATTTATTAATTTGTATATGTTGAACCAACTTTGCATCCCAGGAATAAAGCCTACTTCATCATGATGAAGTAGCTTTTTGAGGTGCTGCTGGATTTGGTTTGCTAGTATTTTGTTGAGGATTGTTGCTTCTGTGTTCATCAGGGATATTGGCCTGAAGTTTTCTTTTCTCATTGTCTTTCAGCAAGATTCTGGTATCATAGTGATGCAGGCTTGGTAGAATGAATTAGGGAAATGTCACTCCTCCTCAATATTTTTGGAATAGTTTTAGTAGGATAGGTACCAGTTTTTCTTTGTACTTCCGGTGGAATTTAGCTGTGAATCCATCTGGTCCAAGGCATTTATGGTTGATAGGTTTTTTTATTACAGAGTCAATTTGAGAGCTTGATATTTGTCTATTCAGGGCTTCAATCTCTTCCTGATTCAACCCTGGGAGAGTGTGTGTTTCCAGGAAATTATCATTTTCCTGTAGATTTTCTAATTTGTGTGCATACGCTTGTACATATTATTTTCTGAGTATCTTTTCTATTTCTGTGGGATCAGTTGTTATGTCATCTATGTCATTTCTGAATGTGTTTATTTGGATATTCTCTCTTTTTATTTATTAATCTAACCAGTAGTCTATTAATCTTGTTTATTTTTTCAAATAGCCAACACTTGGTTTCATTGATCTATTGTATAGACTTTTATGTCTCAATTTTGTTCAGTTATTCTCTAACTTTTGTCATTTCTTTTCTCCTACTAGCTTTGGGGTAAGTTTGTTCTTTTTTTTTCTATTCCCTTAGATGCAAACTTAGATTGTTTATTTGAGTTATTTTGTTGGTGTGTGTTTGTTTTTTGTTTGTTTGTGTGTTTGTTTTGTTATGTTTTTTGAGACGAAGTTTCACTCTTGTTGCCCAGGCTGGAGCGCAACGGCATGATCTTGGCTTACTGCAATCTCTGCCTCCTGGGTTCAAGTGATTCTCTTGACTCAGCCTCCTGAGTAGCTGGGATTACAGGCACCCACCAGCACGCCAGCTAATTTTCATGTATTTAGTAGAGATGTGGTTTCACCATGTTGACCAGGCTGATCTTGTACTTATTTTTCTTTTATTATACTTTAAGTTCTAGGGTACACGTGCACAACGTGCAGGTTTGTTATATATGTATACATGTGCCATGTTGATGTGCTGCACCCATTAACTGGTCATTTATATTAGGTATATCTCCTAATGCTATCCCTCCCCCCTCCCTCCACCCTACAACAGGCCCCGGTGTGTGATGCTCCCCTTCCTGTGTCCAAGTGTTCTCACTGTTCAAGTCCCACCTGTGAGTGAGAACATGTGGTGTTTGGTTTTTTGTCCCTGTGATAGTTTGCTGAGAATGACGGTTTCCAGCTTCTTCCATGCCCCTACAAAGGACATGAACTCATCCTTTTATATGGCTGCATAGTATTCCACGGTGTATATGTGCCACATTTTCTTAATCCAGTCTATCACTGATGGACATTTGGGTTGGTTCCAAGACTTTGCTATTGTGAATAGTGTTGCAGTAAACATAGGTGTTCATGTGTCTTTATATCAGCATGATTTATAATCCACTGGGTATATACCTAGTAATGGGATGGCTGGGTCAAACGGTATTTCTAGTTCTAGCTCCTGAGGAATTGCCTCACTGTCTTCCACAATGGTTGAACCAGTTTACAGTCCCACCAACAGTGTAAAAGTGTTCCTATTTCTCCACATCTTCTCTAGCACCTGTTGTTTCCCGACTTTTTAATGAGCGCCATTCTAACAGGTGTGAGATGGTATCTCATTGTGGTTTTGATTTGCATTTCTCTGATGGTCACTGATGATGAGCACTTTTTCATGTGTCTGTTGGCTGCATTAATGGCTTCTCTTGAGAAGTGTCTGTTCATATCTTTTGCCCACTTTTTGATGGGGTGGTTGGTGTTTTCTTGTAAATTTGTTTGAGTTCTTGGTAGATTCTGGATATTAGCCCTTTGTCAGATGAGTAGATTGCAAAAATTTTCTCCCATTCTCTAGGTTGCCTGTTGACTCTGATGGTAGTTTCTTTTGCTGTGCAGTAGCTCTTTAGTTCAATTAGATCCCATTTGTCAATTTTGGCTTTTGTTGCCATTGCTTTTGGTGTTTTAGACATGAAGTCCTTGCCCATGCCTATGTCCTGAATGGTATTGCCTAGGTTTTCTTCTAGGGTTTTTATGGTTTTAGATCTAATATTTAAAACTTTAATCCATCTTGAATTAACTTTTGCATAAGGTGTAAGGAAGGGATCTGGTTTCAGCTTTCTACATAAATCTGGCCAGTTTTCCTGGCACCATTTATCAAATAGGGAATCCTTTCCCCATTGCTTGTTTTTGTCAGGTTTGTCAAAGATCAGATAGTTGTAGATGTGTGGCATTATTTCTGAGGGCTCTGTTCTGTTCCATTGGTCCATATCTCTGTTTTGGTCCAGTACCATGCTGTTTTGGTTACTGTAGCCTTGTAGTATAGTTTGAAGTCAGGTAGCGTGATGCCTCCAGCTTTGTTCTTTTGGCTTAGGATTGATTTGGCAATGTGGGCTCTTTTTTGATTCCATATGAACTTTAAAGTAGTTTTTTCCAATTCTGTGAAGAAAGTCATTGGTAGCTTGATGGGGATGGCATTGAATCTATAAATTACCTTGGGCCATATGGCCATTTTCACACTATTGATTCTTCCTATCCATGAGCATGGAATGTTCTTCCATTTTTTGTGTCCTCTTCTATTTAATTGAGCAGTGGTTTGTAGTTCTCCTGGAAGAGGTCCTTCACATCCCTTGTAAGTTGGAGTCCTAGGTATTTTATTCTCTTTAAAGCAATTGTGAATGGGAATTCACTCATGATTTGACTCTCTGTTTGTGTGTTATTGGTGTATAAGAATGCTTGTGATTTTTGCACATTGATTTTGTATCCTGAGACTTTGCTGAAGTTGCTTATCAGCTTAAGGAGATTTTGGGCTGAGACAAGGGGGTTTTCTACATATACAATCATGTCATCTGCAAACAGGGACAATTTGACTTCCTCTTCTCCTAATTGAATACCCTTTATTTCTTTCTCCTGCCTGATTGCCCTGGCCAGAACTTCCAACACTATGTTGAATAGGAGTGGTCAGAGAGAGCATCCCTGTCTTGTGCCAGTTTTCAAAGGAAATGTTTCCAGTTTTTGCCCATTCAATATGATATTGGCTGTGGGTTTGTCATAAATAGCTCTTATTATTTTGAGATACATCCCATCAATACCGAATTCATTGAGAGTTTTTAGCATGAAGGCTGTTGAATTTTGTCAAAGGCCTTTTCTGCATCTATTGACATAATCATGTGGTTTTTGTCTTTGGTTCTGTTCATATGCTGGATTACGTTTAATGATTTGTGTATGTTAAACCAGCCTTGCATCCCAGGGACGAAGCCCACTTGATCGTGGTGGATAAGCTTTTTAATGTGCTGCTGGATTCGGTCTGCCAGTATTTTATTGAGGATTTTTGCGTTGATGTTCATCAGGGATATTGGTCTAAAATTCTCTTTTTTTTGTTGTGTCTCTGCCAGGCTTTGGTATCAGGATGATGCTTGCCTCATAAAATTATTTAGAGAGGATTCCATCTTTTTCTATTGATTGGAATAGTTTCAGAAGGAATGGTACCAGCTGCTCCTTGTACCTCTGGTAGAATTCGGCTGTGAATCCATCTGGTCCTGGATGTTTTTTAGTTGGTAAGCTATTAATTATTGCCTCAATTTCAGAGCCTATTATTAGTCTTTTCAGGGATTCAACTTCTTCTTGGCTTAGTCTTGGGAGGGTGTATGTGTCCAGGAATTTATCCATTTCTTCTAGATTTTCTAGTTTATTTGTACTTTTGACCTCAGGTGATCCACCCACCTTGGCCTCCCAGAGTGCTGAGATGACAGGCATGAGCCACCACATCCAGCCTATTTGAGATCTTTCTAATTTCTGGATGAAGGTATTTAGCAGTATAAACTTTCTTCTTAACACTGATTTTGCTAAAACCGAGACACTTGGGGGAGGTTGTGTCTCTATTTTCTTTAATTTCAAAGAATTATCTTATTTTTGTCTTAATTTCACTGTTCATCCATGAATCATTCAGAAGCACGTTGTTTAATTTATATGTATTTGTTTAGTTTTAAGAGCCATTCTTTATATTTGATATGGTTTGGCTCTGTGTCCCCATCCAAATCTCATCTTAAATTATAATCCCCATCTGTTGAGGGCAGGACCTGGTGGGAGGTGATTGGATCATGGGGGCAGTTTCCCACATGCTGTTCTTGTGACAGTGAGTGAGTTATCACAAGATCTGATGGTTTAAAAGTGTTTTGCAGTCCCCAACCCTCTCTCTTTCTCTCTCTTGCTGGCTGCCCTGTGAGAAAAAGTTCCTTACTTTTTCTTCACCTTGTGCCATGATTGTAAGTTTCCTGAGGCCTTCTCAGCCATGTGGAGTTGTGAGTCAACGAAACCTCTTTTTTTTTTTTTTTTTTTTTTTTACAAATTACTCAGTCTCAGGTAGTTCTTTATAGCAGTTTGAAAACAGACTAATTCAAGATTAAGCATTATTTTTATCACACTGTGGTTCGAAAGTATGCTTTCTATGATTTTGATGTTATTAAATGTGTTGAGACTTGCTTTATGACTGTATTAGTCCATTGTCATGCTGCTAATAAAGACATACCTGAGACTGGGTAATTTATACAGGAAAGAGGCTTAATGGACTCACAGTTCCATATGGCTGGGGAGGCCTCACAATCATGACCAATCATGACAGATAGCAAATGAGGAGCAAAGTCATGTCTTACATGGCATCAGGCAAGAAAGTATGTGCAGGGGAATTCCCCCTTTATAAAACCATCAGATATCATGAGACTTATTCCCTTTCATGAGAACAGCATGAGAAAGACCCATCTCCATGATTCAAATACCTCCCACCATGTCCCTTCCATGACATGTGGGAATTATGTGAGCTACAAGTGAAGATGAGATTTGGGTGGGGATACAGCCAAACCATATCAATGACTAAGCATGTAGTCAGCCTTAGAATATATTCTATGTGCATATGAGAAGAAGGTATATTCTGTGATTGTGGGGCAGGGTGTCAGTTCCAATTATTCAAGTATTGAGTTTAAATTCAGAGTGTCTTTGTTAGTTTTCTGCCTGGATGATCTGTCTAATGCTGTCAGTGGGGTATTGAAGTCTCCCTCTGTTATTGTGCCATTGTCTAAGTCTTTTTATAGGCCAATAAAACTTATTTTAGGAATCTGGGTGCTCTGATGTTAAGTGCATATAGATCGAATAGTTAATTTCTTTGGATTGTACTCTTTATCATTATGTAATGCTCATCTTTGTCCCTTCTAAATTGTGATTGTTTTAAAGTTTCTTTTATTTGACATAAGAATAGTGGCTCCTACTCTTTTTGTTTCCCATTCACATGGTAGATCTTCCTCCACATTTCCAGTTTGAGCCTGTGGCTGCTGTTACATGGAGATGGGTTTCTTGAAGGCAGCATATGGTTGGGTCTTACCTTTTTATCTAGCTTGACACCCAAGTCTTTTTGGTGGGGTGGTTAGCTCATTTACATTCAGGGTTAGTGTTGATATATGAGATTTTGATTTTGTCATCATATTGTTGTAGATTTGGTCTCTTTACATAATCCCATATTTCTCTAAGGTTTTGTTCATTTTTCAAATTCTTTTAAATTTATTTTTGTTTGACTAAGTTGATTCAAATAATTCACCTCTGAGCTCTGAGATTCTTTTCTTAGCTTGGTCTATTCTGTTGTTAATACTTTCTATTGTTTTATGAAATTACTATAAATTTTTCAGCTCCAGAAGTTTCATTTGGTTCTTTCATAAAATGACCTTTTTGTCTTTAACTTTTGGATCACTTTATTAGATTTCTTGGATTCCTTGGATTAGGTTTCAACTTTCTCCTGAATCTTATGAACTTCCTTGCCATCCAGATTGCAAATCCTATGTCTGTCATTTGAGTCTATTTAAGAACCCCTGCTATGAAGCTATTGGACTCATTTGGAGGAAAGGGGACCTTCTGGCTTATTGAATTGCCAAAATTTTTGTGCTGATTACTTCTCAGCTGGGAGAGTTGGTGTCCCTTTACCTGTGGTATAAGTTGAGTATAGTCAGTTGGCTTCGTTTCTAGATCTTTTCAAAGGGTCAAGGCTAAGTACAGGGTTTTTATTTGTAGTTGAATTATTCCCCTTGGTTTCACAGGGGGATATATTAGTAAAATATCTTTGGTGTTATACTTTGGGTTGTGATTCAGTAAATGGTGCTTAAGAGTAATAGGCAGTAGATAAGTTCTTACTTAGTCACATAGCTCCTTTGGATTTCCTTGCATTTGTAGCCATGTGCTGTGATGCAATGGGAAGAGAGATGGCTCCTTCACCAAGTCTACTCCTGGACCTTAGCAGAGCCCCCTCCAATTACTGGCACTGCACTCAATATTTCTTTTTATTAGGTGTTCCAGGCCACAGGGCTCACTCACTCTTTCCAGGCTGGCTTTTTTAATGGAAGCACACTCAACTCCTACTCCAGCCCACAAACACAAGCATCTCACTTTGCTCAGCACTCTAAGAGTGTGGGCTACTCTTCTGCTCAAATCATGGCCACATAACTCAGCTTAGCATTTCCAAGCTTCATGCCACATCCGTGGGGTTCCAGATCAGCGTGTGGCTCTGTCCTTTGGAGTTAGGGAGCATTTTGTCAGCTCAAAAGTCAATGGGGAAAGTAGGGTCCCCTGTAGCTAGAATCCCAGCAGTCTCATATTTCCTTCGCTTATTCATTTGCCAGAAGTCGTTCAAGAGTGGAAACTAGCTCTAGCATTTGGGTACCCCACACAGGGCTACTGGCTTTCTTCTTTAGCTTAAGTGTTTGCAATGTGTCTTCATCTACATTCAGCATTTTCCCTATGAAGAGCTTTTCAAATTATTTTTGTTTACTCAAAATTTTGTTCTCTCTGTGGGAGCAATTCTTCCTGGCTGCATCTAACTGGCCATCTTCATTTTTTTTTTTTTTTTTTTTTTTGAGATAGAGTATCACTCTGTCACCCGGGCTGGAGTGCAATGGCACGATCTCGGCTCACTGAAACCTCCCCCTCCTGGATTCAAGCGATTCTCTTGCCTCAGCCTCCTGAGTAGTTTGGATTACAGGCAGCCACAACCATGCCCAGCTAACTTTTGTATTTTTAGTAGAGACGGGGTTTTGCCATGTTGATCAGGCTGTTCCTGAACTGCTGACCTCAGGTCATCTTCATTTCTTATTTCCTGCTCCTTTAATAAGATCTGTCTTTCAAACCCCTAATTGTTATATTTGTTTATGTTTAAATTTTATGCATTCTTGATTTCACCCTAGTTCTATTTCCATAAGTTTTATGACTACATTATACTTAGTAATTAAATAAATGTATCATGTAATTTAGAGTACTTAATTAATTAGCTCCCTCATATATATAATAGAGCTATAATTGTACCTTGGAATACGTTTAATGAAGGAGGTGAAAAGATCTCTACAAGGAAAACTGCACTACTGAAATAAATAAAAGATGACACAAATAAATAAAAACATTTTATGCTTATGAATTGGAAGAATCAATACGATTAAAGTATACTGCAGATTTAACACAATTTTTATCAAACTGCCATGTCATTTTTCACAGAATTGGAAAAAACCATTCTAAATTTCACGTGGAACCAAAAAGGGGCCTGAATAGCCAAAGTAATCATAGGCAAAAAGAACAAAGCTCAAGATAATCACACTACCTGACATCAAAATACAATATAAGGCTATAGTAACCCAAACAGCATTGTTCTGGTACAAAACAGACACATAGAACAATGGAACAGAATAGAGAGCCCAGAAGTAATGTCACACAAATACGATCATCTGGTCTTTGACAAGCTCAATAATAAGAAGCAATCAAGAAAGGAATCCCTATTCAGTAAGTGGTGCTGGGATAACTGACTAGCCATATGTAAAATATTAAAACTGGACCCCTATCTTTCACCATATACAAAAATTAACTTGATGAATTGGAGACTTAAAGGTAAGAACTAAAACTATAAAAATCTTAGAAGAAAACCTAGGAAATACAATTCTGGAAATTAGCCTTGACAACAAATTTATAATTACATTGTTAAAGCAATTGCAAAACCCCCCAAAATTTACAAATAGGATCAATTAAACTAAAGAGCTCCTGCACAGTAAAAGAAATTATTAACAGAGTACACAGACAACCTACGGAATGGGAAAAAATATTTGCAAATTATGTATTTTATAAAGGTCTAATATCCAGAATCTAAAAGGAACTTAAACAATTCAATGAGCAAAAAAACAACTCCACTAAAAAAATAGGAAAAGGACATAAATAGACACTTCTCAAAAGAAGACATACATGCAGCCAACAAATATATTTAAAAATGCTCAATATTCCTAATTATTTTTATTTTTATTTTTTGAGACAGAGTCTTGCTTTGGTGCCTAGGCTGAAGTGCAGTGGCATGACCATGGCTCACTGCAGCCTTAAACTCTGGAGCTCAAGTGCACCCCTCACCTCAGCTTTCTGAGTAGCTGGGACTACAGTCATGTGACACCACACCTGGCTATTTTTTAAAGATTCTTTTTTTTACAGATCGAGTCTCACTATGTTGCCAGGGTTGAACATCACTAATTATTAGACAAATGCAAATCAAAACCACAAGATACCATCTCACTCCAGTCAGAGTGGTTATTATTAAAAAGATAAAAAATAACAGATGCTGGTGAGAATGTGGAGAAAAGGGAATACTTATACACTGTTGGTAGGAATGTAAATTAGCTCACCCACTGTGAAAGCTGCGTGGAAATTTTTAAAAATAACTTAGAGCAGAACTACCATTTGACATAATAATGTCATTAGCGGGTGTATACGTACTCAAAGGAAAATGAATCATTCCACCAAAAAGACATATGTATTCGTATGTACACTGCAGCACTATTCACAATAGCAAAGACATGGAATCAATGTAGATTCTCATCATTAGTGGACTGAATAAAGAAAATGTGGTGAAAGGAATGTTTTAAGAATAAATACAATGGTACAAGATTAGCTCAGTGCTTGGAACTTATAAATTATTCAATGGTATTTATTATTGTTATATTTATGATTTTTAATTGTCTTATTTGGGAGATTATATTCAGTAAACATTTCATGAAGATTATTCTAATTCCTTTCTTGTATATTCACTCAGCTTTGTAGCCTCTCTCAACTCTCAGCATACTTGTTTTGAGAAATCCCAAGTCTAAATTCAACATTCCACCCATTCTATACTCAAACATGGCTAAAGAAAATACATTGCTATAGTGACTGGTCTCGTTTTAAATTCATGGCGTGACCATTCTCCCACGGCTCTTCCTATATTTTCCTATACTTCTAAAAAAATAACATTCCACATTCCCTTTGCTGTTTTTCTTTGCTCTACTTTGTGTTTTATTTTTAGGTCCCTATTTCTCATCTTCATTTTTGATAAATTTGTTAACCCATGCTTTCCAGAGCATAGTGAGCCATGAAAGCCATGCATGTGTGAGATAATTAAATATATAATTTAGTGCAGCACATACTGAGGTTCAAGTTTGTGAGGGCCTTGTGATAAAATTATTATATATGTTGGAGTTATTTATCAACACTTTGAGGAAAGACATTTATTCATCATGGGACAAAAACAATATTCTTTAACTCACTAGACATTATGGTGAAGGTAGTTACACATCCTGGTAGCAGGTAAGGATGCCCAAGTTTACTCAGAATTGTCGGGGGACTATTCAGTGTAACTCTTCACAACTCTTAGTTAGACATCGAGCCCCTGAATAAGCTCCAGAGTACTAGAGAGAATTAGTTAAGACAACAAAATAAAGCATAAAAGTGAAAGATACTACCAGTGTTTCAAAAAAAAAAAAAAAATGAGAAGGAAGAGGAAGAACTACTTTCACATCAGGTGCTCTATAACGATGGTGGAAGTTTGTATTTTTTTCCCCAATGCTTTCAATAGAGATAAAGAGAAAGCACTATCTTTTTCACTTTAACATTGTCCTGAAAAGTAACTAATCTAATAGGTCTGCAGCCTTCCCAAATATACATGTACCGTCTTTCTTTTTTAATCTTTTATTAAGAGGGCACTGTATTTTATCAATAAACTTTTGTTTCTCATACTCAGCTTTTAGGATTTTTCAGAAAGCATATGATTTAAGACAACACCATGATAAATCTTTCAGCAATTTTTCAAAAACAAGATACCACACAAGCAGTGACAATAAAAGTTTTAAAAGCCCTGTGTATTCAGCCTTTAGGATTCTATCTCTTAAAGAGTAACCTTACAGAGCTCAGGGATACATGAAAACAGACCTAAAGTGATTCACTACCTCAATAGCACTGTTTCATTCTCCATTGTTACACTGTAATCTTCTGAAATACTCCTATACATAGATGAATTCATATTAAATGGTCCAATTTTAATCGGGAGAATTTCCAATATTGAACTTGCCTTTTACTCTTTATTTCATTGTAATTGCCCATTTATAAGTCGATAGTAGGCAGGGTGTAGTAGCACACACCTGTAATCCCAACTACTTGGGAGGCTGAGGTACAAGAATTGCTTGAACATCGGAGGCAGAGGTTGCAGTGAGCCGAGATCGCACCACCGCACTCCAGCCTGGGCGAGAGAGTGAGACTCTGTCTCAAAACAAAAACAGAAACAAATCACTGTTAGTACTCAAGAAACTAATTTGTAAATTACGTATTTTAGAAAATATTTTTCTAGTTTTGCCTGTTTTATAGTTCTTAGTCTGGCCTGAACACATTTTCTATAAATGATTAACTCCATGAAATGTTATATTTAAACTATTCTATATGCCCTAATATAGAGTATACATAGAATATACATGCAACTATATCTTTCTGCAGTGTGTGCTTAGGGTTCCATCCTGATGTGTTAAGGGTGGAAGGTGTTCCTGTTAGTTCCTCTTGATGACTGTATACCCTGCACATTTTATTCAGACAAATATTAATACACATAGGCTGAAATAAATGAACATTTTAATCTCTACTGACTCAAATGTCAGAAAAATAAAATTATAAGCATTTGGAGAGAATAGAAAGGAATTGTTATTTTATAATTTACCACTTTCTGTTTTTGCCAAATAAAACACAGCCTGGAACTGACCCACTCATAATATTTGTGAGGTCTAAACAAGAATATGAGTGGAAGGGCTAGCCCACAGTAACACCCAACTCCACTCTCCTCCAGAAGGGTTTCATATAAATATATTTGAACAAACCACACCTCAAGTTAAAGCTCTGCCCCACCTTTTCTCCCATGCAAAGAACCACCATTTGCCCCTCCTTTAAGTTAGGGCCATACATGCTTACAGACAAGGCCTGCCCTTGGGAGGAGGACCTGGGAAGAAAGCCTCATAGGTCTGCTAGTGGGCCATGTCCATATGGGCAGAGAATTTCTGAGTTTGGGACACCTGAAACATGGACTACATGGAAGGACAGTCCCTGGCTTTTTGTCCATCGTGAGGGGTACAGCAAGGGAAAGGCCAGAGTATGAACCCCTGAAACTTGTGGCTCTCAGAAGATAACAGCCAGGGATGCATTTCTCTCAGTTAAAATGAGACTAACTTATAGGATAAGGATTATGGAGGACTAAACATATGAGGAGATAAAAAGTAAATAGCAATAGCACCATAAATGCCCAGGCTGGTGGGAGATGAGGAGAGTGGGCTTAGCAGTGAAGGAAGGTTTCACGTATGACATCCTCTAACTGTTTGTATTTTTATTTTCTATTTGAGTTACAGAGGTTACCCTATTGCTTCAGGGTTTATCCTGCACAACTAAGGCATTTAATCAGGACTTTGCTTTTTTTTTTAATCTACAGTACTAATCAGCTGTCTTACAGCTTTCCTGCATGGCAGGTAAGAACTCATGGCATTGTTTTCTGTGATTTCAATATTACATAAAAAACAAGGGAGGAGTAATAAACACTACTTCTTAGAGATTGCACTATTGTTCTGTTTCATAGAATTGATAGGAAAAAAGTAGTCGCAATTACAATTGAATAATATTTGTATTCCAACAAATGAAATAAAAAGCGATGAACATTTCAACTGTAATAGAAAATTTGTATCAGTATTAATTATTAATGCTATTTGTAGTGATATTTTTAAATGATGTTAAGTTGTAACACTCTTCTAATGAGAGGGGTCTTTGTTACCTCCCCTTGAGTGTGGACAGGCTTCAATCAAAAGAGTATATCGAAGTGACACTATTTAAATCTTGATTCTAGATCATAAAATGCTGTATAACTATCCCTTTGTTTGTCAGAATATTTGCTCTTGGAGCCCTAAGCTGCCATGTAAGAAGAGGACACTGTCCTGTGTGGGAGCCCAAGCCATAAGGAAGGTAGCCCCCTGGTATTCATTACCAGTTGAGTATAGTCTTCAAGTTATCACAGCCCAGGCTTCCAATCTGTGATTGAAGACACCTCCAAATTATTTCAGCACCCAGCCATTTGAATCTTCCCAGTGTAGTCCCCCAACATTATAGAGGGGAGCCAAGCCATCTCTCTGTCCCTTGTCTGGATTCCTGATCCACAGTATTTTTAAATATGTTTTTATACCACTATATTTTGGGGTAGTTTGTTGCATAAAAGCAGATAACCTGAAACATTTTAACAATTGTGTGAGTGTGTGTGTGTGTGTGCGTGTGTGTGTTCTACATAGGTACAAATATGTTAGATGAGAAATGCCCAAATATTACAGAAACTAATAAAGCTATTTATAATTTAATTACACAGTTTGTTGTGTGTTTACTTTTAATTGAATCACTTCGTATAATATTTTGTTGCAAAGGATCAGGTGTCATGGACTTTTCTTGACTTTTCCCATTTAAAATTCTATAGTTGTGGATTCATTTGTAGAGCAGTGTTAAAATTATTACATATTTTTATGTGTTCATTTTATTAGTGTTTGAAAGAGTACTTTGAAAAATGTCGTGGCATTTTAAATAACATTTATTATATAATATACACGTCTGGGGGAAGAAGAAACTGAGATTATTCAATCTTAAGCAGTTTGAGAAGTACTAGCATAGAGATTCTTTAAAACAAAACTTCCTTTCAAAGTTGTAATAAAAAGAAATAAAACAAACAATTATTATTCTGTACAGAAATTACTTAGGTAATCTAGATCTTCAGGGGTCTTTACAAGACTTTAAATCTTCAATCCAACAGTATCTGATTTAGAGCTTTATACCTTGGAGAGTTCTTTATTATACGTTTTCTTTATTTATTTTTATCTCTATTTTCTGCTTTTCCCTCACTTCCCATTTGCTACTGGCCACTGATTATATTATTAGAAGAAAATAACCTAAGTAAAGCAAACAAACTACTGCAATTCTGCTCGTTTTCTTTGCTTTTATGGTTAGACATTTTCTACATTAAAATATTTATGAGATGAGGTCTAATCAAACCAAACCTCACTTACTTCTTTCTTTCTTTTTTTTTTTTTTTTTTTTGAGACGGAGTCTCTCTCTGTCACCCAGGCTGGAGTGCAGTGGCACATCTCGGCTTACTGCAAGCTCCACCTCCCGGATTCACACCATTCTCCTGCCTCAGCCTCCCGAGTAGCAGGGACTACAGGCGCCCGCCACCACGCCCGGCTAATTTTTAATATTTTTAGTAGAGACGGGTTTCACCATGTTAGCCAGGATGGTCTCGATCGCCTGACCTTGTGATCTGCCCACCTCGGCCTCCCAAAGTGCTGGAATTACAGGCATGAGCCATCGCGCCTGGTCCTTACTTACTTCTTTTAACCTCCTTGCAGATCATCTGCTTGAACATCTCCACTATCTCCTTCTGCTTGAACAGCTCCATCTGCTTGAACATCTCCAGTATCTCCTTCCGGTGGAGACACTTTGGTGTTTTTCCCAGAAGGAAACTTTACTTATGGGAGAATCACATTTGATGATTTTTAACACTTCTAATGAGTGGGATGGTTTGGTGATTTGGGACAATTATACTCAGATAAAATGTGATTATGCCCGGTCTGAGAAAGAAGAAACTAGGCAAAGAAAAATAAAGTGAGTTTCTAATGATCACACAGCTATTAAAGCAGAATTAGAAATCAAGTTTCACTTCTAAATGTTTCTGCTCAATTCATGCTTTTCATTTTTTGTCAGTCAGACTTTCTAACTCAACTGCATGCTGAAGGATTTTTTTTTAATTCCATCAAAATGGAAGCTCTTAGTAGTATTTTATCTTAATCTATCAGTTTAAAGTTTTAGAAGCTGGTTCATTAAAATGCATTTTGAAAAATTGATAAATGATTCGTTTAAGAAAGAAAACTGATTTTCCTGATTGCCTGTAATATTTTCATGCATTGATTTTAAATTAAAAATTATCTGGAAAATGTGATAAAGTTAATGGGATTATTTTTAATATATGTGTAGTGAGATAAAAGAAGTAAGAATATACTAATATTGCGGGAGAAAGAAAATTTGAGAGCGAAGGAAGACTTTTTTTAATTTTAGAATATTTACCAAAACCCCTTATTAAGCTGTATTCTTTTTACATAATTTTGCAAGATCTTTGGATATCAGGACAAAATGAGAAGATACACATGAATTTAGTTTGAAAACTATTTATACCTCTTTAATGACACTATATTTTGTAAGATTATTTTCACTTCAGAAAAAAAAATTGTCTCATTGGCTTTGAGGACTCAGGAGTTCTTTTGTCTCTAATAAAGAAGCTGTGAAACATAAAGTTACACTCCTGTTTATTTCTTTGGGTTTCACTTACTCTTTAGAGGATCTACATGAGCTTCTTAAACCTGGCTTGTATAGCATTGTTTTTGGCAATGCTAAAACCATGTTTTTGGCACATCACACACTATCTCATTATTACTCATGTCAGAATGTTCTCACTATCTGGGAAATCTCCTCTATAAATGCTTTGAACTGAACACACCTGTGATAGCTGGCTGGGGCAGAATCAACACAGCTATGAAATAAAGTGTTGCCTAAGGCAGGAGAAGTTTACAACTGCCTTTCAGTTCTAGGCATGTCAGAATTTGTCTCCCTTTTCCTTTCCTTTACTTCTTTGTGTTATTGTTGAGTGTGTTTTTAAGTGTGCCTTTACACCAGATAATCATATTTAATTTCACATTTCATGGTATACATGTGACAGAAGAATTTGATGGAAATTCATCAAATTTCATCAAAACTGACTATGAGTCAATATTCTACATGTTTCTCCCATTAAGATATATTTGTTTCTATTGTTTGTTTCGAAATGAATCATCTGGATGCAATTTTATGATAAGGATTGAAACTCTCATTTGGATATTATATTTTAAAGTTAAAAATACATTTCTGTCCATTACAAACCAGAAAAAATTTACTTATGCAAGACATATTTGCTGTGTGAGTGTGTGTGCCTTTCCCATCCTGCCATGCTAATTTTTAGACAATTGTCTCATGCTTGCTTTTAGAAAAAATTATGTTGCTTTCAGAGTTTAGTTTTTGCCAGGCTAGTCTCCAACAGATAACATTCATTTTCTAAAATGATATTCACTAATGAGATGAGTAACATTTCTTTAGACCTACTATGTGTGAGTAATTTCTAAGGGCTTGACATATGCTTACTAATTTTACCCTCATTACACTCTCATTAGTAGCCACTATAATTGTGCTCGTTTTTAAGGAAGGAAACTGAAACAGAGGCTAAGCTACCTGATCCATAGCACCCTGCCAGAAAGTGGCAAAGCCTACATTCTTAACAACTCTCATGTATTATTTCATTATATAATTTCAAAAATAATTCAAATAATAATAGTAATTACCATTTTTACATGTTTTTATGTACTCCATGTGAGATTTTGCATATTTCATTTTATTTTATTCTCTTCATAATGCTATGAAATACTTTTCAGCAATGTGGAAATAGAATCAGACATGCTAACTAACAAGCCAAGGTTATGAAGCTAGTAATTGGGAGCATATAGATGTTAACCTCTGTATTAGTCTGTTCTTATGCTGCTAATAAAAAAACCACACTCCAGAGTAGGTAATTTATAAAGGAAAGAGGTATAATGGACTCACAGTTCTGCATGGCTGGGGAGGCCTCACAATCATGGCCAAAGGCAAAGGGGTAGCAAAAACACGTCTTACATGGCAGCAGGCAAGAAGATGTGTGCAGGGGAACCCCCCTTTTTAAAACCATCAGTTCTCATGAGACTTACTGACTACCACGAGAACAGCATGGCAAAGACCCACCCCCATTATTCAATTACCTCACACTGGGTCCCTCCTACAACATGTGGGAATTATGGGAGCTACAAGTCAAGATGAGATTTGGGTGGGGAGACAGCCAAACCATATCATTTGGCCCCTGGCCCCATCCAACTCTCATGTGCTCACATTTCAAAACCAATAATGCCTTCCCAACAGTTTCCCAAAGTCTTAACTCATTTCAGCACTAACTCAAAGTCCAAATCTAAAGTTTCATCTGAGACAAGGCAAGTCCCTTTTGCTTATAAGCCTGTAAAGTCAAAAGCAAGTTAGTTACTTCCTAGATACAATGGGAGTACAGGCATTGGGTAAATACACTCATTCCAAATGGGATAAATTGGTCAAAATGAAGGGACAAGACACTCTATGCAGGTCTGAAATCCAGGGGCAGTCACGTCTTAAAGCTCCAAAATTATCTCCTTTGACTCTATGTCTCATATTCAGATCACGTAGATGCAAGAGGTGGGTTCCCATGGTCTTGTCCCTGTGGCTTTGCAGGGTACAGCCCCCCTCCTGGCTGCTTTCATAGGCTGGCATTGAGTGTCTGTGACTTCTCCTGGTGTACAGTGTAAGCTGTTGGTGGATATACCATTCTAGGGTCTGGAAGACAGTGGCCCTTTTTTCACAGCTCCAGTAGGCAGTGCCCCCAAGTAGGGCTCTGTGTGGGGGTTCACAACCCACATTTTTCTTCCACACTGCCCTAGCAGAAGTTCTCCATGAGGGCTCTGCCCCTGCAGCACACATCTGCATGGACATTCAGGCATTTCCATACACCTTCTGATATCTAGGTGGAAGTTCCCAAACCTCAATTATTGACTTGTGTGCACCCACAGACCCAACACCACCTGTAAGCTGCCAAGGCTTGGGGCTTGCACTCTGAAGCAAAGAACTGTGCTCTATGTTGGCCCCTGTTAGCCATGGCTAGGACGCAAGACACCAAGTCCTGAGACTGCACAAAGCAGCAAGGCCCTGGGCCTGGCCCAGGAAACCATTTTTTCCTCCTAGGCCTCCAGACTTGTGATGGGAGAGCCTGCCATGAAGACCTCTGACATGTCCCGGAGACATTGTCCCCATTTTCTTGATGATTAACACTTAGCTCCTAGTTACTTATGCAAATTTCTGCAGCTGGCTTGAATTTTTCCTCAGAAAATTGATTTTTCTTTTCTATTGCATTGTCAGGCAGAAAATTTTCTGAAAGTTTATTCTCTGCTTCCCTTTTAAAAAGAAGTTCCAATTCCAAACCATATATATGTGAATACATAAAACTGAATGCCTTTAACTATACCCAAATCACCTCTTGAATGCTTTGCTGCTTAGAAATTTCTTCAGCCAGATGCCTTTAAACTATCTCTCTCAAGTCCAAAGTTCCACAAATCTTTAGGCAGGGGCAAAAATCCACCAGTCTCTTGGCTAAAACATAGCAAGTCACCTTTGCTCCAGTTTCCAACAAGTTCCTCATCTCCATCTGAGTTCACCTCAGCCCGGATTTTATTGTCCATATCACTATCAGCATTTTAGTCAAAGCTATTCAACAAGTCTCTAGGAAGTTCCAAGCTTTCTCACGTCTTCCTTTCTTCTTCTGAGCCCTCCAAGCTGTTCCAACCTCTGCCTGTTACCCAGTTCCAGAGTCACATTTTCAGGTATCATTTCAGCAGCACCCCACTACCTGGCACCAATTTACTGTATTAATCTCTTTTCATGCTGCTAATAAAGACATAATTGAAACTGGGTAATTTATAAAGGAAAGAAGTTTAATGGACTCACAGTTCTGCATGGCTGAGGAGGCCTCAAAATCATGGTGGAAGGTAAAGGAGGAGCAAAGGCACATCTTACATGGCAACAGGCAAGTGGGCTTATACAGGAAAACTTCCCTTTTTAAAACTATCAGATATCTTGAGACTTATTCAATAGCATGAGAACAACATGGGAAAGACTGGCACTCATGATTCAATTACCTCCCACCTGGTCCCTCCCAGGACATGTGGGAATTATGGGGGTTACAATTCAAGATGAGATTTGGGTGGGAACACAGCCAAACCAAATCAACCTCTTTTTATTTTAATTAAATAACTAAGCTCATTTTACTTTTGCAACTTGCTGTTTTTCTATTTGTCACTTATTTTATGTTTGTGTGTGTTCCTCTGTGTGTGAGATAACAACAGGAAAAATGTGGCTGGTTTAATAATATACTTCAGCTTCAAATAAAAGATTAAATCTAAAACCAATTGTGCAGACAGAAAATATTGCTTTGAAGGGGATTATATACCTTAGGGAAGGAACTAGATGAGATTTTTCTGGACTAGCCAAAAACTAAAATGCTTTTAATGTCCTAGGCAAGTCACATAAATGTGAGAGAGACTGAGAGGATAGTGGTGCTTATGTTGAACTGGAGATTATATGCCCCCAGGTAAAGATATTCAAATTCTTAAAAAAGTTAAGGACAAAAAAATGCCTTAGTACCAACAACAACACTGAAAATTCTACTGGCCAAATAGAATACTTCCAAAGCCAAATTTCAGTGAAGAAATTCTAGCTTGCCTTTTCATTGCAGATAATAATCAACAACTCATTCAACTCATTTTCAAAAGCTAGCCATTATATTAGAAATCCAAAGTAAGTAAAAGACACTTTTTATGTATTTTGTACATAAAGTTTTCAAAGTAGAGAGAAACACCAATTTGTTAAGGGAAGAGTGAGGAATTCCCAGTATTCCAGGGAAGGAGAGGTGCTAAAGCAGCTAATGTGCCCAGATGAATTCACGAGAGGAGACTGAGGTCTAGGAGAAGGAAGGAGAGCACAGCGGTTAAGACTATGCTCAGGTATTACACTACCTGGTGTCAAATCCCAGCTCCACTACCTCACAACTGAAATAAAATAATTATTTTTTTTAAAAAAAGAAAACCTAGATGGAGTGCAATATCTAACTCAAATGAATGAAGGAACTGATGGAATCAGGTAGGTCATCAGAGATGAGTTTATTGAGGAAAGATTTCTAGCCAAGAGTTTCAGGATGAGCTGTTGTTGCACCTAACTCCTGTCTACTCCAGTAAGGATGGCACCAGGTTCAAGAGGCCAAAGAAGAGACCAGAGTCAGCAAATGACACATTGGGTTTTATTGGGGACTTACATACAGGCCTAAAAATCTAGTATTAGTGGGCTGGACAGGAGAACCAACCACATAGCCCAGTGGTGGCGGGTTGGGCAGAAGACTGAAACC
The DNA here is from genome assembly GCF_000001405.40 of Homo sapiens. Classification (NCBI taxonomy): domain Eukaryota; kingdom Metazoa; phylum Chordata; class Mammalia; order Primates; family Hominidae; genus Homo; species Homo sapiens. Next base: position 69,712,598 of record NC_000004.12, read on the forward strand.
ACTTGCAAAAGGAATGCAGTTTGTATAGCATTTTCATGTAGCACCCTTTCCCTAATAATTTCCACCTTACAACGTTTATGCAACCCAGAACTCACTCTCCTGTATGTCCCATGTTCCATAGGAGAAGCCAGGGTCTCAGAAGTTCCTCATAGGCTAGAAACAAATCTCTGGATGGCTACTCCAAAATTCTCTAGCTCTAGATCATAATACACATTCAGGTGCATGTGCCATGCAGGATCATTCTCAGAATATGCTTAATTATTGCTATCAGGTGCATTTACCATACACCTGTGCCTCATCTCAGAGTGGTCAAATCCTACTCCTCAACCTCCCTGATATGGTTTGTCTCAATGTCCCCACCCAAACCTCATCTCGAATTGTAATCCTCACGTGCAGAGGGGGGTACCTGGTGGGAAGTGATTGTCTCATGGGTCTGATTTTCCCCATGCTGTTGTCTTGATAGTGAGTGAGTTCTCAGGAGATCTGGTTGTGTGATAAGCATCTGGCATTTTCCCTGCTTGCTTGCTCGCTCTCTTTCCCTGCTCCCTTGTGAAGAAGGTGCTTGCTTTTCCTTCACCTTCCATCAAGATTGTAAGTTTCCTGAGGTCTTCCCACCCATGTGAAACTGTGAGTCAATTAAACCTCTTTTATTTATAAACTACCCAGTCTCATGTAGTATCTTTATAGCAGTGTGAAAATGGACTAATACACGTCCCTACCTCCTTGGGTCATGTGTTGTTAGGCGGATGAGCCTTCTTACTCAAGCTATTTGCTTGTGCATTTATGTGATCAACCTGTTAAAAGAGCCTGGATATTTCTCTACTTCATTTCTCTTCACCTGACCTCTGGGACACTCATTTCCATAGGTGAAAGGGATGGGAAAATGCCCTTACAAAAGCCCAGACAATGATTTCAGAAAATAACCTCCAAAGCAATGTGAGCAGGCAATGGTGGATGGGTTCCATGAGACAGAAAGGGCTGTGAGATGCCCAGGAGCCGAAGCCTGGAATCCTGCTCTCTGATTCTATGTAAAAATACAATTGATTAACAAATGAAAATTGTATATATTCAAGGGGTACAAAGTGATGATTTGATAATCATGCAGTGAGCATCAGCTGTTGGCAGTGAGCATCAGCTGTGGTCATCATTATGCAATAATCATGTAGCTAGTGTCAGTTGTGTAATAACTTGTGTAATGATTACCATAGCTGATGCTCACTGCATGCCTGCTTGCCTGCTCTTATTGCAATGTCACAGCAACAGAATATCTCACTTTCCGGCATGCAGAAAGCCCCTGTATAAACAGCACTGTCCCTATAAACAGTGGAGCTGAATTTGATGCTGGTTCTGAGGTATCAGCTCTAATTTTGTGAAAGTTACTTAACCCACTGAGCTTCAGTATTCTCACCTTTAAATAGGATAATATAAGACAGGAAATAAAATAAATGTTTGAATTTAATGCTAATACAACCTGGTACTTTGAAAGTTGTAGTGTGGCAAGCCACAGTGGCTCTGCACTTTGAGAGGCTGAGGAGAGAGAATCACTTGAGGCCAGGAGTTTGAGACCGGTCTGGGTAACATATCAAGATCTGTGCACTACAAAAAATGTAAAAATTAGCTGAGCATGGTGATACACATCTATAGTCCCAGCTACACGGTTGGCTGAGGTGAAAAGATCACTTGAGCCCAGGAGTTCCAGGCGCAATGAGCCATGACTGAGCCACTGCACTCCAGCCTGGGTGACAGAGCGACACCCTGTCTCAAAAAAAACAAAGACAAAGAAGTTGAAGAGTGAAGATAAAAAAATGTTTCAAGTGAATTATATTGATATGCACATATTAGAAAATTTAAATCTTGAAATTAGGAGAAATATGTTCTGGTGTTCAGCACAGGAGGGTGACTGTGGTTATGAATATTTTACCGTATATTTTTAAATGGCTGGAAGAGAAAATTTAGAATGTTCTAAACACGAATAATAAATGAGGTGATGGAAATCTCAATTACCCTGATTTGATCATTACACATTATATGCATATATCAAAATATCACATGTACTCCATACACATGTACAATTCTTACGTATTAACTTTTTTTTTTTTTTTCCGAGATGGAGTCTTGCTCTGTCACCCAAGCTGGAGCGCAGTGGCACGATCCTGGCTCACTGAAACCTCCGCCTCCCGGGTTCAAGCAATGTTCCTGCCTCAGCCTCCCAAGTAGCTGAGATTACAGGCACCCACCACTATGCCTAGCTAATTTTTGCATTTTTAGTAGAGACGGGGTTTCACCATGTTGGCCAGGTTACTCTCAAACTCCTGACCTCAGGTGATCTGACCGCCTCGGCCTCCCAAAGTGTTGGGATTACAGGTGTGAGCCACCGCACCTGGTCGTTTCAACTTTAAAAGCTGAAAATTAATGATCAAAGCTTCTATCTCTAGAAACTTGAAAACAACGCAAAACAAGCCTCAATTAAGAAAAATATAAAGGCAGAATTTAATGAAATCCTAGATGTAATATCAAAAAAGCCAAGTAAGTTTGGTATTTTTTAAGAGTAATAATATTGACAACTACCTGGCAAAACATTAAAAAATGGAGAGAGAACAATCATCAATATTAGGGATGAAAAAGTGGACATCACTAATATTTCCATAGAAAATATAAAGATAAAATAATAAAGAATAAATTAAAATTTTGAAAGAAATGGAAAAATGACTCAAAAAGCACAAGTTGTCAAAACTGACAGAGAAATAGAAAATTACAATATTTTTGTATACATTAAAGAGCTGAAAGTATTATTAAGAACTTTTCCACAAAGAAAATCCCAGTCACTAATGGCTTCACAAAGCTTAAAAGAGAAATATCATCAATCTTATTCACACATTTCATAGGCTAGGAGTAGAGTAAACACTTTCCAATTCTCTTTATGAGACTCCCATAAATTGATATAAAATCTAACATGGGAAATATAAGAAAAAATATTATGTATTAGCCTCATGAATGTAAATAAAAATATCTCAAAGATTTGTAAATTGAATGTAGGAGTAGATAAACAGGATAATCCACAACAATCAGGTGGGTTCATTTCAAAAATGCAATATTGATTTTACGTTACTTTACAAAAAATAGTCATTCACCTCTATTAAAAATTATAAAAGAGAATTAAATAATCTCAATATATGCATAAGGATACAATTCTAGCAACACATAATTAGAGAAAATTTTCTTAACAAATTGAAGAATTTCAATTTAAGAAATACAAAAAATAGAATTAGTGATAAAATATTAAAAGCTTTACTTCTGAGACTGAAAACAAAAGCCTAAGTGCTCAATTCACTATTTTTTAAATATTTTATTAAATGTGCTAGGCAGCACAAGAAGAACTAAAAAAAATACAAAGTTTTTAAAGGAAGAATTATAAACTGTCATTGATAACTGACATTATATTGTATGTAAAAAGACTTGATAGAATCTGTAGACTATTAAAATTAACAAGTGAAATTAATAAGGTCTCTGGATAAAAGGTTAAACTAAAAATCAAATGCATTTCTACATACCAGGAACAAAAATTATAAAATGGCCTTTAAAGAAAATATCATTTAAAATGATCAAGATAGGTCAAATGTGGAGAACTGAATCTAACAAAAGTATACGACTTCTACATTGAAATAACAAATTATTAGAGGTAAGCAAATAATTCCCAAATAAAAGCATAGTTTTTTGTAATCATGTAATTACTTGACTAATTGATCAATAGATTAAATGCAATCCTAATACAGATCATAGCAGGTTTTTTTTTAAGGGAAATTGTCAAGATTCTTCTAAAATGTATATGGAAAAACAAAAGGCCAATACTTGACCAGGCATTCTTGAGGAAAAATGAAATTGAGTTCTACTATCAGTCATTCAGTTACATTGTTAAGCTATATTAATTAAAGCAATATGGTGTTCATGTAAACATTTATAAAAGACCAGTGGAATAAAATAGTCCAGATACAGACCCACATTTATAAGGACAACTGATGTAATACAAATGTGACTGCAGTAAAGTGAGGAATGAATGGCCTTTTTAGTAAATTGTGCTAAGTCAACTGGATATCTCTAGGTGGGGAAAACCACTGGAGTCCTACCATATAAATATTCATTCCAGATATATTTTAGATTTACATGTGAAAGACAAACAATAAATCCTGTAGAAAAAAAGAGCATCTTTATTACCTCGTTGCAAACAAATATTTCTTATGTGGGATACAAAATGCTTACTCTGCAGAAAAAATTATAAATTGAACAATATTAAGACTAATAATACCAAAAGACACTGTTAAGTGACTAAAAACTCAAGTCATAGAATAAGCAGATGAAATAGCAGATGTAATATCAAAAAAGCCAACAGTTTTGTGTTTCTTAAGAGTAAGAAAATTGACGACCACATGGCAAGACATATTAAAAAAGAGAGAGAGAATACTCATCAATATTGAGGATGAAATAGGGATATCACTAATATTTCTATAGACAATATGAAAATAAGAAAGATTTTGAAAAGAGCAAAGATACAAAAAATCTTAAGGTGTATATATATACACACCTACATAAAAATATGTACATATGTGTAAGCAAACATATGCACATGCACACTCATAGATATTCATATTCTTCAAATCAGTGAAAAAATAGGGCAACACATAAAAAATAGACAAAAGAGTTGAATGGGTACTTCACAAAAGAGGTATAATGAATAATCAATATGATGAATTAATGTGAAAACTTACTCAAAATTTATCAGCAGTGAAATATCAATTATAACCAGAACATAATAAACATTTACCAAGATGGCTAAAATGAAAATTACATAAAATAATAGGTGATGAGTATAAAATCTGGGACTGGAATGCTTTTGTACAGCTGGTGTAATTGTAAATCAATATAACCAGGTTGGAAAAGTATATGGTGGTATATCTTAAACGTATGCACATCACGTTATTTAGTAAATCAATACCTAGGCTACACTCAAGGAAAATGCACATAAAATATATATACCAAAAATGTAAATAACATGTTCACTGTAGTACTATTTGTAGTAAACCAAACTGAAAATTTTGAAATGCTTATCAAAAGCAAATAAACATTGGTATAGTCTCATAATGGAATGCTATATAATAATAAAAATAAAAACTACAACTACATGCAACAACATGGATAAATCAGTAAAATACAATGTTGAGTGAAAAAAGTCACAAAGTCCACAGAGTCCATCTATACCATTCCATTAATATAACTTTCAAAATAAAAGGCAAAAGTAATCCATGGTGTTAGAAATCAGACTTGTGGTTTCCATTGGGAGTAACATTGACTGGAAGAGTGAGGCTCCAGTATGCTGGTAATGTTCTAATTCTTAAACATTAACCAAATTAACCAGAGACATGAAATCTGGTTACACAGGTGTGTTTATTTGGAAGGTTTCTCTGTATATCTATGATTTTTGGAGTTTTCTATCTGTATGCTATACTTAAAAAAATGGTAAAACTTCAATGACCATGAAAAATTCAGATATTGAGATGAAATTTTGGTACCCCTAAAATGTGCCTTGACCACTAGGCTGCTTTGAATAGACTTTATATCTATTTATTTTTATTGTATGTTGCTATCCCTTTCTGGTTTGCTTCCCTTGCATTTTGGCTTTGTTGCAGAGGCCCAGTGTGGTTCAAGCTCAAGACCCCAAAATACGACAGTAAGAACAACTCAGGCAAAACAATGAGAGAGTATAGTTTTATCATGTACTAATCTATTCAGAAACTTAGCTTTCAAAAAATGGAAGAAATAATTACCCAGGGAATAAGAAAAAAATGTTCTCAATGAAACCCAATTTACACTCATTGTTTAAGCGAATGAATAGTTTACACACTAAGCAAACTGTACTAGGAAAGTTACCCATTTATTTTAAAACACACTGCATATTTGGCTAAAGGCCAGTTTTAAGTTATGTGATTCACTTAACTTCCTCTTTCCCTTCAAATTATATTTAGCCATTGGCTTTAAGTTTTAAGTTTTCATTATTTTATTTTTCTGCATTTCTAAATATGAATTTCATTCGTACAAAAGGAGCTACTTTGTAGCTGTTAAATCTGTCTATCTATCTATTACTTGCAAAATGAGTAGTTCATCTTCGTCACTTGGAAATTGCAATATATAATATGGCTATTGAGTCACCTCTGGTGTTTTATAGAATGTGTAAATTAGAGTCCCACTCCAGGCTTTCTTAATCAGAATCTCTAGAGAGAGCTACAAGAATCTTTCTTTTACAAAAACTTCTACTATGCACAACAATGTTGATACTCTTGCCAATAGTTCTAGAGGAAGGGAGGGAGGGGATATAGAGGATGCAAGTTGTGAGAAAATAGTTTGTTCCCTCTCCTTTTTTCCCATATTCGAAGTTACAGGAGAAGCTTTTTCATAAGATTTGTGACATCTTGTTCTCTTTCTCTCAATAGAAGAGAACAGGACAGGGTACATTTAGTGCCCTTCTTATGAATAGGCTGCATTATCTTATTAATCATTTGTTGGGACTCTATGCATTTTACCAGAGACATTCCTTTCTAATGAGTAAGTTTTAAAATCAACACTTGAAACTCAAATTAACCTAGATGAGTTTGAACTATGGTATTGCCATCATTATTTAAGACTATAAACAAGCACCAATTATGACATAGTTTATAGAGAAAAAGCACTCATAAATCTAATTTTCATAAGTTCGTAGGCAGTGTCCTTGCCATATGAGGTCTCTAAGAGAGAATAGAACTTGTAAATTTCACATTGTCAGTTTAGGCACCATTACTTAATTATTTCCATGACATGTTTGAGAGGTAATCTAATATCCGAAGGTGATTATTTACATATAATTCTATGAAGTATCATGTAATGTTGAATGACATTTTGAAGACAAACAGACTTATATTTGAATCCCAGTTCTGAGTCTCAGTTTCCTTGCTTTAAAATGGAATTTATGGATACTTCTACAGTATTGTCTCATATCTAATAACTTATCAATTAAAATGGTAAAATATAAAATATACTAATTATATATCATTCTACATATCATAATAATGTTGAATTAAGTTACACAATTGCATATATCCAATTCTATTATCATATTCTATAATTATTAAGAAAATTATTTCTTCTTGTAGACTAATGAGAAAAGGCTGTGATCAGCCTTAGGTAAGATGATAAAGTAAGAGATAGAGCCCATTTGTGTTTAGCCATTTCCCAATTGCTGACCAATAAATTTATGATTTTAATAGGGCCAAGAAAATTTGCATTTAAGATTTTCAAGCACATTTGAAAATCATTTTCTATGTGTCCACTGGCATTTTCTAAAAAATGCTGAGACACGGCATTTCCCAATTGCTACCAAAATGATTACAAAGCATTACTGAGAGAATATATATGTGAATTTACATGACACCCAAATGCTATGTTTGACAGTGTGGACTTTATGGCTGGGCATGGTGGCTCATGCCTATAATCCCAGTGCTTTGGGAGGCCGAGACTGGAGGATCACTTGAGGCCATGAGTTTGAGAGCAGCCTGGACGACATGGCAAGAACCTGCTCTATAAAAATACATAAATAAAAATTTAAAATTTAAAAAATAGGCTTCCCCATGTAATCAAATTCCCACTGAGAAATTTCAATCCACCTATGTCACAGTATCTAACTTATCTTTATTTTTGCAATAGCTGGATTATTACAACCTATGTATCATTTGCAGTGTTATTCCAATCTTTATAGCCTTGCTGTGCTTTTCTATTGAATGATGATCATTGACACACGTTGAAAATATTAAGTACTCGAGAATAATGCCTTAAGCAGGAGTACTTGACACACGTGAAAAATTTAACTTGGTAGCAAACAACAAAAGAACAATGGTAACAGTAATGAAGCCAGAAACCTCCTTGCCTCCCAGTAATTTGCGACATATTTCTACATTTTGAAGCCAGCTAGCAGTGTGGAACAAGAAATCCGATGCCTCAATCCCATTTAGATAAATAAAATTTCAAGATTTTCACAATGATTACCTTCATGGCAGCTGATATTAAATGAGCACACTGAAGTATGCTAGGCACTGTTTTAATTGTTTTATGTATTATTTCATCTTTGCAATAAATACTCATTGTCTACATTGTACAGATAAGGAATTGAGCGCAGAAAAGTTGTGACTTGCTCAAGTTTTCAGGGTTAGAAAGTGGCAAAGACCTAATTCTAAAAAGGCTTTATAATTACAGATTTTGTGCTCTTATCTTTTATTCTATACTGCTTGGTCTTCAATGTTGCCTCAAATCCCCTCCTGATTTAGCCCCTGCTCCACGCACAAAAACAATATGCAGAGTTATTAACTAGGGAAGAAGCTGTTAATTTTTATGATTTTCCTACTACAAAGATACTCATCTATATTTTGAGGGTGGAAAATTAAAATAGCCACAGAAAACAGAAATGAGATTTCAAAATATAAGCCAGTTAAATGTCATAGTGGCAAGCAAATTGTCATCAAATAGTCATCAATAGTTTATTATAGCAAAATACAATAAATTATATTTTATTGAATTCATTAAGTGGCAGTTAAAAAAGGATTACTTCACTGCTGAAAGTAATGTCTCGATAATGTGGAAATTTTACATATATATATAAAACAGTTCTAATGATCATACATAAGAAGACATTTGTGAAGACAGCTTACATAATAAAAACAATTTATACATGGGTCATTGATAACCACCAGTATCTCTCTTTTTCCCCGGCCTTTCCCAGTTATCTGAAGATTGCTGCACAAAATAATTGTTTTCCCATATATCATTAATATCAAGCATTTTGAAGAAATTATAGTATCTTTTTTTCTGTATATGAAAGGAATTACAAAATATGGAGAAGGGTTGTATGTTGATTAATGGTGAAATGGGGCATAATACTTAACCTTCAAAAGCCTCCAATGACGCAATTTTTATCACACAGAACATAGGGTCAATGGGAAAGAGAATGAAGAATGTAGATAGAAAATAATTTAGGAAGATAACACAATAGAATAGGGTGGATTGAAAGGGAATACATGACACTTCCCTTTGAATGTATGAATCTGAGTGTCTATCCATGTCATGATGAAAAGTTCTTGTAAGCAATGCTTTGGCTTTTTAGAAAATAGCCCTTTAGTTTATTAAGGAAAATTTCCATGGATGAGGAAATAATCATATCATTGTCAGATATTTGTTATCACTGTCCTTACATCATGGTTCTGTTAGAGAAAGATTGTAATATGAGATTATTTTAAGTGTTTTCATTTGGAAATTGTACTGATGATTCAACAGGAGAAATAACGATAAAAGCATTGTTTTAGAAAAATTAATTTTGCAGTATTCTGATTGATTTCAAAGGGTATCAAATGTATTTGAATCATAGAAGTGCCACTGTGTGCTGTTAAACATAAACTGAGGAATTAGGATAGTGACATTTGCATCATAGAATAAATATATAAGAGGCAACAACCTATTTAAAAAGTAAAGGAAAATCTAAATTCTATTTTTATCTCCACTCTTCACTCAGTGCATAGAAACATACCTGAGGCATAATTACAACTTACTAAGTTTTCGTTGAATACAGTCCAATTACAGAGAGTTATTTCTACAAAGTAAAACTAGAAAATGTGGAAATTATTTTATCTTGCTAGTGAAGAAAGTGTAGCTAATCTATTACACAGATTAGAGGATAGTTTAGTGGTGTTTTTTCCCTCAGTAATAGACCATAGTATCAGAAATCCGTATATATTCAGGCCACATTAACTTATTATTTAATAAAGATAATAGAGGAAATAGATACATGATTTAGTTTACTTCTCGTGGACAAGGGTATTGGAGAAAGCTGGAACTAGTTCACAATACCTTTAGATAGTCAAGATTAACTCCTATAAAATATGTTTCTGTGGAACATAAACACAAATTATATACTCTAAAATACTTTATAAAACATATTGTAATAAATCTATAGAAGCAAGTATCTCCAGAATAATAGGTGTACTACTTCTATGAGGTTTGTTGTTACCACTAGACCAATCCTTTGCTGGGGTTGGAAAAGAGAAATGTTACAGCTTAAGGAGCTATTTTAGCTATTCCTGGCTATTCCTGGCTGACAGCGGAGATTCACCTGTGAAGTCAAAATACGATAAGCCATAGCTACCTCAGTTGTGGCTCAGAAAGTCTAACAGTATGTCCAAAACCACCACCCCCACCCCTTTCAGAACAAGTAAGGGCCCAGGGTACTGTACCTTCAGCTTGAGAACCATGGCTTGGCATATAACTTGGCACATGTGATATGATCTCAGGAAAAAGACTTTGCTGCACATGGGGATATAAACAACTACTTCTAATGCCAAGCTGGAGTTAAGATCAGAGCATAACTGAAGGAGACAAAGACACAAAAACCCCTTCAAAAAATCAGTGAATTCAGGAGCTGGTTTTTCGAAAAGATCAACAAAATTGATAGACCACCAGCAAGACTAATAAAGAAGAAAAGAGAGAAGAATCAAATAGATGCAATAAAAAAAGATAAAGGGGATATCACCACCGATGATCCCACAGAAATACAAACTACCGTCAGAGAATACTAAAAACACCTCTACGCAAATAAACTAGAAAATCTAGAAGAAATGGATAAATTCCTCGACACATACACCCTCCCAAGAATAAACCAGGAAGAAGTTGAATCTCTGAATAGAAAAATAACATGCTCTGAAATAGAGGCAATAATTAATAGCTTACCAACCAAAAGAAGTCCAGGACCAGATAGATTCACAGCTGAATTCTACCAGAGGTCCAAGGAGGAGCTGGTACCATTCCTTCTGAAACTATTCCAATGAACAGAAAAGGAGGGAATCCTCCCTAACTCATTTTATGAGGCCAGCATCATCCTGATACCAAAGCCTGGCAGAGACACAACAAAAAAAGAGAATTTTAGACCAATAACCCTGATGAACATTGATGCAAAAATCCTCAATAAAATACTGGCAAACCGAATCCAGCAGCACATCAAAAAGCTTATCCACCATGATCAAGTGGGCTTCATCCCTGGGATTCAAGGCTGGTTCAACATATGCAAATCAATAAATGTAATCCAGCATATAAACAGAACCAAAGACAAAAACCACATGATTATCTCAATAGATGCAGAAAAGGCCTTTGACAAAATTCAACAGCCTTCATGCTAAAAACTCTCAATAAATTAGGTATTGATGGAATGTATCTCAAAATAAGGAGAGCCCTCTATGACAAACCACCAGCCAATATCATACTGCATGGGCAAAACCTGGAAGCATTCCCTTTGAAAACTGGCACAAGACAGGGATGCCGTCTCTCACCACTCCTATTCAACATAGTGTTGGAAGTTCTGGCCAGGGCAATCAGGCAGGAGAAAGAAATAAAGGGTATTCAATTAGGAGAAGAGGAAGTCAAATTGTCCCTGTTTGCAGATGACATGATTGTATATGTAGAAAACCCCATTGTCTCAGCCCAAAATCTCCTTAAGCTGATAAGCAACTTCAGCAAAGTCTCAGGATACAAAATCAATGTACAAAAATCACAAGCATTCTTATACACCAATAACAGACAGAGAGCCAAATCAGGAGTGAACTCCCATTCACAATTGCTTCAAAGAGAATAAAATACCTAGGAATCCAACTTACAAGGGATGTGAAGGATCACTTCAAGGAGAACTACAAACCACTGCTCAATGAAATAAAAGAGGATACAAACAAATAGAAGAACATTCCATGCTCATGGATAGGAAGAATCAATATCATGAAAATGGCCATACTGCCCAAGGTCATTTATAGATTCAATGCCATCCCCATTAAGCTACCAATGACTTTCTTCACAGAATTGGAAAAAACTACTTTAAAGTTCATAAGAAACCAAAAAAGAGCCCGCATTGCCAAGTCAATCCTAAGCCAAAAGAGCAAAGCTGGAAGCATCATACTACCTGACTTCAAACTATACTACAAGGCTACAGTAACCAAAACAGCATGGTACTGGACCAAAACAGAGATATAGACCAATGGAACAGAACAGAGCCCTCAGAAATAATACTACACATCTACAATTATCTGATCTTTGACAAACCTGACGAAAACAAGCAATGGGGAAAGGATTCCCTATTTAATAAATGGTGCTGGGAAAACTGGCTAGCCATATGTAGAAAGCAGAACCTGGATCCCTTCCTTACACCTTATACAAAAATTAATTCAAGATGGATTAAAGACTTAAATGTAAGACCTAAAACCATAAAAACCCTAGAAGAAAACCTAGGCAATATCATTCAGGACATAGGCATGGGCAAGGACTTCATGTCTAAAACACCAAAAGCAATGGCAACAAAAGCCAAAATTGACAAATGGGATCTAATTAAACTAAAGAGCTTCTGCACAGCAAAAGAAACTACCATCAGCGTGAACAGGCAACCTACAGAATGGGAGAAAATTTTTGCAATCTACTCATCTGACAAAGGGCTAATATCCAGAATCTACAAAGAACTCAAACAAATTTACAAGAAAAAAAAAACAACCCCATCAACAAGTGTGCAAAGAATATGAACAGATACTTCTCAAAAGAAGACATTTATGCAGCCAACAGACACATGAAAAAATGCTCATCATCACTGGCCATCAGGGAAATGCAAATCAAAACCACAATGAGATACCATCTCACACCAGTTAGAATGGCAATCATTAAAAAGTCAGGAAACAACAGGTGCTGGAAAGGATGTGGAGAAATAGGAACACTTTTACACTTTTGGTGGGAGTGTAAACTAGTTCAACCATTGTGGAAGACAGTGTGGCAATTCCTCAGAGATCTAGAACTAGAAATACCATTTGACCCAGCCATCCCATTACTGGGTATATACCCAAAGGATTATAAATCATGCTGCTATAAAGACACATGCACACGTATATTTATTGCGGCACTATTCACAATAGCAAAGACTTGGAACCAACCCAAATGTCCATCAATGATAGACTGGATTAAGAAAATGTGGCACATATACACCATAGAATACTGTGCAGCCATAAAAAATGATGAGTTCATGTCCTTTGTAGGGACATGGATAAAGCTGGAAACCATACTTTTCAGCAAACTATTGCAAGAACAAAAAAACCAAACACCTCATGTTCTTAGTCATTGGTGGGAATTGAACGATGAGAACACTTGGACACAGGAAAGGTAACATCACACACTGGGGCCTGTTGTGGGGTGGAGGGAGGGGGGAAGGATAGCATTAGGAGGTATACCTAATGTAAATGACGAGTTAATGGATGCAGCACACCAACATGGCACATGTATGCATATATAACAAACCTGCACATTGTGCACATGTAACCTGGAACTTAAAGTATAATAATAAAATGTACATATATATATATATATATATATATATATATATATATATATATATATATAAATGTTCCAAGAAAACATAGATCAGAGACCACACAAATAGATATAAGCATGTAATAATAAGTAGAAGGAACATTGGGTCAAGAGGGCAGAGTGGAGATTCAGCCTAGAGAGTCTTCCTTGGGCACCAGATTGGGAAATATTTTGCAGAGGTTATGATCATGTCTAGGATATTAAAGGTGCTATTAAGGTATCCAAATCTATCCAAATATAAGATTAAGTAACTGAAGTTCCCAAATGGTGACCAGAACACAGCAGTAGGTGATTTCTCTGAAGTTCAAACGGGTCTGTTGGGAAAAAGAGGACTCCCCATAAGAAGTAGGTCACAGCCCTCAGGGCTGCTTTTCAGAACAGAGCTCCAGTTCCCAGGTAACCAATCCTACAGAGACTATTGTAGGCGTTTGCCTTTCGGAGACTTAGACATTAGGTATGATATAGAAAAAAGATTTCCAAAATCTGAACTACATGATCGGGGACATGAACTTTGTTATCCAAATAGAGGCACTGCAGGAAGATGAGCTATGACTCAGAGAACAACTTGAAACTCGGTAGACAGCAGTGGAACACAGTGTCCTGGGTCAAATTTTCGGCAAAGGGAAATTGGGGCAGAGTTAGGAAATATAGTCTCATTATGAAAACAGCATTTCTTGGACCATGGTACTAGGGAGGGGAACTTAATTCTAAATCATAATATATGGGAGATTAAGTAAAATAAATCCCTTCTTTCTTATCAGTACTAGTGTAGAAAAAGGCAGGAAGAGCCTGTGGTTACATTGTTCCTTTGTTACAAAAAGTTAACAATGAACTTTAGCCTTAGAGAATTTGGAAACTCAGAATCAAAGGAACAAAACTGGGATCTGATTAATAACATTGAAAAGAATCAACATATTAAAAGCATATTATTCTCCTTTATAAATTCATTTGATTGCCCAAATCAATTCATAACTGCCCTCGTTTCAATCAACTACAGACAATCTCTTATTTCTTCAGATGTGTGATTTAGACACTTTAAATCTCTGTGCGGAATTGAAGTGCAGTTTTGGACATTTCTGTCTCATAAATAGCATCAAATTTCTCATTTTGGGCCACGGTGAAGTAATTCTTCCAGTCACCAGCCGTCCCTAAAGGTAAATAAAAAAACATAGGAAAGAATAAAATATTTCCATAAGAAGAAATCAGTATATACCAAAGGAAAAGATTAGAAGGCCTAAAGAAAGACCTTCCTTTTATTTGAATGAATTCAAACAGTCTTTAAATTGTATTAACCTTTAAATTTTTCAGGCTTTTAAAATTTGAATAATTTTTTACATCTGGAAAGGTGGTTTATAATTAAATAGAGTCTGACATTTGAAGAGGCATTCTGAGAAAGACTAATTTTCTTGTTTAAATTCCTGGGCTTTACAATAGTTTCCCAAGAGTGATAATTTTACTGTTTCTAATGGTCGTAGGTCATGAGATTATCACTGAGCACTTGGATCAATAGTCAGGCATATTTTATTTCACAAAGTAATTTTTGGAAACTAGACAAAAAATTAGTCATCAGCACAGCAAAACTGTGAAATAAAAAGTTGATAAGTATCATTTCCTAGAATTTATAAACAAGGATGCTATGATATGGAGATGACAGTTGTTTTTCCTAAATTCACTAGGCTTGTTCTTTATTTGTAATTTAGGTGGGAATAATAACATTAATATCAAATATATAACATCCTGGAACCATGTTTTTTAAAGTAAATCTTTGAGGATAAAAATTTAAATTTAGTCTCTCATACTTGGGTATTTATAAATATGTGTTTGGAAAATGAATAAACTTTTAATGTACTGCCAATATTTTTAGAGAAAAACATCTCACTATTTTATGAAATAGTAATACATCATATTAAATTACAAGCTATATTAATCCACAGTGGTTTGATAAAACTTCCAAGTCTTTTAAAAGAAAAACATTCCTATAGATATGCTTTTTTCCCTAGTTGTTACATTTTGTTCTATGTTCACCAGATGTCAATAGCTCTGGAATTCAACATAGGGTTGAATAAGGGTTCAACATAAACATACTGGGGCTAATGCATCCGTAAGGATGTCATTAAAAACAGAGGAGAACACAGATTTAAGCAATTAAAAGTTATATATAAATCATTCCAGTGATCTGATCTGCATATAAATTTTATAATATACGCAAACACATTTACTTCAAAAAAGAACTTTTGATAAATGCTGGCCAAAGGCCAGGTTTTTCTATTTGTTATAATTTAGGACATACGACCAAACATTGGACATAATCTATCCCACCCTCATAATAATAACATTGATTTATCTAATATGGCATCTTTCAAGATTCAGTGTGCCTGGCACATTTGTTCATACTTAACTTCTTTCAGCATTCATTCATGTACATGCCCCTTGCACTACATTGTGAGCTTCTTGAGTCAAAGATATGTATCATTTACCTTTGAATCTTTTAAAGAATATGTGCTGTATATAGTTATTCATGAAGAAGTTTTTCTATATGCAAATTAACGAATGAGTACTCTAAATGTTTACTGGATACATCAGGGAAGGAAGGAAGGAAGAACGGAAGAATGGAAGGAAGGAAGGAAGGTCAAACTATTTAGACTAATAATGCTTTTTACTTCTGTATGCATTATTTATTGTGAGAAAATATCCTAAATGCTTACATATAATTTACCATAATCCTCCCCAGAAACTTTTGCCACAGGTGTTATTATATTATCTATTTTGCCAGTGATGTAATCAGAGCTTTGGCAGGTTAATTAATGTATTCAGGGAATGGTGTAGCCTGGATAAACCTCAGATCAATCTGACCACAAAAGTATGTTCTTAACCCCCTAGAGAGGGGATATAAAGACTACCTTCAATATTAGAACAGCAAGTGCTTTTTTTCTATTGAGGTTGGAGAAGCCATAGAATCCAGATATTGAGCTTGTCTTCTTTATGTCTACATCATAATTAGATGTCATGAAATGGCATCAATTTTCATATGATTTGAGATAAAATTTCTGGGAAATTATATTCACGTATCTATCACAATGAGAATTTGCCTTGTTTAATAAAGATTTATTTTCTGATTCTTCTACCAGGAAAAAGAATATATATGTACATGTACACAACTGACCCTTGAACAATACAGACTTGCGCTGGCCAGGTTCACTTATATGCAGTTTTTTTCCAACTAAAAGCAATAAAAAATACAGTATTTGCATGATGAGAAACCCACCCACATGTTTTGAGTGCCAATTTTCATATAGGCAGGTTCTAGTATATTCAGAGGCAGAGTTCCTGGAACCAATCCCCCACATATAGCAAGGGATGACTGTCCATACACATACATTTACATCTGTGTATAAGCATACAGATAAGATATATACACATCAGTCTTCTTTGCTCAAACTTATAATGCATACAATTTTTGATGAAAAATATACCTGCTTTCTTACTCTAGAAGTTATTTTTAATAGGTTAAATATATTGTTTTTAGAAAAGAAAGAGCACAATTTGAAAACACTAGGACTATTTGCTACCTTAATAAGTTAACAAACAACTTTTCAAAAAATTAATCATATTACTCAAAATTGGCGGTTTTGTTTCATCTGTTAATATGCATAATACATTCCTAAGGCTATGCTCACTTCCTAGCATACAAATTGAAATTCTACCCATCTCCCTCCAATTCAATCAAAGATATTGAAAACAGATCGTGGCATTATTAAGTGGATAACTTCTCAAAGTTATTTAAGTTAGTAATTGGTTAAATGTATTGTTATTATTAACACATTTTTGACATATATTATGTGTAATAAGCCACAATAAACAGACTACTTAAATGGAAGTAATGTATTTCAACAGTAAATGCCATATTCTTCTAAGTTAAATTTAGACTCTATGTTACTAATAGTTTAGACAGTATTTGCAGAGGGCTAAAACTTCTTATAAGGTCAAATAGCAGTTTCTCCTTTTGGTGAATTATTTTTAATACAATTACCATGGTTTTCTAAGTGATATGGGGACTTTAAAGACTATGGTACTGTACTAAGTGAAATTAGTATTTCACTGAGGAGCAGAAGGAAGGAAGCTTATCTATGCCATCTTAGACAAAGATTGAAGGGAGTAAGAATGACAAATTTGGAATTGCTCACATCAGAGTTGCCAAAACCACTCTCATTTAGCACAGTAGTAAATAGAAGAATAAATATTTATCATATATTCAAGGTATTCTAGTAATAGCTTTACATGCATTGTTTCATTTAATAATTTTGAATCTCAGCAACTTTTGGTGGTAGGTATTTGCTATAAAGCTTAAACAGGCTAAGAAACTTAGTAGAGATCACAGAACTAATCCTTAGCTCATGATAATTCATAAGAAAGTACGAAAGGGAAATTAAACCCAGCAAAGTATTTACCTTTACGCATAAAAGGGGATTTGCTATGATCCATCACTGTAGTTGGTAGATGTGTATAATTTACCAAAGGATTGTCCTTCATCACTTCAAATGAGGTGTGATGGATGATCCTATCCAAGATCTCATCATTCAGGTTCTTCTCTAGAAATCTAATGATCTTCTTGATTTCCTCCTTTGGATTCTATTAGTGGGTAAAACCCAAGACAATAAACAAGTAACTCACACAATGTGAATATTTATAAAACATTTATAATCCGTTTTTTTAAATGTTGACTCTGAATAGTATAGGAAATCCATATTTGTTTGGGTTTTTCTCAATTTTTAAATAAACTAATCATAAAATATTAAAAATCAAGAATATCTGTTATATTTTCTGTGTCAGTCCTCTCTGACAGAAGAATAAGATCAGAACTTAAGGTGTGTCAGTGGTTAGAATGAGTAAACGAGCAGACATGATGATAGTAGAGAGAAGCCCAAAATTAAAGATAGTAGTTGTGCTAGGAAAACATATAGATGGACAGGCAAATAGAGAACATTTTCTTTTTGGGGTCAAAAATATTTGGAGAATAATTTGGCTAATCCTAAAATATTAATGATGATAGTAGTCCAGGGATCGCCAACCCACTGGCTTCAGATCAGTACCAATCAGTGGCCTGTTAGGAACTGGGCCACACAGGAAGATGTGAGTGGTGGAAGAGCAAGCACTACTGCCTGAGCTCTGCCTCCTGTTAGATCAGTGGTGCCATTAGATTCTCATAGGAGCATGAACCTTATTGTGAATT
This sequence comes from Homo sapiens, assembly GCF_000001405.40. Lineage (NCBI taxonomy): Eukaryota > Metazoa > Chordata > Mammalia > Primates > Hominidae > Homo > Homo sapiens. Next base: position 69,731,283 of record NC_000004.12, read on the forward strand.
GAGTATGTGAGGGATCTAAGTTGCACACTCCTTATGAGAATCTAACTAATGCCCAATGATCTGATGAAACAGTTTCATCTGGAAACCATCCATATACAGCCCCCTTGCACCCTGTTCATGGAAAAATTGTCTTCCACAAATCCCGTCCCTGGTGCCAAAAATGCTGGGAACATCTGTGTTAGTCTATAGACCAGTAGAAGTTAAAGCAGAGTCCTGGCTCTGGCTGAATCTTCCTCTGATCTGTTATTCTTTTACCTCACTTATTAGGAATGCATGTAGATACTCATAAACATGTTGTAAATTACTGGACTTTTTTTCAAATTTTATTATTGATGTATATTCTATAATTTTCTTCCATTATTGTTGTTGCATTAAACTTCTCTATAATATTATCTACAAATGATTGTATGGTAGAAGAAAAATATTGTCTGTTAATGCAATGTATGTTGCAAGTTTGAAGGAAATTGTAAATATATGGATATGCTTAAAAAGGTAACCGGTTAGACTATAAATCAAAATGAGTAAGTTTATTTGAATAAAGCATTTTAGCTAAATAAAGACAGAAATGGTCTCAAATGTTATGTGGGAAACAGTGTAATGGTTGATTTGGAATTTGAATAACAGCCAAACAGAGAGAATGTATTTCTTAGTCTTATGGAGAAAAGGGACTATTGCCAGAAGCTAAAATTGTTCTTTTCATAAAGCTTTTAAGTGGTGCTCTGCTGTCCAAAACATGAAGAGAGTTATTTGTTAGAGAGCTGGAATAATTTTCTCTCTTATGAGGAATTTATAACTTACCTCCGGCTAAACAAACTCTCAAGAGACATATCACTTTGTTACAGTAGTTTCATAAACCATGCAAGGTTTTGCAGCTGTGTGGTATGAGCAAATTAACATTAATACTCTCAAACCCTGTGTAAAGGGACAATGATAAGACATAGATCACAGATTCTTTATGGGATGTGGACAACTGTGATGGAGAATGAATACTTGGGCAGTGAATAAAATCTCAGAGGATTCTTTGTGCTAAGATACGAGAAACCCCTGGGAGTTTCCCAAAACTACCTAAAGCAAGTAATATTTCACATGGGGCCAAATTTCTGTGTTATATAAAGTAGGATTAATGCCATTAAAGTTTTGGATATTACCACTCACTCATTTATTTATTGAAACAATCAGTGATCCATGCAAGTAATCTTGAGCCCCTGTTTATGTTGTATGCACTGTATTAAGTACTGGGATGTAGTTACAAAGAAGACAAACTTCGTAATTTTCATTGTAGATCTGAAAGTATTCTAACTTGTATGTTCAGGCTTTTATAAGTAAGGAACTAATTTCAACATGTTTACCTGTTGTGTGTATGTCTGTGTGTATTTGGCAATTTAAGTAGAAGAGTTCCATAATGTGGCATGAAAATTTGTAGTTGTATTTAATTAATACTACTTCATACTAGATAGATGATTACAAGTTTCTACACTAACAGTGAGATAGTAAGGAAGTAAAGGAGGGAATGTTTTGAAAGATACAATAGATACACTATCTGAACCAATTGAATGTGCAAAATATAGGAAACAAAGACAGTAAGAATAACTTTTATTGTTGAAAGAGAACAAAATAGTAAAAATATTACATGTTGGAGAGAAAGAAAATAAGTTTAGTTTTGAGCATGTTAAATTTAATACAAGCATGGGCTAGAAAATCGAGGTAGAAGTGAAAATGCAGGCACAGATAAGGGATGATTAGCACATAAATAGTTGTGAAAACAATAAGCGTGGAAGGGGTAACTCGAATATAGCAAACAATTTTTAAAAACAATGTTAAAATATTAATGAGTAGATATCTAAGGATAACTGTAAGCATGTGATATCCTGGTAAATATAGGAAATAATTGCAGAAGAAAGAGTGGTCAGATATAACGCAGTGGCTAAGAAATAAGAGGAATAAAAATAAATAATTCTTTTCACAATTAGAAACTCATTAATTATAGCAAGATTTGGGTAAAAACACATGGTGGATAGGCAAAGCAATCATCATTTTGGACTCGATAGACTAAGTTGGAAAGCAAATATCAACCCTTTTACAGCATGATGCAGTGGGGAAATTATCCAGAATCCATATCTACCATTTTACCTCTTTCATATCTTCATAGTACAAAAAAAGTATTGGGTGTTCTTCCTTTTTCTTCCACCAGTTTTTAACATGAGTAAACCAGGAACCATAGGCCACTAAAACCAGATAAAAGTCTATTTTCATAAACATTCATCAAATTAAATATTTCTGTCTGAATAGTAAATCAAATTGTGAAAACATTTTGAATTTAGTAACCAAAGGAAGTAAGAATATGAGGACAATCTTAAAAAGTAAAATTAGCTATTTATGGATATATAAACATCAGATATTTTTTAATGTCAAGTACAAAGAAAGCATTTCAGACAAAAATACACTGACCTCCAAAAAGTTATACTTAGTCTCATAAAGAAGAAAACTATTATCTTACAAAGTACTCATATCAACTATTTACCTAAGTACTATAAATATGACATATGCATTAACAGATCTAACTAATTGCTTAAGCAAGTTAAACAATGTCTATTGTGAGGAGAGACTGATAATGGACTTCTAGCAACTGAGAACAGATTATAGAATACTTTTGTATGCCAATGATTAATACTAGTTTTATAAATTGAAGGTCATAGTAAAAATATTAGATGCATTAGATTTAGTTTTTTAGATAATATTTGAACATACTTTTCACTAGATTGGAAAAATAAGTATTTTGAAAGTCATAAAAGTTATTGTTAATAGTATTATTAAAATAAAAAATACTTATCAATTTTAAGATAAAGTCCACATACCTTTTCCAGTTAAGAATTTCTCCAGATATTCTTCCCAGGTACCAGGAAAAGGCTGTAAATTATTCATTAAGTCAAAATGGTAATATGAGACTGAAACATCCTTGGCATTACGAGCCAGATAAATCATCTGCAGTGGGGGGTGGGGGTAGGAGAAAAAAATAAGATAAAAGACATTTTGTTTAGGAAAAAATTAACCTATACGCATGTAAAAAAGCAGAGTACTTTTTCAAATAGAAATTGTGGGCCAGGGAGGCCCTTCTATTAACAGCTAAAATATAGAATCAATTCAAGTGATTTTCAATACAGCAATGCATTTTTGAGATTAGAACCATCGAGCTATAGACGTTTTGAAAAAAAGATTTCAGTTTCTGGCCACTTGACACTGTGAAGCATTAATAGACCACTGTGGCTTCTGGAAGATCTGCAAGGTCCTAGAACACACATTATCAAGAAAATGACACTGTGACTAAAGAGAATACCAGCAAATTGAAAATAACAAAATTGTGGGAAAAAAATAAAAGTTTTCACTTTTCACTTCTACCAGTGAAATACCGAGAAAAATATTAGGTGCTGATAAAAATATATAGAAAGGAAAAGAAGGTAAAGATATTAAAAGGCATTAAAATAAGTTTGGGGGCATCCAGTTCAGAAACTAGAAGGTATAGACTCACTATTTTCTACTTCGCTACTCTTTTTTTTTTTTTTTTGAGACGCCCTGTCGCCCAGGCTGGAGTGCAGTGGTGCGATCTCAGCTCACTGCAAGCTCCGCCTCCCAGGTTCAGGCCATCCTCCTGCCTCAGCCTCCGGAGTAGCTGTGACTACAGGCGCCCGCCACCACGCCTGGCTAATTTTTTGTATTTTTAGTAGAGACGGGGTTTCACCATGTTAGCCAGGATGGTCTCGATCTCCTGAGCTCATGATCCGCCCTCCTCGGCCTCCCAAAGTGCTGGGATTACAGGCATGAACCATCGTGCCCGGCCTTTTGTATTCTTAATGTCACTAAAGCCCTGGAAATTATTCAACTTACAATGATACAAGAACTCCAAAAGCATACTGGACAAAGAGCTGAGTAATGCCAATGTGGTGAGTTCCTCCTAGGTGTCCTTTTTATCTCCTATATACTCTTGGATTGGGCAGCAAAAAGGACTGTGACCTGGAACCATTTACAGGCATACACGAAACAAAAAAATATCTAGAAAAACCTGCTCTCCCTGGTCAAAGGATTAGGAAAGAGGAAGCCCAACAGAGACATAGTGGAGAATTCCAAACTCTGCTCCACACCCGGGTCTCTGTAGGTGAGCTAACTCACTGCCAGTAATGGCAATGAAGTACTGGGACATTCAAACTCCTGCGATATAAACGGGGCTTTATAAGCAGTCCCACCCATTCACAGTGATGACATCAGAGAAGCCCTGTTTCTCCCAGGCCCGAAGGCTTCTCTCCAATTTTCAAAAAGTCAGCTAACAAGAGTGGGAAGTCCAGGAAAGTACCTTATACTCCTTTTATGTGGCATCAGCAGGGATGGTACAGTATGTCCAGCAGCCCCAGAAATCAAATAAGCAAGAAAAACAAAACTGAGATGAATCAAATGTTAAGTTATCTGACAAAGATTTAAAGTAGCTATCATAAAAAAGCGTCAACATTCCATTACAAGTTGTCTTGGAGGGTGGACCAATCATCCCCCACACCTCAAAAGGAATATCAAATTTGCCAACTACCTACACACAGAAAGTACCTTCATGAGAACCAAAAATCAGGTGAGCACTCACAGTACCTAGTTTTAACTTCATATCACTAAAACAGCCACTGAAGATGATAGGAAAGACAGTCTTAGAATTGCTATTTCCATGCCTCCCCCAACCCTTAGTAGCAGCCGTGTGGCATGGTGAGAATCTGTGCACTTGGGAGAGGGAGAGCACAGCAATTATGAGACATTGCATTGAACTCAGTGCTGCCCTGTCACAGTGGAAAGCAAAACTAGACTGAACTCAGCTGACAGCCTTCCATGAAGGAAGCATATAGACCAATCCTATCTAGAGGGGAATCACACGTCCCAGTGGTAGAAATATGAGTTCCAGCAAGCCTCACCACCATAGGCTAAAGTGCTCTGCACCTGTAAATAAACTTGAAAGACAGTCTAAACCACATACTTCTAGACATGTTCTAGTGCTGAGATGGCCTCAGAGCCAGTGGACTTGGAGGGTACAAGACACACTGAGACATACAAGACTAAGGGACTGCTTGTGCCACCCTTCCCCAGACTCCAGGCTGCACAGTTGGTGGATTCAAAAGAGATCCCTACTTTCCACTTGAGCAGAGGAGAGGGAAGAGCAAAGAGGACTTCGTCTTACATCTTGGATACCAGCTCAGCGACAGTGGGATAAGGTACCAGTCTGAGTTATGAGGCTCCTATTCACACAAATATATATATACATATGGTATACCCACAAAAGTTAAAAATTGAAAAAAAATTTAAAATAAATGAAAAAATAGAAAAGAAATTGGAGTTATATTTGTAAAGTTAAATATATGGAAATTATAGATCTGCAATGTATAATAACTGAAATAAATAAATAAATCACTAGATGGACCGAATAGTGTAATGGCAGTGTTAGAGGACAGAATCAGCAAACATAAAGGTATATCAATAGAATTTACTCAATGTTAACAACACAGAGAAAATAGAATAAAGACAATAAAGAGAAACTTAGGAACCTGTGGGACAATAACAAAAGGCCTAACATTTGTATGTTTAGAGTTACACAATGATAGGTGGAAGAGTAAGGAACTGAAACAGTATTTGGAGAATTGGTGACCAAAAACTTCCCATAAGTGTTGAAATAAATAAATCAATATATCTAAGAAGTTGTGTGAACTCAAAAAAAGGAAAAAAAAAACTATGTCAAGAAACATCATAAAAGTACTTCTAAAATTTAAAGATGAATAAAACTCTTAGAAAAAAAAGCCAGATATACAGCACATTGCATAATAAAAATCACCAATTCAAATGACAAGTTTCTCATCTAAAACCATGAAGGCCAAAGGGAAATAGCACAATAGTTTTTCAAGTGCAGAAAGTAATATATTGTCAATTCCAAATCCTGTATCCAGTAAAACTGTTCTCACTCAAGAAGGGAAAAAAGACATTCTCAGAAAAAGGAAAACTAAGAGAATCAATTGCTAGCAGACCTATCTTATGAAATAGCTAAGGGAAGTTCTCCAAACAGAAAGAAAATGACAGTAGAAAGATGAAAACTTTAGAAAAGAAAAAGAAAAAGAGAATGGGTAAAAATAGAAGTAAACATAGTAGCTAATCACTCACCCAATGCATTTCTTAAGTCATATTTTACAATTGAGGCAAAAGTTACATTATCTGATGCGGTGTTCAGTTTATGTACAGGATCACTTGGGACCATTATGTTGAAAATACGGAGATAGTAAAGGGGCCTAAATGGAAGTAAGGTATTTACACTTCACTTAAAGTGAGAAAATGTTGACACCATTAGACTGTGATGAATTATGTATATTTATGGCAATAGCTAAAGCAATCACTAAGAAAACTATACAAAAATATATTCAAAAATATTATAAATAAATAAAAATGAACTCCAAAATGTTTAGGTACAACCAAGGAAAGGAAGAAAAAGAAAATAAACGAGATATGAAAGAACAAACAAATAACGTGATAAATATAAGTCCTAAAATGCCAATAATGTCTTTATTTATTTATAATTTTTAACTTTTAGGTCCAGTGGGCGCATGTGCAGATTTGTTGCATATTTGTGTGTCACTGGGGTTTTGTGTACAAATGATTTCGTCACCCAGGTAGTGAGCATATTACCTGATAGGCAGTTTTTTGACTTGTACCCTCCTACCACCCTTCACCCTCAATTATACCCTGGTGTCTATTGCTCCCATCTTTGTGTCCACGTATACTCAAGGTTTACCTTCCATGCATAAGTGAGAATATATGGTATTTGATTTTCTGCTCCTAAATTAATTTGCTTAGAATAATGGCCTCCAGCTGCATCCATGTTGCTGCAGAAAACATGATTTCCTTTTCCTTATGGCTGTGTAGTATTCCGTGGTGTATACACACCACATTTTCTTTATGTGCTCCACCATTAATGAGTATTGTATTAATAAGTTTTCACTCTGCTATAAAGAACTGTGTGAGACTAGATAATTTATAAAGGAAAGAGGATTAACTGACTCACAGTTCTGCATTGCTGGAGAAGCCTCAGGAAACTTACAATCATGGCAGAAGCAAAAGAGAAGCAGGTACCTTCTTCACAGGGTGACAGGATGGAGTGAGTCCAAGCAGGGGAAACACCAGACACTTATAAAACCATCAGGTCTTCTGAGAACTCACTCACTATCATGAGAACATCATGGGGGAAACTGCCCTCATGATCCAATTACCTCCACCTGTTCCCTCCCATGACACATGGGGATTATTACAATTGAAGATGAGATTTGGGTAGGAACACAGAGCTAAGCCATATCATTCTTCCATGGTCCCTCCCATATCTCATGTCCTCACATTTCAAAACACAATTATGTGCTTCCAACAGTCCCCCAAAGTCTTAACTTAATCCAGCATTAACCCAAAAGTCCAAGTCCAAAGTCTCATCTGAAATAAGGCAAGTCCCTTCTGCCTGTGAGCATGTAAAATTGAAAGTCAGTTATTACTTACTAGATACAGTGGGAGTACAGGCATTGGGTATAGACACCCATTCCAAATGGGAAAAAAATGGTTGAAACAAAAGGGGCTAGAGGCTCCATTCAAGACAAATCCAATGGGGCAGTCAATAAACCTTAAAGTTCCAAAATGATCTCCTTTGACTCCATGGCTCACATCCAGATTAGGCTGATGTAAGAGGTAGACTCCCACGACCTTGGTCAGCTCCACCCCTATGACTTTGCAAGGTACAGCCCCTCTCCTGGCTGCTTTCACAGCTGGTGTTGAGTGTGTACAGCTTTTCCAAGTGCAAAGTGCAACTCTCAGTGGATCCACTATTCTAGGGTCTGGGGGATGGTGGCCCTCTTCTCACAGCTCCACTAGGTGATGCCCCAGTAGGGACTCTGTGTGGGGGCTCCAATCCCACATTTCCCTTCTGCACTGCCCTACCAGAGGTTCTCCATGAGAGCTCCGCCCATGAAGCACACCTCTGCCTGGAGATCCAGGTGTTTCCACATATGCTTTGAAATCTAGGCAGAGGTTCCCAAACATCAATTCTTGACTTCAGTGCACCCACAAGCTCAACACCATGTGGAAGCTGCCAAAGCTTGGGGCTTGCACCCTCAGAATCCACACAGCCCAAGCTGTACATTGGCCCCTTTTAGCCACAGTTGGAAGGTCTGGGACACAGGTCACCAAGTCCCTAGACTGCACATAGCAGGAGGGCCCTGGGTCTGGCCTGTGAAACCATTTTTTCTTCCTAGGCCTCTGGGCCTGTGATGGGAGAGGCTACTGCAAAGGTCTCTGACATGCCTTGGAGACCTTTACCACATTGTCTAGGTGATTAGCATTTGGCTTCTTGTTACTTATGCAAATTTCTGCAGTCAACTGGCTTGAATTTCTCCCCAGAAAATAGGTTTTTCTTTTCTACTGCATCATCAGGCTGCAAATTTTCCAACTTTTATGCTCTGCTTTCTGTTGAATGCTTTGCCACTTAGAAATTTCAAAGTTCTACTGATATCTAGGGCAGAGGCAAAATGCTGCCAGTCTCTTTGATAAAGCATAGCAAGAGTGACCTTTACTCCAGTTCCCAACAAGTTCCTCTTCTCCATCTAAGACCACCTCAGCCTGGACTTCATTGTACATATCACTATCAGCAGTTTGGTCAAAACCATTCAATAATTTTCTAGGAAGTTCCAAACTTTTCCACATCTTCCAGTGTTCTGAGCCCTCCAAGTCTCTAGGAAGTTCCAAACTTTCCCACATTTTCCTGTCGTCTTCTGAGTCCTTCAAACTGTTCCAACCTCAGCCCATTACCCAGTTCCAAAGTCACTTCCAGATTTTCTGGTATGTTTAATAGTAGTGCCCCACTACCTCAGTACCAATTTACTGTATTAGTTCATTCTCACACTGCTATAAAGAACTGCCTGAGAATGGATTATTTATAAAGGAAAGAAGTTTAGTTGACTCACAGTTTCCTATTGCTTGCAAGGCCCCAGGAAACTTACAATCATGGTGGAAGGCAAAGGAGAAGCAGGTATCTTCTTTATAGGGTGGCAGGACAGAGGGAGTTTTAGCAAGGGAAATGCCAGGTACTTATAAAACTATCAGGTCTTGTGAGAACTCACTCACTATCATGATAACAGCACAGAGAAACCAACCCAATGATTCAATTACCTCCACCTGGTCCTGCCCTTGTCACATGAGGATTATTACAATTCAAGGTGAGATTTGGGTAGAGACACAGAACAAAACCATATTAGGCATCTAGGTTGATTCCTTTGCTACTGTGACTAGTGCTATGATGAACATACAAATACATGTGTCTTCTTGGTAGAACAATTTATATGCCTTCAGGTAACTACTCAGTAATAGGATTGCTGGGATTCATGGTAATTCTGTTTTAATTGCCTTATTTTGAAAAGTGCTGTTCATGTCTTTTGCCAGTTTTTAATTGGGTTGTTTTCTGCTCATTGATTTAAGTTCTTTATAATTCTGTATATTAGATCTTTGTCAGATGTATAGTTTGTAAATATTTTCTCGCATTTTCTATGCAGAAACTATTTAATTTAATTAGGTCCCTCTTCAACATTCTGGTTTTTGTTGCAATTGCCTTTAGAGTCTTAATCATGAAACCTTTTTCAAAGCCTATATCGAGAATGATATTTTCTAAGTTTTCTTCTGGGTTTTTATAGTTTTTGGTAATACATTCAAGTCTTTAATCAATCTTCAGTTAATTTTTTGTATATGGTAATAAGGGCTCCAGTTTCAATTTTCTTCATCCTACTAGTCATTTATCACAGCATCATTGATTGAATAGAGTTATTTCTTCATTGCTTATTATTGTCAACTTTGTTGAAGATCAGCAGGTTGTAGGTAGGTGTGCATCTTTATTTCTAGGCTCTCTAACCTGTTCCATTGGTATATGTGTCTGTTTTTGTACCAGTACCATGCTGTGTTGGTTACTGCAGCCTTGTAGTATAAAGTTGGATATTGTGATGCCACTGGCTTTGTTCTTTTTGCTTACGGTTTCCTTAGCTATTTGGGTTCTTTTTTTGTTCCATATGAATTTTAAAATAGCTTTTTTTCTAGTTGTGTGAAGAATGTAATTAGTAATTTGATAGGAATAACATTGAATCTGTAAATTCCTTTGGGCAGTATGGTCATCTTAACAATATTGGTTCTTCCTATACATGGGCATGAAATGTTCTTCCATTAGTTTTTGTCATTTCTGGTTTGTTTTAGCCATGTTTTGTAATTCTCATTGTAGAGATCTTTTACCTCTTTGATTAGCTATATTCCTAGTATTTTATTTTTTTGTGACTATTGTGAATGAGATTACGTTTTGATTTGGCTCTCAAGTTGGACGTTATTGGCATATATAAATGCTACTGATTTTTATACACTGATTTGGTATCCTGAAAGTTTGCTGAAGTTGCTTAACAGTTTTAGGTGCTTTTGGGCAGAAACTGTGGAGTTTTCTAGCTAAAAAATCATATTGACTATGAAGAGAAATAATGTGACTTCCTCTCTTTCTATTTGCATGCCTTTTATTTCTTTCTTTTGTCTGATTGCTTCAGCTAGATCTTCCTGTACTATGTTGAGAAAGAGTGATGAAAGTGGGCATCCTTGTTTTGTTCCAGTTCTCATGGGGAATGCTTTTAACTTTTTCCTGTTCAGTGTGTTGGTTTGTCATAGACTGCTCTTATTATTTTGAGGTATGGTCCTTCAATACCTAGTTTACTGAAGGTTTTTAATATGAAGGGATGTGAAGTTTTATCAAAAGCCTTTTTCTAATTTGTTGAAATGATTTTGTGGTTTTTGTTTTTAGTACTTTCTGTATGAATCACACCTATTAATTTGCATGTATTGAGCTAACTTTGCATTCTGGGAATAAAGCATACTTGATTATGATGGATTAGATTTTTGATGTACTCCTGGATTCAGTTTGCTAGTATTTTGTTGAGGATTTTAGCATCTATGTCAATGAGGAATATTGTCCTGAAGTTTTCTTTTTTGTTGTGCCTCTTCCAGGTTTTGGTATGAGAATGATGATGTCCTCATAGAATGAGTTGTGAGGAGTCCTTCTTCCTTGACTTTTTGAAATAATTTTAGTAGGATTGGTATTAGTTCTTTTTTTGTACATCTGATAGAATTCAGCTGTGAATCTGTCTGGCCCAGGGGTTTGATAGATTAGTAGGTTTGTTATTACTAATTCATTTTCAGGACTGGCTACTGGTCTGTTCATGATTTAAATTTATGGGGGTTTCAATCCTAGTGTTATGAGATCCTTGGGGTTTTGCTTCACCAGCCGGAAACCTCTGTGGCCAGTGGCGCCTTTGTCCAAGGTTTGCTCTGGCCCTCTGGGCTTGCTCCGATCACTCAGCCTTGCAGGCTGCACTTGGCTCATGCTACCAGCCTGGATCTCATGCCTGCCGAGGGTGAGCCATGTGTGGAGCAGCAATGGGTGTGTGAGCAAGCCTGTAGTCTGGCCATTGCGCAGAGCCCGGCCTGCCAGCTGCGGTGCGGTGGGCAGCTCCAGGCACCAGCATGGCCCCAGCCTCATGGCCTCAGCTCTCTGCAAGGCTGCAGCTGGACCAGGCACACCATAAACAACTTCCACAGCTGATACCGAGGAACACAGTGGCACCCAGAAGCTTGGAGACACCAGGAACCACAGAGCCCTAAAGAGGGTGTCACAACCCTGGCTCAGGGAGCTCCTAGGTTTGGGCTCCTTGAAGGGCCACAGGTCTTCTCTCTTTCTCTCTTCTGTCTTTCTTGTCACACACAAGGTGGTGAGCAAGGTGTGTGTTTCAGGCCTGTTTGTGTTACAGCCCTTTCAGTTCTGCCATGCAGCGGGTCTCAAGTTCTTGTCCTGCATTCAGGAAGACTGAGGTATACAAACAAATAGAGGGTGAGCAAGATGAAGAGGAGCTTTATTGAGCATGGTAGTCAGGGTTTCTGGATGAGTGTTTAGCCCTCAGCAAAGAGGGCACCCTGGAGTGAGTAGCTTCTCTCTGTAGCTGGTCCTCCCGTCATCTCTTCTGGTCTGAGTCTAGGACGTTTTATGGGCCTCAGAGGGGAAGAAGTGCAGTCCCATTGGTCCATGGGCAGCCATGGGTGGGCCCAGAAAAAGCACCACAAGTTCCCATTCTGGTCCACAGGACCAGCAGCCCAGCTCCCAGGCTTCAGGCCCTCCCCAGCTTGAAGGTGGGGCTTCACCCGGGACCCACCCCCTTCTGCCCAGGAGCCTGTCTACCACCTACCACACTTCATAGCACCAAGGCTGTTACTGCCAAGGGTTGCCTGCAGGCCAGCTTCGACCTGCCCTCAGCAGTCCCTCGGCTTTCCTCCTGTGTTCTGGGTGCCCAAAGTCCAGAGGGGACCCAGGGGGCTGGTGTGTCAGAGCTGTCCCAAGTGTGCACACATCCAACTGGGCTATGACAGCACCCGGGCTTGGTGTCAACCATGATCCGAGATTGGAGTGTGTTCCGCGAGCGGGTAGTGGCCAGATAGTGGGAGCAGACACCTCTGAGCCTGTGGGAACAAGGTGGGGGCCTTCCTTGGCCTCCTAGATTGCAGAAATGCCTGGGTCAACAGCTGCGCATGGGTGGCTGCAGATGTTCCCAGGAAGGCAGTGCTCCTGCCTGCTCCTGGCCCCCAAAAGCACAGGGAGCCCTGGGTCCATAGCCATTACTTGCGCTGCTGTAACTGTGCCCAGGAGGGTGGGGCTCCTGCCTGCTCCCTGCTTCCGCTGGCTTCGTGGAGCAGGGCACTACCCTGGGCCCAGCTCTGCCTTGGAACCCCTCTATGCCCTTCCCTCCATGTCTAACCACGCTGCTCCCCCATTGGCGGGTGACTGGGTGCGGCCTCATTGCGGTAGCAGGGTGATACCAGGGCAGCAGGCTCTCGGGGGAGTGCCAGGGGTGGACTCTAGGGACTGACTGTCTCCTCTCTGTGTTTCCCCTCAGCGGAGGCGCAGCGGCCCTGGCCAACTTTGTACAAAGGAACCCGACACAGTGGAGGCTCTGGACCTGGAAGTGGGTCCTGCCCGGCCATGCAAAGGTAAGGGTGGTGCAGTAGGCTGCTATGGGGTCATGGGGCACAGGGGTCCCACTGCCGCCTTTGCTGTTCCTGCAGCCGCTCCTGCCACCACCACCCATGTCTCCCCACTGCAGCCGATGTGATGGCAGCAGCCACTCTGGACTATAAAGGTGTTCCTAGCAGTCTCTGCAGGTTCCTTGTATTTTTGTGGTGTTGGTGGTTATTCTTGCTTGTGTTTATTTGGATCTTCTCTCTTTTTTTCTTTGTGAATCTAGCTAGTGGTATATCTTATTTATTCTTTCAAAAAACAAACTTTTGTTTTTGTTGATTTTTTTGTCTGGATTTTCACATCTCAGTTTCATTCAGTTCTGCTCTGATTTTCGTTATTTCTTTTCTTCTGCTACTTTTGATATTGGTTTGCTCTTATTTTCCTGGTTCCTTGAGGTGCAATGTTAGGTTGTTAATGTGAGACCTTTCTAACTTCTTGATGTAGGTATTTAGCACTATAAACCTTCTTAGTACTGCTTTAGCTATGTCTCAAAGATTCTGATATGTTGTGTCTTTGTATCTCTGTTTTCATTTGTTTCAAAGACTTTTTTAAAATTTTCTGCCTTAATTTCATTATTTACATTGTTTCAGGGGCAGGTCATTTAACTTCTGTGTAATTGTAGGGTTTTGATAGGGCTTTTTGGCATTAATTTATATTTCTATTATGCTGTGGCCCGAGAGTATGGTTGGTATGATTTTGGTTTTCTTGTATTTATTGAGAATTGCTTTATGGCTGAGTAAAGCATGTGGTCAATCATACAATATGTGCCATCTGCAGATGAGAAGAATGTATATTTTGTTGTTGGGTAGATGTCTGTTAGGTACATTTAGTCAAGTGTTGAGTTTAAGTCCTGAGTGTCTTGCCTTGATGATCTGACACTGTCAGTGTGGTGTTGAAGTCTTTCACTAATATTATGTGGTTATGTAAGTATCTTTGTAGGTCTATAAGAACCAGTTTTATGAATTTAGATGCTCTAAAGTTGGATGCATATGTATTTAGAACAGTTACACCTTCTTGTTGAATTGAATCTTTTATCATTGTATAATATTATTCTTTGTCCTTTTGATTGTTGGTTTAAAGTCTCTTTTGTCTGAAAAAAATAGCAACTCCTGCTTTGTTGTTGTTGTTGTTCTCTATTTGCTTGATATATATTTCTCCATCCCTTTACTTTGAGACTATGGGTGTTGTTGCATGTGAGATGAGTCTCTTGAAGTTTGAAGGCAGCAGAGTTGGGTCTTGCTTCTTTATCCAACTTGCCAGTCTGTGCCTTTTAAGTTGCTCATTTAGCCCATTTGTATTCCAGATCAAAATTCATATGTGAAGATTTGATCCTGTAATTGTGCTGTCAGATGGTTATTATGTAGACTTGATTATGTAATTGATTTATAGTGTTAATGTTCTGTGTATTTAGGTATGTTTTTGTGGTAGTTGGTATGTCTTTTGCTTCCATGTTTAGCACTCCCTTAAGGACCTCTAGGAAGGCAAGTCTGATGAGAATGAATTCCTTTAGTATTTCCTTTTCTGTAAAGGATTTCATTTGTTCATCACTTATGAAGCAGTTTGACTGGATATGACATTCTTGGTTGGAATTTCCTTTCTTTAGGAATACAGAATATGGGCCCTCAATCTCTTCCAACTTGTAAGATTTCTGCTGAATAGTCCACTGCTAGCCTGGTGAGGTTTCCTTTGTACATGACCTGCCCCTTTCGCTAGCTGTCTTTAAGGTTTCTTATTTCACATTGACCTCGGCGATCCTCTTTCACTCTATATTTTGGGAATTGTTGTCTTATGTAATATCTTTTTGGGGTTCTCTGAATTTTCTGAATTTGCATGTTGACTTCTCCATCAAGGTTGAGAAAATTTTTATTGACAATATCCTCAGATATGTTTTCCAAGTTAATTGCCTCTCTCTATCTCTTTTAGAAATTCCAGTGAGTCACAGGTTTGGTGTCTATATAATCCCATATTTCTTGGAGGTTTTGTTCATTTTTTATATCCTTTTTAAAATTTTTGTCTGCCTGTGTTGATTCAAAGGAACAGTCTTCCATCTCTGATATTCTTTTCTCAGCTTGGTCTATTCTATTATTAATGTTTCCCATTGTATTATGAAGTTCCTTTAGTGCATTTTTTATTTCCAGAAGTTCAGTTTTGTTCTTTCTCAACGTGTCTATGTTTTCTTTCTGCTCTTTATCAGTTTTACTGTATTCCTTGGATTGGGTTTCAACCTTTTTCTATATTTCATTGAGTTTCCTTGACATCTAGGTTCTGAATTTTATGTCTGTCATTTCAACAATTTCAATCTGGCTAACAACCATTGCTGGCAAGCTAGTTAGGTCATTTGCAGGCAAAAAGACACTCTGGCTTTTAGAGTTGCCAGAATTCTTGAGCTGTTTCTTTCTCATCTGTGGCAGCTAATGTTTCTTTAATCTTTAAAATTCCTTTTCTTTGGATGGTGCTTTTTGCTTTTATATTCTTTGTTGCCCTTGAGGTTTTGACTGTAGTGTAAATTTGGGTTTATTAGATTGTTTTCCTTTTTGGATGCTTTTAGGGGACCAAGGCTTAATTCAGCACTCCAGGGCTATGTGCTCTGTCTCTACGGGGCTAGAGCGAGAACCTTTGCTTTGTTCTCTGGCCCCTTGAGGTCAAGCACCTGCTCTACCAGAGGTGCTGATGTGTTCCCAATCTACTGGCAACAACATTCCAATCAGGGATGCTGGCAAAAGTGCTTCAGCGGAGCATTGGAGATGACATGGGAGAGTGTAATCCAACATGGAAGCAGGGAGCCAGAGGCACTTATGTAGCGATGGAGCAGTCACGGGCAAACACTTGATCACAGGGTAGCAGGGGTAGGCTGCAGGTTACTGAGCACTGGTGGGAGAAGACTGAAAGTGAATCTGCACCAGTAGGGATCCATATGCAAAAGCAAAAAACTGGGCAAAAAACTGGAAGTTAGGGGCTGCTGGCTGAAGAACTATGACAGCGGCTGCTGGCAAGTGCTTCGGCAGGGCAGCTGAGGCTGTGCACTAAGCCAGTGTGGCTATGCAGGGGCCCTAGTAGAAGCCAGCACAGAGAGGAATGGTCAGATCAGACTGGCCCAGGCCTATGTGCAAAACAGGCCTGCTTTCTCCAGACCTGGGAGCTAGCAAAAGCTAAAGCCACCTAAAGAAATATGGAGAGCCTTGGGGGATGGGCATCTATGGCCATGTTCCACTGCAGCTATTCCTGCACCAAACCCTCTGGACTCCACACAGCGTAGAGTACTGTCTCTGCCAATTCTCTGGGAAGTTCTCCCTGCCAGCTAAAATGTCTCTGGGCATCAAGGAGTCTCCTGCAGCTAGGATCCTGGAGGTCCATGGTAAGAGTGGGCTGTTCCATGTCTGTTTCACTCACTCCTTCTCTAGGAGCTGTGCGGGGCCAGGAATGAGTCATGGTGCTCAGCAAACCTATGCAGGATTCCTAGCTTCCTCCCCTTTTAGCTCCAGGGTCTGCATTCTCCCTCTATTCACCCTTAATGCCTTTTATCCAAAGATTTTTTTGGAGTATGCCAGCCTGCTTGATATTCTGGTCTTTTTCAGGGGGAGAAGCTCTTCCAGAATTCATCTAGTCAACCATCTTGGCTCTATCCCATAACTACTTTAAATGTATATAATATACACACATGAATCTAAAGACAAAAATTGGCAGAGTGTATGAAAACAGAACTTAGCTGTATGCTGTTCAAAAGACACACTTCAAACAAAATGACAATGATACGTTGAGAGTAAAAGGGTAGCAAAAAATATATGTAATGCAAACATTAATCAGTAAAAACTAGGAGTGGCTATATCAATACAAGACAAGATAGACGTCAGTGGAAAAAAAATTACAAGGCACATTACATAATGACAAAAGGACTAATCTGTTAAGAAGATAAAGCAATTCTGAATTCCAAACAGCAAACAGCAGAACTTCAAAATACATGAAATGAAAACCAGTAAAGCTGAAGTAAGAATAGACACATCATTAGTCATAGTTGAGCATGTTTACAATCCACTGTCAGGCAATTGATAGAACTGCTAGACATAAAACAAGAAAGGATATAAAAGAACTGAACAACATTATTGGTCAAGAGGATGTAATAAAAATATAGGGAATACATCCACCTACAAAGAAGAATATGCAACCTGCTCAAGAGCTCAGAAAACATTTAACAAGATAGAACAAGATGAACCATAAGAAATTTAAAAGAATTGCAATTATGTAGAGTATGATCTTTGACTAAAACGGAATAAAATTAGAAATCAATAACAGAATGAAAACATAAAAATCCTCAAACACTTAGAAGTTAAATCATACACTTCAAAATCTTGCAGTAAATGAGGAAATTTCAGATAAAATAAAAATGTGCATAGCATTGAGTGCAATTGAAAGCATGACATATCAAAATGTGTGGGATGCAACTAAAGCTTTACTGAGGAAACATATTTACAACACTAAAGGCTTATTTTAGAAAATAGGAAAGAAACAAATCAATAATATCAGTTCCTACTTAAAGAGATTAGAAAAAGAAGAGTAAAATAAATCCAAAGTAAGTAGATGGAGAGAAACGATAGAGAAAAAAAGCAGAAATCTATGATACTAAAAACAGATAAACAACAGAAATAATTGATAAAACGAAAAACTAGCTTTAATAATATCAATAAAATTAATATACTTAAGAGGGACAAAAAAGAAGGAGAAGGCACAAATAACTGAGATCAGGAACAAAACAGGGTATCAGAACAAATCCTGCAGCCGTTAAAATAATAATGAGTATAATATTAACAACTTTTCATTCATAAAGTCAACAACTTAGAAAAGTTTCTCACACATCACAAATTGTCAAAAGTCAGATAAGAAAAAAACACATAATCTACATAGCACTGTAGCTATTAAATAAATAGAATTTGAAGTATAAAATTTCCCCAAAAGCAGATAAGCAGGAACAAATGTTACAACAAAGAATTATACCAAATCTTCAAATAAGGACTAACGTCCTTAAGTTCAGTTTTTACAGAAGGCCTGAAGATCTAGGGAGAGTTGGAAAAAAAAGTAGTAATATTGTGCTGAGGTTTGGATTCTGTTGCTGCTCAAGTTTGGAAAACTTGAGTATATAAACTCAGACTAAAACTTAATGGCTTTTGAAGATTTACGTACAACGTGAGTGGGTATAGTATAGATTGTTGCAAGTATATGGTTAAAGAAACAAAAAATATTTTAAAAAATAAACTATGTGAGTGGGTAAAGGGATAGGGCCATACTAAAAAACTGACATGGAGTCTGGAGTATACCTTGCAATTGTTTTCCCAGAAAGATTTAGGAAGAAGATCAGTCGGTAGATGTGTTTTCACAATCCGGGGTGATGGATTCTTCTCCAATTGTTCTATACCTGAGAAATTTAGTTAAGTATAGGGAAATATTAGAGTCTCCAGAAAGGCTACGTTTCCTTATTTTGCCAACCAGTTTTTCAAGACATTTTTGAGCATTATGTAATGCAGATAAATTCTGAAACAATCACAGGCATTTCACCACATTACTAGAGTCAGTATTGTGTAACATTCAAGGATACACATTCTGAGGTTAGCCACCCTGAGTTCAAATGCTAACTCTATCACTTAAGCATTGTGAGACACTTTGAAAGTATCTCAGAATCTCTGTACTTCACTTTCTCCATCTCCAAAAGGAGAGATAATAATACCCTCTTTAATAATTTGGAGTTTTATTATACCTGTGCATTGCTATAAATGACTATTTAAATGTTTTCTTCATGCCAAAGAGGTATCAATAACTAGTAAGTCTAAAACTGGCTATCGTGTTGTATTAGGTACTGTAGCATAGATGATGTTAACTTTGTATATAATATCAGCTGTTTTATCTATATTTTCATTATATCCTATATGTGTCATATGTCTCTCCATATATGTATAGACAGTAAAAATGTGTAATCTTTAGATATTAGCTTAACTCTCTAAAGTCATACAACAAATATGTGGTAGAACTTGATTTCAAATTAAGGTCTTAAGATAGATGATACATAAACTTCTTATGCATTCTTTTATGTTCCACAGTATTACTTATATACAGTCTAAACTCTAGAATACCTGATAATCTTACATAATCTTGCCATCTCTGAATAGAAAGGCAAACCCACACAAAATTGCATCTGACTCACTCATTGAAAACAATGCTTTGTTTTAAATGTTCACAGTAATTCACTGCATATGCTAAGAAGTCATTCAGCCTATTACATTTTTCTCTTAATGTTCTATGAAACACATTTTGACTTCATAGTTTATTTACTTATTTGTTTGCTTACTGTATGTCCCCATGTCCCTTCCCCAACCTCACTCCTAAACTTAGACTAAAATGGAGATTTCATAAGAACAGAGATGTAACTTGTTTTGTTCATAAATAAATGTCCATCGAGAACCGTGACTAGCACATGGTTAATATGAAGAAGCCTATTTAATGTCAGTAGACACAGGTTTGGCATACAGGAAATTAAAAAATGTGAAAATCCAAGTTAAATTTGAATTATCAGATAAATAGGTTGTTTTTAGCAAGAATATTTCCCTTACAACATTTGGAAAGTACTTACATACTTAATAAAATGGTTATTTATCTGAATTTGAAATTAATTAATTGTCCTGTATTTTATTTGCCAATATAAATGACTGTAAACATAAATTACTATACAACTCCATCAGGGATTTTACTATGCCTCTACTGATCTAGCAGCTACAGTCACTTTACCCAGCATATAAAAATGAGAAATTGTAATCCTCCACAACTCGTTATTACTTAATGTCCATTAGATGAACTTATGTCTGTTTCTTTTAAGAAGTTTTTCTCACATCTGTTGTTCCTTGTTCCGCATTCAGCTTCCCTGAAAGATTTCTCAATTTCCCCTATTTTGCAATCATTTTGCCAAGTGAGTCTTTTAATGAACCCTTTATATCCACAAGTATGAGTGTTAGCAATGTATAAAGACAACAAAATTATCCACATTCAGGCTCTGGAGTTTGTTTGTTTGTTTATTTGAGACGGAGTCTCACTCTGTCGCCCAGGCTGGAGTGCAGTGGCGCGATCTCAGTTCACTGCAAGCTCTGCCTCCCGGGTTCACGCCATTCTCCTGCCTCAGCCTCCCGAGTAGTTGAGACTACCGGCGCCCGCCACCACGCCCGGCTAATTTTTTGTATATTTTAGTAGAGACGGGGTTTCACCGTGTTAGCCAGGACTGTCTCGATCTCCTGACCTCGTGATCCACCCGCCTCGACCTCCCAAAGTGCTGGGATTACAGGCGTGAGCCACCGCGCCCGGCCTAGAGTAGATTTAAATGCTGCAGTTTACCCTCATCTACCTGATGAACTTCAGCCATTCACTGTCAGGCAATGCTGCATATCCTCCCTCTCTATCCCCAATCCTGCCTTCCATCTGTTATCCCTGACTCCCATGTCTCTGATTACTTTGGTTCTGTCACTTTTTCATTTCATACTTTCTATGGTTCTGAAGTCTTGCCTCCCTCTTGAACTCATTTTGGTTCCTTGCCCCAGCATAATCCCTCAGTTCCAAGCTTTCCAAGGATAGGCATGTTTAAGAACATCAAGACATAACATAGTCATGTTTAAGAACATCTTATCATAACCATTTGTTTTAAGAAACTTTGCAGTTTGCATTTTAAGTCCTTGACAAATGTAAGATTAACAACTTTGTGAGAGTAACAGATTTGCTTTGTAATGCTAAGTAAAAAATGTTGAGTATTTATACTTGAATTTTAAGTTGAAATCTTGCTAAGTGTCTAATTTTCTTTTTTAAATTTGTTTAGAGACAGAGTCTTGCTCTTTCGCCCAGGCTGGAGTACAGTGGTGGAATCATTGCTAAGTTTCTATGTAGTTTTGGAACATTTAAAATGGCTAAGATTTGCTGTATTTATGAGCTTAATTTATTGGACTATAAGTACTTGGGAAGGTTTGTCTTGGTCAGATAAATTAAGTACTCAAGGAAATGAAATATATTAATATATAAATGCCACTTAAGTGTTTAAAGGAGCTTAATTAAATAAAACTTGGATTGAATATTAAACTCCTTTTGTTATATAAGTAAAATAATAATATTTATAAGCTGAACTTAATGGCTTAGGAAACAACTGGGATTTTATATTTGTAACTTTGAAAAATTGAATATATTTTTTAAACAAAACAAAACAAAAATTGGCATTTGCTGTCTGAATTCTGGCAATGACATAGAAGGACTGACATCTTGCCAGTTGATCCGTCTCTGCCTACGGAAGTAACTAGTTCAGTCAGCCTGCTGAGGGGCACCTCCATTATAGAAGAGGATTTGGATATTTCTCTTCACATTGGCATACAGGTCTATCACTATCCTACTACTTATTTGTTTCCCAGGATTCCAGCAGCATTTGAAAGTCAAGCTTCACTTCTTGAATACCCCTCTCATTTACTTACAGAACACCATACTCTTGCATTCCCTGTTAGCTCATTTTTTTTCAGTTTCCTTTGCTAGCTTCTCTTTCTCACCTAACTTCTGCATGTTGATGTTTTTCACAGCTCATTGCTTCTCTTCTCATATAGCTCCACAGGCTTTCCTTGGGCAGTCACATTGATTCCAATGTCCAATTATGCTGAGCATTGCCTAATGAATATATTTTTACAAGCTCCAAATACCATCATTTTAATTCATTATAATTTTCTCCAATGTCACAAAGCTAACATTTCACAATTGAATTATTAATAACCCTACACCCAAATGTGTTCCTCTCCAAGTACTTTTCCTTGCAAGCGAATGGTTCCATAGTCCACTTGCTTGATGAAAAATAAAACTGTCATTTTTCTTTCATTTTCTTCATATTTCTTTTACAGTCCATCAACAAGTCACAAATATGTCTTATCTAGCATCCTCAATTCCACCTCTACCAAGCAACCTGTGGAGTCTTTGTATTTAAAACAACAACAAAAAACAAAAACTCTATATAATTTTTCTTTGCATAAAACCCTTCAATATCTTCCTCAATGTTCTTGGAATAAAATGAGAAAATGTTTTAAGAATTACAAGTCCTACATGGTCTATCCTAGCCTAATTTCCAATTGTTTTGCATCCCACTTTTTCCTTCTTTCATGGATCATTTTAGTCTCCGGACTATATCAAGATCTTCCTGGAATATGCTTTCCAGGACTGTATCCTGGGATATTCTTTCCCCAAGTATGTACAACTTTTTAATCTCAATTTGGAGTAGATACCCCTTGTTAAATTAAGTTTAGACTAAAGCTGTCATCTTACACATTTTAAGTTTGGCTTAAAGGTTTCTCTATACATAGTGAATTGTAACCTAACTGGATGTGTAAACATATTACATTCTACCCTTGTGCGAATCACCAAGTTTTGGCCAATCAAAGGTGGCCAGCTCTTCAGACTGTGTTCAAATAAGTCAGACACTAAACTTTAACTAAACCAGCTGTTTCTATATCTCAAGTCTGTTCTCTGTATGTCACATTCCTTCCTTCCATAAACCATGTAGCTATTCTGGAATCTCTGAGGCTATTTTGGCTCAAGAGGCTGCCTGATTTGTGAATTGTCCTTTGCTCAATTAAACTCATTTAATTTGTCTAAGTTTTTTTCCTTTATTACCCACTTAAAGTAAGCTTTCCTATTGTTCGCTTCCACAGAACCCTATTATTTGACTATGTAAGACTATGAACATTGACATATTGTTATTTACTTTTTGACGTCACAATATTGCTGTAAGCTCCCTGTGATACAATATACAATTTCTAATCTTATATATCTATACCATAGCACAGTGAATAATTCTTTACAAGCATTCCATAAATATTTTGTGGAAGAAAAATTAATAGTATTAGTGAATTTTATGTTTTAAGAAAAGTTGCTTCTTATTTATTAATTACAACAAAGTCCTAAATTAGGAACTTACTAATCTAATCAGACAAATTCTACCAAATAAAAGTCTTAAAAATATTGTTTATTTTATCAATCAAATTTTTAATTGTTTTGTACAGTAAGACTCTTTCATCTTTGATATCATACCTGGATGTACAACAGATAAAAATAAAGTTTCTTCTTATTCTTCAGTTTTATATTGTTTGCCACCTTCCATTTTATGTCACCAAATCTACTCCGGTTTCAGTGAAAGTCACACATACAATAATGCATATGCTGTCTAAATAATATTACAAAATAATAATTCCAAGTGGGTTAAATTTACCTGATGTTCTTAATCCAGGGAGAGTCATTTCCAACATTGGAACTTTTTCAGTAATAAAACCTCGCTTACATTTTTCAATATCTCCATCATTTAGAATCATGTCTATAATTTCACTAACCCAAGTAGTACCTGTGACAAAAGGCAACATTTTCAAAATAATTACCCAAATTGCACGGGAGAGGGAGAAGAATTTATTGGAAACACTACCATCTTAACACATTCTATTACAAACTTAATTCCCCTTTCTATGCACCAAATGCCAATTTTAATATACTAAAATAGATGGCTGCACAAAATGAATATTAACTTTATTTAGAATGGTAATGATTTTATGGACAAGTTGATTTCCAGGAAACAAAAAATGAGGTCGGACTTGAATTTGTCAGGCCACAGAACTCACCTGATTTAGGATAAGTGGCTATCACAATGTCATCTGGTCTGCTATGGAACTGTTCAATTTTTTCCCAGTTGCTTGCAAAAGCACAGGTCATGGGATAACCATGGACCAACTTCAGATCTTTTCGCAGAATATCTTTTGGGGAAAGCATTTTAATACCAGATTGTACAAATATATAATAGATTGACAGTTGTTCTGGAGAAATATAGAGAATAAAAATCAGAATCTGAGTAACTAATGTTGGTCTTAAGACACTGCAATTTGTCACAAAGTAAAATTGGCCTTTAACATTCTGCGCACATGGAGATCTAAGTACAAAGGGCATATTTTGTGGGCATTAGGTGCAGTAGATTGCAAGAGCAGTAACTGGCTCTGTGACAAGCAGGACAAAGGTCTCTAGTGGAAGTTTTGGAAAGAAATGAAACTGCATATCTCTCTTTGAATTAAAAAGCGTGTTTCACAGAAATATGGCAAAAACAATCTGAACAATCTGACTTAAGGCAAAATAAATCCACTGCTCATTATTAAGACTTCAGCTACACGTCATTTTTCCTTACAGAAAATTTGCTGTCATTCTGACCTTTGATTTTCAGTTTGTAATTCATCCTTTTTCTTTGTGTGCTTCTAAGGTTTCTTTCTTTATCACTTATTTTGAGCAAGTAGATTATAATGTTCCTAGGTGTGGTTATTTTCATGTGTGTGTGTGTGCACGCGCGTATACATTTTAGCTTTATTGAGCTTCTTGAAATTGTGAGTTTACGGTTTCCATCAAATTTGGATAATTTTCAGCCATTATTTCTTCAAATATTTTTTCCATCTCTCTCTCCTTCTGAGACTATAATTACATGTATATTAGGCCATATGAAGTTGCCCACAGCTGAGAGATTATCTATTTAGTTTTTTAAAAAGCTTTTCTCTGTGTGTGTTTCATTTGGGATATTCTCTATTGCTATGTCTTTGTAATTACTAACCTTTTCTTCTGCAATGTTTAATCTGTCTTTACTCCTATCCAGTGTATTTTTATCTCTGGCTTTGTAGTTTTAATCTCTGGCTGTTCAATTTCAATATGTTTATTTTTTTGTTCTCAACTTTTTAAGCATACTAAGTACGGTTATAATGATTTTTTTCTTTGTTTAACATCTGGGTAATTCTATGTTGTTTTCAATTGATTGATTTTTTTCTCATTATGGTAGGCTTTTTCTCCTTGTTTACATGTCTGATAATTTTTTATTGGATGCTTGGTGTTCCTGTTAACTTCTTCTTGATTAGAAGCTGTCATTGATAATTTTTTGTGTCAACCTGACTGTGCCAAGGAGTCCCCAGACATTTGGCCAAACACTACTCAGAGTGTTTCTGTATTGGTGTTTTAGGACTAGATTAATATTTAAATTGGTAGACTGAGTGATTGTCCTGCCTAAGTGGGTGATCTTCAGCCAATTAGTTGAAGTCTGAGTAGAACAAAAAGGGTGATGCTCCTAGGAGTATTCCTTCTACCTAATTGCCTTTGAGCTTTAATCAAAACATCGTTGTTTTTTGTTTGTTTCTTTATTCCTGCCTGCAGACTCAAACTGAAGCATTGCTCTTCCTGGATCTCCAGCCTGCCAGCCTTTTGACTAGAGCTAAACCATCAGCTCTACTGGGTCTCCAGTTTTCCAGGTCACCCTACATATCCTGGAATATGCCTGCATACCTGCCTCTAAAATAATGTCATATATGTATGTGTTCAAAGGCAGTCAGACAGGAAGAATTCCTCTTTACTTCCAGGAGAGTCACCCTTTTGGTTCTATTCAGGCCTTCAACTGATTGCGTGAGTCCCATTCACATTAGGGAAGGCAATCTGCTGTACTCAATCTGCCAATTTAAATTTTAATCTCATCTGAAAACACCCTCACAGACACACACACACACACACAGACACACACACACACACACAAAGTAATTTTTCATCAGACATCTGGGTTTCCTGTGGCCCCATCAATTGGACACATAAAATTGGCATCACAAAGAGCTACTTATTATTTATTTTTTCCACTATTTCCACTGAACTTTGTAAGTAAAACCATAGCCTTGCTTTTAATAATGTTTTTTCATTTTACATCAACTTTATTTATTTTACAATTTATAGATTCCTTCATAATCGATGTTCCATTTATTTCTTAAGATCTGTTAATTTAATAACATATAACATGTTTACTATTGTATAGATAGAATTTGAACTAATTGCAGCATAAATTGCATAATATCTTAGATGAAATCGCATTGCTTCTAGTAAAATAACTTTAAAGATTGCCAATCAGAGGTTCTTAATTGATTAAGTATAATAGTTTCTGGTAAATATTTTGTAAGTAATTTGTGGACCCACAAACAAAAATCAATAATTTAACAGCTAGCTGGAGCTTAAACTAGTTTACCTAATGTTAATTTGTATAGAAAGAGGTATGCTTTTGACTAGGAAAAACATGTTAGTATAACAGCCTTGTATCTCAAAGCCAACTCCTCCACCATCACTACCCCCATCTACACACACACACACAAAATCTAGGAGGGAGAAATTTGGGCAAATATTTTTTCATTTTATATTGTAAGATGTGTATTACGTAACATATTTTTATATGTTATCATTCATGGGTTTTACAGAAAAATGCTGTGTCATTTTGTTTTTCCAGTAAAAGTCATTATTCAACAATACGTTTGTCCTGAAACATGTAGCATCTTATGCTACAAATAGAGTGAAAATTAATAAAATAAGTTGAATTTTGCATTTTCATACTGTTTATTGAGTAATGGAGTTGCAGGCCTCAAAAACCTGAAATAGAGGATATTAATGGAGAAGCAGTCTCAAAATAGATTAGACACAATCAAGTTTAGAGCATGTGAGACCCTGGGGCAAGGATGCCAATGACAGCTGAGTGAATGGAGCATTTTAGGAAAATTATATTCAATATTTATCTTCTATATGCTTCTCAGTTATCCTCCATTTCCAGTAAAATGTCAGGTAGTCTTTGCAATACTTTGTTAGTGGAGATAGTCTTGTAGAAAAGATTCTCCAGCATGAAATACTGTGGAACATGTTAGCAGCTCAAGAAAGGAACAATTAATGTGGATGGTCAAGAAGTCAGCAGAAGGAGGAAGTTGAAAGAAAAGAAAGTAAGTCTGTAAGCAGTGTACTTGGGATGAAGTTGGTATTGAATAAATTGAATGAAGAAATGAATGAATGATGAGATTTCCACTTCTCACCCAGAATCTTTTGATATCTTGAGAATAGTGCCCCTTCTCAGTTTGGATATAAAGGAATCAGAGTCCACAGAAGTCAACATAGTACATTCAGATGTTAGACTTGATTTCCACATGATGAATGAAATAGCTCTTTCTGAAACATTTTATTTTATTAACTTCTTAGCAAGTTGTTTCTTCCCAAATTATCTAAAGGGAAATATCAATGGCACACCTCATTTCAAAAATTGTCTATTCTGAATTAATTGAGAAAAATAAATGAGTCTCTATTCATCGGCTCCAGAATGTAATGTTTAGTAGCAGTATAACTTTACTTACCAACTCCTATAATGCACACATATTATGCAAAAGTGAATGAATATTGAGGGAGCTGATACCCTTTTCATACTGTCTGCTAAAATTATATAGACAAATTGATTCCCCATGTAGCAAGTAGCTTATATTATATATTTATAGCATCATTTCTGGTTCCATTTCATGTCTTGGTTCATCCTTTGCCTTTTCTTTATTTATTCATCTTAATTTAATTTGTACTATTCTTTTATATGCATAAAATTGATTTACAGTTTCTATTCAAATTACAGTCCATGTACAAGCCCCATGTGTTATTGGCCTTAACGGAGAGCTTGTTGGAAATGTGGAATCTCAGGTTTCAACCCAGAATCAGAATCTACATTTTAGTAAGATCCTCAACTAATTTGTTTGCACTTAAAACTTGAGCAAATGACTTTAAACTACCTTTAATTATCTAATGATACAGGGTGTAAGTAAATGATTTAATCAAAATGAATTCAGGGTCTTTTAAAACAAATTGTACTGATTGTGCTTCATGTATATGATCTCTAATCATTACCTACCCTGAAATGATAAGTCTTACTTGCATTTTGTGGATAAGATTAGGAAACAGATCTTCAGAGCGTCTGCTCAAAGAAACACAGAAAGGGAGTGGCAACCCAGGAATGGACTTTAGTTTGCCCAGCTCTGTTCATGTGATCATACTGAAAATTTACCGTAGGCCCAACCCAGAGTCAAAAATGTCCGTGATTTATCTCATTCAAACAAGAGTATTTACAAATTGGAAGGGATTTTTGCTTTGACAATGAAAATCCCCCGTGACAAAAAGGTCAGGCACTTCATGCTGTAAAATTGTTGCCGGAGAAGGATGGAATGAGTAGGAAGATGAAAATAAGGCAGCTGTTTGTGAATATATGCTAGTCACCTCTGGGAAGTGGGTGTGTCCAATTCAGGAAGCTACAGGGTATTAGGCATCAAACAGCATTACCTCGTCATGACCAGTGGATAAATGATGAGTTCTGAATTATATGGGGAGAAGAGTATGGAGAGGAGGACTGGAAGATGTCAAATAATTAATATAATTAAACTAGATATGCTGAAAGATGATTTATGAATGACATTTACTTTAAAATCTAAAAATTAGTTCATAAAATATTTTAAACCCTATTGGAAAGGAACAGGCTATTTAAAGTAGTTGTAAATTATACATGGGATCTCAAGACTTCCTATTTAAGATGAGCCATAGGCTGAAAATTAAAATGTCTAAAATTGACTTTAAGGAATATTAATGGAACAAAAGAGAAAAATAAAAAACAATGCCTGTTTTAGAAGAAACTGAGTCATTTTACATTAAAACTATATTTTTCCATCAATTAGAAAAAACAATTTCTTTCATTTGTCATACTCTGACAAAGTTTAGCTCTATCTGATACACATCAAATCAAGCTACTTAAATAAATGTGGTAAACGACATATTTTATATTCTGGAGTGCACCTTAAAGGTGTGTGTATGTGCATATGTGTGCATGAATGCATGTGAGTAGGACTGGATGAAGGATGGGAGCAGAGAAACGAAAACTTGAAAAAGATTTCTTTTTCTTTAAGTGGCTTACAGTTTCTTGAGAAGACCTCCATTCCTTGCATGCTTCAGTTCCACTAAATGTAGAAAAATAAAATTGAACATTGAAAGCTTGAGAGATTTTAGACAGCATAAACAATGAAAGTTTCCTATAAGAAAATTGGAATTATGCAAAAGACTTTCTAATTATAAAATATGTTCAAAACAGAAATTGTTCTGAGGCACACAATATTCTGCGGGGATAGGACAAAACTTCAAGGAAAGAAATTGAAAAGCAAATTTTACCTCACAATTTAATCCCTTTGTTCAGTTTTCATTTTCAGGCAGTGAAGCTGCTGTAGAGTAACCATGGGAAACGGTGGTGGTTCTGGCAGGCAATGGGGAGCACAGGAAGGCTCCTGGCACCAGAAAAAAAAAAGTTCAAGGTTTGATCTGAACGTAGCAATCACTGAGTTTACAGGCAGCTAAGATATAAAAAGGTTAAACTACCCACACCCACAATCACACACACACACATACACACACATGAGGCAAGTTCCACTGTTTCAACAGCTAGCAAAGCCAGGAAGCCAGGAAGTGGTTCAGGGTGGTGGCCATAAGTCAGCACAAGCACAGGCTGTTTAGATTTTAAGCTCTCTGCAAGCTTCAAAGTGTCTGAGAAATGCAGAGGGAAAGAACATGAAGGGTTAGTGGATCAAAATTGTTGCTTCTCTATATCTTATAAGAATGTCTTCTAACAATTTTGGTCATAACAGAAATAAAAATTGGTTTTGTGTGTGTTTGTGCATGTGTCAGTATGTTTCCATCTGGAATAAACGTGAGTTTCTAATATCATTAAATGTCAAACATATTAAAGATGAAATGATTAATTACTTTGGCATCAGAAACACAAATACTCTAATCATTTCCACAACTCTTGGTTTTTTCTTCTTTTGGTATGCAGAATCACATAAACAAGAAATGAGTGGAAATCAATCCATTTTTTAAGAGCACTCGTCTCAAACTTACACACAACTACAACCACCAAGCTCTTGCCCCTGAGTTATACCTATGAAGGCCTGGGAAAGTCAGGAAGACCAGAGGGAAACTAGCACATTCCTTTAGACCATCAGTTTAACTTATAAATGTATTAAAGAAATGTAAAGCATATTTTCTTCTTAAAAGATGCTGCCGCTCTCCCTCTCCCTCTCCCTCTCCCTCTCCCTCTCCTCTTTCCACGGTCTCCCTCTGATGCCGAGCCGAAGCTGGACTGTACTGCTGCCATCTCGGCTCACTGCAACCTCCCTGCCTGATTCTCCTGCCTCAGCCTACCGAGTGCCTGCGATTGCAGGCGCGCCGCCACGCCTGACTGGTTTTCGTATTTTTTGGGTGGAGACGGGGTTTCGCTGTGTTGGCCGGGCTGGTCTCCAGCTCCTAACCGCGAGTGATCCGCCAGCCTCGGCCTCCCGAGGTGCCGGGATTGCAGACGGAGTCTCCTTCACTCAGTGCTCAATGGTGCCCAGGCTGGAGTGCAGTGGCGTGATCTCGGCTCGCTACAACATCCACCTCCCAGCAGCCTGCCTTGGCCTCCCAAAGTGCCGAGATTGCAGCCTCTGCCCGGCCGCCACCCCGTCTGGGAAGTGAGAAGCGTCTCTGCCTGGCCGCCCATCGTCTGGGATGTGAGGAGCCCCTCTGCCTGGCTGCCCAGTCTGGAAAGTGAGGAGCATCTCTGCCCAGCCGCCATCCCATCTAGGAAGTGAGGAGCGCCTCTTCCCGGCCACCATCTCATCTAGGAAGTGAGGAGCGTCTCTGCCCGGCTGCCCATCGTCTGAGATGTGGGGAGCGCCTCTGCCCTGTCGCCCTGTCCGGGATGTGAGGAGCGTCTCTGCCCGGCCGCCCCGTCTGAGAAGTGAGGAGACCCTCTGCCTGGCAACCGCCCTGTCTGAGAAGTGAGGAGCCCCTCCGCCCAGCAGCCGCCCCGTCTGAGAAGTGAGGAGCCCCTCCGCCCGGCAGCCACCCCGTCCGGGAGGGAGGTGGGGGGGTCAGCCCCCCGCCTGGCCAGCCGCCCCGTCCGGGAGGTGAGGGGCGCCTCTGCCCGGCCGCCCCTACTGGGAAGTGAGGAGCCCCTCTGCCCGGCCAGCCGCCCCATCCAGGAGGGAGGTGGGGGGGGTCAGCCCCCCGCCTGGCCAGCCGCCCCATCCGGGAGGGAGGGGGGGGGTCAGCCCCCCGCCCGGCCAGCCACCCCGTCCGGGAGGTGAGGGGCGCCTCTGCCCGGCCGCCCCTACTGGGAAGTGAGGAGCCCCTCTGCCCGGCCACCACCCCGTCTGGGAGGTGTACCCAACAGCTCATTGAGAACGGGCCATGATGACAATGGCAGTTTTGTGGAATAGAAAGGGGGGAAAGGTGGGGAAAGGATTGAGAAATCGGATGGTTGCCGTGTCTGTGTAGAAAGAGGTAGACATGGGAGACTTTTCATTTTGTTCTGTACTAAGAAAAATTCTTCTGCCTTGGGATCCTGTTGATCTGTGACCTTACCCCCAACCCTGTGCTCTCTGAAACATGTGCTGTGTCCACTCAGGGTTGAATGGATTAAGGGCGGTGCAAGATGTGCTTTGTTAAACAGACGCTTGAAGGCAGCATGCTCATTGAGAGTCATCACCACTCCCTAATCTCAAGTACCCAGGGACACAAACACTGCGGAAGGCCGCAGGGTCCTCTGCCTAGGAAAACCAGAGACCTTTGTTCACTTGTTTATCTGCTGACCTTCCCTCCACTATTGTCCTGTGACCCTGCCAAATCCCCCTCTGCGAGAAACACCCAAGAATGATCAATGAAAAAAAAAAAATAAAATAAGAACTACAAAAAAAAAAAAAAAAAAGATGCTGCCAACAGATTCCTAATCTTTGCCAGTCAGGGTTGTTTTATTTTCATTTTGTAAAGAGGGTGGAAGAGTATTAAAGAGAGAATACAGACAAAAGGGGTTTATGTGCACCTATTATAGTTGTATTTTGTTGCCCTTATGGGGAAGCATTAGGCTTCCAAATGAATCAGGAACAGGCACATAGAGGGCATTGAGACAGTCGTATGTCAATCTGTCTCTCTTTGATTGAGAACCTGAAATGTTTGAATTTTCTGAGATTCCCTAGCTTAGAAAGTTAGCTTTCTAGGCTAACTTGTTTATTTTCTAAATGTGATTTTGTGATTTTATAAGCTATGATTTTCTTTTCTCCTTTTGATGACGCATAGAGCCATTGGCTCCCACAGACCACCTCCACTTCCTACCAACCTTCATGCAGTCAACTGACACATTCCATAGACATAGAGTCTGTATAGGTCAACTTTCTGCAGTAGTGAACTACTGAAAACAAAAGCTGAACAAATTATATTTTCAATTGTGTATACAAATCTGCTATTGAAAATTATTTTATAGTGTAAGTTTAAAACCAATTCAATAGGCAAGATAATATAATACATTCGGACAGCCTGAAATCTGACAAATTTTGGAAACCTGTGGAATTGTACCTCAGGCTTCCTTAAGTAAATTTATCAGTGAAAAAATGTGATTATTCTAACCTAGACACAACTTGTGAAGCTAGGAAAACACACTGAAGGCAGTGGGAGAGGACTAGTGAGCAAGAGGGTGGGCTATAGCACAAGTCCTGGGCTTTAAATCCCAAACACAATCATTAACCAGCCTTGTGAGAGGGACAGGAAATTTAGCCTCTCTGTGCCTCCATTGCCCCACTGGGAATAATAGCATCTTCTTTATGCAGTTGTTTCAGTTTTCTCCTTTTTTTGAGTGTGGGAAAATACATATAATATAAAATTTACCATCTTAATGAGTTTTAAGTATACTTCAGTAGTGTTAAGTATATTCACACTGTAATGTAATCAATCTCCAGAACTTTTTCATCTTGCAAAACTGAAACTCCATACCCATTAAAGAACAACTTATCCTCCCTCTGATCCCTGTTAACCACCATTGTACTTCTGTTTCTATAAATTTGATTCCTCAAAATACCTCATAAACGTGTAATCAGACTGTATTTGTTCTTTTGTAACTGGCTTATTTCATGTAACATAATGTTCTTAAGGTACATTCGTGTCGTAGCTTGTGTAAGATTGCTTTTTTCTTTTTAAGGCTAAATATTTTACAGATACCATAATTTTTTTAAAGTAATAAAAATAAAATGGATACTTGGGTAGCTTCTACCTTTTAGTTATTGTGAATAATGCTGCTGTGAACAAGAGTATGCAAATTTTTTTATGAGATCTTGCTTTCATTTCCTTTGGATGTGTGCCAAGAAGTGGGATTGCTGGTAATTACGTTTTTAACTTTTTAAAGAAACCACCATACTGTTTTACTTGTCTATATCATTTTACATTCCCACCAACAATGCACAACACTTCCCATTTGTCTACATACTTGGTTTGATTATTAAATGAGTTAATATAAATATTGTGCTTAGAACATATCCTATCCATCACATTCTTTCAAAGAAATTTAGTCATTATAATTAAAATGTTTGTTTAAAATGTAGTGTTTATTGTTACAGAGATACAAATGAGCTGAAACCTTAGCATCTGTCTTGTGAGAAAGCCCTATATATGATTATTCTAGCAGCAGCATATGAGATACAATCTACAAAGCTTAAAGGAAACAGCAGAAGTTTTAAAAAGTATATTTAATTTTCATGGGTCTATACTAGATTATATGTTACTATTTATAGAGTATCTATGATGTTTTAATACATGCATACAATGTGTAATAATCTTTTGCAACCCAGAAGAGAGAATCAAGTTTAGAATGAATTTAAGGAAAAGCAAATTCTAATAAAAATATATTTAAATTACTTAATTATTACTTGGTGTGAAATTTAAAATCATCTTGGAAGATGAATTGTTACATCATAGAGTCATAGGGAAGAAAATGGTGAGGCTTCATGCTGCAGATATCGACCATGATGTCTGGGCAGAAAAGGAAGATGTGTCGTTATGCAAGGACACTAGTAATTAGGTCAACTGCATATCTCAACTATATAGAGCAAAAATAAAGCCCTAATGAAGAAATTTCTCATACAATAATTAGGCTTTTGTTATTCTTGTTCACTTATTTGTTTTCATTTAAAATGTAAAAGTAGTATCTGTGTGTGTGTGTACATGTGCACACATGTGTTAAAATCAAGCAACACATTATAAAAAGGAACATAAATCCTGGTTGTTGTTGTTGTTTTCTTTTTAATGAGATTAACATTGAACACTTACTGTACTACACTGATGTTAGCTTAATAAGTTTATTTGTGTGGAATTGTCGCATTTATTCATGAAGAAAAATAATCTTCCATCAGACACTCTCGGAAACAAATTAATTTCTCTTTAGAAAATATACATATTGAGCTTTCATTAAAAAATAAAATTTCAATCAACTACTGCAATGCAAACCTACATGGTTTTATTTATATAAGAACATAACTTCAGAACAAATTAAGAGATTTGAAAGAAGAGAGTTGACTGTGGAAACTATAAGAAGCTCAAAATTAGATTTACAGTGTCACTTAAACAATGTTATTATCAACAATGTTCCCACCCTGGAAAAATATTATAAATATATCTAAAAAAAATTAACAAACTGATTTATGTACAACCTTTCAGCAACATCAGGAAACTACCCAAAAGGACTCCACCTGGTAGCTACGCATAGTCTTTGACAAAATTGTCAAAATTGTGAACATTTATATTTAGGGCTTCTTATGACAAATGAACCAGTGAAAACAATATTGAATTTTTAATCTATATATTCATAAAAGCCAGAGTTCTCAAGATATTGTGCTGACAAAGAAAGGAAGTGAAATTATTTGGGAGTTTAATCTGATGTTTATTATTATTCAATTCATGCCAAATTCCTAAAATATACTTAGTGCAAAGGCATTTCCTTAACTGATTGAAACAGTTTAAAGACATATTTCCCTTTATGTTTCTCATTTTAAAGGTGGTCTTTTAATTTTAGAGTAAATATAATAATACAGAAGGAAATATTACATAGATTTAAAGAAAATATATAATATTTCAAAAAATATTATTCTTGAACAGATCATTTGAGCTATGCCCCTTAACTTTTCTTCTTTCCTTTCCTCGTGCCTACGGGCATATTTACTTTCATCTCTAATTAGAGAGAGTATCTTCAATATTAACTTTGAACAGGGCTGACATTAAGTCTGGAATTGCAAAAACACATGCTTATGAATAGGGTGACCCATCAGTTATCATCCAAACCAGATATTTTGGGGAATAAAAGAGAGGCTATGAATAATTATGTGGTGACAAAAGATGTAAACTGGGCCTCAGACAAACCTGGAGGATGGGTTACCCATACATTCATGGAACATTCATGAAACAGTTTGAGATTAAGAAAAGTAATAGCTCAAGCAAAACAATAAACCGATACATGGTCTCTGTTTTGGGAGAATAATACGGTGATAACACTGGAGAGGCTAAGGTCCAGCATATTCTTGTTATGAAGAACAACAAGGCAACATTTTAAAGATTTAGATTCTTCATGAGAAGGGTGCATACAGTAAGTGTTTAAGTATTGATAACCAAACACATGCACCAGACAAACACTTTTGTATGGCACATGACGAGATGCAATTTGCAAACTTTGACATAAGGTATTAGTTACATAAAAATTCTACTTAAATGTACATAGGTTACCTGGAAACCACGTTATTAATTAACTAATTAAACTCCAAATCAATATTGAAAAACAACCTAGAGAAGAGATTCTTAAATTTTAGAATGCTTCAGAATGACCTTGAAGGGCTTGATAAAATACAAATTCTGCTTCCTCCCCGACACTCAGTGTTTTTGATTCAGTTGGTCTAGGCAAGAGTCTGAAAATCTGCAATTCAAGCATGCTCCTAAATGATGGTGAGCTACCAGTTTGAGGACCATACTTAGAAACACAAATGAAAAATCACTCTTGCTTTAAAGATTTCTATGGTTAATTCATTCATGAATCATTCTTTCATGTATTTGTTCATTCAGTTACCAAATTTATCAGCTCCAAGATACTACACTAGGAAAAAAAAGCGTTGGGTTTGTCCCTCAACTCATAAATAATAATTTATTGATGGCATTCTCAATTTGTTACTAGCTCAAATTTTACCTATGAGGAAACATATTCAGAGATTCTAAGTGATTTGGTTAAGATCTTATAAGTATTAGGTAAAAAGTCAGGCTCAGAAAACTACTTGCGACTTCTAAGTAAGTCATGTAGCTTTAACAAATAAAATAATAGAGATAGAAGAGAGATTTTTTAAAGACTTAAAGACTCACAGGGAATGCATTTTTTTCCTCTACAGTTGGTCCTGAATGCATATCATCCAGGCTACACAGAAGTATTTAAGAAGTTTGGATTCTTTCAACATCACTAAATTTCTAAGAATTTTTAAAAAATCTATTTAGAGTTAGCTAAAAATGAGAAAGTATGTGTTCCCTAGTTTACTTTATAATTTGAGGACATTTGTTTTACTTTTCTCATCTAGAGACATGCATTTTAATATTAGAATGTGTAAATTTTCCAAATTTATTGGTTCATTTACCAGCAAATTCTACATGCATTTTTTTCAGCTACCCTTCTTTTGAAAGTGTGAGTTCAAAGAAGCAGCCAGTTTTTTTGCAGTTATTTGCACCCATATAAATTCCTGTGCACAGGGTTATCGTTTTTCTCTTGTGATAGAAACAATGGTAAGATTCACATCCTTGACCTCCCTTGTTTCATCATAGCTCATCCACTTGAGAAGTCAGGGATTAGAATGAAGATGAATCTACTTTTCTCTCTGAAGGTGTGTTCCACTGACAGGTGTCACTAGAATGCTTTTTCTCACTTCCTTTTGCAGAATTGAAGTCTCTCATCTGAATATTGATCTCCCTGTACGCCTGACTTATCTTTAATGAGGAAGAAGGATGGTAACAGTAAAGGGACATTATTAGATAAAGTAATATCCAGAATAAACAAAATTTTGACATTAGGAAATAAGTGAAATATTCAAAAGTAGGCTCATAGAATTTGGATCTTCCTTCTTTAGATACAATCAGAAGAAAAGGAATCTATTTGCTCAACACTAGCTCAGTGTCCTTTCATGGCAACACCTCTGACTTTTTCCTCTTCATAAACTCACTGTTTTCAAGATCCCACTTAGGGACACCATGTTGTGTGCTGTGATATGAAATTTACTACCTGGAACTGTGAAGTGCACAATATGCACAATCATAAGTGCTGGTGTCAGAGGCTTGTGAACCAGAACTACTCCATCTTAAATAGGAGCTAGGTAAAATAAGGCTGAGATCTCCGGGGCTGCATTCCCAGACAGTTAAGGCATTCTAACTTACAGGATAAGATAGGAGGTTGGCACAAGATACAGGTCATAAAGACCTTGCTGACAAAACAGGTTGAAGTAAAGAAGCTGACTAAAACCCACTGAAATCAAGATGGTGACCAGAGTGACTTCTGGTCTTCCTCACTGCTATGCTCCCAACAGCACCATGACAGTTTACAAATGCTGTAGCAACGTCAGGAAGTTGCCCTATATGGTCTAAAAAGGGGAGGCACGAATAATCCACCCCTTGTTTAGCATGTCATCAAGAAATAACCATAACAATGGGCAACCAGCAGCCCTCGGGGCTGCTCTGCCTATGGAGTATTATTCTCTTATTCCTTTACTTTCCTTATAAATTTCCTTTCACTTTACTTTATGGACTTGCCCTGAATTCTTTCTTGCATGAGATCTAAGGACCCTTTCTCAGGGTCTGGATTGGGACCCCTATCCTGTAACATCTTTGGAAAGGACAATACTAAAGAAACCCCTGACCCAAAGGCTAACTTTGAGTACATGGTGGGGTCCAGTAACATCTTTCTGGCAAGCCTTGAAGGGACAATACTGAGGAGACCCCGACCCAAAGGAAAGAAGATAGGAGGTTGGTACAAGATACAGGTCATAAAGACCTTGCTGACAAAACAGGTTGAAGTAAAGAAGCTGACTAAAACCCACCAACTGCAGAACTGATTAAACGACTTTGGATAAGTGGGGTGCATATACCTGGGTAAAGGATGGGATTGGGTTAAAGGCCCAACTTAAGGGAATTAGAGTGTCTCCTAAGACAGAGTGGGTTAAAGGCTCCTTTCAATAAAAGGCAAGGAAGCTTGACCAACCTTGGGTTAGAGGCCCAACTTAGGAGGGTTAGAGTCCCTTCAAAAATTTCAGGGGTTAGAGGACCCTCTTGGTAAACTCCCTCTCTGTAAAGTTTCAGCTAAGAATGGGTTTGGCAGTCTGGGATGTTAACTGCTGTTCTCTCTGGATTGATCTGCCTTGCACTCTTCGCTGATGGCTATGAGTGACAGGATTAGGCATGTACAGGATTGTGGGACATGGGGGAATTTTTGCCTCCCTAAAGGGGAAAACTTGAGAGCTGATGAGAATGCTGGAAAAGATCCCTCTGTGACCAAGAAGCAGCCGGCTGAAATTAAAGTATCACTGCAATGACTAGGTCTTTCTCTGGGCTCCCTGAGTGCTTCGCCTACCCCACCCTGCCACAGGCAAAGCTTTACTCTCTCTCCTTTCCCTTTCTTTTCTTTTCTACTACTTGGGGTAACCTTCTTTCCCAGAGATCACATGTTGAAGCTCCTGGTCCGAGGTTGGATTAATAATGATGGGGCCCAACTAGGGACAAATTTGAGCCTTGCCAGCTTGATATTGGGTGCTAAGAAGAGTGGCTAATATATATGTTTTGTCACAGGTATCTTACTTCAGCCAGAAAGGAAAGAGATAATTTTCCTTTATGTTGCGGCTCAGTCCCCAGGGCTGTGGTGCAGCCAGAAGGGTCAGTAGGGTCAGTAAGACCCCAGAAGGGTCAGAGAAGGGGAACACTGAAGGCTGGCATGCTGACCAAAGGGGAAGAATTTCTTACCAGACAGACTTCTGGCATGTGTGTGTGCGTGTGTGTGTGTGCAAACTGGATGTGGTTTCCCTCTGGTTCAGGGTTCAATTCCCAGCTTAGGGGAGGATCCTTTGCTTCTGTCTATGTATTTATATGTATTATGTGTGTGATGTTTATATATGAACAAGCTTTAATTGGTTTAATAATAATAAAAGCTTAAATCAAATATTTTGTCAGAAAAGTAAAAAGTGTAATGCCTTTTATTTAGTTCATGCGCCTTAATTAATATTTGGGAAATAATGATACCTTTAAAGATTATTGGTAAAATAGAAGTATCTTCAAAAATATAAACTTTTGATTTAAATCAGGCAGTTCAGATATTAAGTTTGCTAAATGCTTTAAAGTCATAAACTGCTTCTTTGACTCTTGAAAATTGTTCAGTTTATTTCAGACCATTATATTCTAGATAAGGTTTGGGGACATATGGAATAAGCCATGCCTCCTAGCTATGCAAAGAAGTTTGTAAAGTAAAGAGATTTTATATAAGAAAGGATCTTGTATGGCACATTCTTGTCTTAAAGTAACTGTTTGTTTAAAAGAAGGGAATTTATGCAAGAAATGTTGTACAATTTAAAGGTGATTAAACCTCCTAAATGTTTAATTAAATGCCACTATGACTCTTAGTTGTACAACCTGCCTGCTTTACAGCTAGGTAAGGCCTGGGACACATGGAGTTAAATGCTAGAAAAAGTAGGCCTTATCTGTACTTCCGGATGCTGCCCTAGGCTCCATACATACTACATAATTAAAATCCTGGACTTAACAACTTTTCACTAAAAGTAAAAGTCCCTAAGAGTTAACAGTGTAACATGTAATTAAGACTACTGAAGAAACAGTTCTGCATGCAAGGCATGTAAGGAAAGTGAAGTGTGTTTTTGGTAAAAGATTATAAGAAGGCATGAGAATGGATTTCCTGCCTAAATTCAAGGGTTAAAGGATGGTTTTAGGTTAAATAGAATAAAGCTAAAGGTTTGCACAAGTTGTGGAAGGTTTATGAAAGAAAATAATTGTAAAAGAAACTCTGTGAACATACTGGCTAAAGTTAAAGGGATATTATTCAGTTTTTCTGTAAACTGAACATTGAAATAAAAGCATAACAGGTTTTTCTGAGAGCAAAAACCTGCTTATGATCTGCTCTTTAACAAAATTGTAAAGGGTTGTAAAAAGTTTACGAGAGTCTTACCTTATGGTCAAGCTGTTTAAGATTGGACAGATTTATCTATAAAGTTTTATTAAGAATTGAGTTTGACATACATAATGCACTAATAGAACAGTGAAATTTGGCTTATTTTGTGTAAAAATCATACAAGAAGCATTGTCAAATATGAAATGATGTTTGGCTTTCTTTGGGCTATATTTGTATAAATATGTTATTGGTATATGTTCCATAATATTGGGAAACTCCTATAATTCTAATATGACTTAGGGTACATTATTAATAGTTATAATTATTATGTAAAATTGTTACGTGCCACAGAAGTAACCAAATTTCCTTATCAATTGTGACTTTAATAGTGGCTGTCCTAAGATGTTTTGTCATCTACAAACAATTGTTGTTTTAACCCTCTTTAGAAGCTGGGTTTATAATCAGCTATAGAACTCTAGCAGGTGTTCTTGAATGCAGGTTTCTGATAACTGGTAATTATGACATTAGAATAGAGGGGAAAACTTTCAATACTCAAGGAAAGCTGAAATGTTTATGAATATCAAGCAGAATAAGAGTAAACTGAATTAACTGAACCAATAGAAAACTGAAGTAAACTTTTTAACTCTTTCTGCTTAAAATATTGCTGATCTTTTGTTTCGTTTCTTCAGAGTCAAGGAAACCTTTGAGCTATTTACAGCTTGTAGAAATTGAGTAAAGTGTACTTCTGTAAACAAAATTTGGTGTATATTTGTTTCTCTCTACCTGATTTCTCCAGAATTTGGAAACTATTTTTATCTTAATTTATGGCACTATAATTATTTGCATAAGTGCAATAAGAATCTGTTTTTTTTTTCAACAAGACACAGAGAAATTATTTTATCAAGGCTTTGACTGGAATGGTGTGCTTTCCTTTAAGGAATCAAACTTGAGTTG
Source organism: Homo sapiens (assembly GCF_000001405.40). Classification (NCBI taxonomy): domain Eukaryota; kingdom Metazoa; phylum Chordata; class Mammalia; order Primates; family Hominidae; genus Homo; species Homo sapiens. The sequence goes on from NC_000004.12 coordinate 69,772,229, forward strand.
TAAAGTCAGTAAAAGCCCTTTGGGGAACTGGACTCCCTACACAGTCCCTGTACAGGGTCTCTGACCTGTGGTAATTAAAGGATGTCACTTTTGTTTTTTTTTTTTTTTAGATGGATTTTCACTCTTGTCGCCCAGGCTGGAGTGCAGTGGCACAATGTCGGCTCACTGCAACCTCCACCTCCCAGATTCAAGCAATTCTCCTGCCTCCTGAGTAGCTGGGATTATAAGCATACACCACCATGCCCAGCTAATTTTTTGTATTTTTAGTAGAGACGGGGTTTTGCCATGTTGGGCAGGCTGGTCTCGAACTCCTGACCTCAGGTGATCTGCCCACTTTGGCCTCCCAAAATGCTGGGATTACAGGCATGAGCCAACATGCCTGACCAAGAATCTCACTTTTGAACAGGTCCAAGAGCCACAGGTTATCTTGAGGCCCCAAGGGGAGAGGAATTTACCCAACTCTTAGGTATTTGAGGGTACAAATAGCAGGACTCAACTTCAAAAATATCTTATCTGAGATTCTTTCTATAGAATAGGGTTTCATCAAAACCAATTTTGAGAAGCCTATGTGAAAATTAATTATTCTTGCTGCACTTTATACAAATAATCAGGCAAAATATAATAAGGCAAATCAGTCTCACCACGATTTGTCTTTAGTAAAAATAGGAAACTGGAGAGAGAAATATTATGTTTGAAGAACTATGGTATATTTGCTCTTAGATTCTAGTCTCCTCAGTTGTTTTTAAATATGTTTCTGCAATTTATGGTAATCCTGCATATTCCTGTGAACAAACCAGTGATCTCTAACTGCGGCTCAGAAAAAAAAAGAGGAATCAGTTATGTAAAAATCTGAATCAGTATTCTTATACCGGGCATATACTGGAGTCACCTAGCAAACCCATATCAGCTTGGTTCCAACAATTGCCCAGTTCATGGAAAGCCCACTAATTAATTTACTTGGGATAATTTTACTTATTTTGCTTTACTGTTGTGGAATATATTGCTGTTTTAGTCTTTGCATAGGTATTCAGGACAATGTTGAATGTTGTATTATATTGAAAACTTATTAATCTTCCAGTAATCACCTTTTGTCAGAATTCGGAGTTATATATGGCACTAGCCATACCAACACTTTCTGACTGAGCTCCTCTCTATTCTAAACACAAGAGACCCTCATGGTTAGGCAGGAATATCATCACCTTTATTCAGCAGAAAAAGTTACAGAAGATGGATCTTCATCCCTCTGCTCTCTTAGGATAAAGGGTTCTCCTATAAAAGGGAGGGGGTAAATGTCAGAGGCATGTGAACTGGAGCAACTCCAGCTTAAATAAGAGCTAGGTAAAATGAGACTGATACCTACCAGGCTGCATTCCCAGACAGTTAAGGCATTCTAACTTACAGGAAAAGATAAGAAGTTGGCACAAGACACAGTTCATAAAGACCTTGCTGATAAACAGGTTGCAGTAAAGAAGCCGGCTAAAACTCACCAAAGCCAAGATGGTGACGAGAGTGACCTCTGGTTATCCTCACTGCTATGCTCCTACCAGTGCTATGACAGTTTACAAATGCCGTGGCAATGTCAGGATGTTACCCTATATGGTCTGAAAATGTGAGGCATGAATAATCCACCCCTTGTTCAGCATATCATCAAGAAATAACTACAAAAATGAAAAATGGGCAACCAGCAGCCCCCAGGGCTGCTCTGGCTGTGGAGTAGCCATTCTTTTATTCCTTCACTTTCTTTTTTTAAAAAAACTTTTCTTTTTTTTCTGTTTTTTTGGTCATCCAGGCTGGAGTGTAGTGGTATGATCTCAGCTCACAGCAAACTCTGTCTCCTGGGTTCAAGCGATTCTCCTGCCTCAACCTCCCAAGTAACAGGATTACAAGCAAGCACCACCACGCTTGGATAATTTTTTGTGTTTCTAGTAGAGATAGGATTTCACCATGTTGGCCAGGCTGGTCTCAAACTCCTGACCTCAAGTGAGCCACCCTCCTCGGCCTCTCAAAGTGCTGGGATTAGAGGTGTGAGCCACCAAAGCCCAGCCTCCTTTACTTTATTAATAAACTTGCTTTTGCTTTGTGCTGTGGACTAGGCCTGAATTCTTTCTTGTGTGAGAGCCAAGAACCCTCTCTTGGGATCTGGATTGGGACCCCTTTTCTGTAACACTGGTACTATAGACTAAGACTGATCCTAGCCTTTAGAATGTACTCAGTAAAGGTATTTCTAAATGAAAGGCTGTTAGGAATATGTTAATAATCACAGAGTTATGTGACATATAATAGGAGTTTTTAGTCCTAGGTATAGAAAACAGATTAATTTTATTGAGCCAATTGTACCTGGTAAATACAATCATGTAATTGTTATCACAATTGTTTTATCTCTAATTATTTATTTCACCCCAAACCAACTAATCAACCTTCAATGGAAACAGTACAGTGGTGAGATCATGAACTCCAGTATCAGAAAGACAGACTTGAGTTCAGATCAAGATTCTCCAACCTACTTGTTGCTTGTTGTGTAAACACAATTGAAACCAAAATGAGCACAAAAGTAAATTCTCATACACAACTGCCACCAACCAATATATTCACTTCTTTCTCAAGAAAGGGAGAGGTATCTGGTTAGGCCAGACAAGGTTCTTGGGGCTAAGCAAATGGGTATGTATTTTTTTCTTTCTTTCTCATTGTTAATAAAAATGAGTCTACAGAACACTAGACAATGAATGTCTCAGTACCAAAATTGTAGTAATCTTGGGAATTACATGAGTGCTTACTTTCTTAGCTGCCAAAGAAAGAAGACCTGTTTGAGGGCTATAATTTTTCTATTTACTTCTGGCCTGTTTCTTGCCCCTGGAGAAGGAAATAACAAAGCTCGTTACCTTATGCCCATTTATACATATGTTCTTTTTCCCCACTTATACACACGCAGTTCTACCTACAGCACACATACACTCACAATCCTTTTCTCAGCAGAAAAAAAGAGGATAAGAGAGTTACTACTTTCTTGGGAATCAGACCAACATTCACACTCTAACTCACAAAAATACAGGGAGGCTCACCTGCTTCTTGTTTACCATAAAAGGGATTGAGTTGCAGGACTACCTCTCCTTTTTATGCCAAGGTTAGGAAGAAGCAAGGGGAGACACAGATGGCCCTTTTATTCTTTTCATAGCCTTAGGAAAGGTGAGCAGCTGCCTCTATTGCCCATATATCTGCCTGTGGTTTCCATTTCACGAAAAAGAAACAACAAAAGCTCTCTTAAAAGAGTGTGTTTTTACCCTGAGATCTCTTAGGTGGCTTCAGTAAAACATAAAAATTATATTTGTATTAACATGTAATTTGCGCTTTAATATCTCCAACCTTTACCCCATTACTCCTCCCTCTGTTAACTCTTCACCTTTGGAGATACTGGCCATGAAGTTACAGCTCTTCAGGAAAGATTAAAAATGGGCTAGCTATGCTAGAAGTCTGAATCACTATTCTGTGTTTATTTACTGGTTAAAGTTTATTATTTTATGAGTACACTATGATAGGTACAGGGTATATATTAAACCACCTATGTCAGTTAAACATTGTATAGCCAGGTGACACAAAATTAACTCTAGACCCACCTCTTTATTTCTTTAAAAATATACAGAAACCTAAAAGGTCTCATGTATCTTAAGTTATTTAATGTAAACTTGGAAAGCTCAACAGCTGTACTACATAATATCACCTTAATTTTACTAAAACTGAAATAAATCATTTTATTATATATTAATGGGGATGATACTATACCTAATACACAGAGATGGTGCGCATATTTTCAAAGATAATGCTTGTGAAGCACTTAGTACTATCACTGATGGTCAGTATTATGCAAGTATAGTATTTTGTAATTATTATTTTTGCATTCACTTTCTCATTAAGTAACAGGAGAAGCCAGAACAATGAAGATGGCTTCTGAGCAGTGGGTTATGAGGCAAAATAGGCTATTTAGTAGAACTTTTAATGACCCAGATATAGTCATGCTCACAAAGAACATTGTTCATGACAGTAGGGACTGTATCTCTATGAGAATGTCACTGTGACTGGCTTCCTCCTCAACTGTGCTACAGCTACTCTTCTTTAGAGGTCTGTTCTTAGAACACATTTGGTTTTTTCACTGCATTGTGCTAGAAAACTCCATTCATGCTAGCACTCCATTCATGCTACTACTATATACCTACATGTACAGATAAAATTTCATTGTGTGTGCACTTCCTTCACTTTCTCCGGTTTTCTTACTATTCTTCCACTTTTCTCATAACACCTCAACTCAAAAACTCATATACCATAAACATCCACAGCCTCTGTTATTCCCTGCACTGTTCATATTTGTTCTTACTAAATTTACTCTCGGGAATTTTGAAGCCATCACAGTGCCTCAGATGTAGAAGCTCTTACTGTGGACCCTGTATATCCTCTAGAAATTGTGGCTTATATTTTATTAAAAATGTATTTGCTTTTCAAAGAAAACTATACCATGAATTTCTGAGGTAAGCTACGGTTTTGATTTGTTAGGCTTCCTGTTATAATCTTTAGCGGCTATCTAACAAGGGGATGTGAATAGGGCACAGATATCATGCAAACTGATTGTCAGAAACATGCAGGAACAGATGTTATCCTTCTCTGACACTGTCTGAAAATGAGGAGTGTTTATGAGTTGAGAGTGAAGTCAAACATATCGCTTCATAATTACTAGAACTTCCTTAATATGAAGCTGTATCTTTTCTTTTCCCAATATTGCTCTGGCTGAACACTAATGGAGTCTGGTCTCATGGGTACACTTTTGGGAGTGTTGCTTGCAATAGAAATCATCACAAATATTCAGACCATAGTAGTCATTCAGAACATAGTGCTGTCTATTGAACAATAGAGGCCAGAAGGTATAGAGTAACATATTTCTAGGACTGTGAGAAAATATCTGTGAAATTCAAATTGTGTGCACCAAAATGTTAATTGAAGGGATATGTAGCATGTTAAGACAAATTATAATTTTATTCTATTATTCAGAAGCAAAATTTAAAGAGTTTGATTATTTTTATTTATTTGTTTATTTTTCTTCAACTTGTACTTTAAGTTCCGGGGTACATGTGCAGGATGTGTAGGTATGTTACATAGGTAAACGTGTGCCATGATTATTTTTTAACTTTGTTAATTGTACACGGATAATTTTGAGAGAAGCTACTGAAACAAAAAAAAATTAAAAAAAGAAACCATATAACTTCCAAACAAGTAGAGGTAGAAATAAGATTAGAGAAAAAATAATTCAAAAGAATAAAGAAATAATGGAGAAAGAGGAAGACGATGGAGACGAGTTGAATAAAATAAGAACAAATAGAAAGTATAAAATAAAATGGTAGAAATAAATTCAAATGTATATGTTTTTGAAAAATATTTAAAAGGATTTAATTTTACCACCTAAAATATAGACTATTACATCAAAAAATACAATAAAAGTATTTTAGAGTAAAATACCTGTAACATAAAAACAGACTAAAAGTTCAAGACTGTTATGATACTTGCAAAATACTAATCAAAGATAAATTATGTTAGCCATATTAACATCAGGTAAAATAAGAACACACACAATTTCGATGGAAAAGCAGGTCATATAGTGATATATATATATATGTATATTTCAACTCACTAGAAAGCTATGATCATTCTAAAATTGTAGGCTACTAGACACAGACATTACTACACCTTTCACCAAACTTAACAAAAATGAATCACAGATCTAAATGTAAAACGTAAAACTATAAAACTCCTAGAAGATAACATAGGAGAAAATCTAAATGACCTTGAGTATGGTGACATTTTTTGGATATGACACCAAAGGCATGATCCCTGAAAGAAATAATTAATAAGCTAGACTTCTTTAGAATTAAAAGTTTCTGTCCTATTAAAAATACTGTCAAGAGATGAACAGACAAACTATGGAATGGGAAAAATATATTTTCAAAAAATATATAGCTGATACAAGACTATTATACAAAATGTACAAAGAATTCCTAAAGCTCAAGAATAAGAAAACAAATAACTTGATGAAAAATGGGCCAAAGACCTTAACATACACCTCACCAAATAGGATATACAGATGGGAAACAGGCATAGGAAAAGATATTAGTCATCATGGAAATGCATATACCACTACACAGATATTAGAATGGCAACACCTAATGCTTAAGAGGATGAAAAGCAATAAGAACTTGAGTTCATTGCTGGTGGAAATGCAAAATTGTACAGACATTTTGGAAGACAATTCGTTATAAAACTAGAAATATGCTTACCACGTGATCCAGAAATCTAGCTCTTTATTTACCCAAGGTAGTTGAAAATATTTCCTCTCAAAAACCTGTACACAGGTATTTATTGCGACTTTATTCGTAGTTGACAAAACTTGCAGGCAAACAACATGTCCTTCAGTAGGTGAATTAATAAATTATGGTACATCCAGACAATGGAATATTATTCAATGCTTAAAAGAAATCAGCTAACAAGCCATTAAAAATGTAGAAAACTTAAATGTATATTAATAAGTGAAAGAAGTCAATCTGAAAAGGCTATATACTCTATGATTCCAACTATATAATATTCTGGAAAAGGCAAAACTATGGAGATGGTAAAAATGTCAGTAATTGCCAAGGGCTAAGGGGAAGGGAGGGATGAAGGGGCAGAACACAGAGGATTTTTAGGGCAATAAAACCATGCCATATGATACTATAGTGAAAGGTCTCTGCTGCTAAAATAAGAGAAGAAAACAAATCATAATGCATATAAATTGGAATGAAAAAATAAAATTTTATCATTGGAAGATGCTATCATTGGAAAGCTAAAAAGATGACACTGACCAATTATTAGATGACTAAGATGCTTCGGCAAGTTTGTTGTCTAAAGAACAACATACCAAAAAGAAATTGTATTTTCACACTATCAACAAAACATAGATTATGTTTAAAATATTGATAATCTACAAAATTATTAAAATAAAAATAAATATAACATCATGTGAAATATGGAGAAAATATGAAACTGTAAAGATACTAAGAAGATCTAAATTAATGAGTGAATTTCTATTATCAAGGTAACATGAATACTGGTAATAAAATGAATTTCCAATTATTCATTATTATTTCCATCTTTTCCTTTATATGAGTCTTTTGTCAGTTTGTTTAGATAAGTCATCGCAATTTTGATTAATATCATTACAGTAATCTTCTAATTTTCCCAATATAACCAGGTATGTTAACTTATAAGCCATAGTAACTAAACTTATCTTTGAAAAAAGTGAATCTGGCCATGATCAAATTTCTTAAAATTATTTAAGGAACCTCCATAACTTTTAGTTGAAGTTATAAAACCTCATATTTACATAAATATGGTACTTCTTAAAGGTCATGGTTAAGATTTTTTTAAATGTAAGATGCTTTCCACTTTCTTTGACAGAGTATCTCACATGTTTTTTTTCGCTTTGAAAAATTAGAACCCCCAGACCATACTAATGTGTAGGATTCATAAGGTTAGTAATTTTTGGTTTAAATTGTTCAATAAATTATGCGTAATTCTATGCTTGTTAAAAATGATCTAACAGACAAATGCTAGTTTCTATTATTGATAAATTTTATCTCCCTATGGAAGGTAAAGAAATGGAAGGAATGAAAGATAAATTTATCTTTCTCAGTTTTCATGCAGTAGTCTTGTGGGAGACCCTGTGTAAAACACGGCATGCTCTGTCTCTTTGTCTCTCTCTCTCACCCTCTCTCCCTCACACACACACACCACACACATACACACACACACAAATTCTTTACAATTATTTTAAAAATAGATTCCTCTTTTAGAATGTAATATTTTATATATATTATTTTAACCTAGCTATTGTTCTGATTCTAGTAATTCTCCCCACATCTTCTTAGTCCCTGTCTTTCCACATACAAAGCAGAGTTTAACTGTTTAGAACACATTAATTTTTTAAAATTCTAAATTAAAATACTCTTCTCATTCTCTTTCTAGAGGCAAAAGGGGTGTCAGTGTACAATATGCACTCTGTCTCTTACAGCTGAAATAAATAACATATCAGAATTCCTGAGATATGTAATGTTTGAACAACACAAGTGAACATTTAATATGTAGTCTCACAGTTCATTTTGATGCATTCATTTGTAAGCTCCCCAAAGAAAAACAAGTCATGTGCTCTGCATTTTTTTGTTCTTTTAACAATGACTAATAAAGCGATAAAAATATAGACACCATGTTCATTAACTGATTGATGGAAAGAAGTGAAAATCAAAAATAGAAAAATATGCGTTAGAGAAAAATTCCTGACAATGATTCCTTCAGAATTCTCTTTATTTACATAGCTTTAATTTTGGTAAATATTGCTATTTTGGATAAAATATTATGAAATTATATCATACATATTTTATTCCTGTTTTTATTTCTTAGCAGTAACATTAGTTTTTGATTTACTTTCTTTGGATTCCGCATAGGCAATAAATATCACAAGATATTGCCTGAAGTTACTTTACTTTGTGTGTGTACTTGTGCACACACACACACGTATTAATCTTTTATGATCATTGAATTTATGGAACATGTTGCACACTTTATAGTTATCAAGTTATCAACTGGAGAGTGCCTATTTAAAATTACGTAGCAGTAGGTTATTAGTTTGCTGAATTAATTAATATCACAATTAAAATGATTATATACCATTCATTGCAACACAGTAGGACAATTACTTTGAGCAATCACTTACAATCTTAACCTTAAATATCTATTCCTTATATTCTCATTTTACCTTTAGAAGCATCATGTGGCTGTACTTAGAATGATATCAGAGTAACTGTCTTATTATTTGTCTTAGTTGATTGTGAGATACTCAAAGCAAAACTATCTCATTTTTTAGTAGAGATCAGGATCATGCCAAGCTCAATGACTCAACCACTAATTCTGCTAATTCCAGTCAATTAAAATTCCTTCATCTTAAATTAGAGCTCTTGATGATTTTTCTAACTTTAGAATAGTTGAGATTTAAAAAGGACTTAAATATTAAAATCATAGATTACTGTATTTATCAATAAAAGTCCCTTCACATCATTTGTATATCAAATGTTTTACATTAAATGTACATTTCAGATAAAACCATTTGAACACTTCCATTCCAACTGAGTGATGTAAATGGACAATACTGAATATTTTAATGCCTACAGTGTTATTTTTCTTCTAAGTCTAAGAATTGTAAGTGCAGTGCCATTGTTTTCTGAATCAAAATACTGGTGACATAGCCTAAAACCTACTCACATACATATGAGGGAAAGAAAAAAAATATCTGAAATGAAAGCTATTATGGGAAATTTTGAGTGTGTGGTTATTATAGCTCATAGCATTGTTTTCTTTACTGTGGATGCTGTGTTTATAGCGCAGCTATGTTGGGATTCACTCAGGATGGTGGCAGAAATATTAAGGGGAAATATGAGGGAAAGTTATAGGGAACAGTCACAAACATTTTGGAGGGCCAAAAGGTTACATAGCTTGTAATAATTGAACAGGCTGAAGGTAGCCGGTTCTTACCTTAAAGCATTAGGTCATAGGGTAAATACTAGGGACAATAGAGGCTCCCTCAGTTAAGTCTGTTTACCCTACCTCCATTAACTAACCTTTGAGCCAGATGGCCCTCTGGGGGGAGGTCTACTAGGCATATTGCCCCCTAATGGTATTTACCTTAGACCGCGGACACCTGAGCTTTAATCGCTCTTAGAAATACTCTCTTAACCATTACTTATCCACAAGTGTGTTGACTTCAAAGCTTCTGTTGTTAATTGTATACTAAATAAATGCCTGAATTGTGAACTGCTCAGGTTCGGCCGCAGTGACAAACCTCTCTTGGTGTGTAGGCGGCCGGACACTAAACAGGACTGGCAAAGCAGAACATCTGTGTGTCAGTGTATGTTTTATTCATCCGTCGTTTGGGTCAGGGTCTGCGGGCAGACTCCCGCAGCTGATGCCCTCAAGTGTGAGGAGTGCCACCTCAACTGGTGCCCCGTGTGAGGAACCATGTGAGGAACCGTGTGAGGAACGTTAGGGGTCTGCAGAAACAGACTCCCCGCAGATAGAGCCCCTCGTGGGGCAAGCTGCGAAGGAAGTGTGAAGAGCAATACCTCAACCGGTGCCCCTTGTGAGGACCGCCGTGTGAGGAAAGCCGTGTGAAGAGCCGTACTTCACAGCAATAATGTAGAATGTGATTCATATTTTGTTCACAGTTGAAAGACGATTGTATTTTCTATCAATTTTAAGTGTTTGATGTCCCACTGTTATTGTACAAAAAAAAGTCTGAAATCTAGCATATTTTAAGCCAAAAAAATAACATATTGGTATATTCAAAATGATGGCAGCCAGGGCCATCTGGAGCAGCTGCTGCCATCACTTTGGCCACTGCAGGGAGGTCATGGGAAGGAGGTGGCCAGCCATCCCACAGCCCACAGCCCTTGGGGCCGCTTCAATGGGGCTGGGCTGGGCTGACCTCTGATGGGGGAGCAGTGCAGTCAGGAAGAGAGGGGCCCGAAGGCGGAGCTGGGCCTGGGGCTGTGCGGCACTTGCACATGGACCACGGGGGCGAAGCCTGGGGTGTGGAGCTGGGGCCATGCTTCTGGGACCAGGGGTGGGAACTGGGAGCAGTGACTGCTTACGGGACATGGCCAGTGGCGCAGCAACTGCACCCACCCTTCCAAGGGTGCCTGGTTCCTGTGCCTGTAGAGGAGGCTCTGTGTGGAGTCACATCCCTGGGTTCTGCCCTGCCATGGGTGACTGCTGAGCCTGACACCCCCGATGGCTGGGCCCAGGGCCTGCAGCCCACGATCTGCTCCATCCTGGGCCACCTGGGAGCACCCGGGAAATAGGGGAAGCTCTTGGCAATGTTGCCCATGCCCCGAATGCAGGCCCTGCTCCAGTGAGGATATGGAGCTCCCGGCCCAGGCTGCACAGGGGCACAGCCAGAATGCATGCTCCGTGGAGCCAGTAGGAGCTGGGAGCAGGCCGCAGCCCTGCCCTTCCAGTCAGGGTTGTAGAACCGGGCCTCTGTGTGCTCTTATGGGTCCAGGAAGGCACCATCCTTCCCTTGCTGGCTCAGAAGTGCCTGCTCCTACTGGCTGGCCTCTCTGCACTCCCAGTGCCCACTCTGATCTTGAAGCAGAGTTGGGGCCAAGCCCAGTCACTGTCACAGCCTGGCTGGGTGTATGCACCCTCAGGCCCTGCCACCTTGGGCAGGTGTGTGTCTTGGGGGGTGAAGGGGAACCAGATTGGTGGGACAGAGGGTTGCTTGGCGCTGGCCTGCAGATGCCCCTTGGCACAAGCAGCCTGGATGCCATGGACAGCAGCAGGAAACAGATTGGCTCCTGGGTGGAAGGGGACCAGTCCCCAGTGAGGCCCAACTTCAAGCCAACAGAGCTGGGCTGGTAGTTGCTCAAACTAAAGTAGGGACTTGTGGTGCCTTTTCCAGGCCTGCCCATGGCTGCCCATGGATCAGTCAATGCACACTTTCTCCCCCACTGAGGCCCATAAAACCCCCAGGCTCAGCCAGAGCAGAGGAGAGGATGGAGAGAGGATGGGATGACCAGCTGCAGAGAGAGAAGCTAAGCTCTCTGCTGATAGCTGAAACTTGTTGGGATGCTTGCCTGCAGAGAAGAGCTACCTTCTCTGCTAGGAGCTGAACACTTGTCGGGACAACTTGGCTACAAAGAGAAGCTTCCCACTGTGGGTCTTCTCTGAGCTGTTCTATTGCTCAATAAAGCTCCTCTTCATCTTGCTCATTCTCCATTTGTCTGCATACCTCATTCTTCCTGGTTACAGGACAGTAACTCAGGACCCACTGAATGGCAAGTCTAAAAGAAGTGCTGTAACACAAACAGGGCTGAAACATGCCCCTTGCTTGCCACATTGTGGATAGCTTTCCCATTTCAAAATACGTATTTTTTTTTAACCTAGGAAGAATAAATTTCCTGTTTGCATGTTTCACTTGATTAGAGGAACACAGTTAAAAAAATCTAAAATAATGAGAAAATTTGTTGGAAGTAATTGTATTTCTAAGGCAGGCAGGAAGTAATTACATTTCTAAGCCAGGCAGGCAACTATGTAATATTCTAAGCTATGAACAGAGAAAGTCTGAATAATTTTTAGAATTTCATACTTAACATACAGTAGAAGTTTTAGAATTGATGCAAAGCAGCACTTTCAAAATAGGTAGGACATTTGATTTTACATTGGAGAATGCACTGAGAAGCGTTGCTCTAAGGATGGAAAAGGTGTAATCAAGGAGACGTAAAAAGGTAATTAAGAAGAACAAAAAGGCAATGAACCTTGCCTTAGGAAATAAGGAAAAGATTTACCCCCTCTGGCTTAAAAGACAAAGTCTTTATACCTCAACAGGGATATATTCCTTTTCCTTTTGGAACAACCTGAGTACAGATTTTTTTTTCTCCCTGGGAACTCAATCTCTTTAATCAGCTTACATTAATTCTCCTTTTTATGAGGGATTAATGATAAATCATTCACTCACTACTTTATATGTAACTGAATAATGTGAGAACATTATTGTAAGGCCACCATAGCGCTAACAGGTATTATTTTCCTGAATTTGCTATGCCAAAAACAATAATGGAAATGTCAAACTACCGAGAAGAATATTTGGCCTAACCTTATGTCAGATACAGGATATTAAATCAAGAATTCTTCACATACATACAGAGGCAATCTTCACAGAAATCATGTATTGAACCCTGGTATAATTAGAGAGTCAAGTCGTATGTAAAATATGTAAAATATGAGAGAGGCACAGGATTCACAACCATGAATGTGATCACTTAAACTGGATTTTATTTTATATCATTTTTGAAGGGTCAATTTTGCTTTCTTTTTCTGGGATGACTAACTCCCTGCACCCTGACTTCCTTTTCTCCCCAACTATGATGGGAAGCATAATTATTGCAAAGCAACAAGAACATCCTAAATGCATGCCTTGGTTTTGTGGATTTGTGGCAAAATGATTACTCCCTAATCCCTCTCACCTCTCTATGTTCCATTCTGAAGAGACTGTATAGTTGTGTGGCTGTTTTTCCACACTCAGGGAATACTGGGTCATGAGGTAAAAAGAGGCTGCCTGGATCCTTGCCCAAAGTCTTTGTAGTGAGAGCAGCTTTTGGGCCAAAGAGACAAAAGAAACCAAACCCAATAAGCAAAGCTAAATGCTAATCTCTATTGTAAGAAAAATTATTTTTATATATCTGGGAAATTTCCTCATCCCTGAAACCAGCGATTCTCCAAATAAGTAGGGAGTCTCTTTCTTGAGAGTATGTAGTATGGGAAGAGCCTAGAAGTGCTGGAAGTAAAGATTATTTTTATTTTTAGCTGAAAGAGTTCTATGCACATATTCAGTGGAAGGCAGAGAGGATTTTGCCATGTACAGAATATCTATTGACCAAATGACATCTTTGTGATACTCCTGGTATGATACTAATAATAGTTACATTCCCTTTCTTTTTTCTACTTATTTTATGTCACATATTTTGTGCCTATGATTTATTATTCTTTTTTAACAGTAGCTTTTTTCTTAATCTCTCACCAAACCTAGAATACTCTTTATTCATTGGGCGCTAAATACAATAAAATCTTGTATAGTCTTCAGGTTTACATCCATGGAGTGAAAGCAATTCAGACACAAAACAGTGAGTGGGTCCTGAAATAGATGACGCTTGAATGACCAGATAAAATAATAATAAGATTGACCTGGGGGCAAAAAGCTGCCACATATAGTCATTATGGACAAGTCAATAGAACACAAGTAATGTAGTGTACAGTCCTATTCAAATTCTGAGGGGCAAAGCCATGGATCAGAATTATCTGTTAGAAGCCAAAGCTGAGCCACACACTAAAAGAAAGGCATGGATGGGAAGCATGCAAACCAAAAACAAGTAGGGATAATAAAAATATCTAATAGCAGGTGCAAGCAAGTAGGCAAGAATGTTGACTCCTTCAGTTGTGTGGTACTAACATATGAGAAGCTTTCCATAATTTCTAAAGTTATAAATCAGTTAGTACGTTGGAGTGAGGCACTGAATATGGTCAAGCTTTCTAAAGGAATTAAATATTTCAGGGTATAGATGAAGTTAAGCTAGTTAGCACTTGATAATCACATGGAATTATCTGATCATTGATCTAATTTTAGGTCACTGTCAGACTTAAGAGAAATTTGTCTTTTTAATATAAAAATTTCACCATGGGAAGTGCAGAGTTCTTGGGTTATAGCCAATATAATGCTAATGAAATTTAGAAGGTATCAGGATTCATTCTTTGCAGTAAGGTCTTTGCTATGAAAAGTCCCCTTTATACAATTTAGGAACTATTTGGTTTCTATAGTAACTATATGATTAGCTTTGGGAATATCTAATGTCTACATTCCCCAGAATATGAGTGACAGCTTAGTGTTCATGGACTATTATTTTCTCTTTTTCCACATTATAGATTCAGACCCTGTCATCTACTTCTCTGGGCTCAGAGTAGAATAGTAGAATATTCCTAGTCAGGAAGCCAAATAAAACGCACATTAAAAGATAGATTTCTGCTGTGTCAATCAAGAACATTCTTCAGCAAGTGCTAAGGTTTGAATATGTCCCTCAGAGTTCATGTGTTGGAAACTTAATCTTTTTAATACTTTAAAGTTAATATTTTAAAAGTACAGCATATTCATTTCTGTATCCCCAGGGCTGAGAGCCAGCTGAACCCTGTGCTCAGCTAACCAAATACCCAGTAACTAGCAGATGTGTTTCACTTTAGGGCTTTCTAAGCCCTAAAGATGTCCTTTACCAAGGTTTAGAACCCTCTTAAATGCTACCATAAGTAGTTTTCTTTCACTAGGCTTTATTTTAGGCTATAATTACCATCACTTGCTTAAAATTGTTCTTTATTTATTTTCATTTTATTGTATAATATTTTAGAGATACGGTCTTACTGTGCCACCCAAGCTGGAGTACAGTGGTGTAATCACCTCTCGCTGTGGCCTCAAACTCCTGGGCTCAAACAATCCTTTCACTTCAGCCTCTTGAGTATCTAAGATGACAAGTGCACACAACCACCCGCAGCTAATTCTGTTTTTTTGATTTATTGTAGAGATAGGGCCTTGCTATGTTACCCAATCTGGTTTCAAACTCCTGCTGTCAAGCAATCCCCCTGCCTCCGCCATGAAAAGTGCTGGGATTACAGGTGTCAGCACCACACCCAGCCTGGGTTTTTTTTTAATAAAATTTTAAGATAATTGTAGGTTTACATGAAGTTTTAAAAATTACACAAAATCACAAATGCTCTTTACCCAGTTTTCTCCAGTGGTAACATGTTGCAAAACTGTAGTACAATATCAAAACCAGAATATGTATACAGTTAATATGTGACTATTTCTATCACTACAGTATCCCTCAGGTTGCTCCTTTATAATTATATCTACTTCCCTTCTAACCTTTTCATAAATTCTGGCAACCAGTAATTGGTTCTCCATTTCAAGAATGTTATATAAATAAAATCATACAGTATTTTACCTTTTGAGATTAGCTTTTTTTTTCATTCAGGGTAATTCCGTTGATATCCATTCAAGTTGTTTTGTGTATCAATAATTTTTAGTCCTCAATAGTGAATCTTGGATAGAAGGATTTGTATCTCAACTAGTGCTATTTAATGCCAGAGGGAGCAATGATATATAGCAGAAGCACCCTGATGTGGGCTGGAAGCCAAATGAAGAAGAGAAGAGGTCTGACTGAAATGTGATTCATTGTATATGGAGACCCTGACAGAGGTGATTCAAATCTGATTCAAATGTTGTGAACAAAAAGGTAGTCATTGATGGGAATATCTTGAACAAATATCACCAGACACAGCAGTTGAATTTTACAATAGCTTCAATATGTGTCATGAAGAACACAAATGATTAGATTACCCTAACTTTCCTTGCTTTAGATGCTACAGAATTAGTTGTGTTGGCTCATTCTTTTAACATTTAATGTATCTGAGCTAGCCATAAAGGGGAAATGAGATAGTTTGACATCATCAGCTTGATTATATTTCCTATGTCAGTCATGATATCTTAAGATATAAAATAACACCAGATTAAGTTAAAGAGTTAATTTGAGTTTATTTAATGTAAGTTCTGTCTAGGTGGTAATCTAAATGCCAGAGACAACAACCTTCAGAAACCTAGGTTCTAAGACCATGAGAGACTGAGTAAAAAGTAATGGGAAACTTTTAGTCACTAAAAGGTAGTTTAATGTGGAACCTTTGAAAATAATATGTTGGCAGTAAAGAATTGAAGAGAAAACTAGTTGATAAATGTTCCTGAAAGGCAGATAACAAGTAAAGAATTATCTGTGATTTACAGGATTGTTCTTTAAAGTATCATACATACACTCCAAAGAGTACCTAGGTTCATAAAATGTGGTTCAAGAAGAAAATGTTAATTGATTTTTCTATAAATACATGTGCATAGATATATATTTTATTCATGTACAAATACTTCTCTACTTATGATGAGGCTACATCCTGATATACCCATCATAAATAAAAAATATTGTAAGTTGAAAATGCACTGAATTCTGGCAAAGAGCAGATAGTCCCCAATTTACAATGGTTTGACTTACAATTTTTCAATTTTATTATGATGCAGAATGTGTTATTCATTCAATAGCAACTGCAATTCCATTGTAATTTTTAAAGAACTCTAAACTTACAATGGGACCATATCATGATAAACCCATCGTAAAGTGGAAAAATCGTTAAGTCAAACCCTCATAACTTGGGGACCATCTGTTTACACACACACACACACACACACACACATATATGCATACAGACAGTCCCCAGTTTATATGATTATATGTAATTATACATATATGTAATGATTATATATAATTATGCATATATAGTGATTATATATAATTATACATATATAGTGATAATATATAATGATATGTAATGACAAAAATAAGAAAGAAATTGATATTTATTCCAATACAATTTGCACATTCACACTAGAATCCTCATTTGTTCCCTATGTCAGATGATTATGAAGTATGTGCAGTAGTACCACCAATATTCTAAAAAAAGGGAGTTCCAAGAAGACAGAAGAATTGACAGTGGCATTTTCAACTGTTTTGTCTTGTTTTACTTTCAGCCACTGAAGTGGGTGACTGTTTGCAGAAAATTGGTTATCATATATATAACTAATTTTATAAACACAATGCTCTAAAGGAAGAACAAATTTTACCTTTTAAAAAGATGAAGATAAATCATACAAATATTTAAGCACAAAAGTTTTGCCATTTTTAAAATGTATCCTTAAAAATGTCCTTTCAAATTGCTCTTTACGATAAAAACTGCTTGTCAGTTTTATGATTTCAGAGAAATTTAATATTAACAATGAATAGGATAATAAGGACTTCCTAAAACATAACTCAAAAGTGAACTAAGGAGAAGGACTTTTGAAAATTTTGGAAATTGATGGTGAAAATAATGTAAATGTATTATTTAAAAATACTAATATAAATGCATTTCCAAAAACTGGAAAACAACATAGTTATTTAACTCATTTAGAAATGTTCATGGACTTTCAGTAGGTTTTGATCTTCCTTGTTAGAAACAAAAAAAAAAAACGCAACATGAATGATATGTTGCATAAAGACAGAACAAAGATAGAAAGGAATTTACCATATTTCAGCAAAAACCTTTTCTGAAAAGGCAAATAAGTTTTAGTAGGCATAGGAAAATTTGCAATTCTTTCATTTATGCCTTTTTTTATTTTTATATTCACTGCAACAAAGTGCTGAAATAATTTGAATTTAGAACCATAATTCCAAATCAAGGTGTCAAACCAAGATTTTTTAAATTAATAAAGACATTTTAATCACATTTTTCTCATTCTAAAGTATAACAATTAAAATATTTTAGTGAGAATAAATGTACTTTTTATAGTTAATAAAAATATATTCTAGATTATTCTTTTTTTATGTTCTTTTTATTTTTATTTATGTGCATTCCGCAATATGATTAATATATTCATACAACATACATATGTGTAATTTCCAAGAAATGAATGTGTGTATATTTTTGGAGAGTACTCAAAACTTTTTATTGCAATGGTGAATAATTCAGAAGATTGGGAGATTGCTAGATTAGAGCAGTAAACAGTCCCATAGAAGATATGAGATCTGCTATTTTCATGTCAGGAAGGATTTTCAGCTGTCTTTGTAAATGTAGTCACATCTGAATTAGCTATAAATTAGAAGATCTGATTAACCTGCAATGGCAGATATATGAGAACATAAAAGAGACAGGATACCTACTAAGGGTTTAGGGGAATAAGAGTGAGAAACTGAGACTCTTAACCCATTATGAAGAAAGGCCAGGCGCAGTGGCAAAATTATCATGCCTGTGAATAGCCACTGCACTCCAGCTTGGGCAACATAGTGAGACCTTGTCTCTTAAAAAAATAAAATAAAAAATCAAACTATTCTTTCTCCATGCTTTTACTGAATATTTTACGTGTGTGCTTGGGTATTTATTACCCTCTCTGTCAGTTTACTTTCAGTAAAATTAGGAAAAATTAAAATATATATGTTAAAGACTTGAATGGATGTCAGTTGAACTAAAGCTATGTAAATTGTATAGCATAGTTTGCGGCACAATTTAAGTACTCAGTAAATGTCAGCTGCTAGTATTGTGGCTGTTTTGTAAGCTCTCATAATTATTTCTCTGTGTATACATTTTTATTTTGTTTTTTTTTTTTTTTTTTTTGAGAGACTCTTATTTTTTTAAAGCAGTTTTAGGTTCACAGCAAAATTTAGCAGAAGGGACAAAGTTTCCCCACGTTGTCTTTTTGTCTCTCACCTGACTTAAAGTTCTTTGCATTCAGGGTTACTGCACAAGAGGTATTTAATACATTTTAATCACTTTAATATCATTATAACTAACTGATTTTTCTCTCTGTCAGTAGATAACACATTACTATGCAAACAATACTTCATTCAACACATTTTCCGATTACTTGTTTGGTGTTATTTTAGATCATTAACATATAAAATATGACAGTAAAATACTATGAATAATAAACTATTCAAAATTTAATCTATAGTAAACCATTCTAGGGCAATAAATTTCAGTGAATTTCTTGTACAAAGATGTTGTCAAACTTATATTACGCTGGGATTACTCTCAGCATAGAACAGAGAGAAATTAAGCCTTTTTTTGTTCTGATCCATTAATCTTGAAAACTGGCCTAAATGTCTTCTTGGCAAGTCTAGCAATTCAGAATTAGATTTGAAAAATAGGGTAACTTTGTAGATTTTAAACTTCATTTTATACTTTCATTTGTAAGGCTAGCCAAAACAGAGTGGAAAGAAATTAAAATCATAGAGATATTATTGGGTTTTCCTATGTAGACTTTGCAATTTTTTTATTATTCCATTACAAACAATGTGGGTAAATAAGAAATACATCACTACTGAATTTTCCTTTACCAAACACAGGAAAGATTTTTTTCTTATAAATTAAGTGCTAACTAAAGGAGATTGAGAAAAAGCAGGTGCTTCTTAGATTTCTGATCGAAACTGCAGTGTGGACTCTTTCATTTTTTTTTCATAATCTTCAAATTTCTCATACTGGGCTACAGTGAATTGATTCTTCCAGTCTCCTGAAACACCTAAAAAGAAATATAAAATAACACATTTGAGACTACTGTAAAATGTTTCTTCTGAAACAAGTTTTAATTTAAATTACTATACCCTTTATTTTTACCCCTTTAACTTTTGGACATCATATCGGTGCCATATCTCTCATCCTAAACTTCCACTCCCATACTTCTAGACCTTGTTAATCTTCAAAAAATTCCCACAGATTTTTTCAGTATCCTGTGTAAATAAACAATCCCTTAAATAGCTTATAGAAATGTCACTGGGAAAAAAACACATCTCAAAATCTCGATTCTTTGGCTTCAAGAATTTTCTTAACAAAAGATATAAAGGACTTTTTAGTCCTTTTAAAATTATGTTTTCTGGCTGGGCGTGGTGGCTCACACCTGTAATCCAAGCACTTTGGGAGGCCGAGGCGGCAGATCATATGAGGCCAGGAGTTCGAGACCAGCCTGGTCAACATGGTGAAACCCCATCTCTAATAAAAATACAAAAATCAGCCAGGTGTGGTGGCATGTGCCTAAATCCCAATTACTTGGGAGGCTGAGGAAGAAGAATCACTTGAACCCAAGAGTGGAGGCTGCAGTGAGTCAAGATCACACCACTGCACTCCAGTCTGGGGGACAGAGCGAGACTCTGTTTCAAAATAAATAAATAAATATATATATATATACACACACACACATATATAAATATATAAATGTATATAAATATATATAAATATATGTATAAATACATATAAGCATATATATATATATATATATATATACATGTTTCCCCATGTCAAATGATAATTTATGAAAAAAAGTTTTATGGTCAAGTAAGATTGGACATTGCTGGGTTAAATGCAATTAAACTTTTTTTTTTAACCACAGAATTTCCCAGTCTTCAAAATGTTATCCTTATCAAAAACCTTACAGGAAGGATATAGGACATAGCATTTACAATAAATATCTGATAAGAAAAATTAATGCCATTTTCATAGAATATCTCGCAGGGTAATGCAGAGATATAGTTGGAAGCCTGGTTGTAGGAAAAAACAGGGAAAAATGTCTAAATATCTATGTCAGTCTGGCTCAGGGTTTCTCAACTTTGGCATTTTACTTAATTGATTTAAATATTCACTGTTGAAAGTTGGAGCCAGACAATTCTTTGCTGGGGGAAGGGAGAACTGACTTGGGCATTGTAGGATGTTTAGCAGCTTTCCTAGCCTCTATGCAATGCCAACAGTCTCCTCCTAGTTGTGACAATCAAAAATGTCTACAGAAGTTGCCAAACATCTCCTGAAAGACAAAATTGTACCTGGCCGAGATCCAGATATTCCCAGCAATACTTACCCATGGCATACTTCCTAATTAAAATGAAAAAAAATCGAGACCTATGAAAACACATTATAATTACCATTACACTTTATAGCCTATAGCCAAAACACCTGTCTCTCAAAAAATGTCTTAAATTTTTTTACTGCAAACAATTATTTACTCCCTTCTTTACCATAAGAAGATTTTACATCCCTGTTCACCATCATGTGTTAGGCAATTCCTCCTTGCCTCCTTAACTTAGCTTGGATTTCTAATATGCTTTGGCCAATGAACTTTGAATATATGTGACATACACCACATCTGAAAAGAAGTTTCAAAAGATATTATAAGTTTCATTGACTCTCTTGCTCTTTCTCTCTATCATGATATTGGGCATAATCCACATATGGGCAGCAATTTCAGCCTGGGTTTCAGAAAGAGAAGATCCAGGAAGCTGAGCCCAGGAGAGCTCAGTGCAGTGGCCATAGGTGACTAGTATCCACCAACATGTTACTGAAATGAGAAATGAAATGTGTGGTTTTATGCCACTGAGATTCTTTAATGAGGAATGAATAATTTACCATAGTCATAGCAACAAATTCAAGGAGTGGACACTCTTTTATTAATTTAGTATGCCTAACATTATTTAAGCTAGCTACCTAACACAGTAAAATTTTTAAGGAATGTAGAGGGTATCTAGATGATTCAGACAAAGGGCATTCTTCTGACATAGAAATGGGTGCCAACACTCATGCTTATTGATACACATGCTTTTTAGTAAATATTTCTCATTAGAAGGCTTGTCTTACATGTTAGACTTCCTGAGAAAAAAGAATTTCTTTGCCACAGATTATTTCCTCTAAAATTTTTTTGTTTTGTTTAGTTTTCCATTTTTCTCTCCCAAGTATACCAAATTTCTTTCCATTTCCTACAATATTGCTGTTATCTACTCTCTCCATGATCACAATAGCAAGCTGTACAGAAACCAGTATATGATGGCCTCACCCTTCCTTATGAAGGGAAACACATAATGGTCCATCTCATTCTTTCCCATAGTAGTATAATTTGTACAAGAGTTCTGCTTCATCACATCAAAAGAGCTGTGATGGAGGATTTTATCCACAATTGTTTCTGGCTTGTCTTTCTCCAGAAACTTTAACACCTTCTGAATTTCACACTTAGGATTATAAAGAAATTATAGAGAAAAATAATCATTTCAGGCAGATTTGGTCATGAAGCAGAGAATGCATTTACCAAGGTTCTACATATGACAAAGTAATAGATAAAATAATTTTAGATTTTTATGTGCATTTTAAATTTTGCTTTTCTAAGTACATATTCTATTCTTGATTATACCAAGCAAACCATCTGCTAAAAGAAATATTTAAACTGCAAAGAAAAAGATTAGGTTAATACCCAAACTTTCAAATTCAAAAATAGAATTCACCTTTAGAATAACCAATGGTAACAGAGCAACCTGTTATTATCATTAGGTATAATTTTTAAGATCTGTTAATCTACTTTATTAAGCAAATTTAACATCAAGAATTGATACCTATCTCAAGAATTCTCTTATAGTGGAAAGAAGATTCTCTACCTCTCATACCTACATAGATTATTTGATAGTATGAGTATATAAGATGGAAAGTAAAATAAAGTATTGTCCATTTTCTTTTTTTATATATATTTGAAATTTTATATTTGAAAATCTCTTTACCTTTTTTATTATACTTTAAGTTCTAGGGTACATGTACACAACATGCAGGTTTGTTACATATGTATACATGTGCCATGTTGATGTGCTGTACCCATTAACTCGTCGTTTACATTAGGTATATCTCCTAATGCTATCCCTCCCCCCTCCCCCACATTTTCTTAATCCAGTCTATCATTGATGGACATTTGGGTTGGTTCCAAGTCTTTCCTATTGTGAATAGTGCCGCAATAAACATACGTGTGCACGTGTCTTTATAGCAGCATGATTTATAATCCTTTGGGTATATACCCAGTAATGGGATGGCTAGGTCAAATGGTATTTCTAGTTCTAGATCCTTGAGGAATTGCCACACTGTCTTCCACATTGGTTGAACCAGTTTACAGTTGTTCCTATTTCTCCACATCCTCTCCAGCACCTGTTGTTTCCTGACTTTTTAATGATCGCCATTCTAACTGGTGTGACGATTTTCTAACCTAAAGAATGGCGGGGAAGATAAAGACAGCAAGGAATAAGAGATATTTATTTGATGTATTTCTTAAGGTTTCCCTTCTCTGTGCTTCAGACTGGACATAGGAAGGCATATTAGATACAATGAAGCATGACATTCTAGACAGAGTTTGTGCCCTGCTACCTGTCAGGTGGGTGTTCTTCTCAGTGTTTCAAATCAAACTGAGGCATAAAGCCATAACCTTAATTACCTAGCAAGATCAAGCAGAAAGACAACCTGAGACTTAGCTTTCCTGAGTGACTCATGTCAATTCAATGAAACAGAACCAGAGAGTTTCTATGAATGGCCCTAAAAAATCTGTTTCTTGTAGTCACAGAGCTGCAATTGTTGAAAATTAGACACAAACCTTAATTTGTAGAAGTTGAATTCACAGTTGTTCCAAGTCTAACATGTGAAAGTTAAATTTAAGAATGATGAAGGATGGAATGCTCAAGCTCAGAATGTGAATATTTGTTGATTTGATGACACAGAGAATCATAAACCCTTGAGTAATTATGAAGTTCTCTTCCAGCACATGTAGCACATGTAGATTCCCTTCTCATATTTGAGGAGACTAAAATTCCTTTGCTTGAAGACCTTATAATGGCCCAACGTAGAAAAGTTTTCTTTCAATATAATTCTTACCCTCTTATAGACCCAGACACTTCTTGTTGCTTTTTTTTTTTTTTTTTTTTTGAGACGGAGTCTCTCTCTGTCTCCCAGGCTGGAGTGCAGTTGCGCGATCTCAGCTCACTGCAAGCTCTGCCTCCCGGGTTCACGCCATTCTCCTGCCTCAACCTCCGGAGTGGCTAGGACTACATGCGCCCACCACCACGCCCGGCTAATTTTTTTTTATATTTTTAGTAGAGACAGGGTTTCATCGTGTTAGCCAGGATGGTCTGGATCTCCTGACCTCCTGATCTACCCACCTCGGCCTCCCAAAGTGCTGGGATTACAGACGTGAGCCACCGCGCCTGGCCTCTTGTTGCTTCTTGACCCATAAATAGAATAACATCTGATATATCATAGTTTGGATACTTGTCTCTTCCGAATCTCATGTTGAAATGTAATCCCCAATGTTGAAGGTGGGGCCTGGTGGAAGGTGTTTGGGATCATGGGAACAGATGCTTCATGAATGGTTTGGTTCTGTCCTCAAAATATTGAGTGTGTTCTCCCATGATCTAGTTGTTTAAAAGTGTGTGGTACCTCCCCACTCTCTCTCTTGCTCCCACTTTCATCATGTGACATGCTGGGTCTTCATCCTCTTCAGCCATAATTGTAAGTTTCCTAAGGCCCTCACTAGAGGCAGGCTGCCAGCAGCATGCTTTCTGTACAGCCTGCAAAACCACGAGCTAATTAAACCTCTTTTCTTTATAAATTACCCAGCCACAGGTATTTATCATGATGCAAAAACTGACCAATACAGTATCTCACTGTCATTCAGAGTGACAGGTACAAAGTAGTTTAAGCAGGATGCAGAAGATGATGAAAATTTGACTAAGGAACCTGCCAGAGGCAGATATCTTAGCTGAGTCAGGTGGTTTCTCTTGAGATGTACAACAGATTTATCAAATTAGAGATAAATGAGAGTAACAGCTATCTTAAAGGAATTTAGAGAAATCTAAGGGACCAAGATGAGACTGAGTGAGGGCTGCTGGACCTTAAGCAAATTAAGGAAGGTAGACTACAGTAACAGTTTTACCTGACAGAGACTTCAGTTTTGAATGCAAGTATGACTCACAAAGTTCACATGACAAAGATCTTAAGAATAAAAAAAGGTTAAATGAAAATTAGTAAATAAATTTTTTCAGGTACACTCAGTGAGTTAAGGAAAGGTGGCATAAGAAGAGGTTGTAGAAATAGATGGGGATGAAAGAATGTCACTCTATGTATGCTCTTAATTATTATTTTATATTTTAGGTAGGGACCAAAGCCATTAAGAGATTTGAAGCATGGAGTGGCATATTAGGATTTACAATTTTAAAATATTATTCTTTATGGATGGATAATGAAAGATGAGGTTGTCCAAAGAAATTTAGATGTCTAAAGTAGAGGGGAGGCAGTGGTGCTAGAAAGATGTGGATGCATAAAACATCCATTTTCAAGCTGCAATTGAAAGAATGGTAAGTTAGTCATATTTACAGACATAGAGGAAACAAAAGTATTATGCAAAGAAGATGAATCTTTTCTTTCTTTCAAAAACAAATAATAAAATGCAGTTACTTCTTACCTCTTTCATGTCTTCATAAAATAGGTAAAGGATACGATAATCTTTCTTCTTTTCCCACCAGCCCTTCACATGGTCATACCAGGAACCAAAACACACTAAATTGAAATTTTTTTTTGCAAAATTACACTATACATAAAATAAATAATGGTTATATGTTATTCCAAATCATCATTATCAATGCTTACACACTGATTAGCTATTAGTTCAAGAAAGGGATAAGCATAAGAGAAGTATATGAGATAACCACTATTCTCAATGAATTTAAAATCTCCTTGGAAGGAACAAAATTCTTATATAATAAGATGAATTCTGTTCTCTCAAAATTCATATGATAAAGTCCTAAATCCCAGTACCTCAGAATGTGACTGTAGTTGGAGATGGGTCTTTAAATAGATAATTAAGTGAAAATTAAGGCATTAGATGGGTCCTAATCCAATTGTTTCTACAGGATGAGAAAATTAGGACACAGACACTCACCAACCATTTGAAAATAGGGGGAAAAACAGTTATATACAAGCCAAAAAGAAAAGCCTCAGAAGAAACTAATTCTAATGAAATACTGATCTTGGACTTCTACCCTTCAGAGCTGTGAGAAAATACATTGCTATTGTTTAAAACATCAGATCCAGTCCAGTCTGTGGAAATTTGTTATGACAGCCTTATCAAAATAATATAGATTTTGATCCTGGGAAATGGGGTACTTTTTTGTAATAAATACCTAAAATGTGGAAGGGGCTTTGGAATCAGATAATGAATAGAAGTTGAAGAGCTTTGAGTTACATATTAGAAAAAAAAATCCTAGATTGCCTTGAAGAGATGGTTGGTAGAAATATAGATGCTATGAATGATTATGATAAGGGCTTATAAAACAAAAGAAGAATTTTATAAAGAAAACTTCTCTCATGATACAACTGTCATCATGAGCAGAATATTAGTAGAAATATGTTGAACAAAATACTTTAAAAGTTAAAGATACTCTGATGAGGTTTCAGACAAATGAGGAGCATACTATTGGAAATTGGAGGAAAGTCATTAATTGTTATAAAGTGGAAAATAAGTTGGCCAAATTGTGTTCTAGTGTTTTGTGGGAAGTGTAACTTGTAAGTAATAAACTTAGATATTTAGCTGAGGAGATTTCTAAACAAAATATTCGATGTTCAGCCTGGTTTCTCCTAACCGCAAGTCAAGAGAGACCAATTAAAGAAGAAAGCATTGGCTTCAGAGGAGGGTGGAGCAAGATGGTAGCATAGGACTATTTGGTGATCATGCCCTTGCAGAAATATCAATTTGAACAACTCTTTACACACAAAAGTACCTCCACAAGAGCTAATAAAGTCAGGTGAGAGATCACATTACCTAATTATAGCACAATAATAATAAAAGATACATTGACGAGAGTAGAAATAAAAGTTTTGCATTATCCGTGTCATTCCTTTTCCCCCTCCAGGCAACACAAAATGGAGAGAGATACAGTGTACTTGGGTGAAAGAGAAGCAAGTAAGTATAGGACTTTGTCTTGGATGTCACAGTAAAATAAAGCACTAGGTAGAACCCTAGGGGCTCAGACTCCAGGCCAGTGCCTGCAGACTGAGCCTCCAGACCTGCCCCCACACCAGGTTGGAACCTGTATCCCCTGTGAGGTAGACTTAATCTTCAGTCTTTATCACCACCAGCCAACTACAGCTGCCTTGGGCTCTGGATAGCCCTTAGTGGTGGGAAGACCTCAGTGGGCATGGTGTTTTGGACATGCCTCAGTGCTGTGCTAGCCTTAGTGGCCGCAGAATTTTAGCCAAGCACCATGCCAGCCACAGTGGTCCCAGGCTTAGAGGTCGCCCATAGTGCTGCAACAATTGCAGCACCGTGGCCCCAGGCTTAGAGTTTACCCCTAGTGCTGAAACAACTGTAGCACATGCTTCTTTTAGCCAAGCATGGTGCTTGGCTAAAATAATAACTGCAACACTAGGACTCACTAATGCTGCAACAACTGGTACTTAGGGTCCATGCCAGATGGCCCATCCAAAATCTCTGAACAGGCTTAGCAATAAAGACAGTGTGAAAAGACTATAGTAAGCACCTACCTGTTCAAATGTGTAGACATTGTTGCATGATATTGTTGCATGACAGCAAGGATCAAGAACAATCAGGAAAACATGATATCACCAAACAGACAAAATAATCTGCCAGTGACTGACCCTAAAGAAATGGACATATATGAATTGTCTTACAAAGACTTCAAAATAGCTCTTTTAAGAAAGTTCAAGGAATTCCATAAAATACAGAGAATGTAAAGAAATAAGGAAAATAATGAGTAACCAGAACAAGAAATTTGACAGAGAGATTGAAATCATAATGAAGAAATTATTAAGCAAAAAAAAAAAAAAAAAAAAAGAAAGAAAAGGATGTGGAGGAAAATGAGTGCATTTGAATTTAAAATAAAGAGTTGAACTTTGATAATAAAAATAAGGATCACATTCTATGGACAAAAAAATTAGTCCAAGGAATGGCATGAGTAAATCTATGAAAGATATTATTGATATGTATCTGCCTGAAAGATAAAGTTTATACAGAATATTAAATGAGAATTAAAGGTAGAGTTATTACTGTGGATGTGAATATGTTTCCCTGAGGAAGAGAATACAGAGATAGAAGAACAAACTCTTGAGAAAAAAAAACCTTTAACTCATTTTATATAATAAAAATAAAGAAATGGTAGATAAGAAAGAATTTTAAAATATGTATAAAATTTACTTGTGCAGTGTCATGGATAGCAAGAGGAAAATGCTTAAATAAATTGCCAATAGTCACTAATCATGAATAAAATGATGAGATCAGGGACTGAAGTATCTGTCTGTCACTTATAACCCAAAAGTCCTTTAAGGAAAGAGACAATAATATATTCTGCTTCCTCTGTAGTCTTCCTAATGCATTAATAGAGTGCTGGGTACATAATTGGTTTATAATAAACACAAAACATATTTAAAATTTATATCTCTTTGCAAAAGAAGGCTTTTCATTACAGAGCTGCATGATTAAATGATGAACAGGACTCACACTTTCCAGTCATGAATTTTTCCAGGAACTCCTCCCAAGTTCCAGGATCTGGGTGCATTTTTGCCATCTGGCGGAAATAATAATAAGACACAGCCACATCTTTGGCATTCCATGCCATGTAGATCATCTGTGGAGAGATTTGAAAAAGCAGGACTTTGTTTCTATTGTCTAATAGTTTTTAAGCTTTTGCTCACTTTAACAGAATGCTTGTTTTCTATTTCCTGATTTTGGCATTTATATCTATATCCTGATGTAGGATACTCAACAATTGTATGTTGTTTTAACATGAAGAGTTCTCATCTCTCACATGCTTACTTTTTCTTTATCTCTCAAAAAGAAAAGAAAAGAACATCTCTCTATCTTGTTTTTGTTTTTTGTTGTTGTTGTTGATGTTTTAAGTGGGAGGTCTCTTTATAATGCAGAAGCTGACCTCAAACTCCTGGGCTTGAGCAATTATCCTACCTATGCCTACGCCTCACCATAGCAGGATTACAGGCATGTGTCACCACCCCAGCAAGAGCATCTCTTGAAACATGAAAAATCAAATCTAAGAATTATAATAAGTATTAAATTAATAAAAACTTAGTTAATATTATGCTTAAATTCAGAATATTTTTCTGCATCATTTATTAAAACTACTAATAAAAAGGATAAGCAATTTTTAAAAGATGAAAAAATGTCCAATATTTTATTGAAAATAAATTATTACTTGGATAAACTCAGAGTCACAAAAGATTAAAACTTCTTTATTCTACCCATGATTGTGGTTACATAACAATCATTGATACTTGTAATTACTGGTGTGAGATTATAATTTAATTTACATATGTGGCCTCAAGTCTTCTTGAAGGCAAAAATGATATTGTTATGTCTCATTGGTAATTAGGTTCGGTTCTCAGGCAAAAATCTATTAAACCTACTTCTCACTTGAAGCACACCTAATAATACTGAGGACTCAGCCACCCATGAAATAAATATATTCCTAAGGGAGTGTGCATTCAGGAAGAAGCCATCTTCCATCTAACATCTTCCATCTAACTTCCTTCGTCCCCAAGTGATGGGCAAAGAAAATAGGAAACTTTATATTCCCAAGTTACTGTTAATAGTTCTCATAGTCTGAGACAAGGATTTGGATTAAAAGGGAGTGGCTGAAAAAGGGTTTTTCAACAGCTTGAGTATATAACTCTAAGAGTTGAGACTGTTGCTGGCATAACTTCTTGAGAAAATAGTAAACCTACAAACATTTCCAGTTACTTCTTATTTCAATTCCGAGAGACTATGATAATAAGCCAACTGTTTACCTATCATCCTCACCTGTAACTTTCTTAGGAACTGTTTCTGCTAGCCTCAGTGTAAAAAGAAGACTATTCAAAGATATCCTCCAGTGCTTGCTCAGGCACCGTGGCTCATACCTGTAATCCCAGAACTTTGGGAGGCCAAGGCAGGAAGATAACTTGATGCCAGGAGGTGCAGACCAGTCTGGCCAACGTAGTATGACATTGTCTCTTCAAATAAAATAAATTAGCCAGGCATGGTGTGGGACACCTGTAGTCCCAGCTACTCCGGGGGGTGAGGCTGGATGATCATTTGAGCCCAGGAGTTGAGGCTGCAGTGAATATGATCATGCCACAGCATTCCAGCCTGAGTGATAGACAAAGCAAGACCCCATTTCTCAAAAGAAAAAAAAATTAAGATATCTTTCAGTTTTCCTAAAAGCAAGCCATGGGTTCCTGGGGCTTCTATAGATTTTTAATACTGGAATTAAGATAATAAATTACATGTCTACTCCCTTATCTCTCTTGTTTTTAATTGGACTTCGAAAGGAAAAAAGAAAGTCACACATAATCACAAGTATAAAAACTTTTTGTATAATAACGATGAAAATATCAGGTTTTCAAATGAAAAAGAACAGCTATTTTCCTCTTTCTATTAAAGGTGCTGGGGTAAAGATGTACTCTAAACATCTCCGTCAAATGTAGGGACTTAGTGATTGTCTACTTCCCATATTCATTTTCACCACTTTACATTTTACACATTGTACTTAACCATTTGTAGATCTCTAACATATCTCTTGCTGTTTCACATCTCTTAACTTATGCATACACAGTTTCCTCTCCGTGAAATGTCCTGTATATGTGAAAATGTCCCTACTCTTTCTTCAGGATGCTGACCAATTTTTTTTCTCTATGAGACTTCTTTGCCAAATAGAATCTTTTTTACATAATGTTTTAGAATATTTTCTAATACATTAAGAAATGGTAGATAAGAAAGAATGTATCTTATTGATAGGTAATTATTTTTCAAATATATCTTGCTGATAGGAATTATTTTTCTTACTGATAGGTAATTATTTTTCTTACCGATAGTTATTTTATCTTACTGATAGGTAATTATTCTTCAAATAGATCTGTTTTTTTCATACTACTTAAGGTATTCCACAGGACTGCATGCTAAACAGGACAAAGGTCACAGACTTTTTTAACCATTGCCCAGTAGAGTACAGGGAAGTGACTGGCATGCAGAAGAAGCTTGATGGTATTTGTAGAAATTAAGTAAAATTCAATTAGATGGCAGATAATGTATTATTTATGTTTGTATTTATAATACCAGTCACAATATTTGGTAGATACACAGTAACATTTCCATATATGATTACTGATTAAATGCTTATTGACTGATTTTGCTTATAAAAACGGAAACAGACAGAGTTGAAAGGAGAAATAAAGAATTTATAGTCAAATTTCAATACACTTCTCCAAGCAACTGATAAAATATTATTGAGAAAGTGGGCCGGCAATGGAGTGGCTCATGTCCATAATCCTGGCATTTTGGGAGATGGAGTCAGAAGGATTGCTTGAGGCCAGGGGTTCAATACCAACCTGGGCAACACGGTAAAACCCCATCTCTACATAAAATTTTTAAAAAAATTATCCAGATGTGGTGGCACATGACTGTGGTTCCGGCTACTCAGGAGGCTGAGGCTGAAGGATCACATGAGCCCAGGAGTTTGAGGCTGCAGTGAGCTATGCTTATATTACTATACTCCAGTCTGGGTGACAGAGTGATATTTTATCTCTAAAAGAAAATTAAAAAATACATGAAGAGTGAGAAAGGTGACATCTGGACAGATTTTACAAATATTAAAGGAATATTGCAAACAATTTTATTACAAAAATTTGACAATTTAAACAAAATAGATCAATTTTTTTGAAAGACACAAAATACCAAACATTAAGTCAGGAAAGGAACATAAGCAGAATGCTCCTATTTCTGTTAACTACAGTGACTTCGTAGAAAAACAAACAAACAAACAAACAAAAAAGCCTTTCAGACAAAGAAAATTTCAGGTTCAGCTGGCTTCAATGGTACAAATTATTTAAGACTAAAATGACAATGATTTAACCAAACACTTCTGAAAAACTGAAGAAGAGCAAATACTTAAATATTTTCCAACTCCTGAGGCCAGAACTACCTTAATATCAAAGCCATTGCAGCCAATGACAAAGACATCACAGAAAAATAGAACTATGGATCAATATCATTCATGATCAAAAGTGCATTTTTAAACTAGATAACCAAATCAAAGAATATATTAAAATATAATAATACACATAACTAAAAACAAGGTATGCAAAGTCATTTTAACATTTGGAAATCAACCAATGAAATTTATCATATTAATTGACTAAAATAATGGAAAGTCATATGATAGATCTTAATGGAGAAAAAGCATTAGACAAAATTCAACATATACAAGGTTGTTTTAACATTGAAAAATCTGACTGAGTGCGGTGGTTCATGCCTGTAATCCCAGCACTTTGGGAGGCAGAGGCGGATGGATCACCTGAGGTTAGGAGTTCGAGACCAGCCTGACCAATATGGTGAAACCCTGTCTCTATTAAAAAATACAAAAGTTAGCCAGACATGATGGCATGCACCTGTATTCCCAGCTACTCAGGAGGCTGCCTGGAGTGCAGCCTGGACTCCAGAACGAGACTCCATCTCAAAAAAAAAAAAAAAATCAGTTAATGTAATTCATCACATTAAAAGAAAAAAATGACGGTAAACTGTATGATGGATCTTAATGGACACCAAGAAAGTATTAGACTGAATCCAGGATGCATGACTAATAAAAACCTTGGAAAGGAATTTCCTCAGCCAAATAAAAGTATCTACAAAAATAAAACAGGTAATACCATCATACTTAACAGTGAACTATTGCATGCACTTTTCATAAAATCAAGAGTAAGACAAGATGTCTGCCCTCACTACTCCTATTTGACA
This sequence comes from Homo sapiens, assembly GCF_000001405.40. NCBI lineage: Eukaryota > Metazoa > Chordata > Mammalia > Primates > Hominidae > Homo > Homo sapiens. The sequence goes on from NC_000004.12 coordinate 69,805,041, forward strand.
TTATAGTAGACATTGTATCCAGTTTATTAAGGCAAGAAAAAGAGTGAAATGTACCCAGATTAGGCAAAAGGAATTTGCTGACAGCAGGAGCGTATATATACAAAATTAAATGGAATTTATTAAAAAGCTATTAGATTTATTAAATAAGTTTAGCAAGATTTTAGAAGAAAATATCAAATTGTAAATATTACTTTTATGTCTATGTATTATTGTGAAATTGAACTAAGCTTGAACTAAAGCTACCTCCATGCATAGCAAACAGTAACCTCACTTAATGCATAAACACCCTGCAACCTAACCTGAGTGTATACTCTCCTAACAAGTTGCTGAATTTCAACCAGTCATAGCAACCAAATGTTAGCCAATCATAGGCTGAAAGCTGCAAACTATGATCAAATAAGGCAACTGCCAAACTGCAGCCTATTAAGCTGTTTCTGTATCCCATTTCCATTGGTTTGGTTATAAATATTGTCTGCTCACTTTGTGGGATATAGCCTCTGAACCACTTTTGATCCCGAATTCTATCTGGTTCATAAAATTTGTTCTGCTCAATTAAAATCTGTTAAATTTAACTTGTCTCAGATTTTTTCTTTTACACTAGCAGAAAACATTTGGAAAATAACACATGGACTTGTGCGTGTGTACAAGGGAGAAAGAGTGGGACAGAGAATTACTATTTTGTTAGAAATTTTTAAAAAGACTGTCATTCCTTGTAAGTACAGATATTTGGCTCTAAAGGTAATAACTAAAACAATAAAGCCTCTAGACGTAAACAGAAGGGAGAATATCTCATGATTTGGGGTAGGCATTTTTAAAAACAAATAAAAAGCCCTAACCATAAAGGAAAAACCATATGTATCGATCACAAAAAGAAAAGTGAAAATACAAAAATAAAACAGTAAGTTAAGATATAAGAAATATAATCTTCTCATCAAAGAATTTGCATCCAGAATATATAGAGAACTTCTCACATCCAGAATATATAGAGAACTTCTCGCTTAATAATAAAGAGAAGGTACCTCCTACAGGAAAAGAGGCAAAAGATTTAAATAGGTATCTCAAAAAAGACATCTGGATGGTCAATAAGCCATGTAAAGGGGCTTCATCTAATAAGTCATTAGGGAAATACAAAGTAAAGCAACAGTGCAATGCCACCAGACATTTACTAGTATGGCTAAAATTAAATATTATAGCTATATTCTGTGTTGGCCAGGATGTGGCATAACTTCAAATGTTATACAATGCTGATCAAAGTGAAAACTGGTGCATACGTTTTGAAAAACATTTGGAAATATCTCCTAATTTGGATAAATGCATAACTTAAGATCCAGCAGTTTTATCCCAAGATATATAACCAAGAGAAATCTGTGAGTATATGTGAAATAAAAGACTTGTATAAAAATGAGAATAGCAACACTGTTTTAATTACTGAAAACTAGCAACATTCCAACTTCACATCAATAGTACCATGATGATATGGTTTGGCTGTGTCCTCACCTGAATCTCATCTTGAATTGTAGCTCCCATAATGCCCCTGTGTTGTGGGAGAGACCCTGTGGGAGGTAATTGAATTACGGAAGTGGGTCTTTCCCATGCTGTTCTCATGATAGTGAATAAGTCTCACAAGATCTGATGGTTTTATAAATGGGAGTTTCCCTACACAAGCTCTCTCATTCTCTCTTGTCTGCTGCCATGTAAGATGTGTCTTTAACCTTCTGACATGATCGTGAGGACTCTCCAGTCACATGGCATTGTGAGTCCATTAAACCTCTTTTTCCTTATAAATTACCCAGTCCTGGATATGTCTTTATGAGCAGTGAGAAAACAGATTAATACAGTAAATTGGTACCAGTAGAGTGGGGTGCTGCTATAAAGATACCCAAAAATGTGGAGGCGACTTTGGAACTGGGTAAGAGGGAGAAATTGGAAAAGTTTGGAGGGCCTAGAAGAAGACAGGAAAATGGGTGAAAGTTTGGAACTTCCTAGAGACTTGTTGAATGGCATTGACGAAAATGCTGACAATGATATACACAATGACAATGAAATCCAGGCTAAGGTGGTCTCAGATGGAGATGAGAAACTTATTGGGAGCTGGAATAAAGGTGACACATCCTACATTTTAGCAAATAGACTGCTGGCATTTTTCCCCTGCCCTAGAAATTTGTAACTTTGAACTTCAGAAAGATGATTTAGGGTATCTGGGGGAAGAAATTTCTAAGCAGTAAAGCATCAAGAAGTGACTTGGATGCTGTTAAAAGCATTTAGTTTTAAAAGCAAACACAGCATAAAAGTTTGAAAAATTTGCAGCCTGATGATGCACTAGAAAAAAGAAAAACACATTTTCTAAGGAGAAATTCAAGCCAGATGCAGAAATTTGCATAAGTAATGAGGAGCCAAATGTTAATCATCAAGACAATGGGAAAAATGTCTCCAGAGCATGTCAGAGACTTTTGTGGAAGTCCCTTCCATCATAGGCCCAGATGCATAGGAGGAAAAAATGGTTTCATGGGCCAGGCCAGGCCCCCCTACTGTGTGCAGGCTAGGGACTTGGTGCCCTGCATCCTAGCTGCTCTAGCCATAGCTAAAAAGGGTCAAGGTACAGCTTGGGCTGTAGCTTCAGTGGGTGCAAGCCCCAAGCTTTGGCAGCCTCCATGTGGTATTGAGCCTGTGGATGCACAAAAGTCAAGAATTGAGTTTTGGAAACCTTCGCCTGGGTTTCAGAGGATGTATGGAAATGCTTGAGTGGGTCCAGAAATAAGTTTGCTGCAGGGGAAGGTCCCTCATGGAGAACCTCTGCTAGGGCAGTGAGGAAGGGAAATGTGGGGTGGAAGCCCCCACACTGAGTCCCCACTGGGGCACTACCTAATGGATCTGTGAGAAGAGGGCCACCATCCTCCAGATCCCAGAATGATAGATCCACAGACAGATTGCACCTTGTACCTGTAAAAGCCACAGAAACTCCCTAGCCAGACTATGAAAGCAGCTGAGAGGGAGGCTCTATCCTGCAAACCCAGAGACAGAGCTGCCCAAGACCATGGGAACCCACCTCTTGCATCACTGTTACCTGGATACGTGACATGGAGTTAAAGGAGATAATTTTGAAGCTTTAAGATTTGACTGCCCCACTAAATTTTGTACTTGAATGGGGCCTGTAGCCTATTTGTTTAGTCAATTTCTCCCATTTGGGACAGCTGTATTTACCCAATGCCTGTACCCCCATTGTATGTAAGAAGTAACTAACTTGCTTTTGATTTTACAGGCTCATAGGTGAAAGGGCCTTTCCTTGTCTCAGATCAGACTTTGGACTGTGGACATTTAAGTAAATGCTGAAATGAGTTAAGACTTTGGGGAACTGTTAGGAAGGCATAATCAGTTTTGAAATGTGAGGACATGAGATTTGGGAGAGGCTGGGGCAGAATGATGTGATTTGGCTCTGGGGAGAGTGTCCCCATCCAAAGCTCATCTTGAATTGTAGCTCCCATAATTCTCACATGCTATGGGAGGGACCTAGTGGGGGGTAATTGAATCATGGGGACATGTCTTTCTCATGCTGTTTTCATGATAGTGACTAAATCTCACAAGATCTGTTGGTTTTATAAAGGGGAGATTCCCTACACAAGCTCTCTCATTCTCTCTTGTCTACCACCATGTAAGATGTGTCTTTTACCTTCCACCATAATTGTGAGGCATCCCCAGCCACGTGGAACTGTGAGTCCATTAAACCTCTTTTTCTATGTAAATTACCCAGTCTGTAGTATGTCTTTATGAGCAGCATGAAAACAGACTAATACACATGGATAAGTAACTTGTGGAATATTCACATACACATAATGGAATGGTTTCAGTCAATCATAGGTTTTCAAATGTTAGAATGAATCAATTTCACATGGGGGTCCTGTTAAAACTCAGATTTCTGAGTCCTATCTCCATAATATTTGGTTCAGTAGGTCTGAATGGGGAACAAGATTTTGCATATCTAACTAGCAGCTTTTTGCTCCCATCTTGGGATCCAACAGGCTTCATCAAAGGAAACAAAACAAAAATAAAATAGCAAGCACAACAGTGATAGATCTCACAGATATTATGTTGAATGGAAGAAGTCAAATATTCAAGAGTATATACTCTACAATTACAGACAAAAAAAGGCAAAGTAATGCATGAAAACATTCAGGATAGTGGTTATCTTTGAAGATAAGGGTTACTGACTAGAAGTATGCAGGAACAAAGCTTTTGGGGTGCTAGCAATGTTCTATATTTTTTATCTGGGTGCTGATTTCATGGGTACACTCACTTTGTTAAAATACATCAAGCTGCATACATAGGATTTATGGACTTTTCTATCTAAATACTACACTTGAATTAAAATATTTATTTTAAAAATTTAAAATAAATTTTTAAATATAAAATCTTATATTACTTGTAGCCTGTACCCAATTATAAATGCATATTTGTAAACTACAATTATGCTAAATAATGAAGAAGCAGTTCAGGAGTTATTTGAATATCCATTGTTTAAAAGCAACTGACAATGACTCAAAGGATTTAGAGAATGACAGGCATGTTGAGAAAAGTTGATAGGTTCTCAGTGCTTGGGCATTGAGTGTAACCCCTAGCTACAACATTGGTGTCCACTGGTGTTACTTTGATCTGTGGGATATAGGAGCCACATTATTATTTTGCAATTACTTATCTAGAGGTTGCAACCCCTCACCTTGTGTTTCTGCATAATTGGTAAAAAAAATTTACAACACAAATAAGAATTATATCTCTTTAAAATTTGCTATCTTACAGTTATTCTTCCAAAATGAAGAAGGGAGAAGTTGAACAGGCAGGTGTGTTTTCACTAATTGAGGAGACTGCATGTTTTGCAACTGCTCAACACCTACAATCACAAAAAATTAACAAACTACCATGTAAACATAGAATTATAAATATGATTTACAATATAATCTAAGATTTTCTAAACCCCACTATATGGCTTAAAATGGCTATATGACTTCATATACTCTTAAAATCTACACTGAGATTAAAAAAGATAAACTCTGAGAAGACTCTTTTATGCCTATGAGCAACATAAGACTATCATCTTCATAAGTGGCTATAAAATCCTCAGATAGAACACCTTGATGAGGTAGAAAGAGCTACAGGTCAAGAATCATAATGTCTAGAATTTTTCTTCATTTATATTCTTCTGTTTATCATTTATGATATGAGAAAATTGCACTAGAGGATTTCAAAATCCCTTTCCAGCTCTCCCATATTTGAATTCTAAGATTGAACTAGGCCATGAAGCTTATGGCTATTTTTTTAATTTAATAATGCAAGATCGTATATCCATATCTCTTTTCCTTGAGTTTGTAAATATGAGATAACTTGTAGTATACATGATTCTATATTGAATCAAATATTGAAGTTTGTCTATATAATGATTACCTAATAATTAAACATTTAAAACTTCCATCTGTCTTTGAAAGAAAACATGCTACATACATTAAAATCTTCTCTTATGCATATATTACCCTTGGATGGAGGAAGAATATAATATGATTATTGGCACAGTCAGATTCTGACTCCTCTATTACAGATGCTTATGATTCAATTGTCCAAGCTTGTCATTTTCTGTCATGACTCCTCCAGATATCTTAAAAAAAAAGGGGGGGGAATTTACTCTTGTAGTGAAAAGAGACATTTAAAAAAATACCATTTGTGAGTCCAGGAATTATAAGTTCCATGAAAGTCACTCGCTTGTATATTGCATCACGTTTACATTTCTCTGCATCCCCATTGTTAAAGATCAAATCCAATATTTCACTGATCCAGGTCATCCCTAAGGAAAGAAAATATTAACAAAACTTTAAACTTTTCTGTCAAAAAGAGTATAAGATAATCAGTGGCTGTAGAGAAGTTGTGTAACAATATCTAAAACAAAAATGTATTCTTTATTTCCACTCCCTTTCTTCTCCCCTTTCCTAGGAACCATCCTTATCTATCTTTTGTTTTTGTTTTTTGACATAGGGTCTCACTCTGTTGCCCAGGCTGGAGTGCAGTGGCAGAATCATGGCTCACTGTAGCCTTGGCCTCCTGGACTCAAGCAATTCTCCCATCTCAGCTTTCTGAGTAGTTGGGACTAAGTTGTGCACCATCACTCCCAGGTAAACTTTTTAATTGTTTGTAGGAAAGGGGCCTCACTGTGTTGTCCAGGCTCTTATTTATCTTGAACATACATATAATTTTTGTGTGTGTGTAAAATGTGATTAAAATATCATACAAATAAGACCCAAAAAGGAGGTAAAAGAGGAAGTATTAAACAGACAGGTTGTGAGTAATGATAACGTACTCTCTGGGGTAAAATGGGTGGAGGAAGTGGCCAACTTCAATGTCTATCAGTTTGTAAATTTCCTACTAATATCAAAAAGTTTATTAGAATTGAATTGCATTTCAGGTAAAAATGTTCTAGATTTGGTGAAAGGGTAAAGAAGGAAAAGAAAAAATCTTGGCAATTTTCCATGCAGTGACCAGTGTGCCACTCACAAAAAAAAGACAATAGATTCTGATTGAGTAGAGTGGATCAAGATACTCTGACCATTATGATATTGTGTCTCACCAGTTATTTGAGAAATGTATCTAAATCATATGTGCCTATGGTATACTTAATTGTACATTCAACAGTCAGATTATTGAGGCACTGCTAAAAAAAAAGAAATATAAGACATAGGAAATAAGTATCTCCTTAACTGTTCCCATTTTCTTCCTCTTTACCAAAGGTATAATGATAAATTAAATAATAGGAGGCAGTAACTAAAATATTAAGTTAATTAGTTAATCATTTGATTAAGCCATGCACACGACAACATTTTTAAATAATGATCTATATGTAGATACACATTTGGATTGCACCCAGATACTACAGCACATTAGGCCCCCTTTTTGGTCTTTTCTTGTGGTCAACTCTTCCTCCTTCTTGTCCCCAAATCATGAGTACCTGTACTAGGCAATCTCCCCAATCCTATCACAGATTTAGTACTAAAAAACAGATGAGCCAAATCAGTACCAACGTTGAACATTTTGCTGCTTGATCTGGTTTAGGCTTAAGCAACGATTCATGAGTTAAAAGAGAGAGAAGGAGAGAGACCTAAATTTCAAAGTACAATGTAACTCATTTTATCTCTTATTGGGGAAAGTTTTAAATTGCGGCCCTTGAAGTCTGACTGAAAGAAATACCAATTTAGCTGTTTTGTATGCTTTGTAATGAAAAAGTCTGTGGACTTTGTAGAGAAAAAAAATAGCACATGGTTTAGCTCACCTAAGGAGATAGTTAACTTGTACCTTTTGTAACAATGTTAATAAGGCACTAATATATTAATAATTTTAAAACTTTAAGACATGTTCACACCCATGTGTAAAGGAAACAATGACAAAAACCTACGAAAAAGAATGTTAAACTATGTGTATACTTCTCTGCAGAGTTCACAGAGAAAAATAAAATAAAAATAAAAAATAAACTATGTGTAGCCATTTTAGCTTTTACTATACTAGAAAAAGTTTAGCTTCAATGAGTATCTTGTAGATGAACTATTTGTATAATGGTACCTTTCAAAGATTATCTTAATGGTTTTCTTCTTTTGAATATATCCAAAAATAGCAAAAACAAAAGGACGTGTACATTCTCAGTAACTGACTTCCCTTCTCTAAACACTTATTTCAACAATGAAATGAAATGCGGTTTTAGTCTTAAACAATTTGGGTTTGGTGAACTACTCAGAAAGCAAGGTAAGTAGTAAGAAAATAAAGATGCTTTGTCAAAACAAGTTAGTTTTTTACATGTACCAAAATCTGTATTGTGCATTGTTTACTTCCTAGAAGAAGCTCTTTGTTCTCATACAGGTTCACAATTTTGGCAGATTAACATCCCTCAAATTCAGGGCTTTCCTCCTGAGACTTGTTACACATTACTTTAAAATAATTTTGATATTTTTGATAATTTTGATATACATAATATAAAATAATCAGTACACAATATGTTTACTTGAAATGTATTTCTTTAAGAAATTAAATAGGAATATAAAGGAAATTTGCCTTTAGGGGGTTTGGTAATTATGGGACAGTTGATTAATTGTGGACTAAATTAATTTAACTGAACAAAAGGCTAGAAAGAGCCTCATCTGTGATATATCTCTGCACGACTATCACTGGGTAAATCAGAAGATTCTGTCATAGCAGATATGGAGAAATAAAAATTGTTGATTCTTAATAAGTCATCTTAAGTTTTTCTGAGATTGTATACTGAAATCAGCAGTTGTTTAAATATACAAACAAAATATTTAAATATCAAAATGTATAGAATATGTATATTCCAATATATCTGATATGTGTGTGTATATAATGGAATATACATATTCTAATGTATCCAAAACATATATATATACAGTTTTAATAATTTCTATTTGAATTTAAAAAGAAAAACAAGAAAACGACATTAATTTTTCTCTCAGATATATTCTTTATTCAATTGGTAACCTTTCAGAATAGGAAGTAAATTAGTCTAACTTAAGATGACACTCTCACAGCAACCACCACAGGGTTTCCTCAAAAAATGTTTAATAATTTCAAGTTAGACCTGACTAATAATCTGTAAATCAGTGGGTTTACACATATGGATCACTATCAAATCATTGAGTACAAACAAATGAAAATGTCTTCCAGATTTGGGATAGGTAGAGATCAGAATATCATCTGGTCAGGCCTCAAACAATTCTACTTGAAACCACTCTTCAGCAATGCTCTAGAAAAGGGGAATCCCCTGAACATCCACTAACTCCCTTCTGAAGACACGCTGCTCATTGTCCATTTTGAGGAAACTAGATATTGACCAAAGTGTAGTATCAATCAAATCAAACAATAGGTTAATATTTTAGTAGTATTATCATCACTCTAGCTCCAGCAGCATTAGATTTTAATACTATGGATTTTGTACTGTTCATTTATTACATAAGGCTAGCACTTTTTATTGGCAAAATTACTTTTATAGCATTTCCTCAGGCAAAATTTTCTGAGATACATAATAAATTTACTGAACTTTGGAGTCAGGTGAAAAGTGCCTTAATTGCAGTGCCATTGTGTCAGGCAGGTATTGCTAACACAGGCCTCCATAACAACTGTTTCAGCACTGACTGAGTGGTTAATTTAGATATTAAAAGTTCATAGAGGCAGTGCCCTTATACAAAGGCTGGAATGTAACAAAGGCCTACCAAGAGTTTTGGCTAGGCCTTTCCTGGGCCTTGAAGCATGACAAGATAAGGAAGGCATTCTTAACAGGACCCATTTAAGATTAAACAAGCTTTATTGGGGGTCTGAAAGAAAGCCCTCAGGCCTTCACAAACAAGTTTATTGGGGGTCTGAAGGAACTCCCTAAACCTCCATGATTTAGCAAGAGACAAGGATAATCACCCAAGCACCGGGACCCATTTAGATTAAGTAAATTTACTGAGACTGCAAAGGAACGTCTTCAGGACTCAGATCTTAGTTATAGATTAAAAGAAGTTAATCACTTATGCCTTGAGATAAATTCGCACTTACATGTAGACATGTAGCTTAGAAGGTGTATAAGCTCTGGAAAAACTGTGATTTTGAGTCGATCTGGCAATAATCTCCAGACCTTCTCCCTGTAATCGGTTACAGAAATAAAAACTCCCTTCTCTCTCAGTTTATCTGCATCTGGTTATTGGGCCATGAGAATAAGCATCTCGACCCTCAGTTTGGTCCGGGAACAACATCAATTCATTGCAGCGGGAACTTAAACAAGTTCTGTAACTGCACGGATCTTCTTAACTATAAAATCAAGGGTGGCCTAATCAATACTTCCCTCCCTTAAATTATAGGTGGACCAATGAATTATTCTATCTAAATTATCTATAACAGACCACAAGTGTGAGAGAAAATGCGCATTGGGGTGGGGCAGGGTCTAGCAAAGAAATTAATGACAAAAGGTTAAGGTTAAAGAAACAAGTTTAAGGTAAGTGAAGTCTTGGAGAGATAATGAATACCTTGTGTAAAAGTTAAAGAGAGGAAAGAAACACGAAAAACCTCTTGCTTCTCAATTTCTTCATTTATAAAATAAGAGATTGAAATATATTCTGACCTAGAGCCCTTCCAAATCTATTTTTCTATGAATTTGTGACTATTTTTGAACTCAAAATCGTGGGTTAGCCATAATGAAAGTCTGGTTATGATCTACATTATGATGCTAAAAAATCTAAACCCTACAGATGAAATATAGTCAGATATATCAGATGATTTTTCAAGAGATCATATCACAGTACATTTATATTGCAATTACATATTAAAGTGTGCATACGTATATATAAGACACACTGATCAGTACATTCATTTCATTGAAAGCTTTAAATATAATTTTCTATGTATTATGGTCAATAGTTATTGAAGCATCTACCATGTGCAATGCATACACAGCTATTGCTTATTTTTGTAAGATCTGATCTCAATAAATGTGCAATTCTTAAAAATAAAAATGTTTATATGAGAAAGCTAAATGGATTCAAGTCTCACAAAATAGAAGGATACAATGATAAAAATTCAAAGAAGGAGAACATCTAATTGGGGAAACTATGAGAAACCTGAAGAATTGTGATAGCATTTGAGATCAGGTGTCAGAGATTGGAAGGAATTTCCTGAGCATAGACACTATGATCATTCGTGTAAGTGTGCAATGCATGAACAAAGGTAAAGGAGAAGAAAAGTGTGAAAAAAATGTCCAGTGTAGAGTGAGTAGGTCATATTGACTGGAGCTTACTACATAATTAGGAGTGTAGCTCATTCATTCATTGATAACGTTAATAATATCTATTAAGTGCCAACTATGTGCCAACGATTGCTCTGGCATAAGACAGAAAAGATTTTGCCTACATAAAATTTGCTTTCTGGTGGGTAATCAAAGATATGACTAAAAAATTATTTCCATTGTAGACAGTTGTGAATTTGGGGCTTCTAAGGGCTACTTAAGATTGTGAACAGAGAAATGATATGATGTGACTGCTAAGGAAATGTGAGAAAGGGTTAAGAGGGGATGAATGTAAATAAAGAAACGTGATTTTTCTCATAAACTCCCAATGCCCTTTCAATGTTGAAACACAGTATAAACAGTAAAATCCATATGTGTCTTTATTTTTATATGGTATTTGATATTTTCGACCATGTATTTTCCTTGGAACTCTCTTCTCTTGATTTCCGTGTTACCGCATTCTCAATTTCCCAAAGGAGTATTTCTATTTTATTTAGGCCAGAAATGTTATTCTTCCTTGGAGCTCCATACTTGGCTCTTTTATCTTACTTTACACACTTCCCCATGGTTTTAACAAGCATCTATAAGCTGATGCCTCAAGAATGCAGATTTATCTTTAGTTTTATTTTATGGCCTGAGTTCCAGACCTATGGAGCCAGCTACTCTTGCCCATTTTCCTCTAGAAATTCCCTGGGCATTTCAAATTCAATAACATAAATTTAACCTGTTAGCCTTACTCTCCACTGAACCAGTTCTTGTCCCAGATTCCTGTGTACTTAATATTTTAGTGAAACTATATTTACCCTATTGCACAACTCAGAAATATGGGAATAATTTTAGAATCTTGCATATTCAATTGATTCACAAATCTAGTTGCTTTATCTTCTAAGTATCCTTCAGAATAGCAACTTTTCTTCATGAAGTGGCTTAGTGGTTAAGACTGTAAGGTCTCTAGGTTCAGAGTTCATATGTTAGGTCTGCTAACCAATGTGATTCTGGACAAATCATGAACCTAGGTTTCATTTTCCTAATCTTAAAATGGAAGTAATAATTTACTTTATAGAACTCTTGTGATGAAGAAATAAGATAATGGGTTCAGTGTGTATGTTGATAAAACATAATAAATGGTAGCCATTATTAATATTATCATTATTATTGCCAAAAATAACCTGCCCTAATTTATTTCCTTACTATTACCTATCTTGTACTATGGCAAAGGTCTTAAAATTAGTCCTCCTATTCTCAAGTTTAGTTCCTCCCCTTCTCCATTGATTGAGATCAATGAGATCTTCCTAAAACCTGACCACAACACCATCATCTAAATGATAAAGTTTAAAGATCTTTACCACGGATTTTACATTCAAACTTCTCCGACTTTCCCTGTTTCCCTCTAGCACAGTTAGGCTTTAGCCTTCAGCAAGAAGGCCATATATATATATATGTGTGTGTGTATATATATATATATATATGTATATATATATATATGTATATATATATATGTGTATATATATATATATTTCTTTTTTAAGCATAGATCCGTCCCCCTCACACTAAGCTGTTGCACTTGCATGTCTCATTTTTCAAGCTAAGACCCTTAATTTCTTTGTCTACCTAGAAAACTCCTATTCATTTCTCAAATATCTTTTACAAGTCACATCCTCTGAATAGTCTTTCCAGTGGTCCACAGACAAAATGAGTTATTCTCTTTTCTCCATTTCCATATCTTGAATATGATGCTATTATTTCATATATTCCACTGTGTTATTATTACTTATTTAATCTGTTTCTCCAATTAGAGTTTAGATTTCTTGTCTTAGGATTGGGACATATATTTGACTTTCTAATTCCAAGACCTATACTTGAGGTAAATAAATGTATATTGAAATGAAATGAAATTTCTCTAGTACACTAGGTAAAACTATCAGGAATTAAGTTATTTATGTTTACCATTGTATAATAATTTTGATCATTAAGTTACCACTTTAGGATATACTGAGAAGTATTAGTAGGTGTAGTGAATTCTTATAATTTTACGTTTCTTCTGCATCCATTTGAATATAAGCCACACTTTATCATACCAGAAGCAGTAGGCACCCTTGACACAGTTTCCAATTCTCTGCCCCCCTCAGTCCCTCAGTGTGGTGACCACCTCCCTATGGGACAGCAAGAGACAACCTACTTACTCACCCCACTAATGTGCACACCCTACATGGACTGCACAGATATGCTGCAGGGACCATCTCTCAGTCACAGTGTGCACATGAAACTTGCTCTTGCTTGCCATGAACCCACCAATTAAAACTTCCTGTGGGAAACCTGCTTGGGTAAATCTCTGAACCCCACTAAAGGATTTGGCCACAACTCCCTCCCTCTTTCTCTCCCTTGCTCCCCACTTGCAGACTGAACACAAGTGTCCTGGACAGCTCCCTCCTTCCCTTTGGTGCTGTGCGGGGCATACTGCCCTCTTCTCTTTGGATCTGTAAGTAATAAACTACCTCAGTTATTTTATGTGTTTTGTTGATTTGCTACTCTGTGTCTGTCTGATTGACACACCCAAGTCTAACTTCTTTCCTAGTCAGAGCTTTCACAGATAATGGTTATCTTGGTAGGAATAAACTTGACATTGATCAGATAAGAGCCACAGGATTGTCTGCCAGTGTAAACAAATTTCCTATGAGAGAGACACCTGGTCTCAGATCAGATCCTTAAGCATTAGATTGTCCACCAGAATAAAGAAGTATCCTGTGAAAAGCACATTGTAAACATCCACATCCAAATACTCTGGAGCCCCAACAGGGCACAGCTAAATTTTATAGCCATTCTCCTGAGAGAGACCTCAAGACCAAATTTAAAAAAAGATAGACAGAGTCCCACTCAGAATGAAATTAAGATATTCTAAATGATTATTCAAAACAAACACAACAGTGCATATATTATATTTTTAATCTTCATTTAAGAATCTACTAGGTTTAGTTTTATAATCCAATTTTAAGGCTACTCTGTCAACAAGTGGCAGAGTAGATTGGATTGGAACCCAGATAGTTTGACTCCAAGGCCTGCAATCTTAATTACTATTCTATACTGTGTTGTAAACATTGAAAAGACAAAAAAATACAAGGTTACATAAGAGAAGTGCCAAACTATGGTGAGGTGGTTGGCAAAGCTATAATAAAGGCTTTTGACCATGAAATTTGGTTAAATGAAGGTACAGAAGAGTACTCTAGATTGAAAAGATAGGAAAACAGTATCATATTTGGCTCAATATCTCATACAATGAAGTACATTATAAATATATGAGAGTGTATACTCATATGTGAGGTATATACTAAAGAGCATATTAAATAACTTAGAAAAGCTGAATCACACTACCAATTTGTTTTAATAATATTTGTCCTTTAGTACTCACATATTTTACCTAATTATATAAAATGTAAAATTTAATTTGCAATCATTTCTGATGGGAGAAATTATACATTTTGAACCTTATTTCATGTGTGAAAACCATTATGAAATACATTTTAACTTGATTAATATACAGTTCTTTGTAACTTCTGAAATATGTGATTTGTGAATATATGTGATTATGGAGCACACTTTGAAGGGGAAAAATCAAATAAACATGTTTTAATATTTCCTGAATCTGGTTTAAATTTTGTATATGAGTTCAATATTCTAGATTAGCATGATTATTCCTAAAAGACTCACAACCAAAGTACGTATGGAAGAAATGTAGTCAAATTAAACTTACCTTTAAATTCCTGAGAGCTTTTAATAAATATTCTCAGATGAAGAATCAAAGAGAAAAATTCATTAAAATGATAGTGCCCTTGAGTGGTATATAACTTAATATGTGAAAGAAATTGAGTTGTTGAAAGCTCAGGAAATGTTGAAAGAAGATGATTGTTTCCCTTAGGCCTCTTCTTTGTTTACTTCTCTGAACGTGTCCCTTGAAATATAATGTCCTCTGGAGTATAATTATAAGACCTTGGGAACAATGCAACATTCCACATGTTGATAATAGTCAGGGTTAGTCTATGTTAACCTGAACAAAACTATTGACACGCATATTCATTAATGAGTTAAAATAAGCAAATATTGTACCAAAAGATATTATGTGCATTAACCATGAAAAGTGAATACTAAAGTGATAATAGTCAATTCATTATTCTCCTAAAAAGTGATATTTTTATATTCAACAGATCCTTGACATAGACAGGACAGATTTTATTAACTCCTTTTTAAATATGTAAAAACTAAAATATTTTAATAGTTGGAATGCTGTTAATTTCTGGGGCTCTTCTAGGCATAAGATTGAGAGCCTGAAAAGAGGCATTTGGGTCCAGTTCTTCCACAAACCAGCAGTACGACCCTGAGCTACATATCTCATATTGCTGAGCCATATTTTACTTGTCTAAAATAATATGAGAAATGTATAAAATGATCACTTCAGTTTGTTTTCTTTCTTTCTTTCTTTTTTGCCTTTTAGTGAATCTTTTTAAAAATTATTATTATATTTTAAATTCTGGGGTACATGGGCAAAACATACAGGTTTGTTACATAGGTATACGTGTGCCATAGTGGTTTGCTGCACCCATCAACCCATCATCTACATTAGGTATTCCTAATGCTATCCCTCCCCCACCACTCCCCAACCCCCGACCGGCCCCAATGTGTGATGTTTCCTCCCTGTGTCCATGTGTTCTCATTGTTCAACTCCCACTTATGAGTGAGAACATGTGGTGTTTGATTTTCTGTTCTTGTGTTAGTTTGCTGAGAATGATGATTTCCAGCTTCATCCACGTCCCTGCAAAGGACATGAACTCACCCTTTTTTATGTCTGCATAGTATTCCACGATGTATATGTGCCACATTTTCTTTATCCAATCTATCATTGATGGGCATTTGGGTTGGTTCCAAGTCTTTGCTGTTGTGAGAAGTGCCACAATAAACATACATGTGCATGTGCCTTTATAGTAGAATGGTTTATAATCCTCTGGGTATATACTTAGTAATGGGATTGCTGGGTTAAATGGTATTTCTAGTTCTAGATCCTTGAGGAATCACCCACACTGTCTTCCACAGTGGTTGAACTAATTTACGCTCCCACCAATAGCGTGAAAGTGTTCCTATTTCTCCACATCCTCTCCAGCATCTGTTGCTTCCTGACTTTTTAATGATCACCATTCTAACATTATACAAATCTAAGTAAAATGAATGTTCTTTGATTACTAAATTATATACTTCAATAAATCACAACAGCAGAAACAAGAAACAAATGAAGAGTTGAACAAAACACCCATTTATTGCTAGAAAATTCCAACAGAATATCATCAGTTAAAACACTGTTTTTTAATAAATCCCAATGTTTATAGAATTTATAAAAACTTAAAATTAATGCAAAACTATCCTACGTTTTTCACACAATGTTCAGCGGTTTATCACTGTAATAAATAACCCAATTTCATATCTTATGATTACAGTTTGTTTAATAGTCTGTTGATACCTAAGAATAAGGCTGTATTATTTTTCCATACACTATACCTTATAAAAAATCTTAGTTCATGTTATCAAATTTGATTGGCATAAAACATGGAGCAACATTAAGACACAGATATGAAAGGGCTGGATTTGAAGTTAGAACTATTCTTCCCTTATGCAGCCAAATTATCTGTCATTTGAATATCCTTTGCTTTTCTTCACTTTTCTCCTGTCAGTTAATACAGAAGACAGTTTCTCTATCAATGAAGATCCATGGCCATCATATCTAGATCATTCCATCCTGACAGATACTTTCATTCGTGTGTCTCTAAACTCCAATCCTTAGCAGGATGCTCTCCTTCCTAGCATGGGAACCTCAGGCTACCCAGCTGTCCCTGGCTACTTTTACGTGTGCATTAAACAATGTAACCATGGTTATATTAAAGCTATGATAGTAAATATGTTTTAATTCTAATCTCTTAGTTTCCATTTCCTATTTTCTGTCATATCAAAGAAATGTAATTTAAAGCTTTTGGGTAAATGGGAAAGAAATATTAAAAGCTCATAACCATTACATTGAGGTTTGATAATTAAATCAACAGATATTATAACTGACATATCAGAACTATATAGTTGTAATAGTTAGGTTGTTGTTAATTATGTATAGTTGCTCACTTGTGAACTATCCAGATTGAATAACTTGGAAAAGCAAGAATGGTCCTTCTATGCTCTGGATCAATATTAATCTAGCTATAGCAATGGAAAAGAACAAACATTTATACATTACTTTTTATTAAACTAATATCAATTAGGTTTTATGTAATTATTGTGATATAATTAATTCCCTCAACAATTCTGTTGTTGGTAGACAATGAAACAGATCAGGGTAACTTATTCATTTAATCCAACACCAACTTTTAAGGTAGGTACTATTATTACCATTTCACAGGTAAAGATACTGAGGCTCTAAGTTAAACCATTTGCTTAGTTTGCAGGAATAATAAATAAAGGAGACATTGGTGGCTCACACATGTAATCTCGGCACTTTTGGAGGCCAAGGCAGGAGGATGACTCGAGGCCAGGAGTTCTAGACCAGCCTGGGCAGCATAGCAAGACCCCATCTCTACACAAAATACTAAAAATTAGCCAAACGTGATGGCATGCACCTGCAGTCCCAGCTACTCGGGAGACTGAGAGGCTTAGGTGGGAAGATCATTTGAGCGTAGAAGTTTCAGGTTACAGTGAACTGTGACCATGCCAACCTGGACCCTGTCTGTAGAAAAAGAACAGAAAAGGAGTCAAGAATTACTCTAGGTTCTGTACTGCAAGATTTTTACTACTTTGTTATGGTGTTTACTGTCTACAATCACTTTTATTCATCCCCATCTTGTTTTATGGTCACTTAATTACATGGTTTGTCTTCTTTCTAGACCCTAAGTTATTTGAATGTGGAATCCATTTCTGATTTAGCTTTCCCCCTCGACCGTTGTATTTGTCATAAAGAACTGCTGTACATGGGAGATGTTTAGAAGAATATGTATTGCACAAATAAAGAAAAAAGTGAAAAAAAATGGTCCTGCAAAATTAATGTAGAGCAGAGGATAATGTTTATTTTACTTTTTACAACAAAATGGCCCTGAAAGGCCGTGCTGAGTATATCCATAATTCCCTGTGGAATTATGATGTGGTATGAGGAAATACAGCAGTTGCTTTGGTGCTATTGCTGCAGAAAAATCAGGAGGGCAAGAGAGACCTCAGGGTAAAGCAGGAGAATCTTTATTGAGTGCACTCAGACCCAGCAGACTCAACGTCCAAAGACTGGGCCCCAAACAAAGACAAGGTTTTGTTTATATACCTACTCCTAAGTGGTGTGAAAACTAATGTACAGAAGCAAGACAAAGGCACTTAATCAGGCTATGACAGGCTGATAACTCAGGTTTAGTATAGCCCTCACCATGCAGCCCAGATGGTCGTTATCTGGGCCACTATTTCAGGTACAACTAGCCTCCCATTGCAGAATTTTCACCATTCTCCTTCAACGTAGCTTCCATTTTCCTGAGCAAACTAAGCTCTTTCATTTGGAGTGTAGCTTAGGGTCTCCGAGAGGGGGATCTCTGGGAGGAGAGGCATAGTTAAGGCTTCCTCTTTAGAAGGTGGAGTCATCATTGCAGCCCACTTTGCCTTTGTGTCTGCCTTTCTATTTCCTTTAGCCTCTAATGTTCCTGCCCTCTGGTGCCACCTACAGTGCATCACTGCCACCTGCTTTGTGGCCCATACGGTGTCTAAGAGCTGTAGAATTTCTTCCTGTACTTTGTTTATTTTCCTCCAGCAGTTAAAAGTCCTCTTTCTTTGTAAATAGCCCCATGAACATGCCAAGTGGAAAAGCATATTTAGAGTCTGTGTAAATATTTGCCTTTCGGTCTTTTGCTAGCTGGAGAGCCCTTCTCAGAGCTATTAGCTCTGCTATCTGAGCAGAAGTTCCTGTAGGCAAAGACTGTGCCTCTACTACTGAGTCCAAAGTCACTACTGCATACTCC
Organism: Homo sapiens; assembly: GCF_000001405.40. NCBI lineage: Eukaryota > Metazoa > Chordata > Mammalia > Primates > Hominidae > Homo > Homo sapiens. Next base: position 69,823,854 of record NC_000004.12, read on the forward strand.
GCTCAGTGGACCCCCCCTAGAATGAAGCCGCTCCTATCAATAAAATATTCAATGTCCGGGTCCCTGAGGGTCTGATCTGTCAAATCTCTCTGGCTTGAGAACATTTCATCTACCACATCCACACGGCAATGAAGGGCACTTCCTGGCACTGACTCATTGGGGAGCAAGGTAGCTGGGTTTAGAGTATTCACAATCTCTAAAGTTATTCAGGGATTTTCATATAAGAGCCCTTGGTATTAAGTCATTCTCGGATTTGATAACCAATGGTACCCCCTTTGGTCCATCAAAGTTACACCTGAGTGCGGTACCTGGATTGTCAGTTGCTGTCCTAAAGTCAGTTCATTAGCTTCCTGTGCCAGCAGAGCAGTGGCAGATAGTGCCTTAAAACAAGGAGGCCATCCAAGTGCCACAGAATCTAACTTCCTGGATAAGTATGCCACCAGGCAGTGCCATGACCCTATGACTTGGGTTAGGATCCCTATGGCCATTCCTTTTCACTCATGGACATAGAAAAAGAAAGGCTTAGTTAGATCTGGCAGCCCTAAAGCTGGAGCCTGAGTCAAGGGTCCTTTGATTTCTTTAAAGGCCTTCTCCTGGTCAGTCTCCCAGAGGAGGAGCTCCTTTTTTCTCACTTTGTGGCTTCACATAATGGTTTAGCCATGAGCAAGAAATTTGGGATCCAGACGCAGCAGAACCCTGCTGCCCCTAGTGAGAGGTGAAGCCAGCCGGGGTTCTTGGTCGGGTGGGGACTTGGAGAATTTTTGTGTCTAGCTAAAGGATGGTAAATGCACCAATCAGCACTCTGTGTCTAGCTAAAGGATTGTAAATGCACCAATCAGCACTCTGTAAAGCACACTAATCAGCACTCTGTAAAATGGACTAATCAGCACTCTGTAAAATGGACCAATCAGCACTCTGTAAAATCACCAATCAGTGCTCGGTAAAATGAACCAATGAACAGGACGTGGGCAGGGCCAAATAAGGGAATAAAAGCTGGCCACCAGAGCCAGCAGTGGCAACCCGCTGAGGTCCCTTTCCACCCTGTGGAATCTTTGTTCTTTACCTCTTCACAATAAATCTTGCTGCTGCTCACTCTTTGGGTTGCTCTTTCGGGTCACTACTTTTAAGAGCTGTAATATTCACTGTGAAGGTCTGCAGCTTCACTCCTGAAGTCAGTGAGACCGCTAACCCACCAGGAGGAACAAACAACTCCAGATGTGCCACCTTTAAGAGCTGTAACACTCACTGCGAAGGTCTGTGGCTTCACTCCTGAAGCCAGCGAGACCATGAACCCACCAGGAGGAACAAACAACTCCAGATGTGCCACTTTAGGAGCTGTAACACTCACTGCGCAGGTCTCTGGCTTCACTCCTGAAGCCAGCAAGACCACGAACCCACCAAAAAAGAAATTCCGGGCACATCTGAACATCTGAAGGAACAAACACACAATCTTTAAGAACTGTAACACTCACCGCGAGGGTCTGTGGCTTCATTCTTGAAGTCAGTGAGACCAAGAACCCACTGAAAGGAACCAATTCTGGACACATTTTGGCAACCGTGAAGGGACAATCACCAAGTGGTGAGTAGCATCAGACCCCTTTCACTTGCTATTCTGTCCTATTTTTCCTTAGAATTCGGGGGCTAAATACCAGGCACCTGTTGGCCAGTTAAAAGCAACTAGCATGCCTGCTGGACTAAAGACACGGGTGTCAGGCTTTCTGGGAAAGTGTTCTCTAACAATCCCCGACTCTCGGAGTTGGGAGCATTGGTTTCCCTGGAACCAGTTTCTGCTTTTCCTGTACTTCTGGGCTGAGCCGAGTGTCAATAGAGAGGAAAGCCATTCAGCTCCGGGGTCCCGACAACAAGTCGGTTGACCCTGCAGCCATAAGCGAAACTCTGAAAGTCATGTCGCCTAAGTGAGACTCGCCCATCTATCCTATCTATCCTGACCCTTGCCTCCTGGGTCCTAATGCCTGTCAGACAAACTTCCTCTTGCCTCTCTTCTCCGAGGCTAGTCCCACTTCTAAAAACCACTCCCTGTTTCTGGTGCTTTTCTAGTTCCTCCTATAAGAATGATTTCTAGTGTAAACTCGAGGACTCTATTCCCTTCTTTAGGCACCCAGGCTCACTAATTGGAAAGACATAATTTTTGCCCAAAGCCCCATTGTAGGGGGTATTATCTGGAATTTTAGGGTCCCTCCTCAGACAAGCAGGCCTAACAAAAGCTATTCCTGAAGCTAGGATATGGGGAGCCTCAGAAACTGTATTCTTCCTATTCATATAAGTGAGGAAAAAAGGCGTCACTCTTCCAACCCTGGAGATTCCTTCCTTCCCTCAGGGTATGGCCCTCCACTTCATTCTGGGGACATAACATCTTTATAGGATGGGGTAAAGTTCCAATACTAACAGGAGAATGCTTAGGACTCTAACAGGTTTTCGAGAATGTGTCGGTAAGGGCCACTAAATCTGATTTTTCTCAGTCCTTTTTGTGGTCTAGGAGGACAGGCATGGGTGCAGGTTTTTGAGAATGTGTTGGTAAGGACTGCTAAATCCAACATTCCTCGGTCCTCCTTGTGGTCTAGGAGGAAAACTAGTGTTTCTGCTGCTGTGTCAGTGAGTGCAACTATTCCGATCAGCAGGGTCCAGGGACTGTTGCGGGTTCTTGGGCAGGGGAGAAACAAAGCAAAACCACAGGTGGTTTTTTCTTTCAGATGAGAAACACTCAAGCACCAACAGGCTCACCCTTGAAATGCATCCTAACTCATTGGGACCAATTTGGCCCACAAACCCTGAAAAAGAGGTGGCTTATTTTTTTCTGCACTATGGCTTGGCCCCAATATTCTCTCTCTGATGGGGAAAAATGGCCACCTGAGGGAAGTATAAATTATAATACTATCCTGCAGCTTGACCTTTTCTGTAAGAGGGAAGGCAAATGGAGCAAAATACCTTATGTCCAAGCTTTCTTTTCATTGAAGGAGAATACACAACTATGCAAATCTTGCAATTTACATCCCACAGGAGGACCTCTCAGCTTACCCCCATATCCTAGCCTCCATATAGCTCCCCTTCCTATTAATGATAAGCCTCCTCTAATCTCCCCTTCCCAGAAGGAAACAAGCAAAGAAATCTCCAAGGAACCACAAAAATCCCCCAGCTATCGGTTATGTCGCCTTCAAGCTGTAGGGGGAGGGGAATTTGGCTCAACCCAGGTACATGTCCCCTTCTCCTATTCTGATTTAAAGCAGATCAAGGTAGACCTGGGGAAGCTTTCAGATGATCCTGATAGGTACATAGATGTCCTACAGGGTCTAGGGCAAACCTTCTATCTCACTTGGAGAGATGTCATGCTATTGTTAGACCAAACCCTGGCCTTTAATGAAAAGAATGTGGCTTTAACTGCAGCCCGAGAGTTTGGAGATACCTGATATCTTAGTCAAGTAAATGATAGAATGACAGCTGAAGAAAGGGACAAATTCCCTACTGGTCAGCACGCTGTCCCCAGTATGGATCCCCACTGGGACCTCGACTCAGATCATGGGGACTGGAGTCGCAAACATCTGTTGACCCGTGTTCTAGAAGGACTAAGGAGAATTAGGAAAAAAGCCCATGAAATATTCAATGATGTCTACCATAACTCCGGGAAAGGAAGAAAATCCTTCTGCCTTCCTCAAGCAGCTACAAGAGGCCTTAAGGAAATATGCTCCCCTGTCACCTGACTCCTTCGAGGGTCAATTGATCCTAAAAGATAAGTTTATTACCCAGTCAGCCACAGATATCAAGAGAAAGCTCCAAAAGCGAGCCCTGGGCCCTGAACAAAATCTGGAGGCATTATTAAACCTGGCAACCTCGGTGTTCTATAATAGGGCCAAGAGGAACAGGCCCAAAAGGAAAAGCGAGATCAGAGAAAGGCCGCAGCCTTAGTCATGGCCCTCAGACAAACAAACTTTGGTGGTTCAGAGAGGACAGAAAATGGAGCAGGCCAATTACCCGTGAGGGCTTGTTATCAGTGTGGTTTACTAGGACACTTTAAAAAAGATTGTCCAATGAGAAACAAGCCACCCCCTCATCCATGTCTGCTATGCCAACCCCTCATTCATGTCTGCTATGCCGATGCAATCACTGGAAGGCACACTGCCCCAGAGGGCAAAGGTTCTTTAGGCCAGAAGCCCCCAACCAGATGATCCAACAACAGGACTGAGGATGCTTGAGGCAAGTGCCAGCACATGTCACCCTCACTGAGTCCCAGGTACATTTAACCATTGATGGTCAGGAAATTGTCTTCCTCCTTGACACTGGTGAGGCCTTCTCAGTGTTAATCTCCTGTCCTTGATGACCGTCCTCAATAAGGGAATAAAAGCTGGCCACCCAAGCCAGCAGCGGCAACCCACTCAAGTCCCTTTCCATGCTATGGAAGCTTTGTTCTTTCGCTCTTCACAATAAATCTTGCTGCCACTCACTCTTTTGGTCCTCACTACCTTTAAGAGCTGTAACACTCACAGTGAAGGTCTGTGGCTTCACTCCTGAAGTCAGCAAGACCATGAACCCACCAGGAGGAACAAACAACTCTGGACATGCCACCTCTAAGAGCTGTAACACTCACTGCAAAGGTCTGCAGCTTCACTCCTGAAGTCAGCGAGACCACAAACCCACCAGAAGGAAGAAACTCTGGACACATCTGAACATCTGAAGGAACAAACTCTGGACACACCACCTTTAAGAACTGTAACAGTCACTGCAAGCTTCCGTGGCTTCATTCTTGAAGTCAACAAGACCAAGAACCCACCAGAAGGAACCAATTCTGGACACACTAGGAACTCTCTTATTTGTCACCAGGTGGTTGGAGTAGGAAGTGCACAAACAGCCTGCTTCCATTCACTACCGAGCCATCTTTTCCCTTGGCTTATATAGAAGCCTAAACACTGGACACTTTCAGAGCAGATTTGAGCCTTTTTCCCTGACACTTTATATCCTGCCTTCCATAACATGTGCAGGAGTCCCCTGATAGCAGTCCTCTTGGGTTGGGGCTGCTAGAAGGAGATCATCAATGTACTGGAGCAAGACACAGTCACTGCTCGGTGAGGTGCAGTCTTTAAGATCTGAGGCCAGTGTCTCTGCAAAGATTGTGGGAGAGTTCTTAAATCCCTGTGGGAGTCTTGTCCAAGTGTACTGTGATTGACCCCACTGGAAAGCAAAAATAGTCTGACTAATCGGTGCCAGCTGGAGGCAGAAAAATGCATCCTTTAAATCTAGGACTGTAAAAACCAAGTGGCACTTGCTGGAATATGTCCCATTAAAGTATACAGGTTTGGCACCACTGGGTGGATGGTCACTATAGCTTGGTTTACCGCATGCAAATCCTGCATTAGCCTATATTCACTAGACAGCTTCCTCACTGACAAGAGAGGGGTATTCCACAGTGACTGGCATTTGACTATGATTCTATGCTTATGAAGTCGCTCTAAGTGTTTGTGGATTCCCCATATGGCCTTGGAAAGTAGTAGTGGGTACTGATGGACCCAAACCAGAGTTGCTCCTGGTTTTAAGTCCACTACAATTGGTGCCTGATTTACTGTCAGTCCAAGCAGGTTACTTTCAGCCCGAACTCTGGGAATTTTAGTAAGTAATGTGTGCATATCATTTACTCCTGCTTCCAGGGTCTTTTCTGCATATAGCCTCCATTCCTCAGCTTTCAGGACAGTAAGGGTTAACACCATAGCCTATGGGTGAGCTAGGTTTAAAGTTACATTCCCTTGCCACCCAAATGTAATCTGTGCCTGCAGGTTTTGAAGTAGGTCTCCTCCCAGCAAAGGAACTGGACAATTTGGAAGGTATAGGAATTCATGTTGGACTCCTTGTCCTCCTATTACACATCTCTTTGACCGATAGAAAGGCCTTCTTTCTGAAACTCCAATGGCTCCTACAATGGTTGCACAGTTCTTGGATAGTGGCCCTATAAGTCAGGTCACTACCAAATGCTCAGCCCCAGTATCTACCATAAAGTCCATCAACTGGCCCCCTACTTCCAAAGTGATCATAGGCTCCTGGAGGCCCAAAGAGATGGAGCCTGGTCTGTCCTAGTCCTCATATCCCTCAGCCCCTGCCAGTCCAATCAGATCAGTGGTTAGTCCTGGGTGTGGTATCCCCCTGCTGGTGGCCTTCCCATACGATGGCCCAGACCATTCTCCTTGTTATCATTCTCTGGACACTTGTCCTTCCAGTGTCCTTTCCTTTTTCACTGGGTCCATTGATCTCTTTCTAGTCTCAGCCAACTCTCAAATCCCTGTCCAGTCTGGCCTCTTCCACACCCATGTTTGTGTCCCCTTGCAAAGCCAGCTTCCCTTCCTGTAAGGGCTGCTGCCAGCAAATCAGCCTTTTTCTTAAGCCTTCAATTAGCCTCCCTCTTTGCCTCCTGATTTTGGTTAATGTACACCTTGGTGGCTACCTCAATAAGCTGAGTAGCATTCATGCTCATGAAATCTTCCATCTTCTGCAATGTTTACCTAATATTGCCCTGGGCCTGCCCTATGAATGATGTATTTACCATATGCTGATTTTGAGTAGCCTCAGGGTTGAACAGGGTGTACAACCGAAATGCCTCACAAAGTCTTTCGTAAAACTGGCTTGGTCTTTCATCTGCTCCTTGGAGCACCTCTGAGATTTTTTCCTGCATTGGCTGCTTTTCTCCCACCATTTTTTAGCCCATGCAGGATTGCCTCTCAGTACTGCTGCAGATGCTGCAGCTGGGATGCGTCATTTGGGTCCCAATTGGGGTCTGTTTCAGGGAACTGGCCCTGCGCATATGCCTGGGCATTAACTGTGTCTGCAGGAGCATTTGCTTCTAGCCACTGGAGGGCTGCCTGTGTCAGTCTCTGGCACTCTTCCATATTAAACAGTGTCAGAAGAAGCTGTTTCCAATCTGGCCAGGTTGGATTGGTTGTCTGAATAATGGACTGCATCAAGTCTATAAAAGCCTGTGGCTTCTCTGTGTAGGAGGGAGCATGATGCTTCCAGTTCATGAGATCAGTGATTGAAAAGAGCTGGTAAACAAAAGCTCACTCTGCCCCCTGGATGTGGCCATGCTCTTGATAATAGACAGGTCCTCTCATTTCCTGAAGAGCAATTTGCATGACTTGGGCACGGCCAGACCTGAGACAGCCTACCTGACTTTCTAGGCTTTCCGCCCTAACTTTCTGTAGCTCTGATTCCTCCTTCTCAGGTGAGGCTGGGAGCATGTACCCACTCGGATTTAACTCCTTGTGGGCAGCTGGGGCAGTTGGCCTCACAGATGAACCAGCAGCAAAAGCAGTTGGTCTTGGTAAAGGGGGGTTGATTGGAACCTAAGGAGGATGAGGAAATTCTGTTTCCTCCTGAGGTGCCTGTAAAACTCGTTTATCTTGCCTTTCCTGTAGCTTTTTCTTTTTCTCTGCAGCTGCCAGCATGGCTGATTTTACTTTTGGGTTCGGCTGCTTGGGCCACTAGTGTCTTACAATATGCTGCCAAACAGGGTTGCAACCATGCTGGTCAGTTTTATATAATATTGAGGCATGAATTGATATAGGGGAATTGGTCTGGTTACCCTTGCTGTCCCCCGACCCTGGTCACCACCTTAAATGCCCGGCCTATTGTCTCCCTATCTATAATATCCTCGGCCAGCCAACTGACACCAATAGAGGGCTATTCTAATTCACAGAGAGTTCTCAACCTTTGGGGGGTCAGTTTAATTCCATAATCCCCTGAAAAAACTTTCTTAAAATTATTTAACGTACATTCCAATGGAGTGGGTTTCAACAACTGTCCCCACATTTCCTCCCTTTACGATGTGCACTCGCTCTTTCTTTTCTGACCGACCAGACCGTCTCCTATTACGGGAGTTTTCAGATGCTGCTTAGCTAGGAGAGTTCCTTATTCCCACCACGGATGCTGCAGCCAGGGGGCAGCTCCTATTAGCCAGATGTGGATTGTCACTAGCCCAGGTCGGTCCCACACCGCTCGGAGCACACAGTCCACACTAAGAGATCTGTGTCTCCCCACATTACTTCCTGCGTTAGTCCCTCCCAGAACCATCTCTCACGCAGTTTCACACACTTCCCCTCTCCCAGTTCCCTTTTCTAACTGACTTAGCAATCCTCTCTCACATACCATGTCAGTTGGGGTATAAGTTTCATCTGAATTGCAGAGCCACTCTCACCTCCAGCCTCTCTGGGTCAAATTAGTGGTTATACCTCGGGAGGTGATCAAGCTCCTCTTCTGTCCTTACGGGACAGGTCCTGCCTTGAGCCCCAAAACCTTACCACAGTTCAGTAGAGCTGCTTCTGGGATTGTCCTGTAACCCCTTCCAGGTTCTGTTGCACTGTTAGGGGAGGGGCGCCGGAGAAGCAGGAGAGCCGATCTCCCCTTCAGGTTGAGGTTCTCCCAGTGGCATGCTTGGGGTAACTGATCTCCCATGGCTGGGAGCCCCAGACCCACAGGCAAAGGAGACAGCCAATCTGTCATCTCTCCCTCCTGGCTGGCGCACCAGAAATGTTGCAGAAAAATCAGGAGGGCAAGAGAGACCTCGGAGTAAAGCAGGAGAATCTTTATTGAGTGCACTCAGACACAGCAGACTCAATGTCCAAAGACTGGGCCCCGAACAAAGACAAGGTCTTGCTCATATACCTACTCCTAAGTGGTGCGAAAACAAATGTACAGAAACAAGACAAAGGCACTTAATCAGGCTATGCCAGGCATATAACTCAGGTTTAGTATACCCCTTACTATGCAGCCCAGATGGTCATTATCTGGGTTAGTTCAAAGTTCAAAGGAGTTTCACAAATACTCATCTTGCGACCCCCCCACCATGGCGTCCAGCTGGCTGTAAGCTAGACCTGCTCAGGCACGTCTGGTGACCTTTGTTACACTGCTTAGATGAAAAAGCAGGAACCTACAATCATTAACTATAGGGAAAACAAGAACTCATAACACTTACAGAGCAAGGAGCAAGATATAGTTACATAGCAGACGGCATGGGATTCGAGGGGGAAGTTTACTTACACTAAAGGAGAGATAGGAGAACTTATCTCCTCACATCTCTATATTGAGGGAGTGCTGGGAAAGTCTTCAGGGCACATCCCTTTGAGCTCTGGCCCTTAGATAACGTTATCAAAACTTTGCCTGTTACTGCCTTTGAAATGAGTCTGCCTAACACAGGCAGCTTGTTTTATTTTTTTCTTTTAATTTTTATTTTGCTTTTCTTTCTTTAATATCCTGCCTCACTATATGTGCCTAAGTACAAATTATGGTTCTGCAATTTATATGGAACCCTAGGCATGATACTTGGTTTCCTCATCTAAAACATATTATGATGTTTTAGATGAGGGATATGATACCAGTCAACATTGTTGATATGAGGATTAAAATGTAATAATATGTAAAATACCTAGTTTCATGTGGCTGCATGGTGTACACTCAACATCTTAGCATGAAAATTGTTTTCAGGCATAGAAAGCATCTCTAGTATTACAATAGAGTGGCCAGAATAGGCATGCTTTTGGAATACAATGTAATTTCCTAATAACAGACTTCTTACTTGTACAGCTAACTTAGGTAGAATTTCCACGCATGACTGAAATTGCTAAGGAACTTACTGTCTGGTTCCTTCATAAACAATTGAAGGCAAGTATCAATCTGAAATTCTGAGTAGTTTCTTATGCAATTTATACCATGCCAAGAGGTAAGTTGAGAAGCTTTGCCAACAAATAAAGGGACAGTGAAGAACATCAAAACAGATTATAAGCTTAAGTAGCACATGCCTTTTCTTGCCATTTTCCACTAATAATTTACTGAATATTAACCATAGGCAAAGTACTACCAGTTCTCTCCACTCTTTCACACTTTCACAGTCAATCTACTTGTAGGAACTTATATTCCTGCTGTTTCTATTGCTTTTCCTCCCTTTCATGGCACTAACCCATGGAGACATTGATTCTTCTCCCACCATCTCACTACTCCACTATCATTTGCAAATAATTCTATGTTAAAAGCCATCAAAGAATAATCACATTTGTTGTTAAATTTAAAGCCAATACTTTCTTTTTAATTGTATTTGCCTTCCCTATAGCATTTGACCATTTTACCACTCCATCCTTTGAAATGTTCTTTGTAGCTTAGCTTTAGTTGTACCAGTTTCTTCTGGTTTTCCTCCTTTATCTTGAAACATTTTGTTTTGGGGGATTTGTTATTAGTGACCTCATTTTCTTCTGCCCATTCCCTACATATTGGTAATTATCCAGATCCTACTCCTTCCAAGCTACAAGCCTTCTTTTCTGATAATGCTACACTTTCTCCTATATCCACTTCTACATTTAAGTCTCCTGAGCTCCAGGTTTGTATAGTAAGCTGCTTACTGGACATCTTCCTTAGATATCTCATAACATTTCAAATTTGACACATTCAAAATTGAATTCATCATTGTATCCATACCCTGCCTCAAACAAAGGGAGGAAAAGACTTCTATTTTGCTATTTTTGTCAATGACAGTCAGGCAATATTATAAACTATAACCTTGTCTTCTCTCACTTCCTTCATATTGCCTCTATTAGTCACCATGACATTTTCTGATCTATTCATGTAAACCATCACTTCAATTGCCCACTTCTTATATTCAGTGTTCATCTCAAGCTGCTGTCTTCTTTCAATTGGATAACAACAGCTTCTTAACTGCTTTATCCATTTCTTCTAATAAATGGTCCACTCTTAGGCCAGAGTGATCTTGGTAAATCACCAGTTTGTGAGAACCAATGAGTTAATTCACCTGTTTTATTCCTCTGAAGTGCTTAAAAAAAGGTGTCTATCACAGTTGTAGTAGTAACAGTAGCATCAGCAGGAGAAGAAAGTATAGAAGGAAAAAGAGCAGAAAGATATCCTTATTATAAATCTAATCCAGTGGTAATATTAATAGTAGGATCATAAAATTTACGTAAATTTCCCAATAAATATCTTGCAGTCACAGGGAAAATCGCTGTTTCTATTTCCTCATTTCTATTTCGCCCCTCATTTTCTGACAACATGGATCCTCTCCCTATACTTATCATGATACTCCACTGAATCTGCTGGTTACAAAGCTGCTGAAGAATTGTTACCATATCAAGAAGTCAAAAATTTTATATTCTTTATTAATGCTCTCAAGTTTCTTTACTATCAGGCATATGCATAACTCCATCCTTACCTCTTACTTTCTGCATCACATATTCTGAATTATATTACCCTAAACTCTTTTACCTAGTCCTTCACACATATTTTTCCCTCTGCCCAGAACATCATGCTCCATTATTGCCCAGCTGATTGCTAACTGTCCTTCAGTTTCCATATCACTTTCCCTAAGAAACTTTCCATTATTTGGGTACGTATCCTTTATGTGTTTCCAAAGCATCCTGTTGTCATGCTAAATGCATATGACTAATATTAGAGTTGATTGTTTAATTTATGTGGCATTACATTATAAATTCCATAAAAGTGGAACTGTGCGTGTCTTACTGTCTTTGCATGCTCAGCACTTAACACTTTGTCACCACTGGATCTTAAATAGAGAGAATAACTTGAACTGTTACAAAAGTGTTAGAAACAGAGAAAGATAACCATTATGTCTATTTGGAGAACTGGAAGATTCAAACTGAATTTATGATAAGTGGAGATAGAAAGGCTATGACTGGGAATGTAAGGAAGATAAAGGTGTAATAATAAACAGGAATAGTGACCAAGGTATATTATTAAAGAAAATAAATGTAGAAGATAAATATTTACTGAATACTGATTGATAGGTATGATTTCTATATCATACACTAACATTTCAAACTAATAATAATAGTTTTGAAATTCATATTATCATTAGAAATGTTCAGTTACCAAATACGTATCCTTGGGCAAATGAACTTTGTTATTGAGTAGAGGATTATTTATTTATTTATGTTATTTTTATTTTTGTAGAGACTGGGTTGTTTTGTAGAAACTAGGCTGTTTTGCCCAGGCTGGTCTCAAACTCCTGGCCTCAAGCTATTCTCCCTCCTTGGCGTCCCAGTGTGCTGAGGTTACAGACATGAGCCACAGTTCCTGGCCTAGGCTTCTTTATCTTAGCAGATTCTTCATAGAATCATTGCTATTACATCATTGTCATTGTTAAAATTTCATAAAAGGAATGATTTAACATGTAAATATGCAGTATGCTGTTTGGCATGCAAAAATTACCCAATATAGCTTAATTATTACTAAAATGATTACATTATTACCATGTATACTATCAGAATCTAGAAGTTTATTCTTTTTTCATTTCAATACTGCCTTAAAACGAAAGAAAATATATTAAATATGTTATCTTCCACATAAAGAGCCATTCTCAATCCTCCATTCAGTCCCATGTAAAAAAGAGATAATGAGTTTAAGTTTTTATACTAAAACTCTTCCTCCTAGTCAGTCTTGAGCAAGTCATTTATCTTATAAGTGTTTGCCAACTTTAGACTTTAAGTGGAGATAATTGCACTTACTTGTTTTCATCTTATAGAGACATTCTAAGGTTAAATACACCTTGTCCTTTTGTATCCTCAGGTGCAAGTGTAGTCAAGAAGTAGGATGCCATTTGCTATTAGGCAATCATTTATTCTCAAGGTCTTCTAACATAGGTATTTGGTGGTGAAGAGTTAATTATACTGTATTCCATCTGGAATCCCTGGGGCCTTATAATATTCAGAAAACAGTTCCCAGTGAAAGAGATTGGTTAGATCATTATCTTCCTTCCTGAGAGCACAAACAACTCTGATTCATAATAAATCTTCTTGCTTGTTTTGCAGTCTAAATGAAACATATTTCAAAAGTAAAACATATATCTTTGTTAAAAGTATAATTTTGCATACATGTGTTTGTGTATCTGTATTAATTTATTTTGTCTTTGTTTCTGTAATAATACTGTGTTCCTGTCATCATGCTTTTATCATGATGATATGGTTTTATCTGAAATTGTAAATTGGAGATTGAAATATAGACAATATCTAACTGTTATAAAACAATTAGCAAAAAGTTTTCTATTTTGTAAAATAACAAGTAGGTCAGGGTTGAACCAAGCATGGTAGCATGTGCCTATAGTCTCAGCTACTTGGGAAGCTGAGGTGGAAAGATGAAATAAGCCCAGGAGTTTGAGGCTGCAGTGAGCTATGATTGTGCCACTGCACTGTAGCCTGCATGACAGAGCGAGACCCTCCCTGTCTCAAAAAAAAAAAAAAATGTAGGTAGGGGTTAGATAGATGCAGAAATTACCATTTATTGAGCATCTACTATGGATCTGGGAGCAGGTTTTCACAAGGACTTTCCATGTGTGATTTTTGGATAATTTGTGTACATTGTATAGATTTTCTTTGCCATAATGTCATTATCATTAAAATGGGAATAATTTTATGTTCCATTTTATTGAAGAGTTGTGACAATGAAATGAGTAAAACATTTGGAGCAATCCCTGACACATAGCAATGATCAATAAAATATTAACAATAATAATAATTATTATTCTTATTAAGGTTTATTTGGCTTTTTCCCTGAAAGATAAGAAAAACATATTAATCAATCAAGATCTTTTTATGGAGTCAAAGAAAGTGTTTGTTTGGGATGTTCAGAAAGGATGAAGATATAACTCTATCTTCATATTTTGTTAAATGAGAGGTTAAAACTTCAACTTTAAATTCCATTATTGTACAGATTGATAAACTTGAAAATTTAAAAACTTTGCCACTTCTCAGCATTATGATTCAAACCCTAAAGACAAAAAAGAACCACATAATAGAAAATATTTTGGTTATATGAAAAATTACAAGAATCTCAAACCAGTTATACGTAAATAGTAGAGATGGGGTCTCACTATGTTGCCCAAGCTAGTTATAAACTCCTAGGTTCAAGCAGACCTCCCACCTTGACCTCCCAAAGTGCTGGGATTACAGGTGAAAGCCACTGCTCCTGGCCAGTTTTTAATATTTTAAGACAGGTATCATTACCATTACTAGGTGTCTTTTTTAAATGTTTCATAAAATTCACTGAAGTCATCTAGGCTTTGTGAATTCTCTTTCAAGAGTATTTTATTATATGTGTAATGGTTATAGGACTATTCAGGTATTTTATTTCATTTTGTATGAGTTTGGTAGTATGTGGTTTTTGAGGAAATGGCCATTCCTTCTAAATTGTCAAATTTACTAGCATAAAGTTTACAGACTTTTCTTCTTATGCTTTCACTGGTTGTAGAATCTGTGGTTATATTTCTTATTTTATTGCTGATTTTAGCAATGTAGGTCCTCTGTTTTCCCATCTTTGTCAGTCTTTGTAGAGGTTTATTAATGTTATTAATCTTTTTTTGAGAACTAGCTTTTGCTTTCATTAATTTTCTCCATTGTTTTCCTGTATCCAGTTTAATTTAATTGTTTTTATTTTTTTTTTACTTTATTCTGTTTACTTTAAGCTTCTTTCATTTTGCTGAACTGAGAAGAAAATTTTTAAATATTGGGCCAAAATCCAGAAAGAACAGAATTCAAGAGAGTTAAACCTTGCTGTTACAATGAAGAATTTCTTGATTTCTCAGAAGTTACCTGAGATGTGGACCAGAACCTTTTCAAGTCTTCTGGCTTACGAGGCTAAGGTAGGTGTCAGCAAAGGGAGCAGAAGGAGGTCTTTTATGACGCTGTACTTTTACTGGACCCTGAAGACATTAGACCTAAAAATAAGTGAAAATTTATTTTCTCTTTTCTTTTTCTTTCCCTTTGTTCCCTTGAAAATGGTAGCATACAAGGGGCTAAGGAGTTTCAGAGGCCTAGCAGACAAGTAGCATGCCTGGGGAATGGAAAGTGGCAGTGAGATCAGAGGTCTGATAGAGAGCAGGACATAGAAGGTGATCTGCCTGATCAGGTAATTAGTTATATACAAAAGGGGAATTACCTGGCTGAGGTAGGGTTTCTCCACTCCAAAGTTACTCTTCCCCTCATACTGCACTTGCCCTTTATAAGAAAGTCCCAATATGGATCTCACACTTAAGGAATGGCACGGGGAACTATACATAAGTAGGTGAAATTCTTCTGTATGGTATATTTATTTACCACATTTAATTATTTAATCATTTATTTATATCAACACGGATGCTTGTTTATTTTATGCTGTCAGGCATAGTCTCATACTACTTCATTTATTCGTTGCTCAAGTTGAATTCTTAGGTATTTTAACCATATGGATGAACTTTATGGGATGGCTCCAATTATGAGCAATTACCACACCCATAAGTGCTAACTGAGTACTTCCTAGTGTTGACAGAATGTCTATTTTCTGTCACTATAACAGAACAACATAAACTGGGATTTACAAAATCCAGAAGTTTGTTTGGCTTAGTTTGGGAAACTGAAAAGTCCAAGAGCATGCCATTGGCATCTGGTGAGGGCCTTTTTGCTGCAACATAACATAAAAGGCATCATATGTGAGACAGTAAGAGCCAGAGAGGACTCACTTTTGTAATAAAGTCTCTCTGGCAATAATGAACCCACTCCTGGGATAGTGACACCAATCCATTCATGAGTGCAGAGCTCTCATTAATCAATTAATCCATTTATGAGGGCAGATTAATTGAGTTTTCAATACATAAACTTTTGGGGAACACATTCAAATGATAACACATGGTATTAATCAGTCAGTCCATAAACCTTTAAAAAGTATTTCTGTGAATTTATCTGGGCCTGAAGGCATTGTTCTAGAGATATAATTATTAGGAAATATTAAGCAATGAGGTAAAAAAATTCTGTAGCTTTCTTGGAAGCACAGAACCAAAGCTACATTGGCCACCCCTATGTATTTTACCACATGATGCCGTCCAAGGTTTTCATTGTCTCCAGTCCATATGGACTGTAAGCCCAGCTCCAGGAAGATGCCAATAATCTAAAGGTGTTGAAGTTTCTACGTGAAATTGAAGCTAGATCCCAGCCGTATTACTTCTCCAAAGAAGATACAGAAGTTTCTTGGCAAGCTTTGGAAAGATATAGTTGGTCCAAATTTTATTCAGGCTAAACTGGAATGTGTTGTTCCACCAAGGACTGATGTCAGAAATATACGTAGGTTTATTATTGCTTACTTACGTCAATTATAATGTGGGCAACATCACTATGAATCTTACAAAATGCATTCTAAAAAAGTTATTGGACATTATAATGTGAAATTTTAAAAATTATGACTAAATGGGCACATAAAAAATGTAAAACAATTGTTTTCAGGGATTGATTCTGATTCCCCCGGTAAACACTGTCCTCAACAATATCTTAATATTTTCCAAGACTCTCCAATTTTTGTATAATTAATAACTATATTAAACATTAAAAAAAAGCTTTGATTCTTAAAAACTATAACTATTGAATAGGGTGCTCAGAAATCCATGGACTTTTCTCCAAAAAGTAAGAAAATAAATCATCTGGATTTCTCCCCAGATTTGGCCTTTTAGTCTATTGTAGTCTAGATAAGCATTCTACTGAAGACCCTAAGTAAATATGTAATGATCTTGTGTCTCCTCTGTGTTAGTGAAAGGAAGCATTGACTAAACATAGTACAGAAAAAGAATACAATTTTAAAAATAGAAGATGTTTTAAATAAAAAACAATAAAAAATTTTAATTCTTTTTTCTTCTGTTTTTGTTATATTTTACTGCCAAATATCTTATTCTTTAAAACTTATTTTACAATATTTACATTTGTTGGATTGCATATAGGACAGAAGGAACCCTAAAGCATAAATATTTCAAACTAGCTGAAGATAAATCACACTCATTGGAATTATTTTTGGATGTTTGGAAATCTGTTGTGTTATGTTGAAAAATTGGAGTTAGACTAAGGTAAATTTAAAATTAACTCATTTTGTTGAAAGTAAAAGAAAATGGGCCAGGCGCGGTGGCTCACGCCTGTAATCCCAGCACTTTGGGAGGCTGAGGCGGGTGGATCACGAGGTCAGGAGATCGAGACCATCCTGGCTAACACTGTGAAACCCCGTCTCTACTAAAAATACAAAAAATTAGCCGGGCGTGGTGGCGGCCGCCTGTAGTCCCAGCTACTTGGAAGGCTGAGGCAGGAGAATGGCGGGAACCCAGGAGGTGGAGCTTGCAGTGAGCATGAGCAGAGATCACGCCACTGCACTGCAGCCTGGGAGACAGAGTGAGACTCCGTCTCAAAAAAAAAGAAAATAAAAGAAAATAAGGAGGGAAATCATAGCTATAGTTATGCCCCCTATTTATATATTATTTCATTCTTTCTTCCAGAGTCTTCAAAGTTCATGCACCATTTTTATTATATACTAATGTCCTACTAAATGGAAAATCAATCACAAAAATAATTTGAAATGCTTGTTTATTTTTAATACAACTCTAACAAGATGAATAATCTGTGTTACTACATCATTCCCATAGGTTATAGTTGTGCATGATATTTATAAAAAATAGAAAAGAAGAAGAGGAAGCAAAAGAAAAAGAAAACAAAATTTAAGAGATGATAGTAGGAAAAAAAAGTTTCTTATTTCTCATATGCATGTACAGCTCAATAAACATGTTACCTGGGCCAGGCATGGAGGCTCAAGCCTGTAATCCCAGTATTTTGGGAGGCTGGTGTGGGAAGATCACTTGAGCTCAAGGGTTTCAGACCAGCCTGGACACTATAGCAAGCCCCTGTCTATACAAAAAATAGAAATAAAATTAGTTGAGCATGGTGGTGTGTGCCTGTTGTTGCAGCTACTTGGGAAGCTTGAGCCCAGGAATTCAAGACCAGCCTGGACAATATAATAAGACCTCATCTCTACAAAAAAACATTAAAAAAATTAGCCAAACATGGTTGCACATGTCTGTAGTCCTAGCTACTTGGGAGGCTGAGATGGGAGGATCAATTGAGTCAAGGAGGTCAAGGCTGCAATCAGCCATGATTGTGCCACTGTCCTCCAGCCTAGGCAACAGAGTGAGACTCTGTCTCAAAAAAAAAAAAAAAAAGTTAAACAAAAATTTAAAAAGAAAATGTCAACATAATCCATGATTATGTCTTTTCTAGCAATCTAAAATAAGAAAAAGTGGAGAATAATGAAAAGAAATCTTTAATATCAGATATGTTAAGTAAAGAAAGACCTTCTTAGATCTCAGTTCGAAACTTCAGTGTAGATTCCTTCATTTGCTGCTCATAATGTTTATCAAATTTTTCATTCAGGGCTACTGTAAAGTGATTTTTCCAGTCTCCTGTAATTCCTGTAACAAAAAAGAAAGCTCAATAAATATTAAGTCTTCCAAAAAGAATCATTAGGTTTGCTAATTTCATCACTTTCATTAACACCTAATCAAATATTATACTTGTAATTCTCAATTTTAAGAATCAAATGTATACCTTTAATGATATACTTTTTTGGGCTTACAAAGATGGATTTGTCCTAATTGGTTTAAAAAAACAACAAATTTAATTCTCTGATTCTTTCTTCTTATGCCATTTACTTTATTTTTCTTCTGAAGTTTCATCTCAGCTGTTGGGGCTCCCAGGATAAGATCCATGTTTTACCCACTCTCAAGGTGTTAAATATCATCTTAATGCTGATAGCACTAAAATCCAGACTTATGCTTTATATACAACTGCCTACATGATTTTGCCACCTGAAAAATGTCCAAATTTTCCAAATACAATTAGTTCAAAAATAAATTCATTTTATTCCTTAGCATATTGTGTTTTCTCCATTTACATTTTAATGACCTGTGTAGAGTCAACACCAGGTATCTACACATAAGCTTGGACGTTATTCTCTTAACCACAACATCTAATTCATTATATTCAGGCTTTCTTTATATCTACTGCCTCTTAAACACTTCTGCTACTGCCAGCCAGAGAGTGTTTCTCATCTGGGTAATTATAATAGTCCAGCAGGCTTTTCCTGTTTTGCTTTTTAACATACTTCCAACACTCACCTTGCAGAAGGAATTCATCTTTTTTTTTTTTCTTTTTTTTTTGGAGACAGAGTCTCGCTCTGTCACCCAGGCTGGAATGCAGTGCAGCTATCTCTGCTCACTGCAAGCTCCACCTCCCAGGTTCACACCATTCTCCTGCCTCAGCCTCCCGAGTAGCTGGGACTACAGGCGCCCGCCACCATGCCTGGCTAATTTTTTGTATTTTCAGTAGAGACAGGGTTTCACTGTGTTAGCCAGGATGGTCTCGATCTCCTGACCTCATGATCCGCCCGTCTCGGCCTCCCAAAGTGCTGGGATTACAGGTGTGAGCCACCGCGCCCAGCCCACCTTCTTTTTTAAACTATTCAAGAGTTCACTTGCCCTCTTGCTCAAGGAGCTCTAAACTTTCCCACTGAAATAACCCAAAAACCAGAAGACAGAACATGTGTATCCTAAAAAAATCAGATAGGTTCTGAGGGTACAGCAGCAAGTCACCGTTTGCAAGCAAGACAACCGTTTTAAGTCCTCTGTAACATTTATATGTAGAATTTTGAAAAAGGAAACATATAATCAAAAGAGTACATAATTAAAATATAGTTTGAGAACTGAATCTCTTTTCAGTGGATCCCTGTTCTGTTTTGTTTTTTTCCCCAGTGGCAGGTTTGTTATTTTACAAATTCCCTGACTCTCACTGACAGTATGGTTCAAAGAGCAAGATTTGATTCTATTCTGTTTGTTTCTGCTTCCTCATATATAAATAGACTGGTGTCCCAGTGCTCTGAATATCTGAATATCTTACATGCCTTTAAATTTGTTAACTGGCTATATCTCATCAGGCTATGTCTCCCCCCAAATAGAATTTTTTTCTCCTTATATGTTGATATTTTTTGCTAAACAGAGCTATATTTGAATTTCTATTTTTTGCCACTTACCCTTGAAAGGTGTTTGCCACTTGTTAAAAAATGTTGACAAACTATTCTAAACTTATTTCTTCAACTCAAAAAGAGAGAGGAATAAAATCTTTCTGCGGAATTTCTGGTTAGAACTTAAAGGAACTATATGATACATGTTGTAACACTGAGGCACATAGGCTTGGTAAATTACAGCTAGTAGAGTGTGATACTATTTCCAATGCTGAGATTGAGGAGTCTGCTAGTTATTTTAACATAATATGATGCATATAATAAATAATCAACAGGTAATTGCAATGTAATAGAAGTGTAACTTAAAGAGTGTATTCAAATATGAAAGACTGCTGAAGAAAACTTAAGCTGGGTTCATAGGCATTAAAATACCTCACTAGATTTTTGCCTATAACCATGTCACCTTGTGACTTCCTCTAGTATCGAGGCAAACCACATTTTTCTCACCCTTTCTCATGAAGGGCGACAATTTCTGGTTCATAATTTCGTCTGGCAGTGTTGTGTAATTTGTGGATGGATTGTTCTTCATCTCTTGGAACGAAGTATGATGTATAATCCTGTCCACAAGCTCCTCTGATGGCTTCCTTTCCAGGAAATGTATCAATTTTATCACCTCTTTTCTGATATCCTAGGGAGAGAAAATGTTTTGAGAACTAAATTGCTAAAACTGAATAAATCACTATCTAAATGAAAGAGAAAAAATAAACCTTTCTCTTTTCTCCTACTGATATTAGAATTAGATTTCTAATGAGAAATCTAATTGGGGGAATTTTATAAAAGCTGTTTTAAGTATAATTTTCCTCATCCATAAAATGCTTATAAAAGATACTTTAAGATTATTCAAAAAACTAAATGAGATGTTTGTGAATGCTTATTGTAGTCCTTGATGCATAATCACACTTAATAGATGTTGTCTATGAAAACAAACATCATACTCAAAACCTAAAGTCCCCTGTGAAAAATCAAGTTTGGGGGATAAAGATATACAGGCAATTTTCATTTTTCTCCTAATTTATTGGTGTAATTAGTGAGAAACAAAGAAACAAGAAAGATTAAGAAAAGGTGTAAAAAGTCAAATACTCACAATGCAACATCAGTTGTCTGTACACCATAGCTACAAACATCCCCATATCTGTGCCACTCCTATAATATACACCATTATTCAGCTATATCTCTCAGTGCAACTATTTGCAATACTAACCGCAATGTGTATTCAAGTGCACATTTCTCTCTATGCCAATCAAATGCTGTTTCTAAATTCTCTGCTCAATAAATTGTAGTTTGCCTTTTCGATTTCAGCTTATTTATCAACTTATTTAGGATAATATCCTTGGCTATTCTAATTTTGGGTAGATGACCCTGTTTTGCTCCCATAATTGTTTAAATAAATCTAATTTACCACATGTGTATTTTTGTAATGTTTTATTTACTTGTCTATCTTACTCAAAAGAGAAGTGGGGATAGTTAATAAGTACAAAAATAGAGCTAGATAGAATGATTTAGTATTTGATAGTATATCATGGTGACTACAGTAGACAATAATTTATTGTACATTTTAAAATAATTAAAAACTATCATTGGAATGTTTGTAACATGAAGAAATGATAAATGCTTTAGGTGATGAATACCTCATTTACCTTGATGTGATTATTACGCATGGTGGCCTATATAAAAATATGTCATGTACCCCATAAATATATACACCTACTATGTACCCATAAAAATTAAAAATTGAAATTAAAAAAAGATGATGCTTCAAGACACAAGAAAAAAGATTATATGTATATATGGGTGCAAAATAGGCATCTCACATGTATGTGTATATATATATAATATATACACAAAATCTTATTTTATATATACAGACATATGTGTATATATATAGTGATAATGTCTTGATTTCTTTCTACTGGATACATTGTAGAAACAAATAAAAATTAATTTGTACATTCTTAGCCTTATTAATTCAAATATAGAGGAAACCTAAACATGGCTATTATTGACCAAAATCGGGAGTAAGTAGACATGGACAATTTGAAATGGAGGAAGAGAGTTGGAGTAACTATTTAATTTTGTTTGTGTGTATTTCAAATTCAATGTCATTAATAGTCTAATTACAGAACACAGTATTGGATAATATAATAAACTGTAGATCATGACTGCTTTTCTTATTCAAATTTGATCTAGTGTTAAATTCTATAAATACATAATTTAATTTATAAAATATTATTTATGATTTTATTTTAAATAAATGCTCACCAAAAACACTCTAAAATTACTGAAATACCATAAAGGATTTTAAAGGTTATTCAAATATATGAATAAGACATGGATATCAATTGCTTTTTTGGTGATAGTAAAGGATAAGAAAATAGAGAAAATTTCTCACCTCTTAATAAAGAAACTCATTATGTTTTCTATGTTTTAAAAATTATGAGATATATGTATATATCTCATTTAAAGAGGAAAACTATATACAGCACCTATTACCTACTACTTAACTTATGAAATAGAACATTCACAGTTTTCTTAGTTTTTTTTTCTTTTGAGTTCCCTTCACCTCTACTCCCATCCCACATAAACAAAACAATCAAAAAAAAAAAAAAAAAGAAAAGAAAAGGAAAAAAACTGCTAATTTCAAATTATTATCTTCTCTACTTTATAGGTTTCAAACTTAGGTATGAATCTCTAGACAACATATAGTTTGATTTTACCTAGCTGATGTGTATATTTAGTGTACTTCCTTTCATTATAATATAATATCTAATTGTAATACAATAAAATACATTATATATGGATTCTTTGGTATATATATCTGGGTTGTTTTCAATTTTTGCAGTTATTAAGAATGCTACTATGAAAATTATTGAATATCTAACCTAATGTACACAAGTCAGAGTTTTTCTAGAGTATATGTCTAAGAGTAGAATTTCAGGGTCTTAAACTATGTGCATGTTTGCCTTTGCTAGATAATGACAAGTTGTTTCCAGTGTTTGTATCTTTCTACACTACAATCAACAGTGTGTTACTTTTCACTGATTCACATTCTAATATTTGTTATTGTCAGATATTTAAATTGTTATCAGTGTAGTGGGTGTAAAACAGGTATCTCATAGTGATTTTTATTTTGAATTACACTAACAATAAAGCTGAAGAAAAATTAGATTATAAGAAAATTTTAAGGCCATAAAAAATTTGTGTATTGATATTTTAGCATTCTCTTTACACTCTTCTTCTGGAAGTTTGAGTTGATATATGTGAGACATTATCACTGTATCTTATATACCAAAAACATTTTTATTTTTTAAATGCTAATACTTAGTAAGAACCATTACTTTTCATCAAATAGCCTATTTATCTCACTGTGCTACATTCTATAGAATTTCCTTAGCTCCATCTTTTACTTCAATAATTCACTATGTAGCCATGTCTAATCTATTATTGAACCCATCTCTTAATTTTTCATATTTTTTTAGTTATTTTTAGAAATTGTATTTGGCTATTTTTTTTCAAATCTGCTCTGTCAATTTTAATAGTTTTTGTTTCTTTGTAATTTTTAAAATTTCATCTTTTATTTATTTAAACATATTAAGCATGGTTATTTTATAGGACCTATCTAACAATTGCAACATCTCTACATTTGCAGACCAGTTAATTGCTTGCCCATGTTGATTCCTTGTGTGTGAATGTGTGTGTGTGTGTGCCTATGTGTGTGTGTTATTGATTCATGAAGTCAAGTTCTTTCAAATTTTTTCTTTGAAATTTTTGAGACTTGTGGTTTAAAATGTATTTATTTTCAGAATATTTTTATTTGCTAGCTTCAAATCTATGCTAAAGTATCTGTATTATTTTGGTCCTTTCCTTTTAAAAATTTACGAGATGGCTGTCATCATTTATTTAAAGGAATATTTTTGTATCCAGAGTATTTTCAAATGCTAACATCTTAGAAATTACCAAGTTGCTTATGTGTTCCCAGTTCCTCACCTCTTTCAGGTCTTCGTAGAAAAGAAATAGTACACGTGGACTCTTTCCCTTTTCCCACCAAGATTTTACATGTTTATACCAGGAACCATAAGGAACTAAAATTAGAGAGAAAAACAGTGTAAAAGTGGTATCATCTCTAAAACTGCTCGAAAACTAGTGTTCAAGCAACAATAACAACAAATAAATATAAATAGATAATCATGAAATTAGAATAGATCAGCTGTATATCTTAAGCAAAGTTCTCTGCAGCAAGAGAGGCAAAGTATGTTAAATAATCTATGTATGTAAAAATAGTATGAACTTTATCAGATAATGTAGTTTATGACAGAAAAACAGGGAAAGTTCTCTCATCAATTTGATTTAAAGCTTATGAGAAAATTGTTGAAACTGGTGTGTGTGTGTGTGTGTGTGTGTGTGTGTAGAATCAAATTGTTAGTGAAGGGAGTTGACTTAGTGAAACTATCAGTGGTCTGATAGTCATAAGAATATAGTTCTGGTCTCAAATTTACCATTTACAAACTAGGTTTGGCAACTAAAACTAGTAACTATATGAGTATTTATTACACTATTAGTTTACATGGGAAGGAATGTTCTCGTAGGTACCCTTAGTGTCATTCTCACTCCAGGAAATTAGATTTTAGAAATGATGTAATATAACCAAATGCTGTCTCTTCCTTTTTCTTTCTCTTGCCTCACTCATAGTAAAAATGTTTCATAAAATATAAAGCTGACAAAATAATATAATGTTGTGTGAGTCAAAAGGTTCTGCTTTGCCTGAAGTCATTGTATGCCTCCTCTGTTCTTTGACTCCATTAGGGAATTTTTCCTTACAGAAAATGTTCTACAGTGAAATTTATAGTGATCTTATTTCTCCCTTTGCAGTGATGCAAAATTATATTTCTCTGCCCTGCAGTGGAGGTCTTGACAATCTTAAGACATATGTATTACTCATTATGCTTTAGCAAAAATTTTCCCAAAATGTAGCAACAAACACAA
This sequence comes from Homo sapiens, assembly GCF_000001405.40. Classification (NCBI taxonomy): domain Eukaryota; kingdom Metazoa; phylum Chordata; class Mammalia; order Primates; family Hominidae; genus Homo; species Homo sapiens. Next base: position 69,848,694 of record NC_000004.12, read on the forward strand.
AGCACATATACCTTATTTGTCTTGAGTCAATATTATCATCTGTGGATATGAAAACACATTATTATTTTTCTTTATAATTGTTACTACATGATCAGAATGGCCTTCTTTAGAATACTAGACTATCCTGCACCCTTTCTTCCTCAAATCTAAACACTTTAGTAAAAGTGTTTAATAAAAACGAAAAATTTTCCAGAATATCTGCTCAAGTAACTCTTAACAAATTTGAGAAACCTGGTTAAAATATTCAGATTGCACTCTGGGTAGAATGAGGAAGAGTTTTGTAGATAGTCAAACTTCTTTGTAAATTCCATATTCATATAGAACCTGGCAATTTTATTGGAAATAAGTGAACATTCTCTCTTCTCTAATCTCTCCCCAACCCATTGTTCAATAGAGTTGTAATAATACGGTGTAAAACATTTGTTTCTACTAAAAAGAGACAAGGCAGAAAATCAGACACTGAGTCTCAATCTTGGAGAATAAAATTGCTACCCCCAGCTCCCAAACATAATTCTATATATTTATTTTTAGGTGTTGGACCAGAGTGCTCAGATTCTGCAATTTGCCTTCTACATCTGGACACAGTATGCTTGCTCTAAACCTCCAGGCGCCTTTAGATTTCTGTGTTTTAACTATGAATCAGGGAAGAAAACGTACCAGAACAGTTAAAAACTTTTACTTGGAGATGGCATTTGTCTTATAAAACCTTGAAAAAAAATTCAGTGTAAAGAAGCTGTTCCTACCCTGTCCTTGCATGAATTTCTCCACAAACTCTGGAAAGGATCCAGGATTTGGATGACCAGCCACCATTAGAAAGAAATAATAAAAGGAAACAGCCACATCCTTTGCATTCCGGCAAAGATAGATTATCTAAGAGGATGAAATTGTATATTAAACCACTTAACATTTTTTTCAAACAGTCTCATCAAGATTTTTTTAAAAAGGATTTACATTTTCAAATATAAACATAATACACATTAATTTTACAAAATGCATAAGACATGTACAATTATTTATAAAGACATCTTCAATAACCTGAGGTGACAGTGGTTTTTGTAGTGTTGTTCTCTTTGTTCTCACTACAAACAGAACAACATTATTATGCCATTTTCACACATAATACCTCATTTGAGTGTTGTAAATTTTATCAATATAAATTAAGTCAGTTACATTATTTATTATTCTCAATGTATAAGTGAAGAGATTAAGCTGAAATTTAGTGATAATATAGCATTGAGAGTAAATCAATGAGAGTAAACCATTTGGCATATCATTCAGTCAACTATACAGTGCTCTGGTCTTTATACTACACCATCACTCCACATAATTAAAAAAAAATAGTTCTGAGGTCTCTTCACTTTCAATATTACAGGAAAAAAACATTTTATGAGGTGAAAATATAACCTCTGCCAACACCTTGTTAGTTTCCATTTTACATGCAGAAGAAATACCAATGAATTAGTTTTCAGAAAACTGTGGTTTTAGTTTCTAGTTTTGGCAGTAAGAAAAAACAGTACAGTAATTTTTGACCTAAATGTTTTCTTTACTAAACAAATGATTTGTGTTAGATCATCTGTGGCCTACTCTAGGTCTGATACTCAATGTTACACGAAAAGATCTGTGAAAGTAAAGTCCAGTATCCTCATGGGCTTCTACTTAGGCCCTCAGGCACCTAAGCAATGTCATGAAAGGATGCTGTTGAGTATCCACTGTTTATGGAATACCACTAAACTAAAGCTACTAAATTGTCTTACTGATGACATTTTCTAACAATGTTGTAGAAATCTAGCTTATTCTTAGATGTATAGCTCTCGTTTTATAGCCCTCTTGTAAAAGCCTCTAAAAACTGCAGAATAAAAGTGAACATTTTTCATATAAAATCCATCATTAGCCATATTGAACTTTTCCAATCTTACTTATAACCCTTCCTAGTTCTTTTCATCTATTAGCTGAATGGAACCCTTTGCCACTGTATGCATTAATTTACTTCAGAATTTTCACCCCTTGTCTTCTTTGTTCTAGTCTGTCTTTCTTGAATGTTTTCTGTTTCTCAAAATGCTATCTGTATTTTATAGCTTGCCTTCTGGTCCTCCATGAGGCTTTTTATTTTCCCAGATAGAAAAAAAGAGTGATCTCTCTTTCCCTAAACTTCTATTAGTTTATATTCTTTATTTTGGCAGATCTTATTCAATATCCCAAACTTTTTACTGTACATGCTCATTTTTTTGTCCTCAAGGGAAATCTAGCTCTTTCCTGAAGATATGACTTGCACTGCATCTCTCTTGAGTCAAAGTTACCAGTTTCCCAATGATTCACTTGTGATTGTAATCTGTCTTAAAAATTTTGCACTTTAAAGACCCCTATTCTTTTTGTTGCCATTGCTTTTGGTGTTTTAGACATGAAGTCCTTGCAAAGCCAAAATTGACAAATGGGATCTAATTAAACTAAAGAGCTTCTGCACAGCAAAAGAAACTACCATCAGAGTGAAAAGGCAACCTACAGAATGGGAGAAAATTTTTGCAATCTACTTATCTGACAAAGGTCTAATATCCAGAATATACAAAAAACTCAAACAAATTTACAAGAAAAAAACAAACAACCCCATCAAAAATGGGTGAAGGATATGAACAGACACTTCTCAAGAGAAGACATTTATGCAGCCAACAGACACATGAAAAAATGCTCAGCATCACTGGCCATCAGAGAAATGCAAATCAAAACCATAATGAGATACCGTCTCACACCAGTTAGAATGGTGATCATTAAAAAGTCAGGAAACAACAGGTGCTGGAGAGGATGTGGAGAAATAGGAACACTTTTACACTGTTGATGGGACTGTAAACTAGTTCAACCATTGTGGAAGTCAGTATGGCGATCCCTCAGGGATCTAGAACTAGAAATACCATTTGACCCAGCCATCCCATTACTGGGTATATACCCAAAGGATTATAAATCATGCTACTATAAAGACACATGAACACGTATGTTTATTGTGGCACTATTCACAATAGCAAAGACTTGGAACCAACCCAAATATCCAACAATGATAGACTGGATTAAGAAAATGTGGCACATATACAGCATAGAATACTATGCAGCCATAAAAAAGAATGAGTTCATGTCCTTTGTAGGGACATGGATGAAACTGGAAACCATCATTCTCAGCAAACTATCTCAAGAACAAAAAACCAAACACCTCATGTTCTCACTCATAGGTGGGAAGTGAACAATGAGAACACCTGGACACAAGAAGGGGAACATCACACACTGGGGCCTGTTGTGGGGTGGGGAGAGCGGGGAGGGACAGCATTAGAAGATATACCTAATGTAAATGACAAGTTAATGGGTGCAGGATACCAACATGGCACATGTATACATATGTAACAAACCTGCACATTGTGCACATGTACCCTAAAACTTGAAGTATAATTAAAAAAAGACCCCTATTCTATTCCTATGATACTTAACTAACTAATCTATACCTCTCCTATCTGATGCTATTTCTAAGCTTGTGGCCATTCCCTTGCTTTAACTGAAGATTTGAACACCTGCCTCATGGTTTCACTCTCCATTCAAATTCTTTTATCATTCTGTGTAATTTTATTGTTGGTGTGTGTGATCTACTTGATTCTCTAAGTTCATGTAGTCATTGATCATTACTTCTATGTTACTTCAGACTTTTGTAACCACTTTTGTAACCAAATACTGAATCTTGCCTTCACCATAAAGGTTTCACTTTTGAAGAATTATCCTGAGCCATAATCTTTTCTTCCAAAAAATCCCGCTTCTTCCTTCTTCCCCATCAGTTATTCCACATACCTCTCCTACAATCAAACCAATGGCTCAAATCCGTTGGCCTCAGTTATTTATATTATCTACTAGCCTGTTACTTTTTGTCACTTTCTTCTCTTTATCACTTACAGTTTCTGCTCCATCATTCCAAATATCCTGTATCTATTTGCATAAAGGATATTTACAAATATCCTGTATCTATTTGTTTTATTTTGTTGTTGTTGTTTCTCTGTAAATAACCCTGGAAATACTCCAAACATGAATCCCTCCAACTATCTCCTAGTCTTTGATAAACTCTGAAAAATAAGCAGCTTTGTGAAGGCTTGGACTATTATAAATGTCTGGTACCTGTTTCCATTTGAGAAGTAAGGAGTTAACAGCAAGTCCACCACTATCCTCCAAAGGAAAAAAGTGTCTTGGTCAAATCTCTTAAAAAATAATAATGACACATCTCCTGGAAAGTACATAACTGGTCTTTACTAATGAGACAGCCCTTATGCATGGAATGACTTCAGCAGGACGTATATCGTCTATCTAGGATTGCTAATGATAAAAACAAACTAACCTGGCAATCTTTGATTTTTGTCTGTAGATCTCCAGGAAATGTCAAATATGCCATGTAACGGATTACAAAATGGAAATATTTAATGACTGGGATATATCCCCTTTTTGTTAGTGATGACTGCAAATAATACTATAAGATCTTGAAGAACAGCACTGGTGAGAGAAAGGTCTTGAAGAACAGAATTGGTGGTCTCAGACTTCATGTTTTCTCTGTATTTTGAGGTCATGTATAATATTATTTTTAAAGAGCAAAACTGACAGTGTAAACCGTCAGCTTAATATGTCTATTACTCCTCATTACCATTAAAATGTCAGAGTCCAAACATCTTAACTTGACTTTCAATATTTCTTATAATCCGTTCCTAGCTAATCTGCCTTTACTTATTTAGCCAATATGTACACTTAATCTTCCAGCCAAGCTGAACTGATTTTAGATGCCCCCTCAGATCATCTCTGAATTGTCATCACACTGATACATCATTCAAATATCAGCTGAGATGTTGCTCCTGGATGCCTTCCCTACCCCCAGTGTCTGAGTTTGAATTCTCTCTCTTACTTGACCTATGATACTTTTTGTCTTGTCTGTTAACCTGTCCTTTTTCTGAAATGGACTAGGTGTCCATGAAGACAAGGCTTGCATGTGTCTTACTCTTATGTCCCTAACACATAATAGGCACTCAATACATAGTTATTATATGACAGTTATCTGACCTATCCTTTTATGGTTCATTTGCATGCCTAACAGCACCAAGCACAGTATTTTGCAAAGGGAGGATATTCAATACAATTAGTAATAACAACAAATACAAAAGTAGCTAACATTTGTTGTTTACAATATGCTAGGAATTAGGTGAAGCACTTTATAAGCATTATCATGTAATCCTTATAACAATTCCATGAAAAAGATGTTATTATTATCTTTCTTCTACAGATGTAAAAACTTAGGCTTAGGGAGTCTAACTGGACTTTTTAGAACCACATCTGGCAAAAGACAGAGTTGGAATTAAAATATAGACTCTCTGACAATATTGACTGTATTTATTCCACATTTGTTAAGTGTCTATAGATTCAATGAAAGAATAAATAAACAAGTGTGTATAACTGATGAGATCACTCTATCATTTCTTGGAATTGGATGAAGTTTTGAGAACACTTGACTCTGGTTACCTTACAATCCTTTTCCCAAAATGAGGCAGGAAGAAGTTCAGGTGGCAAATGAGTCTTCACAATTCTAGGAGAATTCATCTCATCTAATTGTTTTACTCCTGATTTTTAAAAAAGTAAAGGTTAAGCAACTTCAAAAATTGTAACTATTTATGTGGATTTATATAGATATTTGTAAAATAGAAGTAATTCTAAGATTCTATATTGTAATTAGATTGTGTGTAACACAAAGTATAAATTCTTGAGGGAATGGACACCCCATTTTCCATGGTGTAATTATTATGCATTGCATGCCTATATCAAAACATCTCATGTGCCCCATTAATATTTACATCTAATATATATTCACAAAAATTAAAAATTAAAAGATTCTATATTGTGTTCATAATAATACTTACTATGAAAGAAAGAAATATAGATAGAGAAAATTACATAGAAAAATATAAAATGAAATAAAATTTCATCACCTGAGAGATATCATTCATATTTTGGCAAGCAACCTTCTATACAAATCTACTTATATTCTCAAATTTACAGCCATCCCAATACCATGCACACAGATGAACGTTTTGATAGCTTCTAACTATCTTTTTCTCTCAAAATATTATATTTAAACTGCAATTTCAAGAAACATCCAAAAATGTTAATGATTTTATAGTGTTATTACACAACCTTTAACTATTCTTTTGTCGATTAGCATTTAGGTTGTTTCCAATTTTCCACAATATTAAAAGAATCTGTGGTAAATATACTTTTGCATATATCATTGAAAAATTTATGGGTATTTTTCTCCATATTTAAAATATCATCACATTTAGCCCACAGAGAAATAAATGTTTACATATTACTAAACTCTGCTGAAGGCATACAAGAATTGTCCTTATTCACTCTATTCCAGACATATGCTGTACACATACTATACTGCAAAGCCTGTCAAGATTTAAATTTAAATTTAAATTTATATGCTGTCTTATGTAGAAGACCTGATACTAATTGCCATTCTTGCTTATAATCTCATTGCTTGTACCATGTACATACACACCTTAGAATATATGCAAATAGTTTTTAAAATCAACTTGAACGTTACCATTCATGAGGTTTTCTTTTCTGCATTCCAGGAAAGGTATTCGATTAAAAATTACATCTTCTTTGCACTTTTCCACATCACCCTCTTTATAGATCATATACACAATTTCACTAACCCAGGTTGTACCTGTAAAAATTAAATAAACCTGAGTCTCCTGCTGACCCTGTAGAGTTGATGACATTAGTGCTGCATTTATGGATGGAAAAAGTTGGAAGGTACCAATGCAATACTATTTAAAGGGTGTCTGAATAGCCACAGACTCAGGAAATATTTTCTATAATATTTTATGTTTAGAACACAAAAATAACCTCAAGAGATAAAGATAAATATTATAGTAAAGCACACCTGAGACCTGTGTCCAAATTTGTTCATGATGAATTGTGACATTGTGCAAGCTGCTAACAGTTTTGGACTTTAATTTTTACATCTAAAAAGTAAGAAGACTTGAATAAGCATGCTTCCAATCAAAAATTTTACTGATGGTATATTATGTCTCATGTTGGGTCCTAGGTCAGAAAACTTAGCAAAGGATAAATCTGGTTCCTGTCCTTAGGGAGCTAAAGGCCTTTTGAAGTCAGTGACATTGTTCAATAGCTACAATAAATTTTGTTTTTATTGATACTATTGTATAATATGGCACAGGGATTTAAATAACTGCAAAGAAGAAATCTATAACACAGTGTTCTGCTGCTACTGTTGTTGCTGCTGACATGACATTTTGACAAGAAATGCCTTTGAGAGGATGTGATCCTTCAGCTTAGCCTTAATAATTACTGGCATAAATTCACCACTTGTGGGAGGTAAGAAACAGTTCTACCAGGCAGAAGCCCAGTCTCTCTTTTTAATCTAAAGTTGGTACTTAAGAATGGTATAGTGGTTCGGAAAATAATTGGAAATAGACTATAAGACGTAAATCAAAGGGTCTATCTGAAGAGAGGAGTTGGGGCTCAGGCAAGCAGATAACAAGCCTTGTAGTTCACACTAAAGAGTCCAAGTTATTTTTATAAAAATCATGAAAAGGTACTGACATATATTATATTAAGCAGAAGAGCAAGATTATCAGGATTGTGTTTTAGAAGAATTTCTCTAGTGCCAGAATAAACACAGTAGCGGAGGAGGGATCAATAGAAAGGGAGACAAGAGACCTGTTAAGAGGCTGACTGTGAGACCTATCTACCAGACTAAATGACCAAAACGTTTTGACTGATTACAAATGCCAGATGAATAAGCAAGAGAGATTGAATCTAGAATAGCTCACGGGTTTCCTCTTCAGATGACTGGTATTGTGCTGCCATTTATTCCAATAGGGAAGAAAATAAAGAAGCAGATTTAGAGTCAAGATAACTAAGGGCGGCCGGGCGCGGTGGCTCACGCCTGTAATCCCAGCACTTTGGGAGGCCGAGGCGGGTGGATCACGAGGTCAGGAGATCGAGACCATCCTGGCTAACATGGTGAAAACCCGTCTCTACTAAAAAATACAAAAAAATTAGCCAGGTGCAGTGGCGGGCGCCTGCAGTCCCAGCTACTCGGGAGGCTGAGGAAGGAGAATGGCAGGAACCCAGGAGGCGGAGTTTGCAGTGAGCAGAGATCGCGCCACTGCACTCCAGCCTGGGAGACAGAGCGAGACTCCGTCTCAAAAAAAAAAAAAAAAAAAAAAAAAAGATAACTAAGGGCATACTTAGTGTGTTTGGCTTTATTTTTAAGTGGTAAATGGAACAACCAGATGAAGAAATATGAATTCGGACTAGTCTAATTTCTAAAAGTCTACAGTTGTAAAACTCCAGAACTATGCTTAAAAATGGAGTTTTGTAGATAGACTTAAAGGGCTGGTGAGCTGAAAGAGAGTTTTAGAGTACCTGTAAAAATGGTGGTCATACGCTGTATATACGACAACATTAATGACATAAGGTAAACAGTTGGTAGTTTTAAATTTTCATTATGGGATGAATACAGGTTCATTAGTATATATTATGTAAGTTTCTAACTGTGCTCAACAACATCCATTTCTCAATGTACTATTCAAGTTACAGGTAAAAATTGTGGTCATGGAATAGAGCTACCTTTTCTATGTCCATATCAAAACTACCGCATCTGTTCTTAATATAGAGAATGAGTGTGTACGACATGAACACCTTAATATTTACCATTTACAGTGTGTTTGTTATTTTTAGGTGAAAAAAGAACAACAAAGAGATTTACCAGATTTAGGGTAGGTGGCAATGACAAGATCATCTGGTCTTGCCTGGAACGCTTCCACATTATCCCAATATTTGACAAAATCTTTATACATTAGAATCCCATGGACTTCTTCAAACTTTTCATAATAGTCAAGTTCAGAATTCATTGTGGTACACTGAAAAAAAACCTCTGCTTTATACTTTGTATGTACTTAACAATATTTCACCATTAACAACTATGTATATAACGGGACCCTCCTACATACCTAGCACTTCTTAGTTGTTGCACATATGGGGCAAAAACATAGTAAAGTTGCATATCAAATAGTTTTGGTACATAGAGAGTTTTTAACCTTATTAGAAAGATGTCTAACACATAAAAGAATAGGAAAGCACAAGTGATTATGAAGTAAAATGCTTAAAACTAAATAAAAATGTGGATATATTCAATTATATTTATTCCGTGATAAATAAAAACCACAGAACCTTCAATTTCTTTCAAAATTGCTGGGGCATATAAAAAGACAAAGAGGTCCAGAATTACAGTTATTTTAGCAAATTATCCAATTATGTATATGTCAAATAACAATAAAGATCATTACATTTGATTATTATTGCCGGGTATCTAAGTCAGAGATTTTTGACTTCCTGAATATGTATCATTTTTTTAAATAAACCAAATGCTTGGTGAATGTATTTAAAAGAAAAGATGAAATTAATTACACTGTAATGGTTATATCAAAGAAATGGAATCTTGAGAGTATAAAGGATTCCTCTGTGACCTTTAAAATTACTTTTTTCCCCATTCGATCAATAAGGTAGTGGATACTCCCATTGAATGACTTGGCTAAAAATGATAAGGTTAAGCAAGATGGTTATCATTTCCTAATTCATCTCCTGATCCCATGACAATCTATTTCATGTTCAAGGTTACTAACAGAATTTTTAATTAGGCATACTTTCTTTCATTAGCTTTCAAATTCCTTTAGTATCTTGTTTTTTCAACTGCCAAACTTAGCTTATTTCAAGTTTCTGACATAGCTTCCCAACACATTTTGTCTTTCCTGACATTAGCCTTTCTAGATCTTCCTCCTGTTCACATTTGCCCAAAAACCTGCCTGATAAGTTCTTCTACACACATAAATTGCCCCAGCCCTTAGGACAATCTCAACTTTTAAAAAACCTTCCTCTACATCATATCAGATGTAATGTCACCAAAAATATGAGATTTCTATTTCCAAAATGCATATTAGCCTTATCAATAAATCACTTGTTCCCCAAGCCTTCTCCTTAGTCTCAGAAAATAGATCTTTCACTAGAAGAAATGTGTATAAAATGCACCACGATTTGTCCTGCCTATTGGTTTGCTTACTCATGTGAATTACTTTCTTGGTGTTCAGCCAAGTTTATAAGAATTGGCTTATAGTCAGCTGGGAGTGGTAGATTTATCATTAAGTGGTTGGCTGACTTCCAGCTACTCCTTCATAGTCAATTTTGGTCTGAGAGGCAAAGTAGGTGGCATGTAATAAAATATCTTTTCTCATTCTATTCCTTTTGGTAAATTGTCTCATATTACAATGTATGGATTTACTTCCTATGTGATCCCCATTTTCTCAAAAGATCTATTTCAGTTAGAAATTGTCAATTTTTTATTCTGAGTATGTAGGTCAGTTGTTCAGAAATAAACATCAAAAAAGTTGTTAAAATTGTGACTTATAAATTCAATTAAACTCAGAAAGTGTTTTTCCTTCCCGCTCTCCTTCCTCTCTTTCTTCCTTTCTTTCTGCATACTCCCCTCCTGCATCTTCCAACCTGCCTTTTATCCAGCAAATACTCCCTATGTGAATGCCTACCCTTTTCCTAGGCCCTGTAGTCAGTGCTAGAATACTATGGTGGATATAGATACATAGGGTTCTCATAGTCCCTACTTTCTTAGATTTACCTGTATGAGGGCAAAGTGACTTTTGTACATGTTTCTATCCCAATCTCCAGCACTATGACACAAAGTAGATGTTCAGAAATATTTGTTAAGTTCAATTATTAGATCAAGAAGCTCTCTAGTTTCTACTAAGTAAGGATTCACAGATTTAAAAGGCAATATATGTCAATGACCTACATATTAATTATTTACCAAGGACTTTGGATTTCTGTCATATTTATCTGAAGTTTCTTACATGAAAGTAATGCCCCTATTTGCAAGACCCCTTATCACAGGAACACAAAACTAAAAGTCAATCTCTATTCTACCTCCTTCTACCCTGCTTGCTTTATTTTCTCATTGGTAAAATGGAGAACACGTCCAGCATTCAGCACTTTTAAGATAGCAATGGTACTGTAATTTTACATTAAAGCAATAAGCAACAAAATACTACATAAATGTAAAATATTATTTTTAACAACAAATTATTTTAAAAGGTTTTAAATGCTTCACATCATTAATTAACTAAAGTATCAATCAAGACTTTGGTCTTTGTATATTTTATTTTTAAGAGCTTTGTAATACATAATTTTCATTCTATATTTTATATATCTAAAATCTAAGTATTGATATTAATAATAAAAAAGTACAACCTGTTTAGTTGATCCTGTGAAAGAAATTGATCTAGTTTATATCTCTTCAAATACCAAGGCAGATCTTAAGCTGCAAAAAAAGATGAGAACCACTTCTGCATTTGGAATGTTTCTGGTGAGTTTATATCCTGAATGCCAGAGAAGGAGGTGGAGATTAATTTGGGGGCTTGGCTTCATGAAGTCCATGATGCAATAGTTAATGTAGATGTAAATGCATACCTGCAGCTGCAGTAACCACACAGAGTCATGTTCATTCATGGAGATGTAGAAATATCCTGCTGTTATTTTTTTAATTATTTGGCTCATATTCAAATTCCCAAGTCTGCCGTCAGGGGTTGGGGAAGAAGGAGGGAGAAAAGGAAAAGATGAGAAAGAAGAGGCCTGGGAAGAGAGACTGGGAAGGGAGAATCCCTTATTCACTCATTGACAAATAATAGCATGACTATGGTTAACTTTCAAAAGAATAAACTTATTGGAGTGAAGAAAGAGAAGCCAATGAGGAAAGAAATAAGACAGCAAGGACCCTCAATCAGACCTAGCTCAGTTTATTAAGACCTGCCAAAGAAGTCATTGGGTTGTATCTTAACATGTCAATTGGAAAACACCTATTTAAACTCTTTGCCTTTAACTCTTAAGCAGACCTGAAAATTTTAAAAAGCAGATGACAGCTAAAGAAAGAATGTAAACATCACTCACCTTTCGATTATTATTTTAGAAACCTGACTTCTCTCTGCTCCCAACCACAAAATAGCATACTGTGAATTTTTCAGGTAATGATAGCTACCAACACTTGGAATTTACACAAGAGAATTAGAAAAATAAATGGCCAAGGGTTTGTGGAATCCACAAATGCATTACCTTTCTTTTCATTTTTCTGCACCTACTCTGTCACTTAAGAAAATTATCCTTTGCTCCACCCCATCAACACCTCCAACCCTGTTATTTCTTATTTCTCTATTAATTACTGTTAGATTACATTTCCTTTGAGAGGCTCACTCTTACAAGACTCTATGTTTCTCTTAGTGACTTTTAAACTTTGAACTTTCTCCTAACTAGTATTTATTTTACTGTGTTGTAAATCAATGTTTGCTTGTCCAGAGTACTTTTTAAATTATAAATAGCTTGAAAACAGGGTCTTACTCTGTAATTAGCATTTTTTTCTGGCATCTAGTAGGCTAGGCATTGAATATGTATTTACTGAATAAAAGTGGCTGATTTATTCAAGAAATATAAGAAGTTAAGGGGGCTATAGTTGTTATAGAAAGCAATATCTAGCCTTATGCAAAATAAGAGGTGTTAAGTGGTTTCTGAAAAATGGGGCTTTTCATAATAGAAAATTAAGGTAGAAAAGGAGTAACCAGGGACCCAAATTTAGATTTTCATTTTACTTTGTTTTATGCAGTCTGTCATATTATTTGAGTTAAATAAAATATGTGTTGAAAAACAATCATTAAATGTACAAATTTACTCATTCATATGCCTACTATGTACCTTTAAAAATTAAGTATATATATACAAATTTAATACAGAATATAATTTTTAACCTTGCAGCATAGCTTCACTTTATTTTTTTAATGACAAGAATCTATGAAGTTTCCTTTATTGTTTAGCGAAAACATTTTTTAGTCCAAAAAAATCAGAAAATGAGCACAAGCTAATATAAACAGATTTAACCTCAATACATCTGTCTGTTTTTCACTTGTAAACAATTGGTTGCAGGGATGTCACAAATGCTCCTAACTCATGTAATTCTGGCAACCACAGATGTTCAATACACATTTATTCTTAGAAAATCTTTCTAATGTTAAGAATTCACTTACTGATAAAAACAAAACAACAGGCAAGATGGCCCTGAAACCTCATTCTTCTCCATGAGTAATGGGTACAGACTGAGTTACAAAATGTTTGAGTCAATGTCAAAAAAAAAAATGGATCTCAGATAAGGACCGGTTTTTAATGTTTATCTTGACCCTCAGAATTTGGGCAGATATCTTGAAAATATGTACATTTATTAAGTATTATAATAATGTCAAACAAAAAGAATGTGGGCAGATATGCAGACAGACATACTGCTGTTATACTCTGAAACACTGAAAACAAGTGTAAAGCTGGCACTTCTGTGTGACAGAGTTCCCAAAACAATTACTGTGGCTTTTTTGTGACTATTGGGCTTTTTCTGTAGCACACACTTTCTCTGGATCAAGATTAAAAGTCCTATAGAGTCTTTTTTATAAATAGCAAGATTTTAATATTAATAATGTGAAAATAAGTTGCATGTTTAACTGAGCCTTTGTCAAAGTTAACCTGTAATCCCCATTACTTGGGAAGCTGAGGCAGGAGAATCTCTTGAACCCAGGACGCAGAGGTTGCAGTGAGCCGAGATGGTGCCACTGCCCTCCATCCTGGGCAACAGAGCCAGACTAATTCTCAAAAAAAACCCAAAAAACAAACAAACAAACAAAAAACAGTGTTGATACATCAGCATTAACTAAAGTCCATGGTTTACGTTAGGATTTACTCTCTGTTGTATACAATTCTATAGTTTTTGATAAATGCATATTGCCACAAGTTTGTCAATACAATACCATACAGAACAGTTTCACTGCCCTAAAAATCCCTCGTTCTAAACCTATTCATCCTGCCTTCCCTACTCTGAAATCCTAGCAATGACTGATCTTTTTATTGTCTGTAGTTTTGCCTTTTCCACAATGTCACGTAGGTGGAGTCAAACAGTATGCAACATTTTCAGATTAGCTTCTTTGGCCTAACTATATGTATTCAAGACTTCTCCATCTTTTTTGGTGACTAAATAACTCTTTTTTTTGAACTGCTGAGCAATACCGTATTATGTGGATATACCACACTTTGTTTATCCATTCAACTATTAGAGGACATCTTGGTTATCTCCAAGTTTTGGCAATTAGGAATAAAATGGCTAAAAACAATTATGTGCAGGTTTTTGTGTGGACACAAGTTTATACCTCATTTGAGTAAATATCTAAGTGTGTGATCGCTAGATGGTATGGTAAAACAATGTTTAAAAAAATGCCAAAATGTCTTCCAAAGTGGCTGCACCATTTTGTTTTCCTACCAGCTACGAACAAGAGTGCCTGTTGCTTCCCATTCTTGCCAGCATTTGGTATGGTTAGATTTTTGGCTATTTTCTGACTGTTAGGCTGTGATTAACATTTGCTATAGCTCTAGTGTCACCGGCTTTCCATTCCTTTAATTTTCTTGTATTTGTCTCTTCAGTTGTCTTCCAGTTTCCCTAGAAATTCATTCTTAAATAAAGTCTAATCTTTGTAGTTCTTTTAGTTGTAAACCACTATTATTGTATAGGACCCTTATTGATATACCAGAAAGGTATTGGGGGTGGAGGTTCTAAAATCCCATTATCAGGTCTCAGCCTTTCATGGGTCCGTGACCCTCACAAGTGCTTCTCAGCCAGCCACCAAGCCTTTACGTCAAACAAGAAGTCTAGATTGGCCTTTATTTGGGTTCTTCCCTTCTCCCAGGTGTCAGAAAAGCCCTCTGGTAATGTTGTGCGTGTGTGTGTGTGCACATGCACGCCCAGGTTTTTGCTGTGAAGAACAGGCTTATTTCAAAAGGGTTATTTTGCCTCTCCTTTTCCCTGAAGCACAAGAGGATATTTCTCTGTTCTTCACTGTGATTACCTGATGAGGGTCCTGGAAGTAAAGCTCACAAAAAATGTGGGGCGTCTCTAAGGCTGGACTCCCAAGAGTTTTTAACTCTCAAGTGAATCCCCACCTAGCCTGTAGTATTTATTTCATCAATTACTATTTAATTGTTTCTACCAATTACTGGCTCCAGCAGCTTCTGGTCTCTGTTTGTTCTCATTCTATGTATTTCACTGTGTCTGCAGTTTTAGGGGCTGTAGTTCACACTGTGACCTCAATTCTCTGATGGATCTAAGAAGATTCATTGATTCTCATTTTGTTCAGCTTTCTTCTTGTTGTAAGGATAAGAGTGACAACTCACATTCTCTTTATATGGCAGACATGAAACTGCAAGTCTCACTGTACATTAACTTGTCTTTGTGGCTTCAGTTTTTAATATTCCATGAGCCTAAAAATTGACTACACAGTCTTCTGTCTCTCATGGAGTTCCATGAAAGTCTTGTTAGAAAAGAAAGACATAATTAACTTTTTAGTAGTATTTATTTAAGCACATAGATATTAGGAAATTTCAGATATTTTAAATGTCAAGTTTTTAAAAAATTCAAAACTTTGGGAGGCCAAGGTGGGCGGATCACCTGAAGTCAGGATTTCGAGACCAGCCTGGCCAACATGGTGAAACCACCCATCTCTACTAAAAATACAAAATTAGCCAGGAGTGGTGGCGGGTGCCTGTAGTCCCAGCTACTCAGGAGGCTGAGGCAGAAGAATCACTTGAACCCGGGAGGCAGAGGTTGCAGTGAGCTGAGATCGCACCACTGCACTCCAGCCTGGGTGACAAGAGCGAGACTCCGTTTCAAAAAAAAAAAAAAAAAATTCAAAACTTATCATCTTTGTTTAATTGTAGTAAAAAAAAGTTCAGATTTTGTCAACTACAAATTTAGTAGTCTGTTTATTGTCACTCCTATCAGATATATTTCTGTCATCCAATTGTTAGAGTTGGTTTTAAAACTCAAAACCATACTCACTGACATATAAACTTTACTGTTAACACCAAATTAGCCTCATCTAATCATTTTGACATACTGGTATATTTTAAAATAATCAACTAATGTAAAATAGATTAGAATTCATATTACTTTACTACATAGGTAATCACATAATTACTGCAGAAGCATACTTCTATACTTTGTAAAATGCCATTGCTAGTTTTGCAAATACTTTTGAAAATCCTCATAGTATGGTTCTATATTTGTGTGGACTTACATACTTTGTGGATTTTTCCCTTGAATTTAAGCTTTTATCAGCTGGTCAGAAGATTGGGAAATCTTATTTTTCTCTTATTGTTTTGATTACCTTTCTTTTTGTGATGGTTTATTTTATGTAACTTAATTGGATTAAGGGATGCCCAGGTAGCTCATACAGGTTGAGTGTCCCAAATCCCCAAATCCAAAATCCAAAATGCTCTAAAATCCAAAACTTTTTGAGCGCCGACGTGACACTAAAAGGGAATGTTCACTGCAGTATTTCAGATATTAGAGTTTTGAATTTGGGATGCTCAACTAGTATGTATAATGAAAATATTCCAAAATTTAGAAAAATCTGATATCTAAAACACTTCTGATCTCAAGCATTTTGGATAAGGGACACTCAACCTGTAAAATATTATTTCTGGGCATGTCTGTGAGAGTGTTTCTGGAAGAGATTAGCATTTAAATTAATAAACTGATTAAAGAAAATCTGCACTCACCAGTGTAGGTGGGTATCATCCAATCCACTGAGGGCTAGAATAGAACAAAAAGGTAGATGAAGGGGCATTTCTCTCTCTCTTTCTTCTTTCACATCCATCTTCTCTTGCCCTTGGACATAGGAGTTCCTGGTTCTCAGGTCTTCAAACTCCAGGACTTATACCAGCAACCATCCTCCTACGTCCCCCTGGTTCTCAGATCTTCAAACTTAAACTGAATAACATCACCAACCTTCCTGGTTATCTCACTTCCAGACAGCAGAAGTGGGACATCTTAGCCTCCATAATCACATGAGCCAAATCATCCCATATTAAATCTCCTCTTTTATATATCTATATATCCTATTCATTCTGTTTCTCTTAAGAACCATGATATAATTTGTATATTTGTTCCCTCCAAATCTCATGGTGAAATTTGATCCCCAGCGATAGAGGTGGGGCCTGGTGAGAGGTGTTTGAGACATAGAGGCAGATCCTTCACGAAAGGATTGGTTCTGTCCTTACAGAAATAAATGACTTATTGCTCTATTAGTTCCCACAAGATCTAATAATAATAACTTTTTTAAAAAACTGAAAAAACTAAAAACTAAACCTCCCTACCCTCTCTCTTTACTCCTTTCTTGCTGTGTGATGCCTGTTTCCATTTCTCGCTCACCATAACCACGGGCCAAATAATCCTCTTTTCTTTATAAATAACCCAGCTTCAGGAAGTCCTTTATAGTAACACAAATTGACTGAGACAAACTTTGACTAATACAGTATTCGGTACTAACAGTAGTTCTGGATGAACACAATTGTAAGAACTAATTTTCTGAATCAGTTCTGGAGTTTCTGGAATTGGCTAATCTGATTAGATTTAAAGACACTAATGACTCTATTTCCAGTAGTAAAGAGAGCACTAATAGTCTATGGTATGATCTATTCATAGAGATACTCAAAATATCTGTACTGGATATTCTGAATCAACCAATTATAGGAAGCAAGGAACAAAGTGATTCTATATATAATAATTTTGAACTTTTTTTAAACTCAGGAATTTAACGTCAGGTGGTTCCTTCTAATGTCACTGGACAACATGGTGAAATAAAAGGATGAGCTGACAGATTCAATTTTCAGTTCTAGTGATGAATAAATGATGTAAGAGCTTCTAGGTGTGCCCTGAGGGAAAGCCATATCTCCTGTAACAATAGGGCTGAAATTGCTGAAAATCAAATGCAGGATTTCATCTTGCAACAAAACTACAATCCAAGTTGGGTAGAGTAAATTGCAACCCAAGTTGAACTCCCAGCTTTGCAGGGTATCTACTGTTAAAGTGAGGGCATTGATTGGGAAAGAATTGGCATCCTGTGAGTTGGGAAACCTGATATGTAGAAAGCTGATGAAGCTGGGGACATTGAGCCCCTAGATTCTGATGTATTTTTTCCAGTAAAAGAAGTCTCTCTACCCTCATCACAATCTTCCATCCTGCCCAGCAGAAGTTGTCTCTCTACCCCCAGTGGAAGTGACATTCCCAACCCAGGTGGTAACAGCTTCCCATCTACAGTGGTATCAGCCTTTCCGCTTCTGTCTGATGAGATTATCCCAGAATTGCCCAAGAAAGCTGTAATGGCCTCTCCTGAGACAATTGCCAGGCAAGACAATGACAATTCTCCTCAGTACCCACTCTACAACCTCCTTTGCCTCTAGACTTAAGTCTTAGAAGACCTCTAAAGGCAAGGTACAGCTCTAAAGAGCTAATTGAGTTTTCTAATTTATGCAGGCAGAAACATGGGGAACATATTTGGAAATGGATAATAACAACGTGGAATAATGGTGGAAGGAGCATACAGTTATAGCAGGCCAAATTTATTAATACAGCCTCATTAAGTTGAGATCCCACATTTAATATTGCAGCTCAAGTAGATAGAAAGAACTCTAAAAATCTGTTTGGTTGGCTGAAACAGTTTCTACATTTACTATTGCAGCTCTGGGAGATAGAAGGAGCTCTAACATATTGTTTGTTTGGTAGGCTAAAACATGGATTAAAAGAAGACCCACCATGGTTGAATTGGAAATGTCCAATCTGCCTTGGTATAATGTATAGAAAGGAATTCAAAGGCTAGGGAGATTGGAATATTAATAATATATTTTTTATTTAAGACCTCATCCTGGGAGGATCCAGAAGATAGACTTTTACTACTATCTTACCAAAAATATACCTTTTAATTTATGAGGGGAGCTCCAACATCCTTGAAGAGCTCTGTGATTGCCCTTCTCTGTATTTCAGGCCTTTCAGTGGGAACCACAGTCACTCAAATGAAAAACTTAAATGCAACGGGTGTAATAAAGTCCGAGGGTGGCAACAGCTAAGTGGTGGTACTCAACCACCAAAGGGGAGGTAGGGTATAGTTACCATAATGGAGAGCACAGCCAAACTAGCAATCAGAATCACATAGGCCTACAACATTGGCTAGTTAATTATGGTATTCCAGAAGTGAAATAGACAGGAGGCCTACCATATTTTTACTTTACCTGTATAAGAAGAAAACTTCCAGGTCAAGTGAAAAAAAATTATAAAAACAGAGAGCTGCTAGTTTGGAGTGGTGTCCAGATTAAGAGAAGGCTCTGCAAAAGGGATCTAGGTTATTGTGTAAGCTGCTCTGCCACTTACACCTTATGATCCAGCAGACTCACAGTGCTTGCAGTCTCAGTGATAGACAGAGATGCTCTCTGGAGCCCAAAATTTAATTGCAATAGAGGCCTTGCCATCATCTACAGATAACTACTCTCCTTTTGAGAGACAGATCTTGGACTGCTACTGAGTCTCAGTAGAAACTGAATGCCTGATCAGGTACCACCAAGTTATCACGCAATCTGAGCTGCCTATTATTAACTGGATGTTACCTGACCCACCAAGCTATGAATTTAGGCATTTGCAGCAATACTTCATCACCAAATGGAAGTGGTATAAATGTAACTGGGCACAAGTAAGTTACATAAAGAAGTAGCTCAAATGTCCATGGCTCCTACTACTGCTACACTGTCTTCTCTCTCCCAAACTGTATTTATGGCCTCATGGGGAATTCTCTACAATCAGTTGACAGGGAAGACAAAATTTGGCCTAGTTTATAGACACTACTGTATAATAAGCAAACATCACCTGAAGGTAGATTTATTATCTGATTTGTTTACTAAAATAGTTATTGCAACAAAAGCTACTCATGGGTTTATAAGGAAGAGTATAGTTTAGGCACTTAGAAATGTCTTTGTTTAAAACAAATTTTTTTAAGTGCACTGTAAAAGCATCATGCAGTCTAGCCTCATAATAATTCTCCCTCTTTGGAGACCCGGATTCAGTATGGGTTCTGCCCAGAGCTCAGAGATCTGGTTAAAATATAGGTAGCTTCTACTTAAATAAAATTGGTCTCCTCATACAATCCTATGATAACTTTCTGTAATTTTATGTTTGATTTGGCATCCATCTTTAATTTCCCTCTAGAACTACCAGACTTTTTCTCTCTGTAACTTGATATGTAAATTTTGCTATCTGATTTTTTTATCTAAGAGTTGTTTCTTTTGAATATACAGATTTAGGGCTATTTAGCTGACAGCTGCCAGGATAATGAAACAGATTATTGAGTTTGCAGTCTAATTGGAAAAAAAAAAGGTGGTCTTAGGAATCTATGAGATGTACTTCTATTGCTATGCCTAATACATCTATGTATTTATGTGTTGTGTACACAATGTTTCACTACTAAAAATATATAAAAGAGCCCTAATTAATTGGCTTAAAGAAAAATAAAAGTACTTCAATCAAATATTTTATGAGAAAGGAGGAAAGACTAGCCAAATGCTTTTTCATGTTTACGAGACTTAAGTAAAATCTTTAATAAATCAGCAGGTTTAAAATTATTGGTAAAGTAATATTAGAAATGCCTTAAGAATTGCCAGCATACCTTTTTGTTTCCATTTATTAATCAAGCAATTTTATTCTTATCCCTGCCAAATACTATAAGCTGTCAAAATTTGGCATAGGGATTACAAAACTATAATCCCAGCCCAAAACAGAATTATCTTTGCTTATGTAATTTTTAATAAATAAGATATTTATATTGGCTTACTGAAAATAGCTACATATATTAACAAATTATAAGGGACTTTAATTTTTTAACCCAAAGCTCAACTTTTTTTACATCTTGCCATTTTCAATTTTCTCTCTCCTTTTAAGGGAAGTGATATAGTAGCACTCTCCTTCAACTCATTTTCAGCTCATTTAAGTTTTTTTTTCCCTCGAGTTCTGTTTGTTGTGGCCTGATACTAACAATGTTTTCTTAAAGTCTATAGGAAATAATTTCTTCCAAAGTAATATTCTATGCACTGCAGAAGGTCTTTTCTTTTGCATTTTGGTAACTGGCCTAACAGATTTTATAGTTTATCAAAACAATTCCTATATCATTATTATTAAGTTTTGGTTGGCTTAAAAAAACAGATTAAAATTATTTTTAATTAAGGTTATTGCATTTGTGTGTCTTTCTGTATGTGCTTTTAAAGTACTTGTGACATAGAGTTTTAAGCCTTTGACTTATGGGCTGAAAAGGACACCAAGTTCTGCTGAAGTTTAAACACTGACAGCAATTAAAGTCTCATTTTCAGGCCTGATAGAAGATGCCTGTGATGGTTAATACTGAGTGTCAACTTGATTGGATTGAAGGATGCAAAGTATTGATCCTGGGTGTGTCTGTGAGGGTGTTGCCAAAGGAGATTAACCTACCAGCTTCCAGCTACCAGCTACCAGCACAGCTAGAATAAAAGCAGGCAAAGACTAGACTGGCCTAGCCTCCCAGCCTCTTCCAGCCCCAGAACATCGGACTTCAAGTTCTTCAGCTTTGAGACTTGGACTGGTTTCCTTTCTCCTCAGCTTGCGGATGGCCTATTGTGGGACCCTGTGATCATGTGAACTTAATACTCCTTAATAAACTCCCATATATATAGTTCTGTCCCTCTAGAGAACCCTAACTAATATAATGCCAATCAAAATAAACTGCATTGCTGAGACACAGGGCCAGAAATTAAAGCTATTCAACTCCTCAAGACCCAGGGACTATTGCAGAATAGGTGGGCGAGTGAGACTGTAAGGGCCAATTTTGAGAGATAAAATAAGTTCAGTTTCTCTATAAATTAACCATTAATGTCAAAGGCACATTGATGCAAGAGCAGTATATGGGTCCCTATGTCAGATTAACAAGGTTTCCTTGAAGCATTAACTGACTCCTTAATAAAGGTTATAAAAGGCTTATGAAAGTTTTATCTTATGGTCAAGATGTTATAAGTTGTTAAATTTTGAAAAACAAATTTAATTGGCTTCATGCTGCTTTCATTACAACTTATTGTTTGGAAAATTAAGTCCTCTCTCAAAGAATGAAGGTTTTCACCTTTTTATGAAATCCTTGAGTTATCACTTTGATTAAATAAATGACTACTTTAAAATGACCTGTGATCCTATTTTGTGATATCAATCAAGTGTTTTAAACCTTCGATATTTGACAAACTGTCCAAAATCAAATTATTAATTATGTCTTTTTCTGGACTAATTAATCATTTAAGATATTAATCCTTTCAATCCTTAAAGTCCAAAAACTACATATTTGGTTAATTTGTATAAAAATTATACAAGAAGGATTACCAAACAGAAAATGGTGTTTGGTTTTCTTTGCACTGTATTTGTATAAATATGTTATTGGAATGTGTTCCAAAATTATGGGAAACTCCTATAATTCTGATATGACTTAGTGTATGTTATCAGTAATAATTATACTTGTTATGTTAAATCATTCTGTGCCGCAGAGGTAACAGGTTTTCTTTTCAATTGTGTCTTTGACTGTGGCTGCCCTAAAACTTTTTGTAATCCAGGGACAATTATTGTCTTGTTTTGGTCCTCTTTAGAAAGTGGGTTTATAATCAGCTATAAAACTCTAATAGATGCTCTTGAATATAAGTTTCTGATAACTTTGGAGATTGTAACATCAGAGTAGAGGAACACCTTTCAGGACTCATGGAGGGCTGAAATATTCATGAATATCAAGCAGAACAGGAATTACCTGCATGGACTGAACTCATAGAAGACCGAAATAATCTTTGTTACTTTTTCCTTAAACGTTGCTGATCCTTTCTTTGTTTTTCAGAGTCAAGAAAAGTTTTCTTTTGAGCTATTGATGGCTTTTAACAATCAAGTATATGCTTATGAACACAATCAGAAGCATATTTGTTATTCTTTACCTGACTTCTCCAGAATTTGGAAACTATTTGTGAATATTCCTAATTTATGGCAGTACAGCTACTTGCATAAATGCAATAAGAATCTGTTTTCATTTGTAACAGGACACAATTGGAGAAACTGTTTATTTTATCCAGGTTTTGACTGGAAGGGTATGCTTTTCTTTAAGGAATCAAACTTGACTTATAGAGCCAATAAATGCCATTTGAAAAAACTGACCTCATACCTTGACTACACAGACCCTGTACAGGGCTCCTGACCTGTGGTAAGTAAAGAATGACACTTTCTGATGGGTCCAGGATCCCCAAGTTATCTTGGAACCTCAAGAGGAGAAGAATTCACCCAAATCATAGGTATTTGATGGTAAAAATCTATGGCTGGTCTTAACTTGAAAAAATGTCTTATCTGAGATTCCTTCTATGGAACAAATTTCCTTCAAAGCCAATTTTAAAAGCCTATGTGAAAAATAATTATTCTTGCTTCACTGTATACAAATAATCTGGACAAGTATAATAAAGCAAATCAGTCCTACCAAGATTATTCTTTAGTAAAAGTTGGAAACTGAAAAAATTATGTTTCAAAAACTATAGTACACCTGTTGTTTGATTCTAGTCTTGCCTAATATTTTTCTATGTTTCTTATTTTTTTACATTTTGGACTGAATTCTAATTTTTCCTGGCTACAAGCATCCAAAAGAGTTTTCCATTTTTTTCTTCTTTTTTTCCTTCATTTTCCAAATTTGACATCACTGAAAACTAACCTGTGCTTTTCTAAAGCCCTGCAAACTGAATCTAGACAACTTAAACTTCAGAAAAAAAAAAACAACCCATTTACATACAGAAATCCTTTTCATACCTCCCTACTGATGTATGAACTTCAGAGTAATGTGGCCTATATTGATTTTCTGGGATTTTTGTTTGTTTGTTGTTGTTTTTCTCCCCTTCTCTCCCTCTTTTCTCTTCATAGGACATGAGACTTCTTAGCCTGCTAAAAATTAGCTTTCCTAATAACTCAGGACCTACCTGTTAGGAATAAACCCTGATAGACATGAAAGATCAGACAAAACCTGAGATCAGAGACTAATTTTCTTCTAAAATGCTTTCTCCAAAAGATTTTCAAAAAATAAAAGGGGGGAAATGTGAAAGGAAGATAAATAATGGGGCCCCCAAAATCACTAAACTAAAGGGAAAAGTCAAGCTGAGAATTGCTTGGGCAAATCTGTCCCTCATTCTATTCAAAGTCATCCCTCCGCTCACTGAGATAAATGCATATGTAATTGCTTCCTTTGGAAAGGCTAATCAGAAACTCAAAATAATACAACCGTTTGTCTGTCAGTAACCCGCGACCTGGAAGCCCCCTCCCTGCTTGAGTTGGCCCAACTTTCCAGGCAGAACCAATGTACATCTTACATATATTGATTGATGTCTCACTTTTCCCTAAAATGTATAAAACCAAGCTGTGCTGCAGCCACCTTGAGCACATGTCATCAGGCCCTCCTGAGGCTAAGTCATGGGTGCACATCCTAACCTTGGCAATATAAACTTTCTAAATTACTTGACACCTGTCTCAGATATTCAGGGTTCACACCTCAAAACAAAGACCACATAGACAATGTTAAGCTAATGAGAAGACCCTTTTCTATAGAGGAGTGGAAAAGACACCTTAATTTTTAAAAATAACCATAGTTAGAGAAACATAGCAAAAGGAGTTTATAGCTTCATGAGATTTTATTTTTCACTTTGATTTTCAGCATTTCTTAGCATTGGTTATTGAGAGTAAAGAGAATAACTTGTTCACCAAAGTTGGGGATATTCCTGGGAAAATCCCTGATCTTGCCTCTGATAGCTCCAGAAAAATAGTTTGTTGAAAACCAAGTGGCAAGAATGAAAATGCTATACTTCTATTTGTTTTATTTCTTTCATGGTTTTCACATTAGAAGTACCTGGAATATCAGTTGTGTTCAACTGAAAATAGCACTGGAGGCTGAAGAGAAGATGATGTCACTTTTCATAACATCAGGTGAGGTGACATGGGTATTGGTTCTTGAATGAGAAGACACATGAAGTTCAGCAGAGCCTAGCTGAGCCATAGCAGTGTGAGCAGGAAATAAATTTCTCCTTGTAAATCTCAGATGTTTCGCAGTGGTCTCTTCTTTCAGTAAATGCTGACTAAAACAGAAGGGGTCCTAGAAAATAAGACTATATCTCTCCAAATTAACATACACAATTTCCAAATTACAACTAGCTCAGAATCACTTACAGACTTCCAATAATCCATATAGATCCATAGAGAAGCTTCCTGAATTGTGCCTAAGCTTGTTTAGGTCATTGGTCCCTGTGCCATGTATTGCATGGTAATTTAATTGAATTGTTTTCAGGCCAGTCTATTTTACCCCAACTGCCTAGCCTCATCACCTGCTTTTGTTCCTTGTAATTTCAGAGGACACAATAAGAATAAAAATACAAGATTTGTAAGCATGCTAATTACCTTTAATACTTTCTGAAAGGATTCATTGTAATGTAGTTACTAGAAGACCGTAGCATTATCTGACAATGATGACATCCTCCATTTTGCTTGTCAATCTAATAAACAACTCTAACATTTATTAGAATTAAACAACAATTATTTTGTTATGCTTATAATTTCTGAGAGTTAGTAATGTATTCAGGGTAAAATACAGATGAGGTATCTCTATGATGTCTGAAGCCTCTGTTAGGGTGGCTCAAATGGCTGGAAATTTGACTTAAAAAGTGCTTGATGGGAACAATATATCTGGGACTTTAGTTCTTCTTATGTCTACTAGAACTGAAAAAATCAAGATTCACCTTTATTGTTTACATGGTCCACCCTGACTTAAGATGGCTAAAACAACTGAGAGATAGCCAGCATCACTCTCTTTCCATGTGGCCTCTTTGTGTGATTCACTTGAGTTTCCTCAGAGTAAGATGAAATCAGGTAGTAAGATGAACTCAGATTTCATATATGAAAATTGACTTCCCCCAGGGTGAATGTATCAGTAATCCTAGGAAGAACCTACTACACTTTTTATGACATAGCCTCAGGAGGCACAGTGTCATTTTTCTATTCTATTGGTCAAAAATGAGTCACAGGCCAGCAGTACTATTGTGCAGGTTGAATACAGGAATTTAACAGGGCATCATTACTATCATACCTACAGTGGGTTTGAATATTTTCTATATAATTGATTACACTAATTTTGTAAATCAGTGAAGTGCCTTGTTTTTCAAAAAGTGGGTACATTATTGCAACTTTCAAAGAGATGGAAATAAGTTTTCCTGAGTAAGGATTACCTCTTTTCACTTTGCACAAGGATACTCTATGTAGAAATGGTGGTCTTGGCTTTTTATAGGCTCTCTGCCATTAATTACTCACTTATCATCCATTATTCTAATATATATATATATATCCCCCACACTTTTGCCAATAATGCTTTTTATAAACCATTTCTTATCATCTTCACTTCTCTGCTATTCTTTTTATCTGCAATAGCCAAATGCCATTTTCTTATCTGGAGTTACAAATCTAACCCTGAATTTTTCAAGGTCACCTGTTAGATATACCCTATTTCAAACCTTGTTAGGAAATAATTTCCTCCTTTCAAAACTTGGCGTCCATTTTATACACACCTCATTAAATCTATCCACCCTGTATTATATTACACTTGTATATTCACTCAGTAAATGAAAGAAATACTTATTCAATGTCTATCATATGCTAAACATGTTCCAAGTTGCTGAGTTACCAATACTAGAGAAGATGCACAGATTCTTGACTTTATGAATCTTTAGATTATTGCTGATAATGGACATTAAATAATTGTTACATTAACTTATGTGGTGATATATAAAGGAAATAGCACTGTATTTTAAAAGTATAGTACAGAGGACACTAAAGTAATCTAGTAGTTATGTTACTTTGCATGGATTGAAGAAAAAAATATGGTTTTATAGGACAATAAAAGTCTTTCATTTTATCTAGGACATAAGCCATATGTAATTAGAAGTGAGAAATAAGTCTGTAAACATTCAGAGTTGGTATTACGAGGTGGAATTGGGCAATTAATCACATGCTTAGAGTTTAGAACATGGGAATAACAAGGTCAGATTAACGTTTCAGAAGAACATTTGCTCTGGCAGTGATAAGGAGAATGTTTCCTCTAAATTGTAATATTAAATACAAAACAAATCAGTATTTAAGAAGGACTTTATTTGAAAGGATTGTTTCAAGGGGGCAGAGGATAGAGTGACTATTGTAGTACAGGAAGGTGGGCTACTGCAATAGGGAGAATGTTCTGACCGCAAGATCAGCAAATGTCTTAAGAGTTTGGTAGAAAGAATTTTCTTTCATACATAGGAGTCAACTAGACTGGAAAGAAACGTGTGGAGAAGTAGAATGAAAGGGTGTCCTGATAGAAAAGTGAATCAGAGAATGTTTTATCTTAAGGCCAGCCTACTCTCAGGATGGGATATTACAGAGGGGTTGTTTGCTGATCAAGCTTAGGGTGGGTCGAAGTCTTGGGGAAAGGAGAAAATTTTAACCACAGTTTAGTTAAAAACATTTTTTTCCCACTGGTCAATGAGGTTAAACACTTAGCTAATTATTTACTAGGCAAAGGATGGGAATGTGGAGGGTCTGTTTCTGCCCTTGTCATAGGTAAAGGGAGCCACGCATGAGTCATATCTATGGCTATGGGCAAGGGTATATCTTTGCAGTGATACATCTTCTGGAACACAAAAGGGTGAAGAGATTTACTTAACTTTCACTGTTTTCCAGGAGCACAGGGCTCAGATAAAGTTTACATTATCAGTAATGCTGCAAAATTGTGAATATGCTGAGATGAGAAATCAAATGTTAATCATCTGTTCTCCTGGAAGTTCAAGGTGCCTTCCATAGACTACTGAAAAATACAGGGTAGTAATGAGGACAGACATGATGGCGAGTCTGCCTTGTCTGCTTGTCATGAATTAAGCAAGGCAGGGTAATTATTTCAACTACATTTTTAATATAAAAGATAACAACACTTATCTTCTTTCATTAAATGGAACAGGCAAAATATGAAAATATTAGTAAGCATGCTTTGTAAACTGCAAACCATCACACGTGTTATTTTAGTATGTGCAAAATGAACACTTGCTAAACAAATGAGTGAGCACAGAGGTGTGAGGGGACAAGAAGAGCTCCATGTCCTCTCTTTGCTCCTTGGTTAGGACATACTGCTTCCT
Source organism: Homo sapiens (assembly GCF_000001405.40). Taxonomy (NCBI): domain Eukaryota; kingdom Metazoa; phylum Chordata; class Mammalia; order Primates; family Hominidae; genus Homo; species Homo sapiens. The sequence continues at coordinate 69,876,927 of NC_000004.12, forward strand.
CTACCCCATGCTTGCCTCTGTATCTTGCTCAAGTAGGAAAGAACAAGTCAAGCATAACTTGCCAGAGATAATAACTTTGAATTATCTTCTGTCCAGGACTTATTAAAAGCCTGGTTGTAATAAGCAATATTTATGGAGAGTGGTTTGAAGGGAGTAAATTTCATCTGTTCCTCCAGATATTTAAGATGTTATCCTGGGTTAAAGCCAGGCCATCAAAGAGCTATAGAATTAGACTGAACTGTTTTGTCTCCTCATAGAGTAACTTTTACTGAGCCTAGCCTTCAGGGAAGAGTACAGTGAAAGGGTTTAGAGCTCTGATTCTAGACTTAGGGCACACTTGAAGTTGAATCTTAGTTCTGTCACTTAATCGTTGTGACCTTAAGCAATTTATTTAACCTCCTTGAGCACTATCTGTAGATGCAGTTCATATAACTTCCTCATAGATTTTCTGAAAGGCTATGTGAAATTATATATTCAAAAATGTTATCACAACTCCTGTAGATAATAAACTTCTTTCGGGGTTTCTTTCCAGCTAAAAAAGTGATGTTCTGAACGTTACAGACTTAGAAACTCAACAGTCAAGTTTGTAAGAGTGACCCTTTCTTTTTGACCACAGATGACCAAGAAGGAAGTAGACATTCTCTCAATTAAGGCTATCAGATTGGGAATGAGAAATCTGTATCTAGACGTTCAAGTTCAAGATCCTTTTGGGTTGGTCTCTTGAATATGCAAGTCAATGCATTTGGCACCAGAGAAGCCAAATTTTATTTGCAATGTGAATTAAGGAGAAGAGGGAGACAGAGAGAAAAGAGGACTGGATTTGAGAAAAATAGGTTTCTGACAACTTTTCACAAGGGTTTGCAGTTCTTTTCTAAAGCTGCACTTTTGGATCCAAGAACAGCATCAAGGGGAAACTATATGACTAATTTTAGAAGCTATATATTTCTATTACATAAACTTTAATTATTCATCCTTTTCATTTTTAGAATAAAAAGTTTCAAATTGTATCACAATAAAATTAAATGTAAAAGAGAATCCAGGTACCATGGCCCACGCCTCTAGTCCCAGATGCTTGGAAGGCTGAGGCAGGAAGATTGCTTGAACCCAGAAATTCTGGACTATAGTGTGCAGTGATTGTGTATGCAAATAGCCACTACACTCCAGCCTGGGCAACATAGCAAAACTTGTCACTCAAAAAATAAATGTATAAAATGATATACTATAAAGAATCTCCCCATCCTTGTTTTCTATCTATCTGCTCATTCTCATTTTTCACCCCCATTAGATAACCACTATTATTAGGGTTTGTATAACCTTCCTAATATTTTTTAAATGCTTAGTTCCACATAGTTTTTATACAAATAATGCCTGTTTTGTACCTTGCTCTTTAAATATAACAGGTGTTTCTATAGCAACACATATAAAACTTTCTCTCTCTCTTTTTTTTTTCTTTTTCTGAGACAGGATCTCTGACTTTGTTACCCAGGCTGGAATGCAGTGGTGCAATCACTGCTCACTCCATCCTCGACCTTCCAGCTCAAGCTGTCCTCCCACCTTAGCCTCTCATGTAGCTGAGACCACAGGCATGCATCACCACATCTGGCCAATTTTTAAATTTGCAGTAGAGATGAGGTCTCACTAATCAAAGGGGGTGGTCTTAACTCCTGCGATCAAGCAATCCTCCTGTCTGAGCTTCCCAAAGTGCTGGGATTACAGGCATCAGCCACTGTACCCAGCTGTGTTTCCTTATTTCTGAAAGGATTTCTACTGTGATGTATTTACTGGACTTTACTGACTATATTATTTCCTATCTTTTATTAACATAAGCAATGCTGATACTAATAATCTTATAAATGTATTATTCTGCATGTTTGCAAGTGTATCTGTAAGGCAATTTCCCATAATTAGAATTGTTCGCTCAAAATATTTATTAGTTGTAATTTTTCTAGATATTCATGAATTGTCTTTTATAGGAGTTGTAATAAAGTGTTATTATTGTTTAATTTTTTTGACAATTTGTTAGAAAAATGTTACCTAGCATAGTTTTAACTAACATTTATTTTACTGTGAGTGAGGTTGAACAGGTATTCATGTGTTTAAAAGCCATCTGCCTTTCTTTTTCTCTACATTTTTTTTACATTCTTTTTCAGATTTCTCTTTAGTTGTTGTCTTTTCCTGATTGATTTTTTGGAGCTATGTTATGTACTAGAAGCATTACTCCTTACTCCATATTAAGAGTTACAGATATTTAGTCTCATTTATCACATATCTTTTTACTTTTGAATTGATTTTTTACAATGCAAAGAGTTTTGATTTAATTTCATTTTTTGCCTGTCAGATTTTTTTTATTTTTTGTTTTTTTAACTTTTATTTTAAGTTCAGGGGTACATGTGAGGATGTGCAGGTTTGTTACATAGCTAAATGTGTGTCATGGGGTTTTGTTGTACAGATTATTTCATCACCTAGGTATTAAGCCTAGTATCCATTAGTTATTTTTCCTGATCCTCTCCCTCTTCTTACCCTCTGCCCTCCAATAGGCCCCAGTGTGTGTTGTTCCCCTCTATGTGTCCATGTGTTCTCATCATTAGCTCCCACTTATAAATGGGAACATGTGGTATTTGATTTTCTGTTCCTGCATTAGTTTGCTAAGAATAATTGCCTCCAGCTCCATCTATGTCCCTGCAAAGGACATGATCTCATTCTTTTTTAATGGCTGCATAATATTCCATGGTGTGTATGTACCATATTTTCTTTATCCAATCTATCACTGATGGGCACTTGGGTTGATTCCATGTCTTTGCTGTTGCTGCAATGAACATATAAGTGCATGTGTCTTTATAATATTACAATATATATTCTTTTAGGTATATACCCAGTAATGGGATTTCAGGGACAAATAGTATCTGTGTCTTTAGGTCTTTGAGGAATTGCTACACTGTCTAAAAAGCTCAATATCACTGATCACTAGAGAAATGCAAATCAAAACTACAATGCAATACCATCTCACACCAGTCAGAATGGCTATTATTAAAAAGTCAAAAAATAACAGGTGCTGGTAAGGTTGCAGGGAAAAAGGAATGCTTATACACTGTTGGTGGGGTGTACGTTAGTTCAGACATTGTGAAATGTTTTGATCTTATGTAGTCAATCTTATCTAAGGTTCTTATGTGGTGTCTGATTTTGAGCTCTGAATAGAAAAGCCTTCCCTACTCCAAGTTCACAAAAACAAAACAAATAAATAAACAAAAAACCTTACTGTGGCCAAGCAGGAATATAATTTCACTCAACAGGATCTGGTTGAAGATAGTTTAATGAAGGAACTATTCATGAAAGTACAGACAAGATAAAGAAAGTGGTGAGAAGTGCTAAGAACCCCAGGGACTGGCTTTGGTAGGAAGCCATCACCACTCCTGGCCTGAAGGGGTAAGAAGACAAGGTGTGCCTGCAACCATGTGAGACTGTGAGACCTGAATTAGGGGCCTCCTTGAAAGAGCTTAAGTGTGGCCATTCTTGTTGATTTTTCTGTATGAACATGGAATCAGCATGTCTAATTAAAATATAAAACAAATCTTTTGCTTTTATTGCTTTTGTTTTATTAATTAATTTAGGAAGACTTGTCATCTGTATGAGTTTATATCTTCCTATATACAATCGTCATACCTCTCAATTGTTCAAGGCTTAGTTTTCATCCTTCTGTAGGCTTCAATTTTTTTTTTTCAGAGAAGTCTTATATGATCCTACCTATATGGGGAAGGGTATTTTATCTTTTGTCATTATTGTTGTTGTCATATTGCTTTTACAAATGGTTGGTTTTTGTCCAGCATTTGTTCTGTCAGGTGGTTCTGTGATTGATTGAAAGCTCTTGCACTAGCAGTTCCATTTCAATGTGAGCTTTGCAACTTTAGGAGCTCAGGTGACATTGTTCACTAGTGAGTTCTCTTTCTGCCCTTCTTCTCTTCATTTCTTTGCTATCAGATTTGGCCAGTCTCAACCAGTGCAAGCAAAGTGACACCAAAATGTCTTAATTATTTCCCTGATATTTACATTTTAATTACAAAATACATATGTTGTCATTGTAGAAAAATAAAAAAGAACATAGAAGCTAAAAATATTACTGTAATATGTGAAATAAAAAGAACCCTTCCACTTCTTAATCACTTAATTATTATTTTTTCCTTTCATGGTCTATGTATTTTTTTTCAAACAGCTGAACAAAACTGATGCTATGTCAGTAAAAAAATAAAAATAAACCACTTACCAATTACAAATTATGTAAAAATGGACTCCTTAGGCAAAAATTATATATTTTAATTCTATAAATAATTGTTCATCTATATAAAGCAGTAGAATAATTTTCTGTTGAAGACTGTGTCATCTGATCAACCCCAGAACAGACTGAGGCTTCAGACTATGCTGGCAGCACAGTATCCTGCTGCTCTCTAGTGGCACATTTCAATATCTGCAGGCAGATTGACTAGGCAATGTTATTTCATTTTTGGATTTCTGGCTTGGAGCAAAGGAAAAATCAAAAATGATCCAAAAGTTTAGAGACAGTCAAAGCTATTAATTTGCTGGTGTTTTATCAAGTTCTGTGAGAGTGAATTAGTCTGAGTAGTATCTTTTTTTTTGTTCAATTCAAATAGTTGTTTCAATTAAATATATAAGACTATTTAAAAATTAATTCAAGAAACATTTTATTAGCATTAGCTAAATGCCAGACATTATGCTAGCCAGTGAAAACACAGTTCAGTAAAAGGTAGACCTTTATTTTGAAGGAGGTCACATAATAATAACACTGCCATAATGTGTCATACTGAATATAACAGCACAGTACAAAGAAAGTACAAAAAGGAAAAATAAATGTATTCACATTCCCTATTCTTGATCAATTTCAGATAGAAGGCCTTAATTTACAATGGTGTTATTTCCTCTAGTGCTTGACGTAAAGTTGACAGAGCTTGGTAGAAGAGAATAGTGTTTTTAATCAGTTTTCTCATTTTAAGACCATTTCCTCAAAATATCACTTAATTCACTATGCTCTAGTCTTTTCGATTAACTTTAAAAGCGTGCTAATCCACATGAAGCAACTCCTCGCCCCTATCCTTGACTGGGATTTTGTGCTATTTCGTACTAATTGGAGGAGAACCTCATGTGTGCTCCAACTGCATCTCCTTTAGGATCAGATGTTTTTCCTGGTCATTCTAATTACTGGAGAAAATCCTATTTCAAAAACCAAAGAAATCTGGAACCCTAACACAGTGCCTTCCCACTCCTACCCACTTATTTACAAATATCCCCATTATAAGAGGCTTTCTACCTGAAACCTTTTTTCCCCAATAGACATGAATAACACCTACAATCACCCTCCAGGTTGTCACACTCCACACTGGAATTTGTACTTTTATTTGTGAACACTCCTGCAGGGAGGGTAAGCTCTACAGATGGCTTAGTTCCCTTAGTACTGTGCTCATTCCTCTTCCTTCCAGCCTCCCTGGTCCTTAGAGCAGAATAATGGCTAAGCCTGAAGAGTGAGGAAAGGGTCCATGAAAAAGGAAATATTTGAGCTGAGTTTTAGATGACAACTCAGATTTCTCAAAAGAAGAAAGAAGAAAGGAAGAAACAACATTCTATTTAGGGAAAAAATCAGGTAAAGTTATCTGCATTAGTCTGTTTTCACACTGCCATAAAGAACTGCCCAAGACTGGGTAATTCATAAAGGAAAGAGGTTTAATTGACTCACAGTTCTGCATGGCTAGGGAGGCCTCAGAAAACTTACAATCAAGGAAGTTCAAGGGGAAATGACAACTTCTTCACAAGGTGGCAGGAAGAAGAACGAATGCAGGAGGAACTATCAAACACTTATAAAACCATCATGTCTTGTAAGAACTCACTCACTATCCTGAGAACAGCATGGGAAAACTGCCCCCATGATCCAATTACCTCCACCTGGTCTCTCTCTTGACATGTAGGGATTAAGGGGATTATAATTCAAGATGAGATTTGGGGGTACATAAAGCCTAACCATATTATTCCGCTCTTGGCCCCTCACAAATCTTACATCCCTTTCACATTTCAAAGCCAATCATGCCTTCCCAAAAGGGAAATAAAGAGTCCCCTTTTGGGAAAGCTTAACTTCCCAAAAATTAAGACTCCCCTTTTGGGAAGACATGATTGGTTTTGAAATGTATCAACTCATTCCAGCATTAACTTAAAAATTCAAATTCTTAACTCATTCCAGCATTAACCCAAAAGTCCAAGTCTCATCTGAGACAAGGCAAGTCCCTTCCACCTAGGAGCCTGTAAAGTCAAAAGCAAGTTAGTTCCTTCCAAGATACAATGGAGATACAGGCATTGGGTAAATGTTCCTATTTCAAATTGGAGAAATTGGCCAAAACAAAGGGACTACAGGTCCAATACAAGTCCAATTCTGGCTGGTTAGTTATTTGGTGAGTTCCAAAATGATCTCCTTTGACTCCATGTCTCACATTCATGGCACGCTGTTGCAAGAGGTGGGCTCCCATGGCCGTGTGCAGTTTGTGGCTATGCAGAGTACAGACCCTGTGGCTGTTTCATGGGCTCACATTGAGTGCCTGCAGCTTTTCTATGTGCACAGTGCAAGCTGTCAGTGGATCTACCATTCTGGGTTCTGGAGGATCATAGCCGTCTTCTCACAACTTCACTAGGCAATGTCCTTGTGGGGACTCTTTGTGGCAGCTCCAACCCCACATTTCCCTTCTGCATTGCCCTAGCAGAGGTTCCCCATGAGGGCTCCACACTTGCAGCAAACTTCTCCCTGGACATCCAGGCATTTCTATACATCTTCTGAAATCTAGGGGGAGGTTTCCAAACCTCAATTATTGACTTCTGTATACCCACAAGCCCAACACCATGTGTAAGCCACCAAGGCTTGGGACTTGCCTCCTCAGAATCAATGCCCTGAGCTGTACATTGGCCACTTTTAGCCATAGCTGGGACACAGGATACCAAGTTCTGAAACTGAACAAAGCAGCAAGGCCCTGAGCCTGGCTCAAAAAGACATTTTCTCCTCCTAGGCCTCCAGACCTGTGATGGGAGGGGATGCGGTAAAGACCTCTGACATGCCCTGGGGACATTTTCTCCATTCTCTTGGTGATTAACTTTTGGTTAATCATTACTCATGCAAATTTCTGCTGCCAGCTTTAATTTCTCCCCAGAAAATGGATTTCTCTTTTCTATTGCATCATCAGTCTGCAAATTTTCCAAACTTTTATGCTCTGCTTCCCTTTAAAACATAAGTTCCAATTCCAAACCATCTCATTGTTAATGCATGAATTGAATACTTTTAAGAGCACCCAGGTCACATCTTGAATGGTTTGCTGCTTAGAAATTTCTTCTCCCAGATACCCTAAATCATCTCTTTCAAGTTGAAAGTTCCACAGATCTTTAGGACAAGGACAAAATGTCACCAGTCTCTTTGCTAAAGCATAGCAAGCATCACCTTTATTTCAGTTCCCAACAAGTTCCTTCACTCCATCTGAGACAACCTTAGCCTGAACTTCATTGTTCATATCACTATTAGCATTTTGATCAGAGCCATTCACCAAGTCTATAGGAAGTTCCAAACTTTCCCACATCTTCCTGTCTTTTGAGCCCTCCAAATTATTCCAACCTTTGTCTGTTACCCAGGTCCAAATTTCATCCCACCTTTTTGGGTATTTTTATAGCAGTACCCCACATCTGGTACTAATTAACTGTATTAGTCTATTTTCACACTGCTAGAAAGGACTGCCTGATACTGGGTAATTTATAAAGGAAAGAGGTTTAATTGACTCACAGTTTCACATGGCTTTGTAGGCCTCAGGAAACTTAGAATCACAGAGGAAGGTGAAGGGGAAGCAAATCATCTTCTTCAAAAGGCGGCAGGAAGAAGAGTGAACACAGGAGGAATCAAATAATTATAAAACCATCAGACCTCATAAGAACTCACTCACCATCATGAGAACAATATGGAAGAACTGCCCCCATGATCCAATTATCTCCACCTGTTCTTTCCCTTGACATGTGGGGATTATGGGGATTATAATTCAAAATGTGATTTGGGTGGGGACACAAAACCTAACTATATCAGTATCAAACCATTTATTAGTAAAATAATTTTGTTTTTTGTATTTTACATTAAGGAGCTCACGCTCTATTCATTGTTTTTCCTCCAGTTTGTGTCATTCAAGAACATCTTAGATATATTATACATGTCTATATATAAACCTCAGTATTTTTGTGTCTTAATATATGTGTATATATTTTAGTATATGGATATATACAGGCAAATGCTTACAAATGGATCTGGAAGTATCTCAGAACAAGAATGTGAAATTGAGTGACACCAATGAGTGACTTTGCTTAATCTAATTGTTTGAAATTCCATAATGTTAGGATTGTGTGTGCATGTCTGTGTATTACTTGGTGAATCGAAAACTACTTGTAAAGAGAAAAGACTAAAACTATACTATATTTGAAAAGAGCATAGGTCAAAAGATGGCTGGACAGTAGGACTATAGAAGAAAATGTTTTAAAATTTTTGTATTGCTAAGGCTTTCTGAGCAAAGAAATCTGTGATCTAAGTCAACAAACAAACCTTGGCAATTAAACTGCATATGAACAGACAGTGGGAACTGAAATTTACTCTCTCAGAGGCATGTGTTTATGTTTCAAAGAGGAATAAAATCAAGAATCAAGGAAATATCAGGGTTTTCTGAGCTACAGGCACTTGGCTTATGTTCTACCTAAAGATATTTATTAACATTCCAAAGGTTAAGAACTCAGGACCCTCTCGTTCTCACAAAACAATTATGATTTGTTTATATTAGGGAGATAGGTCTCTCTCTCTCTCTCTCTCTCTCTCTCTCTCTGAGGATAACATTTATATAAACTCCCAAATTCATATTTTGGGTGTTTTCTTTTTTATAGTGTAGTAACTAACTTCCTACTTTTAGTTCTGCCCATTTGTTTCTTATCACGTTTCTTCAGAAGAAGAAAGAATTAAGGCAGAGGAAGAGTGATAAGGTTATTGTTCTAAGTAATAATATCTCTAATCCCTGCTCCACAAGCTTCATGTTCACTTTCAGATAATATAAACAAATATAGATATTAAAAATGTACCATTTGCACCAATACTCAATTTCACTGAGAATCATACTTTTGTGGTTAGGTTGCAGGGTTGGTGTTGGGTGTTTCCTCAGTTTTTTTTTAATCCCATCATTTCAGAACACAGATTAAATGACATTATATTTATTTATTTCACACATATTTATTGAGGGCCTAGTAGGCACCCAAGTACAGCCTACTAAATAGGAAAAAAATAAGCCTCAATCATCACAATCTATTGAGATAAGACAATAGAAAAAAATAACAAGTAAAATATTTAGAATGTTCAATCCCAGAGAAACAACCCACATCCATAAATTCAGCTTCAAAACTACCCCAAATTTTTAGTGTGCAACTAACAGACTGTGTCTTAGATGTCTCACAACTCATAAGACTTTAACATAAATCCTAGATAGTTATATTATTCTCATTTTATGGATGTGGTCTTCCAAGCTTAAAGAGACTTGATACATATTTGCTGTTAGGATTACATAAAATAACCCATTCCTGGCCATTAAGTGCTTTCTCAGCTTTGCTATTATTAAAATTACTTGTGTTATATTATACCATTTTTATGCATGTACATTATGACATATTGTCTCTTACACTTCATCTATCTCAGCATATTATTTGATAATAGCAAAAGAGACATGTTGTAGAACTGCATATTTATTTCTAGTGATGTAAATTTTGTAAATTAGGAATATAATCCAATAAACATTGGTTTACTTTAAATAGCTGTATTTATTCCTTAGTTTACAAATTTATCTAAAGACATCTGCTTAATGTGAAAAACAATTGAAGTTATATATATATATTAAAAGGTAAAATTAATATAAAATTAAAATATGTTTAAGTGCTTAAAATATTATTCCTAATCACAGAGCAATTAATATGGTTACTAACAAAAAAATGCTTTGCAGTAATGCCTTAGTTCAAACAATGGCCCCCACACACTGTCCCTTTATTAACTTCAAAAGAGGTGTATTTTATTCTAATGATAGTCAATTTTACTTGGAAAATATCTAAATATTTTTTCAAGGCATAATTTTCTAAAAGAGTTGTCTTAATTTGGGGTATGTAAACAATTTTCCTTAAATAAACATTGGTCAAAAAAAGAATAAATATAAACATGTATACACACACAAACATATATTAAAAAGGTAACAATGATGTTAGGTTTTTCAATAAAAAGTTTTTACTGCTGTTATATACTTTTAATATTTTTATATTTATAATGTAGAAACATAAGGAAAGCCATATCTCATATGACATGAAGATAGATCTAATTTCCACTCATTACAAGGTTATCTATACTGCCAATATTATTGTCATTTATTGCCATCTTCATAATTTTTAAAAAGTGCTAATTTTAATTTAGAGGTTATTGAAAATACAGGGGCAATTATTTTTTCCTCATTTGATTTCACAGACTCTGATTCTCTTCACAGATCCCAGATTAAGAATCTCTGAAGAAATGTTTTTGTTTGCTCATAGCAGAGGAAGAGAGAATGATAGGAGAAATGACAGGAGTCACATCCTGTCATTTCATTTTGGATTATAGCATATTGGTCTGAAAGTCACAAGACTCCACTTAACTCTAAGGTGGCTAAGAAATGTAGTGTCCCAAACGCCCAAGAAAAGGAGGAACACCAGATATCAGGAAGCACTGTTATTGTCTTTATATCACTCACCCAGAACACTCATAAAATTCCTTCTGCTTAATAGCCCCTGTTATAACCAGTTGTGTGTTGCTATAACAGAGTAACACAGATTGGGTAATTTATAAAGAAAAGAAATATATTTCTCTGAGTTCTGGAGGCTGGGAAGTCCAATATCAAGGTGGAAGGTGGAAGGGCAAGTGGGTAAATTTTAACTGAAATATTCTTTGGCTTGCTCAGCCCCAAAATCTTGGAGTCATCCTTTGCTTTTCTCTCTCATTTACCATTTCTAATATATAAGCAAATCCCGTCTGCTCTATGATCCCTTCTTCTTATATCCATCATTTTCACTTTTGTCCAAATCAGCATTAGCCATTGCCTGGATAGTTAGTCATAAGAGCTGCTAATTATTCTTTCTGCTTTTATTCTTATTTATATCTCCAAACCCATCTTTATTTTCAACACAGCTGCCAAGATAAAACTTTTAATAAAAAATAAAAGTCAGATCTCTTATTTCTCTGCTCAGAACCCTGTGATGAGTTTTCCAAGAAAAGCCAAGTAAGTTCCAGTGACCTGAAGATCAATGTGTTGATCTGGCTCCCCTTACTTGCCTTATCTCCTCCTACTCTCCCTCTTTCTTTCCTCCATCTAGACCAGCCTCCTTCTCTTCCCAAACACTCAAGACAAGTCTTTGACTTGAGACATTTGCAACTGCTATGCCCTCTTTTCAGAAATGCTCTTCCTCAACATACCTCTATGACTAGCTCATTTATCTTACTCAGATTTCTACTCACATGCCACTTCCTCAGAAAGGACTTTCCTGACCACAACATTTAAAACAACTCCTCCCCACCCAAGCACACTGCTTTAAATTTTAGTCTTAGCACTGCACTTTCTCTGTGGTATGAATGCTATACATTAGAACTCACCCTTTCTCATATATGGTGAACTCTATAGTCCAGTGCAGAGGATTCTCATGTTATTTAACTTTTTATGTGGATTGTCTTTCATCACTTTGAATAATATATTATGGATAACTCTATCATTTTGTTTGAAAAGTCATTTTCCAGAAACTGTGTTTATTTTAACAATACACACTCTGGATCCTATTTTAAAAGAGATAAAAAGCCTGATTCACCAGAAAGTCATTAAACTAAGAACTGATATTTTCTGCATTTTGTCCTACCCTCAAAAGATAGGACCTTGGATTGTATAAAGATAATGAGACAACTATGATTCAAATATTTTCTTATAGTGCAACCCAGTTTGTAGCATTTGAGTATTATAAAATGTTCACCACTATGGAACTGAGGATATCTGGTCATATGCACATATTAACTAGATCCACAGAAGGTATTACAGCAGTTACCTGCACTTACCCTGTTGCTATGGTTAGGGTACCAGTAGTCCAGGTAAAAGGGGAACACAATTATGCAGGAATTATTTGTGGTGATGTGTTGTCAGAGTAATAGCACAGACAATATGTATTCAATGTAAATCATTGGCAAATGGAATTAGAAACTCTTCTGCCAGAATCTGAAGTACCTTATGATGAGTGAAATAAATGAAGTATGTTTATGGCCACCATGAAATTCCAAAAAGATTATATTGCAGTTAATCTCTTAATATTGTTCATAGCATTACCTTGTAACAGTGGCTTTTATAACACATAAACTTATAAAACAGATTTTTTTTACCATGACTAAAAACAAAATCACCCCCATGCTTTGTAACAAACTGCCAAAGAATATACAAAATGTGACCTTAATATTTGGATGGAACATTCTGCTGGATACTTATCGGGTCACAGAAATCTCTAGTATTTTAGTTCATTCTCCCTCCCTCCCTCCCCCATTTATTTATTTATTTATTTATTTATTTATTTATTTATCAATAATCAAAAGTACTTACTATATTTTTATTCCAAAAGTTGTTTAGAAAATATAGAAAAAAAGCATTAGTCTGAGGCCAGATAATTAGTATTTTTGAAAGAATTTAAAAGTATTATTTGGAAGTAGAACTAATTTCAAGGTGTTTCTATTGTCTTCATGTTGTTACTCCAAACTTTTCATTGTAATCATGATTTTTAATATATTTAAAAACTGTTCATTTTTTTCATAAATCTGATTTTTAAATGGACAAGAGATCTGAAGACCCCTCAGCAAACAAGATATACAGATGGTAAATAAGTATGTGAAATGATCTCACCATCATATGACATTAGGAAACTGCAAATTAGAACAATAATAAGATATGACTATGCACCTATTTAAAGTGGCTAAAATCCAAAATAATTCCAACAACAAATGCTAATAAAGATGTGAAGCAATAAGAATTTGCATTATTGCTGGCAGGAATATAAACTGCTACAGTCATATTTGGAAGACAGGTTGGCAATTTTTTACAAAACTAAACATAGTTTTACCATGTGATATGCCAATCATGCTCCTAGGTATTTACCAAAGTGAGTTAAAAATACATGTCTATACAAAGCCTGCACTGAATGTTTATAGAAACTTTATTCATAATTGCCAAAAGTTAGAGCCAATGAAGATGTCCTTTATTAGAAAAACTGTAGCATATTTATACAATAATTATTATTCAGCAATAAAAAATGAGTTATCAAGCCATAGAAAATCATTTAATGCTTATTGGTAGTAGAAAGAAGCCAGTCTGAAATGGATGCAACTATAGGCAAAAAGACAAAGCTATGCAGGCAGTAAAAAAATCAAGGTTTGAGAAATGGAGGAGAGATGAATAGGTGGAGCAGAGGACACTTTTAGGACAGTAAAACTATTCTGCATAACACAGTAATGGTGGAAATATGACATTACACATTTATCAAAACCCATATAATTTTACAAGACAAAGAGTCAACCTTAATGTAAACTATAAATTTAGTTAATGATAATGTATCAATATTAGTTCATCGGTTGTAACTCATGTACCCTACTAATGCATTATGTTAATAGGGGAAACTGGAAACTGTTGGGGAAGGAAGGGTACATGGGAATTCTTCATCATTTCTGGCAATTTTCCTGTGAAACCAAAAATATTCTTAAAAAAATTGAGTTCATTAAATAAATAAACCAACAAACAAAAAGTAGTCAGTAGAGGTTCAATCACAAATGGTGAGTTTTCAGATATTGCTCAAATGGTACTACCAACTATTGTGGGTAATTATTTTTTAAATTTTATTTTATAAATTTAAGGGGTACAAGTGGTAGTTTTGTTACATGAATACACTGCCTAGCAGTGAGGTCTGGGCTTTTAGTGTAGCCAGCACCCAAAGAGTATACATTGTATTTATTAAGTAAATTCTCATTCCTCACTTCTCTCTTACATTTTCAAGTCTCTATGATTATTTCAATCTCTATGTTCATGTGTATGCATCATTTAGCTCCTATTTATAAGTGAGAATATGTGGTATTTGACTTTTTGTTTTTGAGGTATTTCATTTAAGATAATGGTTTTTAGTTCCATCCCTGTTGTTACAAAAAACATGATTTCATTCTTTTTTATGGTTGAGTAGTATTCCATGGTGTGTGTGTGTGTGTGTGTGTGTGTGTGCATGGAATTTTCATGGTTTGTATATGTGTGTATATACATGTAAATATATATACATATGTCTATACACATAAACACACACACCACTTTTTATGGTTGAGTAATATTCCATGTTGTGTGTGTATAAACATTTTCATGGTTTGTATATGTGTATATATATGTATAAATATATATACTTATGTCTATACACATGAACACACACACATCACTTTTATGATTCCATGTATTCCATGGAATTCCAAGTATTCCATGTATTCCATGTATTCCAAGTAGTATTCCATGGTGTATTACACACACTATACACACACACACACACACACACACACACACACACACCATGGAATACTAAGTGAGAACATGTGTTATTTTCTTTTCTGTTCCTCTGTTAGTTTGATAAGGATAATGGCCTCCAGCTCTATCAATGTTTCTGCAAAGGACATGATCTCATTCTTTTTTATGGATACATAGTATTCATTGGTTTTGTTGTTGTTGTTATTGAGATATTTGAGTTCCGTAGAGATTCTGTATATTAGTCCCTTTGTCAGCTGACAATTTTTTTTTTGAAAGTCAATGTATTTTGTAAAGGTAGCAATAATAAATATTGAATATCTTTGCTCTCAGAAAAATATTTATATTAATTGTTTTATCTTGTTGGAAAGTTTGATCTATACTAGATTTATGTAAGTGAACTGTGAAATATTCATTAATATAGATATATGATGATAAAAGTTTTCCAAAGGTATTATGGCATGATAAAACTAGTTCTTTCATGTAAAGTAACTATTTTTAAAAATATTATTATTAGTAGTAATAGTAGTATCATTTTAGAGACAGGATCTAGCCCTGTTACCCAGGCTGCAGTGCAGTAGTATGATCATAGCTTGCTGCTACCCTTGAATTTCTGGGGTCAGGTGATCCTCTTGCCTCAGCCTCCTGTGTAGCTGAGACTACAGGTGCATGCCAACACATCTAATTTCTAAAAATCTTTTTGTGTAGAGAAAGTGATATGGTTTGGATTTGTGTCCCCACCCAAAACTCATGTTAAATTTTAATCCCCAGTGTTGGAGGAATAGCCTGGTGGGAGGTAATTGGATCATGGGGGCATATTTCCCCTTTGCTTTTCTTGTGATAGTGAGTTCTCATGAGACCTGGTTGTTTAAAAGCACATGACACTTTCCCTTTCACTCTTTTCCTCCTGCTCTAGCCATGTAGGATGCACCTGTTTCTCCTTCGCCTTCTCCATGATTGTAAGTTTCCAGAGGCTTCCTCAGTCATGCTTCCTATACAACCTATGGAACTATCAGTCAATTAAACCTGTTTTATTTATAAATAGCCCAGTCTCAGGTAGTTCTTTATAGCAATGCAAGGACAAACAAATACGGACAGGGTCTTGCTTTGTTGCCCAGGCTGTTCTCAAGCTCCTGACCTCAAGTGATCCTCCCACCTCAGCCTCCCTAAGTGCTGGAATGAGCTGCCACACCCAGCCTAAATAAGCATGAGCCACCACACTCAGCCTGAAATAACTTTAATGTGATACAGCTTATAAGCATGAGCACCATAACCAGCCTAAAATAACTTTAATGTGATACAAACTTATGTAGAGATGTAAACTTAAAATTGGCTGGTGCTGGGGTGTGCACCTGTAATTCCAACTCTTTGGGAGGCTAAGGTTGGAGGATCACTTAGTCTGGGAGTTCTAGACTGCAGTGTACCATGTTTGCACCTGTGAATAGCCACTGCACTCCGGTGGCAATATAGGAGATCCTGTTTCTAAAAAGAAATTTGAATTGTTTTCCTTTGTTTAAAAATGATTTAAAACATAAGAATTACATTTACTGTGTTCAGAGCCATGTCTATATTTTATCATAAGCAGACATGGGAGAGGAATAGTGTGATTTGTAGAATGAATGTAATTTTTAATGCATTCGAAATCTAAGTTAAAACTGACTTTTCTGCTTGAATTTTTATGTTTTCGTAAAATATTTTTGTCATTATTTTTGTAAAAATGTGATTGTCTTAGTCTCTCCATGCTGTTACAATAACATATATAATACTAGGTAATTTTTAAAGAACAGAAATGTATTTTTCCCAGTCCTGGAGGCTGAGAAGTTCAAGATCAAGACATCAGCATGGTCATTTAATCATTTAATACATCTGCATCTAATTTTCTCACCTATAAAATAAGTCTGAGGTAGTTCATGCTTGTAATCTCAGCACTTTGGGAGGCCAAGGCGGAAAAATCGTTTGAGCTCAGGAGTTTGAGACCAGCCTGAGCAATATAGTGCAATGCCCATCTCTACAAAATATTTAAATAAATAGCCAGGCATGGTGGCCACTCACTTGTAGTCTGAGCTATTCAGGAGGCTGAGGCAGGAGGATCGCTTGAGCCCAGGAAGTTGAGACTGCAGTGAGCCATGATCATGCCACTGTATTCCAGCCTAGATGACAAAGTGAGACCCTTTCTAAAAATAAATAAAATAAAAAGATTGTTTCCTACTGTTTAGTTGTGAGAAATAACAGAGATGATAATGTAAGATGAAAGGAAGTAATATGATGAATGTACTTTATGAATGAATGAAAAAGAATAGCTGTTGCTACTGCTTGCTGATGTTTTTAACAACCATGTGTAAGATTGGTTGTCACCTGTCTGTGCATACATCTCCTTTACTAGCTTGTATGCATCTTGAAAGAAAGGGACACAAGAGAAATCTTGTATCCTTAGTGCCTACTGCCATAACATGTACTCATCACGGTTGAATTAAATTAAATTACATTGCTTACAACCAGCAGGAACTTCGATTTTTTTTAACTACAAGTAGGATTAGAATTCACTTTTATAAGAGATGGGTAGTACGGACTTACATGGGTGATTTTCCCAAACTCTCATATGTTTTGTCTATAATTAGCTAGCTCTCCAAGTGTTAATCTGGATGATAAACATTTTATGGTATGAGGTTGGTGGACTTTGCTTCTTATACGAATTTTCCCATGGAAAAAAAATTTAACTTCTTAGGTCTCGAACAATTTGGCAATAGCTTTTTTATGGAAGCAATCACCATACCTACTTTAAGAAGGGTAAACACCAGCAGTGAGGGAGGGCAGGACATTTTCTCCAACCTGAGATTAAAGGCGACTCCAGAAAAATATGGTGTATATTGACACATGCTGCTCGGTGTACAAAGGTTTTGTGTGTGGACCACGCACCAGGGGTTATAAAGGTGCAGTCAAATAGGAGAATTTCAAGAAGAAAAGCACTTACTTTTAGGTGTTTAGAGTAAGAATATCAAATTTATTATTCATTCATAAAATTCCTTCAGCTAAATATCTCCCAATTCACAGTATCATATAGAGGATAAAATAATATAAATACTTTATTATATATTTTATGAACTAAGAGATGAAAAATGAATATGGGGAAAGTTTAAATAAAGGAAATATATGAAAGTCTGGTAATCTATAAAATTTACATATAATAGATTCAGCTTTTAACCAGAAATAAAATCTTCCTTAGAGCGCCTGATATTCTTCATTATCATTGTCATCATCTTTATATCTTACTGAACCCTTTTTATGCACCAGGAACTGTGCTATGTGCTTTGCTCAAAACTCATCAGTATTCACTGTGATTCACAGATGGGGACTCCCACTTTCCAGGGAGGAAGCTGAGACTTAGTGGATATTTTTAAAATTGTCTATTGTTACACAGATACTAAATGAAATTTAAGCTCAATTCCGCATCACTCTGACTTTGGGAAGAAAATTATGCGTTCTCTATGCATTTTGATTCTAGCCATTCCACATTCAACAAGACAATTCCATAAGTGTGAAGTTTACTACAATATCAACTGCTAGAGTGCAATGACTGTGCAGCTTATATTTGTTCATCACAATACTTATCAGTTCCTTGCATTTAGCAAGTATTGAAATATTTATCAAATTAATTTTTAGATAAATCGTTGTTGAGGTTTTTTTGATAAAATTTCATTTTGGTGTTTTTTGCTAGTATACTTTCATTATTCTCCCCAAACTTCTAAACCCTTCTTTTAACAATTACAATCAAAGAATGATTCAGAATTTTGTTTGATGGGAACAGAATAGAAAAAAATAGAGGCCACAGTCAGTAACATCTTTATTATCCTATCTACTGACAAGCCTATAAACCTCCTTGCACTTGCATAAATCTTGTTACTTTCTGTTAAGTGGAAGAAGCATTCCTTCTCTTATTAAAGTCCAGGACTGTGACATGTGCCTTGTATCCCATCCCCCCTTGCTTTCTTACGGACATTCATTCTTTGCTAGGTGTTATCCTTTGTTCTCATCTTTGTTGTCTAAACAAATATAACACATTATAATGAGAGGAAGAGCATCAGTTTTAGATTTTCTTTGATTTTTTGGTGAGACAAAAGTGAAGAGGTCACCTGGAATCTTTGTCCTGTAGCACCTTGGCTATACACCAACCATATAGTACCTAGGAATAAAATTCTAATTTAAGTACACAGAATAAATAGTACAACAAGTAAGCAAAAGTCAGGTTATACAACATTAAATTGTAAAATTTTCTACAGTGAAGTATTCTAATTTTTAAAGAATTTTTTCAAAAATTGTATGAAGTGTGTTTCAACTGCTCGTTTGAACTCCTGGGACTAAAAGGTGATCAAGGCCTTTAATAATATATCAATACTGGTTCACTAATTGTAACAAATATACTACACTAAGGTGTTAGTAACAGGAAAAGCTGGATATAGATGATATATGGAAACTCTCTGTGCTGTCTTCGCTAATTTTCTGTATGTATTGAACTGTTCTAAAATGAAATGTTTATTAAAAAAATGAGATAATGTATCTAAAATTTAGAAAAAATAATGTTTCAGACACTCAAAGTATGCAAAGCTCAACATTAAACACAAGAGTAGAAAATAAAAGAACTCTTGGATTAGAAAAAGTGATTTTTTTTTTGAAATAAGAATTGGAATTGAGGAAATTCAGATAAAATAGATTGAGGAATACTATGGTGTATGTAAATAATACCAGAAATGAGAATCAGTGATTTATACAAAGAAATGGTTGAGAGACATTGAAGAATTCTCTTTTGCCAATACACTAAACATAGATGAAATGGAGCTATTCTGGATAAAATATAACTCTACTCAATAATAAATATAAAGAAATAACTATAAATGCTATGTTTTGATTACATTTCTTTAATAGTTATTGAATACTGTAAGGTCATAACAATTAAGAAATTTAATAATTTAATTAGTAATTAAATAATGCTAGCACCTCCAAAGAAATTTAATTAGCAATTTACTGATTTACAGAAAGTATATATAAGATTAAGATGGTTTTATAGATGAGGTCTACTAAATACTCAAAGAAAAAAAAATTCCTGTTTTTAAATTTCTGATGGTGTTAACAGTGATATTCCCTTTAGTTCCAGTAGGAGGAGGTAAAAACCTAAGAAGTTTTCAAGGATGCTGACCCAACTGTTAAAAGCTAAGAGCAAATCCAGACTTTGGGATTTATTTTAACTCCAAACACCTTTTTGTGACATACATAAAGTCTTTAAAAGGTGCAAAGTCTTACTTTATAGATTTGAGTGTTCTCTGACCACTCCAAATGGAAATATTTTAATTTTTCATTTGGGGAATAGCTGTAGTGACCAAGTAATATTAGTAAAAGGACTAAGGAAAACTACAAAGTACCATCTTTTCCCCCTCAGTACTCCCCTTTCTCCATCACCCCACCCCTGCCTGCCAAACATACACACACACAAAAAAAACAAAATCTGGGGAGACTTAATAATGCTCTCTACACCCTATATATTTGAGAAGGTTTGTGGGCAAGAAATCTATTTTAATTTTGATCCCTTTCTTTCCATAAAGGAAGTATCAACTTTGATCATTAGGTGACATCAAAGAGCAACATAATATACTCAGATGACTAAATGCAAAGAACTGAAAAACTAAATTGGTCTTGCAGTAAATCATCTTTCTTTAATTAGACAGTCAGAAATTCTGTATCTGGTTTGAAATAATATTAAACAGTTTGTTATTTCCTGAAAGAAAACCTATCATCAAAATCATAACAAATCCTTCAGTTATAAATTCTACAATTAAATACACGACTTTAGAATGTGAATTATTTTGTCTTTCTTTGTTGAGAGACAAGCATTACAATTTTATTTGTCTACACATTTCTATCATTACTGAATTAGATCCTAGACATTTAAACTCATCAGGTATTAGTCATCAAAACATACAAAGAAATTGTCAACTACAAGCATGTTCTTTTTTGTTCCTTTGAGTTTATGTCAAGGCTATGGGGTTAGGGATGAATATCTAATTCAATTTCAATTTCATTAAAAACAATCAATTTGTGGTCATGTATATTTCAAGTACTACAAGTCGCTGATGATACCACAATGTCTCTACTTGTCCTCAAAGAATTCATTGTAGGGAAAGACAAACATGTAAATAGTCAATTAAAATACAGTGTTGGTAAAATACAATGCTGATACTTGTGAAAATTAGACCTCAGAAAAGGGTCATGTAACAAACACTGGAAGGAAATTTATGATAAAGCAGGTGTAGGCCAGGCAAGAGCAGGAATAGAGTGGAATAATACAACAAAGAAATATTCCAGGAGAAGCGAACAGCACGTGCATAGAGCTGAAGGAGTAAGAGCTTCATGCATTCTTAAAACTGAGGGAGGTCTCTGTGATTGTATCCCTGAGAAAAGATGGATGCTGCAGGGTGGTATGAAGTGAGGTTAAAAATCTAAACAAGACCCATATCATGCAGAGACTCATAGGTGATTTAGGTGTTTGACTATCATCCTAGAGCAATGGGGAGCCAGTAGGAAAACATGCTTTAATAAAACACAATCTGCTTTGCACTTTACTGTAGTAGTGGCAAGGGAGGCTCAAAGTAAATTTTTAGGTTTCTACCTTGAGAAGATGAGGAGTCATAATATGAGAAATGACCAAAATATAGGAAATAGTGTTCCAAAGATATTGTACACCATCTTCCTCCACCATGCACACACACAAAGCAAACATGTACAATGGCTGGAAAAAAATTCTGAAAATGTCAATCAATAAGGAATGGTTAAGGAAGGAAAGCTATCCAAGAAAACAGGAGGAAGAAAAGCAAGAAAGATATTTTATCTTATTAGAGATGACATGAGAAGAGGAAATTCCTTGAAAATAAAAGAGTCAGTAATATTAAATGCTGCAGAGGAGTTAATAGTACACAGACTGTGGAGGTCATTAATAGAGCACAGTCCTTGTAATACTCAGCCTTGTGGAATATTTGATTTAAAGAAGTAGAGAGACACTTGTTCTATTGAAAAGAGAAAGAAAGGGCAAAGCAAAGTGCAGACAAATGAATTTGCAGGTTTGATGGCAAGAACAGTGAATGTAGATCTGATGCAGTCAGGTTTTCATGGCAGAGGGACCACCAAATTAGCAGAATGGAAAATAGGAAGTACACTAGTTTTTGTGGGCAATATTTATGGTCCTGATGCCTTTGGAGCTCATAAATATATAAAAGCAACAATGTGCATAATATTGTTTTTGTTGTTGTTGTTTTCAGTAGGGTTCAACAGTCCTGTTGCTGGGATAGATAATTCAGACCAGAGGTGTCTTAGATGGTATTGAAGGAAAACATGTGTTCTTCCAGGGCAAACCAGATTTCTTTCAAAGCATTTCAGGGCAGTCATTTAGGAGGCTAATAGAAAGGAAAGTTACATTTAACGTGAAATTATAATTTCATGGGACAATAGTCTTTAAACTGATAGGTACATACCTGGGGGCTCATGAATATATTCTGAGGTCTATCAAACACATGTATTTTTATGAAATCAATTCACAGACATTCAACCTTCAATCATACTCTTCCCTAAACTTCTATTCAGAACACACATGGTAGCAGCACCGTATTAGTCCTCCTTTCTCACCCACCCTTTTACAATCAAATTCCTTCTACTTAAAGGATAATAAAGACATACCCTTTATTCAACCCAAATCTAAATATAATATGTTGCTCTAAGAGAGAAAAAAAAAACCTTTGAGGTGCAAACTAAAGGAACAATTCAAACGATAGTTGTCAGCAAATCCTCCTATAACCAAGGCACCATAAATCCTATCACCCATATCATTAAAATAAGAATTTCTACTATAATTTCAGCTTTTTGATAAGTAACTAATATATAAGCAAATGCATATATGTTGTTTTGATCAAACACACAAGAATAACTCAAACTACATGCGTATTTTAACATTTACACAAGTATAGTCACTAAAAATATTTTTAAGACTACTAATTTTCATTGTATTAATATAGTCTTATGATTGAGGAGTATAAAAGTATAATTAATAGAAGGCTTCCTATGTTAGAAATATATGATATTGAAATAAAATTGTGTACAGTAAGTGACAAAATGAATGATGTATATTTTCTGAAACCTAAGGAAGAGCTTGTTCATTTCTTTTTTTTTTTTTTTTTGAGAAAAAGTTTCACTCTTGTTGCCCAGCTGGAGTGCAGTGGCGTGATCTCAGCTCACTGCAAACTCTGCCTCCCAGGTTCAAGTGATTGTCCTGCCTCAGTCTCCCAAATAGCTGGAATTACAGGTGCCCGCCACCATGTCTGGCTAATTTTTTATGTTTTTAGTAGAGACAGGGTTTCACCATGTTGGCCAGGCTGGTTTCGAAATCCTGACCTAAGGTGATGATGGGCATCAAATCACAATAGTATTTCAATTCCTTTGATTATTTTAAAAGATTGACGTCACCACTTTTTTTGAATCAGTACATACAATGTGCTGAAATTAGATCCAATGTAACTAAATTTGTGATAAAAATATTTTATATTGACTTATAATTATGTATAAAGGATTCCATATTTTTAAAAAATTAGCAAGTATATAATGAAAACCATTAAAAATGTGGAAAAGTTATGAAGACCATAGTTAAAGAAATTAAAATGGAATTATTAGGGTTTTAAAAGAAGTGTAGGAGAGGTCAGTAAAAGAAAATACAGGTTTTCTTTTTGAGGTTAATTACTTGAGGTTAATTATGTGAGAAAGTGGAAAGGACTGAGAGAGTTGCATGGCTAGTGCTCATACGTCCTCAGTGGGTGTTTGTTGACTGACCAGTTTTTACAATGGTGTTTATTATGGGAAAAGTGAAATTTCTTTTGTTGTTTTTAAATTGATATATTATAGTTGTGCACATTGGGAAAGTTTCTGTCTATAAATCAAACAGTAGCAACACTGTCAATCACGTTTACATGCAGGCAATATTTCAAAAATTTTTTTAGTTAAAAAACTTTCATTATCAACTCTAGAAAAGGTATAAAAAGATGGCTGTTTTTATGTACAGATAAGTTTGCATCAAGATAAAAATAGACTTGAAAAACCAAACCAAACAAAAGAGAATTTTTCAGAATTCATTAAACTGGAGAGAGAGGAGGACATTAAATATAATAAATATCCTTCCTTTAGGTAAATTTTAGCTTTTATTTAAAAAGGTGAATAAAATACATTACGACATTTTCAAAATAAGATGCTGTAGACTAATTTAATCTAATTTGAAATTTTTAACATTTAGAATTTAGAATTTTAATATTTTTTATTTGGGGAAATTTCTTCCTTATAAAAATTCAACCCTTCCTGGTTGATGCTTAAGTACATTTTTTTCTTTTTTGTTTATGTGTTTTCATAAATAAATTGGTCTTCCATTTGAATCAATTTAGCCTGAGTACATATGTAGGACAGTAAATTATTTATTTTGAGGCTTTGTAGAATTTGAGGTCTCTGAGATTTTAACAGAATTGAGTCCTGCTCTGAACTCTAGAACTCCCTCTACACCAGATCTCTGGCTTCTCAAGATTCACTTCCCTTCTAACTATAGACATCCCTGTCAACAGAAGCTTTTTTGAGCAATTATTTTTCTCTCATATTTTACAGGACATTTCTCATATTAAAGAGTACAGGTGAATAAGTGGATCTTTCTTATTCAAGTGAAAATATGTAAAGGAGCAAATTATTCAATTATAACACTTTACATGTCACTTAAACATGTGTTTTTAATTCAATTTCATAACATATTAGTCTGATGTAAGGCTAAATGAGATCAGGAACCAAAGACCACATCTCAGACTGAGGATAGTAATCTCAGTTGTTGATTATTAATTGTAAAATAGGAAAATTTATGCAACTAATAGTATTGTTTCAACATGAAATCTCCAAAATGTTTAAAGTTCTCTTTGTATACATAATAAAATGGAAACTAGGCAAAAAGAAATTGAATAAGGAGGAAATGTTATACATCTACATTTTGATGCATAAAATTTCATTTGAAATGTTCATTGCAATGTTATTTTTAATGAGAATTATTCTGATTTGCTGTACTATATGTAGGACATGCTATAATATACATGATTCTGAGAGAAACTGCCATACAGTATTATTGAAAGATAATACTATATGAGCTGAATCACAAAATGTCAGGCTCAGAAGAAATTCCTCAGGGCTTTTAGACCAATAACTTGTACACCTTGGATCCTTCTTGAACATCTCCTGTAAGAGATGACTAGTCTAGGTTTCACCACATTTATTGAGGGGATCTTATCTCAATACAAAGTATTTCAAAATACTGTTACCAAGACTAATTTGTAAGCATTCAAAATACTTAAATGAATCAAAAGAAATAAAATGATATCTATTCTATTATATATTTAAAATATACCACATCATTAGAGTATTTTAAAAAATTGAGAACCTAATGAGAGTAAGGAAATCAAAGGATAACAAATGATATCACAACTTTAGGGGTAACCTTTTTAAAAAAATGTATCTCAAACTAGTACCAGATTATAGTTTTGTTAAATATGCTCTATTTTGTTATGTATTATTTTATACTTATTTTCAGAGATACTCTCAGTTATTGTTTTCCAACTATTATAAAATGAAGATTATAATGAAATTCATAGGAAACAAATTTGGCTCCTTAGAGCAATCTTTAGAGTATGTGACAAATGGAGTTTTAAAAATTGATCCATTGTCATAATGAATATACTTCCTTGCCTCTGTGTAAAGCATTTAATGTGATGTTTTAAATGTCATACTCTTTAACTTTATCTCTCACTTATGTATTCATTCAACGATTAGTCACTGTCAACTATGTCAGGCAATGTGTTCTTCCTCCCCTTCAGTAACTTACAGCTTAATCTGGAAAAAAAATAGTAAATTACTAATATAAGTGAAATAAATGTTAAAATAAGGATAGTCATGAGAGACTGAGAATATAGAGGAGAAACAACTAACTCAACTTTAGTTGTCATGGAAGGTTTAGTGTTCTAGACAAGAGAGTGACATTTTTAGATTCAAGCTTTGAAAACATCACAGAAGCTATAGTGTGGAAAAGTTGAGTACTACAGAAAATGGAGAGAGATGGAGACAGTGGGAAGATTATATTGAGGAGAATGGAGATATAGTAAATTTGCAGGAGACTAAAAAGGAAGCTTTGATAGAGCTGGCATTTAATTGAATGAAGGGTTATTGAAAACAGACAAATCAAAGATGAAATATTGGTCTAGACCCCTAGTTACTGCTGATCTTTTTTGTTAAAAGAGTATCATAGAGGATAACATTTTGCTAATCCAACAGATTAATATAATGTATTATTTTCTTCCTTAAATTCCCGTTCACTTAACATGCCCTATTATTTTGTATTAATATACAATTTCTGGGTCTTCAAGAAAGTATTTTAGTGTTTAAAGAGATAGGTTGGCTGGGCGCGGTGGCTAATGCCTGTAATCCCATCACTTTGGGAGGCCGAGGCAAGCAGATCACTTGAGGTCAGGAGTTTGAGACTAGCCTGGCCAACATTCTGAAACCCCGTCTCTACTAAAAGTACAAAAGTTAGGCGGGCGTGGTGGTGGGTGCTATAATCCCAGCTACTCGGGAGGCCACAGCAGGAGAATCACTTGAACCTGAACCTGAGAGGTGGAGGTTGCAGTGAGCTGAGATCGCGCCACTGCACTCCAGCCTGGGTAATAGAAGGAGACTCCATCTCAAAAAAAAAAAAAAGAAAAGATAGGTCACAGGACATTTGAAAATCTATTTTACATTTTTCAACACAGTCATATTGAGAATTCAGAGGAAGAGGCTGCTATTTATTTCTAGAGAGGAGACTCAAGAGGAATTAACAAATCAACATTTAAAGAAGAACTAATACCAACCCTACAAAAACTATTCTGAAAAATAGAGGAGGAGGGAATACCTCCAAACTCATTCTACAAGGCCAGTATCACCCTGATACTAAAACCAGAAAAAAAAGGAAAACTATAGGTCAGTATTGCTTATATATTTTGATGCAAATATCCTCAACAAAATACAAGCAAACCAAATTCAACAATACATTAGAAAGATCATTCACCATGACCAAGTGGGATTTATCCCTGGAATGTGAGCATGGTTCAACATATGTGAATCAACAATGTGATACATCATATCAACAGAACGAAAGATAAAAACCATGAGATCATTTCAATTGATGCTGAAAATATATTTGATAAAATGTAACATCCCTTCATCATAAAAACCCTAAAAAAACAGAATATAGAAGGAATATACCACAAAACAATAAAAGCCATATATGATAGATCCACAGCTAGTATCAGACTGAATGTGGAAAACCTGAAAACCTTTTCTCTAAAATCTGCAACAAGACAAGAATGCTCACTTTCACCACTGTTATTTAACATAGAACTGGAAGACTGAAGACCTAGCTATAGCAATGAGACAAGAGAAAAAATAAAGTGTATTTGAATTGGACAGAAAGAAGTCAAATTATCCATGTTTTCAGATAATATGATCTTATATTTGGGTAAACCTAAAGACCCCACCAAAAAACTGTTAGAACTAATAAACAAATTCAGTTAAGTTGCAGGATACAATACCAAAATAGAAAAATCAGTAGCATCTCTATATGCCAACAGTGAACAATCTGAAAAAGAAATCAAGAGAAAGTAATACTATTTACAGTAGCTACAAATAAAATAAGATACCTATGAATACACTTAATCAAAGAAGTGAAAGATCTCAACAATGAAAACTATAAAACATTTATGTAAAAAATTGAAGAGGACACACACAAAAAATGGAAAGATATTCCAACTTCATGAATTGGAATAATCAATATTGTTAAAACATTCATACTACCCCAAGCAATCTACAGATTCAATGCAATCCCTATCAAAATACCAATGACATTTTTTATGTAAGTAGAAAAAAAATTGAAGTTTATATGAAAACACAAAAGACGTTGAATAGCCAAAGCTATTCTAAGTAAACTGAAGAAATCACATTACCTGACTTCAAATTATACTACAGAGCTACAGTAAACAAAACAACATGGTACTGGCATAAAAACAGTAATATAGACCAATTAAACAGAATATATAACCTAGAAACAAATCCAGACAACTACCGTGAACTCATTTTTCACAAAGGTACCAAGAATATACACTGGGGAAAAGACAGTCTCTTCAACAAATGATTCTGGGAAAACAGGATATCCATGTGCAGAAGAATGAAACTAGGCCCCTATATCTTGACACTTGCAAATCAAATCAAAAAGGATTTAAAAATTAAAGACTTCAAACTATAAATCTACTACAAGAAAACATTGGGAAAAGTCTCCAGGAGATTGGACTAAGCAAAGATTTTTTGAGTAATATCCCACAAGCACAGGCAAGCAAAGCAGAAATGAACAAATGAAATCACATTAAGTTAAAAAGCTTCTGCACAACAAAGGATACAATCAACAAAGTGAAGAGACAACCCACAGAATGAGAAAAAATATTTGCAAACTACCCATCTGACAAGGGATTAATAACCATAATATATATAAGGACCTCAAACAACTCTACAGAAAAAAAAAAATCTAATAATCTGATCCAAAAAAATGGGCAAAAGATTTGAATAGACATTTTTCAAAAGAAGGCATACAAATGGCAAATAGGTATATGAATAGGTATTCAACATCATTGATTATCAGAGAAATGCAAATCAGTACTACAATGAGATATCTCATTCCAGTTAAAATGGCTTATATAAAAAAGACAGGCAATAACAAATACTGGAGAGGATGTGGAGAAAAGGGAACCCCTGTACACTGTTGGTGGGGATGTAAATTAGGACAACCACTATGAAGAACAGTTTGGAAATTCCTCAAAACATTACAAACTGAGCTACCATATGATATGGCAATCCCAGTGCTGGGTATGCAACCCCCCAAAAATAAATCGGTATATCGAAGAGATACCTGCACTCCTATATTTGTTGCAGCACTTCTGCACTCCTATGTTTGTTGGAACACTGTTTATAATAGCTAAGTTTTGGAAACAACCTAAGTGTCCATCAACAGATAAACAGATAAAAAAAATGTGGTACATATACACAATGGAGTACTATTCAGCCATAAGAAAAAATGAGATCCAGTCATCTTCAACAACATGAGTGGAACTGTAGATCGTTATGTTACGTGAAATAAGCCAGGTACAGAAAGACAAACATCTTATGTTCTCACTTACTTGTGCGATCTAAAAATAAAAACAATTGAACTCATGGACATAGAAAATGGAAAGATGTTACCAGGGGCTGGGAATCATAGTAGGGGGTTGTAGGAGGAGATGGGTATGGTTAATGGGTATAAAAAATAGTCAGAAAGAATGGATAAGACCTTCTATTTGATAGCACAACAGAGTGACTATAGTTAATAATAACTTAATTGTACATTTTAAAATAAAGAGTATCATTGGATTGTATGTAACTCAAAGGATAAATACTTGAGGAGATAGACACCCCATTCTCTGTGATGTGCTTGTTTCACATTGCAAGTCTGTGTCAAAACATCTCATATAACCCATAAATATATGCACCTACTATGGACCCACAAAAATTTCATAATAAATAAATGAATAAATAAAAAATTTGAAAAGAGAAATTAACAAATCACATGAGAAACATTCATGCCCTGGGTTAGTCCACTTGTAATGTCCGACATTTGAATGTTTTATTTTTTCCCACTGATAAAAAAGTTGCTTTTGCATATGCAGTCATTATATATCATAGTAGTAGTATCCCTGGGGCTATCTGGATTCAAATCCTGGCTCTGCCACTTCCTATCTTACTGTGGACAAATTGTTTAACCTCTCTTAGGCTCAGGTTTCACATTAGTAAACTAGAGATAATTTCACAGGGTACTTGTAAGGACTAAAAGATATAATGTACATAAAGTATTTGGAACTTTATAATTATTCAATTAATAATTATTATTAAACAATCTAAAGTTGGTTTTATTTAGATGCATGGAAGTGGGCATAAAATATTTATTAAAAACCTTGGAGATTTTCCTAAAAAAGTTTTTGATGGAGTTTATATATATATATGCTGAAGGACAAATGATTAATAATATCAATATTGTCTCCATGTATAGACCATACAAATACATTATATAAATATAAAATACATATATATGCATATGTTTATACATATACATATATAAACCTTACTAAATTTAACGAAATGCCTAATATTACAAGTTCATATAGAGATAATGAGATTTATCTCCACAACATTCTCCATAAATACTCACTTACCTACCCTTGAACTGGCTACCAAGTCACTGTCTTGATTCTATTCTTTCCATTAATATCTTTCCTTGATTTCCTAGCTGGATTTTTTCTCTTTTATATAGTGATAGCATACTTTGAGATACTAGTCTTTTTCCACCTTGATTACAGCTGATATTGGGCTCATTTATTTCCCTTTCGACAACTAAATCTCCCTAAAGCAAGACCCATGATTTAAAGTATCTTTGCATTAATCATTATCAGTTTGTACAATATTCTAGACAATTTACATTATTAACAAATATTGGTGAATGGATGAATAAGCAATATTTCTGAGCTTGTGTTTTGTCCAGACTCAAATTCCTATGGAACCAAGCAGTTAACAACAAGAAAATGAGTGAATCAGGCTAAATGTATGTTAACAGAGCATTGCAGGAAGTGAGTTAAGTTGAAAGTGCATAACTTGCTTAAAACAGACACAACTCAGCCCCTGACCGAGTTGTACAGATTCCCTGTAGGAATGTCAGACCAGTGTTGTTAGTTCATCTGATTTCTCAAGAAAGACACAAATTACTAAATTACATATCATATTTTTAAATGTTGCAAACATTTGAATGCTTCAGACCCCCCAAAATTATTCAAGTTATGGGACAACATTTAGCCATCATTTACACTACGAAGTGTGTTGAGTGAGCCAGATGCTCAAAAGTCATTTTTTTTTTCCTTTTTCCTCTCTTCTTTCTTCCCAACAGGTCTCTGACTCTTACCCCAGATGCCCTTTCTTCTAATATCTTCTCACATATTAAATTACCTCCTACCTCCATCTCCCATATTTTCAGGTGTGATCCCATAAACAGAGGTAGTCTGCCTACAGATGTCATCACCATTTGACTACTTTCAAAACCAAGTATCTGATCTCATAACAGGTGGTTGCAGAAGGAAATTTAAGGATGAAGATCAAGGAAGATTTTGGATTATTGTTTGCATCAGTGAACAGGACATAGTGTAGGGCAAATGTCCTCTTGTCATTAAAGGGAAAGGATAGGTTTGAACCTCATGGGCTACGAGATAAGATAGAGACA
Organism: Homo sapiens; assembly: GCF_000001405.40. Lineage (NCBI taxonomy): Eukaryota > Metazoa > Chordata > Mammalia > Primates > Hominidae > Homo > Homo sapiens. The sequence continues at coordinate 69,907,998 of NC_000004.12, forward strand.
AAATATATTGTGAAATGGAATTAAGTCTAAAAGCAAAAACTTGGTGAAACTGATTTCTGATTGGGATTGCCAGGGACCTCAACAGCTTGTGTGGTCCTGAGCCAGTCATGTACTGGTTATGCATGATCTATGGTTGCTACTTGGAAATTTCAATCATATTTAACAACCATATTAGTTTTCTGAATATTACATATAAATATTACTTTTAGAATTACATTTTTGAAATGGAAGTGCATTTTTTATTATCTAAAACAGCTGGTCTATGTCCATATTCATAAAGTGAGACATAATAGCATTATTCATATCACTTCATTACTTTTGTATCTCTATTCCTTTCCAAATATTAAAAAATACAATATTGTTTTTCTGAGCTTACTTGATACTTAAATCTTGAGAAGATTAACTATTAATAACTTTGTCAAATTATAATTTTAACTGTGAGAACCTGATATATCAATATTAGATCAGTAGTAGAATAACATTTGATTAGACCATATAATTTGAATAATTTTCTACTTCTTCCCTCTTCAATACTTTGAGATTTCAAATTGAAAGAACATATGTGAAATAAGTACAATCTGCTTATAGTTTAAAGTATAGTTAATCTATGTCATGAATTAAAAGAGCAATTTGTTCTTTTTTCCCATTTACTTGTTTAATTTTGGCTGAAGGAAGATACCAATGCTAGAGACCTCATGTCAGGGAAATATTCCTTGCAAAAAATTTCCTGGTTCTGTCTACTTTAAAATAGTTGCCAGCGAGTTCAGAACATTCCTAGGAAATACTTGTATTTATTTTCTGAACACTTTATCTGTAACATCTTAATTTCCTAATGCATCATTTTAATACTTTTCATTATTTCAAACTCATGAATTATTGTATGCTAAAGACAAAAACTATTTTCATCATCATTTCCTTATTTATGTTTAACTCTTTCTATAAAGCTTACATAATTATACAAAGCAATATCCATAAACTGAATATATTTAGAAATTACAAAGCAATGGGCTGAGCACGGTGGCTCACGCTTGTAATCCCAGCACTTTGGGAAATGAGGCAGCAGATCATCTGAGGTCAGGAGTTCGAGACAAGCCTGGTCAACATAGTGAAACCCCATGTCTACCAAAAAAAAAAAAAATACAAAAATTAGTCGGGCATGGTGGCCGGTGCCTGTAATCCCAACTATGCAGGAGGCTGAGGCAGGAGAATCGCTTGAACCCCAGAGGCGGAGATTGAAGTGAGCCAAGATCGCGCCATTGCACTCCAGCCTGGGTGACAAGAGTGAAACTCCATCCCAAAAAACAAAACAAAATAAAATTACAAAGCAATGAATGTACTCCTGCACTTTGTTACAACAATTACCACATCCAAACACTAACCTTAGATCAGTGAAGGTAGAGGAAGTGAGAAAGAGAAAAAATAAATTTGGCTTCTTAAAATAAGAATAGTTTAAGGAAGTATGATGTATCAATGCAATGTGTAAAACCTTTATATTATTTAATCTCTAACTTTTGATTTGGATATTGTTTGTCTTTTTACTTTTGAAAATCTATTTATTTGCCCAATACTATGCTTTAGATTATTAGATTCCATTAGTAGACAACACTGCAAAAAAGACTCATCTTGTGGTAGTTATGTTGTAAAGGAGTATAGGTAGAAAAAAATGTTAATACATAAATTAGAAAGTATGCATTAGACTACAGGATGGTAAAGGATATTGAAGAGAAAAAGAGAGAAAGAAAAGAAAAGAAAGTAAGTAAAGGAACAGAAAAGCAGGCTACAGGGCATTGGTATGGTGAGCAGTGATGGAGCTGTGAAGTCACATTGAGGTGCCACAGTGATAGGGCTGTGAGATGTCAATGAGACTAAGGTGCATGTCACACAGTATTTTTTAAATGGAAAATGAGATTACTTATCTTTGCTACCAATTTATTTATAATTTCATTCAACAAAGTATTATAATTAGATTTTTTATACTAAATTGTTTCCTAAAAGAATCTATTTAATAACATGGGCTCATAATACAAACATTTTCATTTTCATTTTTTTAAATCTGAATGAAGTAAAGGAATTTGGAATAATTTTTGTTTGGTTTTAGATAAGCAAAAAGGACTATTCTTGTTTAAAACCATCAGGTATATATACGCCAGGGAATGGAAGTCTCCAGAATATTAGAGGATTTTGAAACTTCTTTCTGACTCATCTTGAACTGTTGCTCCTGGCATTTCCCCTGGGGATTGCATTAAAATTTCTTCATATTGAATTTCTTTTCTTGCTTTATTTTTTCCAAGCATGAATACAGGCTTTCCTCCACTCTTCAAGATATCATTACACAAAGCTGTTGAATATTTTATCATTTCTCCGCACTTGATATCAGAAGGGAATATTTCAGAAAAAAACACACATACTAAAACCAAATTATGACAAAGTTGGTAAAATCTATGAGGTAAACTCCAATAGTCTCTCAGGAGACATCATTTTTCTTGTCCATGTCTTAGAGCCATATGTTGGAATTTACCTCTTTTTAAATGAGTTATTCATATCCTGTCACCTCTAGCTAAATTCAAGACTCTCATATCCTTGTTTCAAGGTGACTGTTGAAAGCCAAAACTCAACTAGCATATAAACATTGTCTTCACTCATAACAGAAACTCTTTTACTTCATCTTGCAGAACAGTTTAACAGATCTTAAACCTAAATTTAATCAGTCAAGACACTGCTACATCTTTGCTAAATTAAACAAGTTTTTATGAGTCACAAAAAAATAGAGAAATGTCTGCCTTTATTTTATTTTAAAGAACATTTTTATCTTACCCAATTATACTAGGATATGTGGCTTGATTTTCAACTGATGTCTATTTTATACCTCAACTCCTTTTTTTTCATTATTTATTACTTCTTTCATCTAAAGATCTGTATATTTCAAGAGTTTGAGAAAAAATGGTGCAAAGGTAGAAAGATGAAAAAGCAAAAGTAAGTTTGAGAAATAGCAATTGGGCAGTTGACTGAAGCAGAGGATGGTAAGGAGCGAATTGCGAGAATTCATCACAAAGATAATTTTGTGACAAAGAAAATATATGTGAATAATGCCAAGTTTAGACACAATTCACCAGATGCTGTGTATGGAATAAAATAGAAACTTGAGAAGACAAAAGGTGCAAGTTGTAAAAAGTTCTACTCTGTAATGCAGAAGATTGAGTTGTATCAATTGTGTTCAAATCACCAACCTGGAACAATGATTTGTTCATTCACAGGATCCTATAAATAACCATGTAACAATGTCATTGCCTTAGTTCTGCCTTTTGAAATTAACATTTTATATAGTGTCTAGAAACAAATGCAATATTATCTTTTTTTATTTAGTATGTTTTCTATTTTTATCTTTGTAGTCTGAAGAATTCAGACTATCCTTTGCTTTCCAAGTCTGACCCTGACTAGCTACCTCAATTGCCTGAAACAGAAAATTGAATAATTAACAAAACGATGTTCCGTAATCTTAGAAAAGTTACATTAAATGATTGTGTTTAAATGTGTAGGTTTTTTTTGTTTTGTTTTGTTTTGTTTGTTTTTTGTTTGGTTTATTTCTGGCACATGCTTTTTTTCCACAGGTTTTCAAAGAGGCATTGAAGATGAAAACATTTTTGGTTATTCTATTATTGCTTCCAGCAAAGCTTTTAGTTTTCCTCTGAATGTTTCTATATGCTCTATTTATTTGTTATATTTATTTTCCAGTTGCTTTACCTACTTTGATCATAGCATGAACTGGAGTCAGACAAAGGTTTCTATGTTTTCCACTTCAACCCTCAACTTATTTATACCACAAAAATTTGAAGATGAAATTGTTTCTTCTTCAAATTCAGCATAATCTGAATCATAATATAAAATATAAGAATTAACATTTTATATTATTTCCTTCGCAGGATATGTACCAGCAACATGGTATTAATTTTATCACCATCAAAAATTTTAATGAACCTCTGCCATTGTCACTTTGGTAAAAAGCATCCTACTAGATAAAAACAGCTGAATTAAATTAGAAAAACATAGTCAGGTATTGCTAAATTGCCTTATGGATAGCTACATAGATATTCTTTCTACATATATATTTAAGTATATATATAATATACTTATATACTTAAGTATATATTTAAGTATGCATGTATACTGGAATATACATACATATTTATGTATATATATTCTGTCTTTTATTTTCTATGTGAAGAGAGTAGTGGTAGAGGCCTGCTAGTCACCCTAGGTATGCATGCTCTTGGTTTTCAAAGAATTTCTCAATTTAAACAGGTTATTAAAATTATTTATTAAACTACACATATTTTAACTAACTAAATCACAACTTTACTTGTGGACAGTCTGAATTTCCTAACGGAATAAAACTTGGCATCTCTAATCTAATACCCAATACACAGTGTTTGGCATTGTGTCATTTTATGGACATGAGCACTACTTCTGTAAGGAGGAACAGCTCTACGTCTGCCAGAAACTTTGTTTCAATAGTTAAAGGAGAATATTATGTGAAGTGCATTAATAATCTTTAATTTACTCTTTTTGCTTGTGCAACATGATTTTATTGCTATATGACTGTACTACAGTATAATTCTACTGCTATGATAATATTATATACAATTCTGTTGTTATTATAATATTACAGCCAGAATATTTCTCTGATTACTCAATTTAAGTGACCCAATATGATTACTGGGACATTAGATCTCTATAAGCAATCAAGTTTATCGTAAGCAGTTTTTTTTTTTCTTGACCTTCTGTCCTCAGAGTCTGTAATGTCTAATTTAATTGGTCTATTTATGTATTCGTTCATTCAACAATAATGTGTTAGTTGAATCTGCCTGGTAGTCCACATTTCTAGACCAAAGATAAGGGATTTATCTTTATTACCACAAAAATTATGATTTCTCTCAGCTATGAGATAATATAACCTATAGACTACACCAGATGCTGGAAATTTAAAAGTCTATTTTTTTCCTAACAACTTCCAGAAGCTCTTGCTCCATGGTCTATCCCCCATTTGTGTTATGGCCAATGAACACCTCCTGTCTTAATAACTTTCAACTTGAACTAAAACTTCTTTTCCCTTGGGGATTGATCATTTTTTTTCAGGATGACAAGTGAGAAATTATGCATAGACTTGGAAATAGAAAACACGAACCACTGAAAGGCCGCCAGGATGTCATTACAGGAAAAGAAATCTGTGTGGAACTTCTAGCATCAGAAAGTGACAGCATATGACAACCAAGGCAGATTTAAAAATTTGAGATGCACCAATAAGATTCCTTCCTAGTTATTTGTACTAGAATTTCCCAGTATTTTCAGGAGATGTAATTGATAAGTCAAAAAGAAAGAGTTTTCAAGGCCAGGTGCAGTGCTTCACGCCTGTAATCCCAGCACTTTGGGAGGCCGAGGTGGATGGATCACCTGAGGTCAGGAGTTCGAGACAAGCCCGGCCAACATGGCGGAATCCTGTCTCTACTAAAAATACAAAAATTATCTGGGCATGGTGGCACACACCTGTAATCCCAGATACTCAGGAGGCTGAGGCAGGAGAATTGCTTGAACTTGGGAGGTGGAGGTTGCAGTTAGCAAAGATCGCACCACTGCACTCCAGTCTGGGTGACAGAGCAGGACTCCAAAAAAAAAAAAAAAAAAAGCAAAAAAGATTTTCATATTGTTGGGAAATAATATAGTCTATGCCTTTTTACCTTTCTCTTAGAAATTTGTACAACAGATTAGTAAATCAAAGGCTCTAAAAACCCTGGTACTGAAGGAAAAAAAAAAAAGCTCTTATAGCATTTAAGCCAACACTTGTTAAATGTATTTGATTACAGTGATTTTTTCCTTTTTACCTAGTCACATTTAGATATTTAGTTTGCAAAATGTAGATTAGAGTTGGAAGTTTAGCACCACAGAGAAGAATATACGTAACTACCTCAAGACACCTATAAAACTACTGATTATTAATTACACAGTTTTTTTGTGTGTGTTTTGTTTTTGTTTTGTTTTGCCCTGCAGGATTCTTAACATGGGATAACTCTGACTGCTAAGAAAGAAAGCCACATTGTTTCAAAGCATGTCTCTCAAGGATTGTGATTTCTCATCCAACTTTTTGGAAATATGGAAAATATCCCATCTTACCTTAACTACTCTCACATTTGTAAGGATGAAAATACCTTTCATGGTGCATGAAAAATAAAAATACTATTTCAGTAATCCTTTATCATAGATTTAAGAAAAAGTCATATTTTTTCAAAAGAAGGCATTTTTCCAACAGTGTTTCTTCAGATCTCAAAAGCAGTAAGAAGCCAGAAAAACATGTGATTCCAGAGCACTCCAAATTTCAAGTTTATTAAGTAAATTATAGTCAGCAATGTTATTCTATAATATATTAATAACTTAGAAAATAAAATGCAGAGATGTTATTATTTATTTCATCTCAATCTATGGGGACACATTTATCTCTGTATTCTATATGTATGTTTCCAAGCATGGTACTAGGTATAAATGTCAAGACAAAAGATTCTCACATTTTAATAGAGAAGTCCAAAAATAAAGAAGTAAACAAGTATATACTATGTTTACAATATAATAAATAACATGTAGTTGTTGTCTACAATATCTACTCTCTTATAAATGTGATCTAATTACAAAATTTACTATTCTCTAAAGTAAAACTCTCTTATGTGTTACTTACCCCCTTTATCAATAAATGCAATTTTAACCACAGCTTATGCATACTGGTAACGCTAAATTTGTGTTACTTTATGTATCACAAGAATTTGCTATAATTCATCAAACATAAGTGATTTGAAGATTATTTAAATTACTTACTGTTTTACTTATCAGCAGAAGTAATTGGAAGATTTCCATGTTTGACTAGGATTTATACTATGCAAATCCTCAAACTTCTAGTTTTAAATAGCTCTCAGAATGTCTTTTGGAGATGTTGATTTGCTCTATTATGTGTGATCTTAGTGTGATGGTATGTGTACTACCTGATTTCCTGCTATGCAAGCTAAAAAAACCAAATCTTAATTCTCCATGCTTTGTTATAGCCATGTATGGTTAATATCAGTTGTCAACATGGTTGGATTGAAGGATGCCTAAGTGGTTGGTAAAGTATTGTTTCTGGGTATGTCTGTGAGGGTGTTGCCAGAGGAGACTGACATTTGACTCAGTGGACTGGAAGAGGAAGACCGACCTTCAGTGTGGGTGGACACCACCAAAACAGCTGCCAGCACAACTAGAATAAAACAGCCTGAAGAAGGTAGCATAGCTTTTCTTGCTGAGTCTTCTGGCTTCCTTCTTTCTCCTGTGCTGAATGCTTCTTTCCACTCCTCCTGCCTTTGGACGTCAGACTCTAGGTTCTTTATCCTTTGGACACTGGGACTTGCACCAGCGGTTTGTGGGGACCCTTGGGCTTTTGGCCACAGACTGATCGCTGCACTGTTGGCTTCCCTGGTTTTGAGGCTTTTGGACTTGGACTCAGCCACTACCAGTTTCTGTCTCTCCCAGTTTTCAGATGGCCTATTATGGGACTTTGCCTTGTGCTTTTGTGAGCCAATTCTCCCTAATAAACTCATATATATATATATACATATAAAATTGGTTCTGTCCCTCTGGAGAACCCTGATTAATCCAAGCCAGAATGACCCAGAGAATCAGATCCTCTCTCCTGGTAGTGCAAATCTTTATTGAATAACCCAAAGGGAATGACAAGTTTTTATATTTTGGCCCAACTGCTCTGTAATGCTCAAACTATTCCAATGAGATACCCTTGTTGTTCTATCTTACACCTTTCAGAGATACCTTGATTACTTAATATAAAATCTCAGTAATTCTGAATTCTCCTCTGCAATAACCTTTTCCTCAAGACAGCCAGAGCTGCTTTCTGTTACTTACAACCAACAACCAACCCTTGGGGTTAGAAAAGACTCCTGCATTCTGTAATAAATATGAGGGGAAATTTAGATGCTAAGAGGAAAGTGATGAGTATGATCCAGGATATAGGCAAATGGTGAAACTTTGAGGTACGCATGTATCTAACATTTTCCTAACCACCTAGGAAGTGATACTTCAACAGTACCACTGCTATAGTTCAGGTATTTGTGTCTCCACAGAGTCCATGCATCAAAATCTAATCCCCAGTGTAATAGTTTAAGAAGTTGAGGCCATTGGGAGATGATTAGGCCATGATGGCCCTGTATGCATAAATGACATTAGTACCTTTATAAAAGAGACAAAAGAGAGCTAGCTAGTTTCTTCCACCACATGAGGATGCAGGAAGAAGGTGCCTTCTATCAGCAATGCGCCCTCACCAGATGTCAGACCTGCTAATATCTTAACCTTGGACTTCTCAGCCCCCAGAACTGTGAGAAATATCTTTATTTTGTGTATAAACCACTCAATCTATGGTATTTTGTTATAGCAGCCTGAAGGGATGAAGACAACCACCAAGCTGAATGGCTTTAGGTTACCCAGGATCTCCAATGGCAGTATACATACCACAAGCCTACCCTGTCCAGACTGTGTTCTGCTTACTGATCTGTCGAAATCCTCTCTGGCCACCAAATTCTAGATGTCCCTTTTCTCTCGCCAGCATAGTCCTAATCGCTTCTAGGTTACCTATTCTAAAAACCAAAGCAATATTTTTATAATTACTGAATATAGAAAGTTAATTTATATCTTGATTGGGGCAACTGACTGACTATCAAATTATGAGATATGAAGCAAGCAAATAAACAAAATCTAAAACCAGATTAATATATGTGATATAAAACTATTGGCCATATAGACTAAATAAATTTTGATTTAACAGTAAGATGAAATGTTGTAGAGCCATTCAATGGGATTGTATAGAACTGTGATTTTCCAGGTTTGGTTCTTAGGGCTTTAAAAGAGCCCCAGAAAATGAAAAGGTCAATATTTAATCAGTAAGGAAAAATAGTCCAACCAAAAAGTTTACAACTATTTGTTTTATGTTTTGAATTTTGAAGAATGAGATCAACTGCTTAAAATTTGCTGAAAATTAATAATCTGTAAAAATGACTGAGAAAATGATGATATAAGAAAAAGTGAAAATAAGCGATTTATGCAATTATATGTAATGTCATATACACGAGCTTCATATACATAAACCACAGAGCTAATGGGTAGCAAAAGAAGGTAGTTATCAATACCAGCTATGATCATGTGACTAGTTGCAGAAATGAGGACTATAATTGTCATGAGTATTTCTTCATCAATGATTGGTTATTTGGTCAATTATTTTTGTCACTTATTCATCTTATTTATTTTTAAAAATATTATACATATTTAACTAATAACTCAATCTACAACTGTTCTTCAATAAGTAAGAGCTTATAACTCACACCTTATACCTCACTTTACAAATTAAACTTCTAAAACTGACTTTATTTTCTTAATCTGATTATAAAAATATAAATAATAAAACACAAAAGTATTATAAAGTCATTTGTAGAACTCCACTCACTGCTCAAATATTTATCCAAGGCACAGCAAGTCTTTTGGGGTATAATTTACAAAATAAAGCACAGTGCTTAAGTGTGGAGGCTCTGGATAAAGTCAATTGGCACAAATTCCAACGTATGCACTATACCTGAGTGCCTGGCTCATTGTAAGTGCTCAATAAATGCCAGCTCTTACTATTGTTGGAGGAATATAATTGCATTAGAGGGTTGACATGACAATAAACAGTTCATTGTAGTCAATGCCCTTCCTTGTCTCCTTGAGTGAGTGCTTGGAAACAGTAAACTGGCAGCCAGAAACATGGCGTGTGAATTGCTGAATCAGGGAGGAATATAACCCCTATATCTTTCTTATGGAGTCTCCAGGCAGAGAAAGAGGAAGTTCCTGAAGGTACTTGGATTGAAACAGTTCATGATCATAATGATTTGAAACAACAGGAGTACGTTGTAGCATCCAGGAAAGAGCTAGAGGAACGTGAGGTGGGGTGAGAGCATGGCAGAGCTTCATCTCAAGGCCCATGGAAAGAGAGTGTCAACATTTCATTCTTCTGCCTTGCTTATAAGGAAGGAGAATTTCCAATTGTCAAGATCATGTCCACATTTCTTTTTATACTGTATGGCCTTCCATGTTCACTTTCAGCCTTTCTTTCCAAGTATATCACCCATCACTTCCCTTATTAGCACCATGGTACATCCACTTCAAATCACTGCCATCAGCACACCTTCCTACCTCCATATGTAATCCTCTTCCTCCATCCTCACTTCCTCAGCTCACCCTCCTATTCATCTCTCAAGACTTCTCTCTCAACCTTTTCACGTATAGAATGACAATTCCTCTTTTGTACTCCTCCCAAGTTCTGATATTCCTCAACAACTATAGTGTATTTCAAAATATAAAATGTATTATTTTATGTTTGTTTCTCTGACCAAATTATTTTAAATTTTAATTTCATGTCTCTACACACTGGTTATTAACACTTATCTGTAAACCTCTCCTCTCACTCTCAATGTTTCTAATATTGCACAAATACTGATAGTCACTTCAAATTCCTGGCCACCGCGTCCCATCACATGTTGTCTGTTTTGTGAAATGAGGACTTCTTCCATACTTTCTTTCTTTTATGAGCCATTTACAAACTAAATCCTGTGATAAATTTTACTTGTTAACTTTTTTTAAGAGACAGGGTTTTTCTCTGTTGCCCAGGCTGGAGTGCAGTGATGCCATCCTAGATCACTGCAGCCTTGAACTCCTGGGTTCAAGTGATCCTCCCACCTCAGCTTCCCAAGTAGCTAGGAGTATAGGCACATACATCTCATCATACCCAGCTAATTCCTTTTTCTTTCTTTCTTTTTTTTTTTTTTGTAGGGATGGGGTCTTCTTTATGTTACCTAGGCTGATCTTGAACCCCTAGCCTCAAGTGATCCTCCTGCCTTGGCCTCCCAAAGTGCTGGTACTACAGGTGGGAGTCACATCCCACCCAGCCTACTTGTTAAAAAATTTTTACGAATTTTCATGTGCCTCCATGAAATCTTTTCTACCATACTACATTCTTCATTGCTATAATGCATAATAACTAGCTATGTTCAAAAAACTTCTAGACTGCTGTCTCCTCTTCCCAATTCACCTCCATGCTATCCCTTTCCTGAAACATGCTAGCCCCACAGTCTTCTTATAGCCATTTTCGCTGTGTCCATAAAAATTCACTTATATTGCTAGTAAACTTTTCCATCTCCTTTACTTCCAGGAAAGGCCAAAATTTAAACCCAAATTAAAACCATCCAATTTTATAACCACTTCTACTTTCTGATTACGTTCTGCACCAGTTTGTTCAAGTGGCGTCCTTGCCTTGACATATCTGTCACTCCATTATTTGGTCCTCTTCTCAGTATTACTGTGTCTATCTACAGTCCATCAGGGTCTCTAGTGAACCTTTCTCATTCATAGGTTTCATCTTCATTCCATGTTCATCCCAACCTGTTTTACTTAAATGACCTTTACCTCACTTTCCTTAGCCCTTTTCCATTAACAAGAGTCTCTACCTTAAAAAAAAAAAAAAAAAAAAGAAAAAGAAAAATGAACTCTAAATGAACTTCAGGCTTTATTTCCTATTTGTAAAGGTCTTCCCAGTTATTCACATTGAATTCTCATGCTTTATCTTGATATTTTTAATGTCATTTATGTTGAAGAAATCATCCATAAGTGAAATATTTTTAAAGCTACCATCTAAGGACTGATTTGATTCCTACAAAGTGATAAATTTAATCATTTCCTATTTTTAGACTGGTACTACTTACCTATTATATTATTATACTTAAGGTTGACAATTTTCTTTTTTAAAATTGTGGTGAAATACACATACAATACAATTTACCATTTTATCCATTTTTAGGGGCACATGAAATACATTTAAATGGTTGTGCAATCTTCACTACCATTAATCTCCAAAACATTTTTTATCTTGCAAAAATGGAACTTCATTTTCATTAAACAATAATCCCCATTTCCCCTTCTCCCAGCCCTTAGAAACCATCATTCTACTTTCTTCCTCCATGCATTTGACTACTCCAGGTACCTCATTTAAGTGGAATCATACATAATTTGTTCCTTTGTGACTGGTTTACTTTACTTGACAAAATGTCATTAAGGATCATCCATATTGTAGCATGTGTCAGAATTTCATTTCTTTTTTAAGGATGAATTATATTATATTATAAGTATGTACCACATTTTGTTTATCTATTTATTGGGTTGCTTTTCCCTCTAGAGAATATGAATAATGCTGATAAAAGGATGGGTGAATAAATACCTCTTTTATACCACCATTTTTTTTGGTGGGGTATATATCCAGAATTGGCATTACTGGAAAATGAGATCATTCTAATTTTAATTTTTGAGAAAACACGATACTGTTTTCCATAGAGTCAATGTCATTTTACACTCCCACCCACAGTGCGCAAGGTTTTCAATTTCTCCACATCCTCATCAACACTTATTTTCTGTTTTCTTACATATTTGATTTGACATGTAATAATTGTACATATTTATGATGTACATACTGATGTGTGGATACATACAATATATAGTGATCAGATCAGGGTTATTAGCATATCCATCATCTTAAACATTTATTATTTCTTTGTGTTGGAAACATATAACATCCTCCTTCTAGCTATTTGAAATTATTTAATGTTTTTGTTTGCTATAGTTATCTTACACTGGTATAGGACACTGGAACTTATTCCTTCCATCTAGCTGTAATTTTGTATCCTTTAAAAAATCTCTCCCTATCTTTTCATTCCCCCTCACCTTCTCAGCCTCTAGTGTCCTCTGTTCTACTTTTGAGTTCTATGAGATCAATGTTTATTTAGCTTCTACATATGAATGAGAACATGTGGTGCCTAACTTTCTGTCTCTAACTTATTTAACTTAACATAATGTCTTCTGGTTTCATTCATGTTGCCGTCAATGATAGAATTTCATCCTTTTTATGGCCAAATAGTGTTTCACTGTGTATATATAACACATTTTCTTTATTCATTCATCTGCTATTGTATGCCTATGTTGATTCTATATATTGGCTATTGTGAATATTGCTGCAATAAACGTGGAGGTGCAAATGCCTCTTTGATATACTGCTTTAAGGAAAGCAGTATATTGAAGAAATGACCAGTAGTGCGATTGCTGGATCATATGGTAGCTGCAAGTGTAGGTTTTTAAGGAATCTCTTTATCCTTAAATTTTTCAATCCGAAAATGTCCTTTCTGTTCAATTATTTACTTTTTTGGCAGGTTAGTACATCCATATGGCTGCCAAAATCTTTTACTAGCTACTAAAATTTAAGTAATCAATGAAACATTCTTATTATTGATATTGTTGTAATAGCTAAAAAGGAAAAATGGATCCAAAGATGTTGATTGGATTATGTTGAATTAAGAAAACTGCATATCTGAAAGTCAACAGACTTCTGAGGAAATATTGTACAGTTTGTCTTTAGCAATCCAATGACACTTTGTTCTACTAGTTTTTCTCACTCTCATTCCTTCTCTTGATGGCTTAAATAAATTCATCTTAGTGCATTTAGAAATTCCCCCACTAGTTACGATTTACTTTCTCCAACAACTATCCAAGGATATAATATCTTGCATACAATAAGTGCTCTCACTGAGTCAGTGAATAACATGGTATATTTGAAAGAGCATAGGCTGTGATGTTGAAAGGCTTAAATTGCTATTTACTTGTTAACTGCTATATGCCTCCTGTGGAAATTAATTTACTTAAGTTATAAAAGCTTTGATTTTCTTATCTGTCAAAGAAAAATAAACACCTGCTTTTCCTATAGTATACAGTTCTTGTGAGTAGCAAGTCGAATAACAATTGTAAAAAGACTTTGATCATTTTAAAGAACCATATTAATTAATTATGGAATAACACATTACATTCTGCTGATGGATGGCTTAGTAACCAATCTGGTAAACCATGTTTCTGTTAACCAATAGCGTCTATTAAATGCATTATATCCCCATAATAACATTATTATACAAAAATGTTCAATGCTTAGACTCAGGAAAATATATCAATTACAAAAACTATGTTCCAGCAAGTCAGAGAAAGAGATATTTCTGATTGGTAAAAAAAAAAAAAAATTATTCATCAAATTATACATGTTTTCAGAAAGTACTTACTATAGTAAAGTGGGTAGGTTGTGGTTATCACAGTTGAATTTTCATCCAGTTTTTGGGGATGTCTTGAGTAGGCCTCATGAGTGGCAAGAGGAATGAATTTTTGATTGGTAGTAACAGAACGGTGGTGGTATAGGTATTATGTAGGAGGATATTATGAGGACTTCCTACCTACAAAGACAGCATAGTGTTGAGTAAAGAAATGCTTTATTTTACACATTGTGATGCAGGTAAACAAGTTCATAAAAACATGCTTCAGCTTTTTTTTTTTTTTTTTTTCTTTGAGACAGAGTCTCACACTGTCACCCCGGCTGGAGTGCAATGTCAGGATCTTGGCTCACTGCAACCTACACCTCCCAGGTTCAAGCGATTCTCCTGCCTCAGCCTCCTGAGTAGCTGGGATTACAGGTGCCCACCACCATGGCTGGTTAATTTTTTGTATTTTTAGTAGAGACAGGGTTTTACTATGTTGGCCAGGCTGGTCTCGAACTCCTGACCTCGTGATCCACCCACCTCAGCCTCCCAAAGTGCTGGGATTTCAGGCATGAGCCACCGCACCCGGCCTCAGCATTTTTAAACAACTTTGTTTTTATTATACATGTTGCATGTTTCTGCTATTTTCTTGTGCTTTTTTCCAATAGTGTTTTATATAAAAATCCTCACTATCATGTGAGTTTAAAAGAGAAGACTAAATATTACATTTTCAAATCTACCAGTTCCTTCATACTCAGGGTGTTACATAGACCAACAACAATTCTCATCTGAGAACTTGTATAAAATATAGAATTTCAGGATGTACCTTAGACCCAATGAATCTGACTCTGGATTTTAACAAAATACTCGAGTGATTTATAAACATGTTAAAGTTTGAAAAAGACTGTTTCAGTCTTTATCCTGTAAAAATAATCAAATAGTACAGGATTTCATTAAACAAAAGTTTAAAGTTCTCTTTTCCACATCCCTCTTACATGCCATGGCAAACCTTTTTTATTCATGGTCTCTATTAGAAACTTTCCTTTTTTCCTTCCAAACATTTTCTATGTATATACCAATATAAAAGTTTAATTCATGAATTCTCCAAAGTTTCCAAATTCATGAAGTATGAAGATAAACTGGGCATAAAGTAATGCGTTTTTTTTTCTTTAAAAAAATCATGTCTAATAATGTGTAATCTTAAATATATATTCATCTTATTACAAGCACTTTTCTAAATGTGCAATCTAACTTTTCCTCCTTATTACATAGAAAGTGAATGTTATTGAACATTTGGGAATACTGAGGCACAACAATTTACCCAAGATAGTAGAGCTGGTTGGTGGGAACCAGGATTTAAACTCACAATTTAACACTGGAGCACTGCCTTACAACCACTACATTATATCACTTTACTAAGATTGCGTGCTTTATTTTAGAACTCCAAGGACCTACTGACAGAGCATCACAGATTTTTAAAAGGCATTATTCTAATTTCAAGCATGAAATTAAGCATAAGCGCTACGTATCAGTGCTACTGAGAGGTGACGACGACAGCACGCTGGCAGTCCTCACAGCCCTCGCTCGCTCTCTGCGCCTCCTCTGCCTGGGCTCCCACTTTGACGGCACTTGAGGAGCCCTTCAGCCCACCGCTGCACTGTGGGAGCCCCTTTCTGTGCTGGCCAAGGCCGGAGCCGGCTTCCTCAGCTTGCAGGGAGGTGTGGAGGGAGAGGCGTGAAAGGGAACCGGGGCTGCGCTGGGCGCTTGCAGGCCAGCTGCAGTTCCGGGTGGGCGTGGGCTTGGTGGGCCCAGCACTCGGAGCAGCCAGCCTGCCCTGCCGGCCTGGGCAATGAGGGGCTTAGCACCCGGACCAGCGGCTGCGGAGGGTGTAATGGGTCCCCCAGCAGTGCCAGCCCAACGGCACTGCGCTAGATTTCTCTCCGGGCCTTAGCTGCCTTCCGGCCGGGCAGGACTCCAGACTTGCAGCCCGCCATGCCTGAGCCTCCCACCTGCTCCGTGGGCTCCTGTGCCGCCCCAGCCTCCCAGATGAGCGCTGCCCCCTGCTCCACGGCGCCCAGTCCCATCGACCACCCAACGGCTGAGAAGTGCGGGCACACTGCGCGGGACGGGCAGGCAGCTCCACCTGCAGCCCCAGTGTGGGATCCACTGGGTGAAGCCAGCTGGGCTCTTGAGTCTGGTGGGGACGTGGAGAACCTTTATGTCTAGCTCAGGGATTGTAAATACACCAATCAGCAGTCTGTATCTAGCTCAAGGTTTGTAAACACACCAATCAGCACCCCGTGTCTAGCTCAGGGTTTGTGAATGCATCAATCTACACTCTGTGTCTAGCTACTCTGGTGGGGCCTTGGAGGACCTTTGTGTCCACACTCTGTATCTAGTTAATCTGGTGAGGAGGTGGAGAACCTTTGTGTCTAGCTCAGGGATTGTAAACGCACCAATCAGTGCCCTGTCAAAACAGACCACTCGGCTCTACCAATCAGCAGGATGTGGGTGGGGCCAGATAAGAGAATAAAAGCAGGCTGCCTGAGCCCATGTGGCAACCCGCTGGGGTCCCCTTCAACACTGTGGAAGCTTTGTTCTTTCCTTCTTTGCAATAAATCTTGCTGCTGCTCACTGTTTGGGTCCACACTGCTTTTATGAGCTGTAACACTCACCGTGAAGGTCTGCAGCTTCACTCCTGAAGCCAGCAAGCCCACGAGCCCACCTGGAAGAACTAACAACTCCAGAAGCGCCGCTTTAAGAGGTGTTACCACTCACTGCGAAGGTCTGCAGCTTCACTCCTGAGCCAGCGAGACCACGAACCCACCAGAAGGAAGAAACTCCGAACACATCTGAACATCAGAAGGAACAAACTCCAGACGCGCCACCTTAAGAGCTGTAACACTCACCGCGAGGGTCCGCAGCTTCATGAGACCAAGAACCCACCAATTCCGGACACACTACTATATATTCATACTAAATGAAAACTTCCTGAAAATAACTCTATTTTAGTTTCTATTCAGACAACACCTAAGCACATTACTAAGCATCCCTTATGAATTCTCTTTTAGGTTCCAAATTATATGTGAGTTTCTACAGAAAAACAAAAATATCTTTTACATTTCTCAGTAAGCTTCTTTCTTGAAGGTTAGCCGTTTGCTGCATAATAAAAGAACATTTTCCTAGAAGACTTATCAATCTTTTGTCAAATGTCCTGGGACGACATATGACAAATTACCTTTGAAATTTCATGCTCTGAATTATTGACTTCAACAAAATGAGTTTCCCAGAGCAGGTTTAAATATGAAGCAGAATGTGTAGCAGTAATATACATAATTTTGCATAGTAAAATTTACCACTTGACAAACTATTTTTTCTCAAAATCTATCTATTGGTAATGAGGTCTCCTTTCATTTTTGAACGTATGTATGTATTATTATTTTTTTTTGAGACAAAGTCTTGCTCTGTTGCCCAGGCTAGAATTCAGCAGCACAGTCTCGATTCGCTGCAGCCTCCCCCTCCTGGGTCCAAGTGATTCTCCTTCCTCAGCCTCCCGAGTAGCTGGGATTACAGGCAGGCACCTCCATGCGTGGCTTTTGTGTTTTCAGTAGAGATGGGGTTATGCCAGGTTGGCCAGGCTGGCCTTGAAGCCCTGACGTGAAGTGATCTGCCAGCCTCCATCTCCCCAAGTGCTGGGATTACAGGCATGAGCCACTGTGCCTGGCCTGTATGTATTTTCTAATGAGTATGAATCCTAAGAAGAAATAAGCTTTCTGTAGTTGCCACTTACCTGATCTATTTCCACTTTCACTTGTTTAGGGAATCTGTTAGATGTTCAAAAGTAGTAGTGTCGTTTGACTACAGTGTCCATGCCCTAGTATGCCTGGAATAGTCCTGGTTTACGGTGTTGTCCTACAGTAATTAAGAGCTGACCCTCTCATTACTAGAAGTGTTGAATGTTGGATGATCAATTACATATTGAAGCTACATGTGACCCTATTATACATAAAATTAAATACTGACTTTCGGAAAATAATTTCATTTTGTATTTACTTATGGGACAAATTCCCATCTGACCACAAATGGTCTAAATATATGCTTCAAATGCTTTTTAAAGGTTAGAACTGACCAAATTTAAAATAAGCAAGATAATGCATTAAACCTCAGTAAAAATCTTGCAGAGTGGGCATTGATTGCACAAATCTACAATAATCATATAAAATCATGTTTTCTCAAATTATAGTGGATAGTTATATTGTACAATAATAATGATATATTTTTTAAAAAGAAAAACCGACTTAACCTTCTTTAATTATTAATAACTAATTGAGGCAAAGGAGGAGATTGATCCTTATCCCTAGGGGATTATAGGTTATTTATTTATTTATTTATTTATTTTAAAATAGAGATGGGTTCTTGCTATGATACCTAGGCTGGTCTCAAACTCCTGACCTAAAGCAATCCTTCCAACTTGGCCTCCCAAAGTGCTGAGATGACAGGCATGACGCACCATGCCTGGCCACATTACAGATTTTAAAAACCCTGGATTTTGAGTTCATGAAAATTTCCAGAGCTGTTATGTAAATTCACTAAGAGGTGGTTTGCCTTATGATGTAAATTAGACATTTGTCATTGTTTAATTGATCCCCTGTGATGTCAAGGCTTCTTATTATCAAATTCATCTAAGGGGCCTTGTCTGGTATGGCCCACAGTCTTAGTTGTCCTCAGGTACTCCATACTCCGGAGGCCCTGTTCAAATCTCTGTTTTTGGACTATTTGTAAAAATTAAAATTCTTTACTTTTTGTGTGTTAATTATCCATCACACTTTGAGGCTGGAAATTTTGTATTGCTCAAATTTTATGTCTGCAATACCTTGTCCAGCACTTTCATCTTTCTGAATAAATAAGTAAATAAATGAATAAACAAATGAGGATACAGATTCTTTTCATAAATTACAGAAGATTTTTATATAGCTTGATTTTTTTCTTTTTTTATTATTATACTTTAAGTTCTAGGGTACATGTGCACAATGTGCAGGTTTGTCACATATGTATACATGTGCCATGTTGGTGTGCTGCACCCATTAACTCATCATGTACATTAGGTACATCTCCTAATGCTATCCCTCCCTCCTCCCCCACCCCACGACAGGCCCCTGTGTGTGATGTTCCCCTTCCTGTGTCCAAGTGTTCTCATTGTTCAATTCTCACCTATGAGTGAGAACATGTGGTGTTTGGTTTTCTGTCCTTGCAATAGTTTGCTGAGAATGACGGTTTGCAGCTTCATCCATGTCCCTACAAAGGACATGAACTCATCCTTTTTTATGGCTGCATAGTATTCCATGGTGTATATGTGCCACATTTTCTTAATCCAGTCTATTATTGTTGGTCATTTGGGTTGGTTCCAAGTCTTTGTTATTGTGAATAGTGCCGCAATAAACACACGTGTGCATGTGTCTTTATAGCAGCATGATTTATAATCCTTTGGGTATATTCCCAGTAATGGGATGGCTGGGTCAAATGGTATTTCTAGTTCTAGATCCTTGAGGAATTGCCACACTGTCTTCCACAATGGTTGAACTAGTTTACAGTCCCACCAACAGTGTGAAAGTATTCCTATTTCTCCACATTCTCTCCAGCACCTGTTGTTTCCTGACTTTTTAATGATCACCATTCTAACTGGTGTGAGATGGTATCTCATTGTGGTTTTGATTTGCATTTCTCTGATGGCCAGTGATGATGAGCATTTTTTCATGTGTCTGTTGGCTGCATAAATGTCTTCTTTTGAGAAGTGTCTGTTCATATCCTTCACCCACTTTTTGATGGGGTTGTTTGTTTTTTTCTTGTAAATTTGTTTGAGTTCTTTGTAGATTCTGGATATTAGCCCTTTGTCAGATGAGTAGATTGCAAAAATTTTCTCCCATTCTGTAGGTTGCCTGTTCACTCTGATGGTAGTTTCTTTTGCTGTGCAGAGGCTCTTTAGTTTAATTAGATCCCATTTGTCAATTTTGGCTTTTGTTGCCATTGCTTTTGGTGTTTTAGACATGAAGTCCTTGCCCTTGCCCATGCCTATGTCCTGAATGGTATTGCCTAGGTTTTCTTCTAGGGTTCTTATGGTTTTAGGTCTAATATTTAAGTCTTTAATTCATCTTGAATTAATTTTTGTATAAAGTGTAAGGAAGGGATCCAGTTTCAGCTTTCTACACATGGCTAGCCAGTTTTCCCAGCACCATTTATTAAATAGGGAATCCTTTCCCCATTTCTTGCTTTTGTCAGGTTTGTCAAAGATCAGATGGTTGTAGATGTGTAGTGTTAATTCTGAGGGCTCTGTTCTGTTCCATTGGTCTATATCTCTGTTTTGGTTCCAGTACTATGCTGTTTTGGTTACTGTAGCCTTGTAGTATAGTTTGAAGTCAGGTCATATGATGCCTCCAGCTTTGTTCTTTTGGCTTAGGACTGACTTGGCAATGCGGGCTCCTTTTTGGTTCCATATGAACTTTAAAGTACTTTTTTTTCCAATTCTGTGAAGGAAGTCATTGGTAGCTTGATGGGGATGGCATTAAACCTGTAAATTACCTTGGGCATTATGGCCATTTTCACAATATTGATTCTTCCTATCCATGAGCATGGAATGTTCTTCCATTTGTTTGTGTCCTCTTTTATTTCATTGAGCAGTGGTTTGTAGTTCTCCTTGAAGAGGTCCTTCACATTCCTTGTAAGCTGGATTCCTAGGTATTTTATTCTCTTTGAAGCAATTGTGAATGGGAGTTCACTCGTGATTTGGCTGTTTGTCTGTTATTGGTATAAGAATGCTTGTGATTTTTGTACATTGATTTTGTATCCTGAGACTTTGCTGAAGTTGTATATCAGCTTAAGGAGATTTTGGGCTGAGATGATGGGATTTTCTAAATATACAATCATGTCATCTGCAAACAGGGACAATTTGACTTCCTCTTTTCCTAATTGAATGCCCTTTATTTCCTTCTCTTGCCTGATTGCCCAGGCCAGAACTTCCAACACTGTTGAATAGGAGTGGTGAGAGAGGGCATCCCTGTCTCGTGACAGTTTTCAAAGGGAGTGCTTCCAGTTTTTGTCCATTCGGTATGATACTGGCTGTGGGTTTGTCATAAATAGCCCTTATTATTTTGAGATATGTCTCATCAATCCCGAATTTATTGAGAGTTTTTAGCATGAAGGGCTATTGAATTTTGTCAAAGGCCTTTTCTGCATCTTTTGAGATAACCATGTGGTTTTTGTCCTTGGTTCTGTTTATATGCTGTATTACGTTTATTGATTTTTGTATGTTGAACCAGCCTTGCATCCCAGGGATGAAGCCCACTTGATCATGGTGGATAAGCTTTTTGATGTGCTGCTGGATTTGGTTTGCCAGTATTTTATTGAGGATTTTTGCATCGATGTTCATCAGGGATATTGGTCTAAAATTCTTTTTCTGTTGTGTCTCTGCCAGGCATTGATATCAGGATGATGATGGCCTCATAAAATGAGTTAGGGAGGATTTCCTCTTTTTCTATTGATTGGAATAGTTTCAGAAGGAATGGTACCAGCTCCTCCTTGTACCTCTGGTAGAATTCGGCTGTGAATCCATCTGGTCCTGGCCTTTTTTTTGGTTGGTAGGTATAGCTTGATTTTGAGTTAGGAGTAAAATAAATCAGTTTTCCTGGGTACACTTCTGGGAAAAGACAAAACCAAGGTACTGTAATACAGCTGATGCTTGTCTCAGCCTCTTAAATGAATCACAGTGAATAGGAAACACTAGTAAGTTGTTGAAATTTATGTGATGTAGTCAGTAAGGAAAACACTAACTAAAGAGAACTTTAATATGGAAAAGTACATCTCTTCTGATCCCCAATCTGAAATTAACCAGTCTGAAATGTGTGTTAACCCAGAATAATGCCCTTTTCATATGACTGTGAAAAGGCTGTAAATATCATTACTATTTTTTTATTTCCTAAAATATATAGTATGATTCTTTTCCTGTAAAAAAGCAAAGTCGCAGTCAACAACAATTTTTAAAAACCCTCTCTATTACAGATATTTTCCTCAGGATATAGTATTTTTCTACATTGTATAATGATAGTTAACATAAAGGAACAGAGTCTGGGATAGGAGAGAGGCATTTTCATTTCTTTCCTTTATTTACTTTTAAAAAACAGGAAATCAGAGGTATGGCATAATTTTCCAAAATCTTTTAAAATTAAAATTAATGAATAAATATTACTTCTAATTAGTCAATGTTATAATTTGTTAAATAAATACTATCACAACCAATATGCCTAAAAGAAAGCAAACAAAAAATTGTCTGCTGTAGCTTAAATATCACCAAAACACATAGGACAGTTGGATATCCTTCTTTGAAAAAAAGATCAGAGCATATACAGTATAAGTTAATCCATAAAGCAGATAGTCACAATAAATAATAGAGGACAAGCTGCATTTTAAAAGGTAAATAAATGATGAATTCTTTTAATGGCCTGGTACACTGATAGAAATTGGAACGTTTCTAAGACCCTATTTTGTCCCCAGGATTTCCATTATAGGAATTGAATTTTTCAAAAGATATACAGAGAATTTTATTAATATGTTCCTGTCAAATTATCCCTTCAACATAAAATCATGTTTTTATAATAGCCATAAATTTGGAAATTTTTGTATTTTAATTTGCAATAATGCCACTTTATTTCTTGTGTAATCTGTTATCATAGCATGAATCACTCCCTGTTGAAAATTCTCAGAATTTCCTGGGAAAGGAATTGGACAGAAAATTAGTTTCCTATTTGGGAGAATTCTTAGAATTTAAATAAACCTATTGGTTGAACTGAAACCACAAAATTAGCATTTTCTAATTACCACATTTAAATAGCGTAAAGCAAAGAGATCGGCCATCATCTTGGTCATCAACACAACTTGCTTCTCTCCAGACTTGGGCTTAAGGTACTGCGTTTACATACAGCAAAATTGCTATCATTTTACATTATCTAATCTCTTTCTTCCACTGTTTACTAAGTATATTTGTACCATTTCCATATGTTTGCAAATATTAAAACTTCTTATGATTTTCTGGCACCTTAAAAATCCTTTTGCAAATTCTGATACCATTTTACAGCTTTAGGTGATGAATCAATACAGTTTTATAAAAATACCAAATCATTTTTTGATAATTTTGTAACTAAAATATATTTTTAAAGTTGATACATAATTTCAGTAGAGGCTTGGGGTAAGCTAATTTAAATTATTTTTACCTAATTCTATGAGAAGTTGTTATGCAAATAATTTCTTATTTTTGTAATTACCATAGCAAAAACCATTTCTAGCAGAATAGTTCAAGGCCATTTTTGTTTCATGTCATTTGGGCAACAAAATTAACTCTACAATGTGAATATCTATTATAGATAATTAGCTATTGATGGCTACTTTGTAATGATTATTAAATTTAGATATTCAGAAAGACACAAATAGTAAATTTATTTGGGTTCAAAAATATGCCTTTTTTATTAACACATTTAGATTCTAAAATTTGTAGACTGAAGCAATATATATAAATGTCAGCATTTGTATGTTGATTAAGGTGTGAACAAATAGTATGTGTGACCTGATTTTTTTTCTAATGATTTCTCTGGAAACCATTTTCCCAGTACATGTGGATGTCCATATTTCGGGGTTCTTGCAATTTAATGAAACTCTGGAAATCAAATATAAGACATGTCAATATTTTGATTCTATCCAATTCAATCATCTTTATATATTTATGTCATGAATATTCCAATGTAGCAAAACACGAAGTTATGGCTAGATTCTTTATTTAAAAATTGAAAGAGATCAATAGCTTTTACATAACGTGCAGACAGGATTTTTCATGAAGACTCTAAAAGAAAAGAATGCTCTCAAATAGATTTAAAAGAGAAGCTCATTTTCAAAACTTTTCAATAAAATTAAATTCCAGTTCTCAGTGGATTTAACTTTATTGCCCACTTTAGAAAATCTGATTTGTCATCTAGGAGGAAAAGTGTTTTCTTTTTTCAATTGTATTTCAATATTAGCACTTCTTTATTTCTCTAAGCCATATTATTACATTAAGAACAAAATGTTATGTTTTAAAGTGTTAGTGAAGAAAAATGTTTGTAAGAAATTAGTATTTCTAAATAATATAAGAACTAAGAAAAATAACTAGAATGGTAAACATTGATATTGAGTAGTAAAGTTTTTAAAATCTTAAGTTTATAAAAATTCACATTACAGCTCCTCAAATCAGCCTACTTTTATCATAATTTGCTCCTTTGTTGAAAAATCAAGAATTTTTTTCAGGAAACAAATTTAACGTAATAATATCTAACTCTTTCTTTTTTGTTCTCTTACATAGGCTCTGATAACCATGAGGCTTCTCATTCTCACCTGTCTTGTGGCTGTTGCTCTTGCCAGGCCTGTAAGTTCAGTAGAGAATTTAGAAAGTCTTAGACTCTTGTTAGAAATGACCTGACACTTCATCAAACATAGGATACCCAGAGAAATAATCTTAAAGCACTGGATGATCTCTAATTGGCCTCTGAAGTCTTGACAATAGAAATGCAGTAATGCTTCACATTTTCATCATTATTGCATAGTCCACTGAGAGCCTTAACTCTGAATAAAATGTCTGACTTGAATTATAAGCACCCCACAATAAAAAAGAGCTAAAAATTTAAAAGTAAGAAAAAGAATAAGGTAATGCACAACATAATAAATAGCAACAAACAATGTGATTAGGCCTGTTCCTTGAGTCTACTACAAAATTCTCATATTTCTAAAAATGTAATAGTTGTCCAACATTTCTTTACCAAATATAACACAAAGCCACATGTTCCAATGTATCCTACTTTTGGAATCAAAATCAAACCCTTATTTGAGATGGCTTGTGTCAACTTTTCTTCCCCCAAGAAGGGATAGAAAACTAGGGTGATTCAGCTAATTGAGTGATCAATTTATTGTGGTCACTGTAGACAATGAAACTAGATAATGTGAATTAAAATTACCTTTCTTCTCAAAAAGAGTGTTTATATCAATTAGATAAGTATGTGAACCAAAAAGTTTTCTCTGTTCTCTCCTGTTATGTGTAGTTAATGAATGAGAAGAATAAACAGGAATCACCTGACTGGAAAAAACATCAGTTTAGAGGGATGATAAGGGATATTTGGACACTGAAATTATCTCATACAGAAGAAAAATTTCTGAAATGCAGATATAGCCTGTCATTTACACTGACAGACTTGTTCTCTAAATTCTCCTTTGGAAAGTGCAGAATCAGGAATTGTCAACTTCTGAACCAATAGTCTTTGTTTATGCTATAAACTAAGCATCAATAGAAAGAAATCTCTGCTTGCAAGTTACCAAAACAATGATAAAACTTCCTCAGGAATGAACTGTCTGAGCAGTTCTTATCTTGTCATTCTACCAGGAAGTGGGGAAAAGCAGCCCAGAAAATAGATGTTACACTTTTATTCCAAAGCAAACAATAGGGTTCTTTATTTGTTTATGTCACTGTTTAACGTGGTCTTGTCTCCACACTCAAAATGCAGAATGAGATCAATTTTCGTATAATTTAAGTGATGATAAAAATAAAACCCAGAAAGCGTTTGAATTAGGAAATTATATTTTGCCCAACATTTTTTATACTAGTTTAAAATCATCTTTAGAACTATGGTGTAATATATATAGTTCAGAAAACTAAATAAATTGTTTATTATTCTGGATTCAAACTAACCCAGAATTTTTACTTTTTTAAAGATGTTTTACATAGTTTTCTCAACTACCAGCCATAATCTAAAGAAAGGAAATGATTATTTTCCTTTGATATTTGTCTAAAAATAATTATGATTTCTTTTTTTTTCCCTGTAGTCCCAGAGAAACTTGGTCTCTGACAAATATTGCTATTAAAACACATACCTTTTGAAAATGGCAGTGTCAAAAATCATCGTATTATATGTGTATTATTATATTGTTATTGTCATTTTAGTTACTTTTTGTTTTACAATTCTTGCATTGTTTTTCACAGAAACTTCCTCTTAGATACCCAGAACGCCTTCAGGTAAATATTCTATTCTGCATTCCAAGAACTCACTCTAATTGTGAAGCACAAACTCCAAATGTGCGCTTCCCTTCTCTATGAAACAGCCTGCTTCACTTTTGCTGACGCATCATTTCTTTAGTTCAAGCACTGTCAGATGGTATTTGCTCTCACAAAACTTAGAGGACGGCACACTGACTTAGATAAACATTTATGTTAATAAAAATCTTATTTTTATTCCAGAGAAATAGTTAATTAAACAGAATGTGTTAACATGTTTATTTTAATGTATTCTTGCTTTTTTCAATGTTACACATATTCAAGCATGTGATTTACAGTTTGGTCTCATTTGATATGTTGAATCTTGAATTAGTTACCTCTACCACAACTTTCTATGAGCACAACTAATCCTACATTCTGTCCTGCAATTGGAATAATACCATTTAAAAATTATTATTTTTTACAGAATCCATCAGAGAGCAGTGAGGTAAGCTCTGTTTATGGGGAGTCAGGATTCTCTCTTCCTTTTGCTCTCTTTCAGTTAGCTGTCATGCATGTTGAATGTCTTCTTCTTTACAATTTTTATTTCCCTTCAAATGCATCCAACAACTCAAGTACCTGGATTGCTCTCTAAATTCTGTTTTGATGAAATTCCTATTTGACTTCTTAGCCATTTTGGTAAGCATAGACTTATTAAATTTACTGGCCTGGTGAAGAAGGAACTAATTAAGGTGTAGGTGTTCTTTAGATTGTAAAATTAGATCATAAAACTAAAACTAATTATTTGTTCTTCTAGCTAAGAAATCTGTTGGTTTACCGAATTAAATGGAGCATTTGTGTTCAAATGAGAATAATGTGGTTTTTTGGTGTTTTTATTATTTTTATAATTCACAATTTAATTTCAATAAGAAATTATCAAAGAAGGAAAGTTTCTCAGGCTTCTTCTGGTAAGTGTTATCCACTTATTCTTAAAAGAAGAAACATACTTTTATGGGAAAAATTATTTAATTTTTGTTTATAAAAATGTTTTTTTCACTGGGTGCTGTGGCTCACACCTGTAATCCCAACACTTTGGGAGGCTGAGGCAGGAGGATTGCTTGAGCCCAGGAATTCGAGATGAGCCTAAGCAACATAACCAAACCCCGTCTCTACAAAAAAAATTTTGAAAAAAAAAAAAATAGTCGGATGTGGCGGCATGCACTTGTGGTTCCAGCTACTTGGGAAGCTGAGGTGTGAGGGTCACTTGAGCATGGGCGGTTAAAGCTGCAATGAGTCGTGATAGCACAAGGGCAACAGAGCAAGAAATTGCCTTAAAACAAAGTGGTTTTTTGTTGTTGTTGTTGTTTAACCTAAGTTAATCAACCCTTCCCTTCATTCAGTCATCCAAACACCCAGAAAGAATATAAAAACAAGATATGTATATGTTAAAGAGCTGCTTTATATTTTAATTTGTACCTAAACGTTTGCCTCTCCAAAACACTCTGCTCTCCTTTCCGTGACGTATGTAGAGGTTTACAATTTCCTCACTCCTTATAATAGAATGCTCTTAACTATAAATAATACATATGTGTCACATTCTCTATAATTTTTGACTTAATTGTTGAATAGAAGAACATAACGTTTTAATTCAAGGACATTATCTAAATGATTTGATAGATAACTCAACTATGAATGAATTTTAACATAACTTTTTTTTTTGTAGCCTATACCATTAGAATCAAGAGAGGTAAGAATGACTCCACAGAATTTACCGTGCAATTAACAAAGAGAAGTAAGTGTTAAGATCAGGAGACTCAGAACAGTGCCTAAAACAAAGTGAAAGTCAAGGATAACAAATTTGAGTGGAACAAACTTAAAAATATTGTTAAATGCACATTTACATACTAGCCTTACACAAAGAAGGAGTAGGGAAACACCACTTAAAGGTTAGAAATGATACAATAAGGAATATTAGTTCATTTGTGAAAAATAAATTTATTTTTAAATTTGTATCAGCACTAATGAATTCTGCTGAGAATTCTGAAGACTACTGATTTGATTGACTTAATTGTGTAGTGAGAAAGACCACTTAAGGTTAGAAATGATATAATAAGGAATATTAGTTCATTCAGGAAAAATGGATTTATTTTTAAATTTGTATCAGCACGATGTGAAGTACAGTTTCTCATAGATTTCCACTCATGTATGTCTTGTTTCACTAATATTGTTTATGTTTTCTTTTTTATCCCTAAGGAATACATGAATGGTATGAACAGGGTAAGAAACATCAATGAAATTTAAATTATGTTAAAAGTTTGTTTTCATGAAAACATATTTTACAAGGTACACTTTATTGATTTTAGCAGAGAAACATTCTGAGAGAAAAACAGACTGATGAAATCAAGGTACCAAAGTTTTTCTTGAAAGAGTATGGCAAAAGTATATATTCTTGTAGTAGAAAAAAAGTTTTCCTTTAGGAAAAAAAAGCATTTTTCTATGGTTTTGTCCTTTCCTTGAACTTTTCACTCATACATTTGTAGTGACTAATGGAGTCTGCTGAGAATTCTGAAGAAAATGATTTCATTGACTTAATTGTGCAACTGTGATGAAACAAGGCATTAGTGTGAATGAATGAAATAACAAATAAACAAATAAATGCAATTATGTATTCACATTTATCACCAAAATTAAAGGAATGCTTTATC
Organism: Homo sapiens; assembly: GCF_000001405.40. Lineage (NCBI taxonomy): Eukaryota > Metazoa > Chordata > Mammalia > Primates > Hominidae > Homo > Homo sapiens. The sequence goes on from NC_000004.12 coordinate 69,936,908, forward strand.
AAGGGTATTATATGAAGTAATACAATATCTGGCTCAAGAATATTTACATAGTCATACTCAATTATTTTCTTTAACCATAACATCTTTGATTTGGATTGTCTACTAGTTTTCTAGTAGAATTGGTATTGAGAGAGCAGGTGCTCAAACTTTATGAGATAAAATATATATCTTCTTAACAATCTGTCATACCTAACTGATTGACTGTCTTGGCAGGATACTAGGAATGAGTCTACTCAGGTGAGACCCTTTGTTTTAAAATTATTAAACCAATATGAGGAAAAGAAACAATACATATTTCCCCAAATAAATTATTATTTTAAATAAAAACTATGGCAGATAACTCTAATTCAAAGAAAGAAAAGAAATAGTGTATCATACATTGGCCAGAATAACCAAACCAACACAAATATTTTAAATTTAAATTCTATGGATAATGTCACTGATCTCTGTATTGCTGTAGTCGTGAAAACTGAGCAAAACATACTAGATGGAGCAAGTTCTTTTGCTTAGGTATTTACACACCATTAAATCAGTGCTCTCCTTTAGTCCAGTTGTATTTACTGCATGAGCTTCAGTGCAGTGTCCTGCTCAGAGTCCAGAAGCCAAGTTTTAAAAGAGGGAAAGCAAAAAGTCATGCTGGATAAAGGAAAATGTAAACTTGTTTTCACTGATTTGCTACAATATAGAAGAATCCGAAACGTTTTATTTAAACTTCAAAATGCAGATTCATTTGGCTCAGAGATAAAGTAGGCAGTTTTTTTAGTTTTTCTTATTACTTTTATATTGTCTCAGTTTTCTATTTTCTTTGACATCCATTTTATTTGGTAATCATTACTTTTGTATTTGACTATTTGTCATGAAAAATGAAATTGATTATTTTTTCTTTCTTAAGAACTGTGTTGTGGCAGAGCCTGAGGTAAGACCCATTCATTCTAGTGAACTCTACACTTACGTATCAAACATAGTATATGCAGCATGCTTCATTTTAAAAAGACTGTCTTCTGAAATTAAGCAAAATAAGAAACTGAATTTTAAAATGTTAACATTTTAATTTTAAATTAATCCTATTCTAATTTTAACTTATTGAACTTCTCAAACAGGAATATTATACTCAAGAATGTACAATGTTGTGCTAGATAAAGTTGAAATTGGAAGACGGAATTTAAGCCATTTAAATAATAATTAGTAAAAAAATGCTTATTCATTAAAATATAAAATAAAAACAAAAGGTGCATGGATGTTTAAAATGAGAGTCCCACAGAACACTGACTCTGACATCCCAGGGCATGAGATTACTTTTTTATTTTAGATACAAGTGCATGTATGTATGTAAGATTTTTACATGAGTATGTTAGACACAGGTAGTGAGCATACTACCCAACAGGTATAGGTTGGTGCAAAAGTTATTGTGCTTTTTACCATTAAAAATAATGGCAATACTATTAGGTTGGTGCAAAAGTAATTGCAGTTTTTACAGCGTAATGGCAAAAACCTCAATTACTTTTGCACCAACTTAATAGTTTGTCAACCCACGCCCCTCTCCCTCTCCTTGGGCAGAAAGAATCTATGGCAGCAATTACCTAGGATCAGTGAGCTATACTACCTACTCTACAATTATATTTTTTTAAATGCTGACTTATTACATATGGTTAATCAACCATCCCCAGAGATAAAGTCTGTTGAATATTAAAATTAATCTGTTAAAATATGTATGTATTTGGAAAGTAAAATTATATGTATATATAAATATAAACATAAATGACTTTGAAGAAAAAGTAAATATTTCAAAGTAAATATTTTAAAATCTAATGTAATTTTAATTTCATCTTAAGATTGTGCATTGTATTTAATGTTTCCATTTTATTCACATCAAAGAAGCCCCAAGGACAGATGAGAACAGATGTTTAACCCAGGGTTCTGGGTACCCAGCTAAATATGGTTCTTTCTTAGAGGTTTCATTTTTGTCACAAAAATCTATGCAAATTTTGCATTCTACTCAATGATAAACTTGTGTTTGTTTTCCTAAATTAAAAACAATTGTTTTTAAGTTTTTATGTTCCCAGATAAGTTATTAAACCTACCACCATAATTTTTCAAGTAAAATTCACACTCCAAGAAAATACAATGTAGTACGCCTGAATTTTTCCATACCACTTATTCAGTTATAATGTTACCATGGTAAGCATTTCACCATGATGACATGGAACTAGTTTCCTTCAAATTCTAAAAATCCCAGGGGATAATTAACACTAGATTTCTTTCTTTTAGAAGATGGAATCCAGCATCAGTTCATCGAGTGAGGTAAATAATTTTGATATTAATTCTGTGTCCCAACTAATTTAAAAAATTATGAAAACTTGTACCGTGAGGATTACATATCCCTTAAGGTCTCATTGTACAAGGCAGTGTATATGTGGCACTATTCTAGTTTTAGTATGTGAGTAGCTATCCAAAAGAAGTAAGAAAGCAATTGTTTGTCAGAGACAAATTGACAAAATTATTTCTGGGCAAACAATCTTATCTGGCCATCTGTGATGTCCAAATTATTTTTTTAACCAATTACTTTGTCCTTCGCAGATTTTGTTAAAACTCAATCTTATCATTAAAAATTCTAACAATTACCATGCTTATAAACCCATGAAGTAAACATTTCATAAACCATTTAGAATTTAACCAATTCTAGATTAATCAGACACTGGACTCCTCCAGCTACTCTCCACTCTTTGCCCTGTGTTAATCTTGAGAAAAAAAGTCAGCCTACAAAAAAAGTGGTGCGGTTTTTCCTTTGACTTTGGAAGAAGACCTTCATGCAAGTTACCAAAATAAAACCAACTCACTTAAGTGGGGTTTCTGTTAATTGAATAAAAATCATTACTTCACATCCACCCCCAGCATTCGGAGCAATGTAGTGGTTAAAGCAGTGAGAAAAGGAAAAGCAATGTGATTATAATATGTGGTTCAAATTATTAATCTTGTCTCAGTTTTTTGGGAATTTATCACTAAAATCAATTCACTGCAATTATTTAGTAATAGTTTTGTTGATTCATATTTTAACTTTAAATGTAAATTAATGTCGTGAAATTAAAACTATGCATGTTTTAATTTTTTTAAAGGAAATGTCTCTCAGTAAGTGTGCGGTAAGACATATTTGCTAAATTTAAAATATATTAATATTTTCCAGGATAATTAAAATGCACTTACTTTCACACACACACACACACACACACACACACACACACACACGGGAAAACATGCTATACCAATGCCATCTGGAAAGGTGGCATTAAAGTTTTATCAAAGGCAAATAAATATACCAAGGAATGAGTGAGAATGTTGTATTAATAAATTATTTATCCTTTTCAATATCTGCTAGACTTTATTGTAACTAGTCTGATGGGATCTAGATGTTTTCTTATTCCCCCTCTAAAAATAAAGCTAGCGACTTTTTTTATCCCAGTTATCTAATTCACAGTTTTAGTTGAATATTTGTAATTTATAGTCTCCTTTTGAATCTACATAACATAGTATTTAAGTGGCAGTCTATAGATCTGGTTACACTTGAGTTCAACTCATAGCTCTACCTTTTACACGTATGTGATGTTGAACCGTTCACTTTCCCAGTATAAGTCTATAACTTAATCCTAAAATGGCAATAATAATAAATATTAGATGATGTAAAGCAATTAATGTAATCCATGACACAGAGCAAACTGTCAATAAATGTTGGATAGCATTTGAAAAATTATTTTTCCCTGTCCATTTAATATTCTAATATAATTTGGCCAAAGTTAAATCTTCACAGTCAGAAAACAAAAAAACAGTTTTAACTTTCTTAATAATTCTGATATATTGTAACTAAAATTGGCTGTACTAATTTATATCAGACAGAATTATAATTTAAATTCAAGAAGTTGCTTTTTAAAATGTTTTTAAAAGGGAATAATGGAAGAGATCCAAATTATTTGGGGTAGAAATGGCACTCAGGTGTAATAGTTCCTCATTCTCTACCCTTGGGAAAGAGCATTGTTAGATTCTTGTTTCATCATATGAAAATGATGGGGTTGGACTGAATGACATCCAAGCAATTGAGAATATTTTTCTTTTTAAATAGGAACAGTTTTGTAGACTGAACGAATACAACCAACTTCAGCTGGTAATATTTTATTCATTATAATACAAAATCATATTCTACTATAGAATTAAAACATATTAAATTTTAAATTGGGGCCATTTCTAAATATATTTTTATTTTTCTTAAGAAATTATTTATTCTAGCCTTGACCAATAATTGGCAAGTTATTTGTATGATTGCCGGCATATTTGCGGGCAATGCTCATTCTCTTTATTCCTGGACTAAAGTTCTATATATTATCCATACTTACTAACCAGGGAGAAAGTGACTACATTCTACTGCAAATCCACTTTTAACCTCCCTGATGATACATTATGTCCTGGTTGAGAATTTCACAAATATGCTTACCTGTGAAATCACAGATATGTCAAATAAACTTTCCATTTAAGGAAACAGGATAGATTCTGGGAAAGGAAACAGGAATGCTAAACATCAGATTTGCTTCTGTCAAAACTCACATAATCTGCTTAACACTGGTTTTGACCCTTTTGAGTAACATAAAAGTCTTTCTTTTGGGAGGACAATAAAAACCTTTCAGTAACTACAAACAAATTTGACGTAATGAAGGCTTTGGGAAATGCTTGGTTTTAGTTCAGCAAAATTGCATGCTAGCATTTTTAATCGTTATCAATAGAGGAAGATGAAAATCAGTAATGAATTTAATATGGACCCTAATTGTTACTCTAGTTTCCATTTTCAGGTAACTTGTGTTTAAAATAGTATCCAAATAAATTTAAACACATTAGTACCCCAATAGAATTCATCATTATTGATCTAGAAAATTACCTGAATAATATATTTTAGTACCATAGATATGATATGGCTAGTCTGTAACCTCCACAACTGTTAGAACCTACTTGTCCTCCTGAGAGATTTTGTAGTATTTTACAGTGGTATCTCCAGTATTTAACATTGTCCCTGAACAAATGAAGGTACCCAGCAAATGTTTCTTATTAATGAGTAAATAAAATGAAAATACTAAAACAGAATGTTTTCTCCTCCCTAGCAAGCTGCCCATGCCCAGGTGAGATTATTTATTAAATCTAAAATATTTTAGTATTTCCTTCATGTGTTATGTTTTTATAATGCATGATTCTCTTTTAACATAAATATATTCTGAGAGAGTGTTCTACCAACACTATCTGATAATATTTTACTTAAAAGTCACAAAAGACAAAATTTAAATAATTAATAAATAGCCATAAATAGAAAAATATGTAGTCCTAGAGAAATGGTAGGTTATTATTTTTCCTCAGAGTATGAACCTTACTAATTGTTTATTTTTCCAAACTATAGTGAGCTTAGCCTTTAGCTAAAATTTTTTTCTGACATTAGAAAATAAAAAGTGTTTTGACATTTTTTGCTAACTGTGGCATAGAATACAGTCTATTCTAAATTTCATGAATGATGTTATGTATACTTCTGGTGCAATGTAAGATAAATGTGTTGTACCAGAAGATGTCTAAGTAATTTAGAATGTGTTTCCTTTTATGCAGGAGCAAATTCGCAGAATGAATGAAAACAGCCATGTCCAAGTGGTAATATTTTGCTTAATATATTACAAAACGATAATATTTTGTTAAGCTTAAATATGTTTGCTCTTAAATAGCCCCCTACTCTTGAAGAGATTTTTTTCTTCTCAAACATTTCTCACTCCCAACTTAAATCTCAGTTCTGACAACTTCTAAGCATATGACCTTGAGCACATTGTGTATTCTCTTGGACCTTTGGTTTCTCATTTGTGGAGAAAAACAATATGTGTCTATCAATTTATTTCCTCCTCCAAAACTCCCATGTCTTGATGTTTACAGTGACATATTGTGTCTTCACATTTAAAGATAATAACTGTATGTTTAATTCAGTGTCTCTTGTCCATTAATGATTCAATTTATGTACAACATGCTAATTAAAAAAAAAAAAACCATGTAAAGAAAGCCATGGAACATCCTCCACAACTAGAGAAAGAAACTTTTAGTTCCTCACAGTACATCAAATTTTACCCTCAGTTTTTTTTTTCTGAAATTCTGTAATCACTGTCACTGGCTAAAGTAAAAAGAAAATAAAGGCAAGTATTCTCTTCATTTGGGCCCCAAAGAATTACTTGGTCTTAATTTTCCATGTGAATATTATTATTATTATTATTATTATTATTATTATTATTATTAGACAGATTCTCACACTGTTGCTGAGCTGGAGTGCAGTGGCACAATCTCAGGTCCCTGCAACCTCTGCCTCCCGGGTTCTAGTGATGCTCATACCTTAGCATCCCAAAGTAGGTGGGATTACCGGCAAGCATCACGATGCCCAGCTAATTTTTGTATTTTTAGTAGAGACAGGTTTTCACCATGTTGGCCAGGTTGGTCTCAAACTCCTGACCTCAAGTGATCCACTCGCCTTGGCCTCCCAAAGTGCTGGGATTACAGGCATGACCTATTACTTCAATGTAATTATTTTTAAAAAAAGTGTGACAACTATATATGCATTTTTCATATTAATGAGGGTTTGGAGTAGCAATAATTTGCCCTATCCTCATGTTCAGTTGGATGTAAATTACTAAACTAGTGCCTTAGTTTGTTTTGTGCTGCTATAGCGGAATACCACAGACTAAGTAATTTATAATGAACAGAAATTTATTTGGTTAACAGTTGTGGAGGCTGTAAGTCCAAGATTGAGAGGCCAACATCTGTCAAGCTAGGGCCTTCTTGTTTCATCATCCCATGGTGGAAGAGCAAAAAAGAATACACAAGAGAGGGTCAAACTCAGTCAAAACAAACTCACCCTTGCAACAGTAAGCCCACTCCTATGATAATAGCATTAATTAATTTGTGAGAGCAGAGCCCTTGTGAACTAATCAGTTCTTCAAAGTCCCACTTCTCATCACTGTTGTATTGCATGTTAAGTTTCCAACATATGATCTTTGGGAAACACATTCAAATCATAGACACTTATTTCTGTCTGTCTGTCTGTCTCTCTCTCTCTCTCTCTCGGTCTCTCTATTAAGAACAGGGCCAGTTCTATCTTGAGGTAGTTACCTTATTTTATCTTAAAAAATTCTAGATTTTATATTTGTTTTAATCTTTACATAGGCAGGTGTCCACAGCAACATTTTAAATGCTTTTAAAGATTTTCCTAATTCCAGCAAAGAACTTCCACCTGAATATGTAGAGAATTATATGCAACTGTTTCTATGAACAATGCAATTATTAGTACACAGAAAAAATTAAGTGTAATCTCATTATGAATCAACAGAAGCAACTATTCCAAAATTATAGAAAGGAAAATAGTTTTGGCCCCAAAACTCTAGTGTTTGAAAAGAACAGTGGCCTAGGAATTAAAGAATTATTATTTTTTTCTGTTCCTGGCATTTCTGAAAGACAGCTATGTTGACCCTGGGTGCGGGGCCTGTACTTTGACCCCAGTGGCTTTAAGGAAAATTATATATCTAAATGGCAAAAATTCCCTTGAGTTTATAACGTAAATAATAATGAAATGTATGCTACTACTCTCTTCTGGGCTCTGATAAGTGGACCTGTGAGTAATGTGGGTTCTTGGAGTTCAGTTTTAAATAATGTCCTTAAAAAAAGTGATTTATTCATTGCCCCTCAGGTGTCTTAAAAGAGCACCTTCTGAAAGTTTCTTCAACATGGTTCACCATAGAAGATTTTGATTTATTCTTTTCCCTCACAGAGTAATCATTTTTTATCATGCTAACAGGCATCTTGGAAATGAATGAGATGTATTGATATTTTTCAGGGACTGAAAAAAGCAATTGCTCATACACTGTTGCTTTTCAAATGTTTTTCCCTCTAGCCTTTCCAGCAGCTCAACCAACTTGCTGCCTACCCCTATGCTGTTTGGTACTATCCACAAATCATGCAGTATGTTCCTTTCCCACCGTTTTCCGACATCTCCAATCCCACTGCTCATGAAAATTATGAAAAAAATAACGTCATGCTACAGTGGTGGTAAGTTCATTTAAATTACTACATCTTGATGTTCTACCAAAGGAATGAAATAGAATAGCTTGGAGAGGATACCATAAGAACAGATTTAGATTAAACATGGCAAATCAATGCCTACTGCAAAGGACTAATATGTTCTGAAATGGAAAATTGATAATATTTTGTGGGACCTGTGGCTAATATTATCAATTTCTTAGTAACATGTGGAACAGTATTATCTATTCTATAAGTGATATTTATTCTAATGAGCCTGGAAAATAACTTCTTTTCAAGTTAAAAATATAAAGACTTCTGACATGTAATTCAACATTATCCTTTTTGCGCTTTTACTAATCTTTAAATGACTTCCTTCTGGTTATACCTATGATAAGTATAAAAACACTGGGTAGGTAATATAGCACATATTTTGGTGTTCAGTAGTCCTAAATTCAAATCCTAACCTTTTTGCTTACTTGAAATTTTATAATAATCCTTATTTATTATAATCCTGAGGGTGATCAAATATAGTAATCTCTGTTAAGTATATTGTGGGCAAAATAAACACTGAATAGGTAAAAGTCCATTTTTTCCTGATTTAGCAAATCTTTATTAATGACTTCCTTTAATCACATGATTTTAACAATTTTCATTATTTCGGAAGAATTAAGTAAATTCTCAAGGAACTCCACAGTTAGGGCCCTTGGTAAGTTTGGAAATTATGTATCTAACCATTGATCTTATTTTTTATGGTCAAATAGACATCCTTAACAAGTCACATAGATAAATAAAGTGTTAGTCTGTCAACACCACTTAAAAAGGTCTATAAGTTCAATTATTTTCACCACTACATTGGAGCTTCCAATTGTGTGTTTGTGTGTGTGTGTTTCCTTTTCCAGTGGTGGAAACTTCCCTTCTAATACATTAAACCAAGGAAAATGACCAAATTTTAACCTATGTGAAAGCCTTTTATTCTAATTGCATTGCCATATCTTCAGTAATACCACAAAACAAAATACAATTTAGTAATAAAAATGTCTTTGTAGCTTAAAAACCAAGAGCAATGGATAGGTATGTCAGTAACAGGAAAGCATAAATAACATTGTGAGCTTGTCTAATACGAAGAGAAAATAGTAAAACGTGTTCTACCATAAGAGCTTTTCTTTTCTTCAAAAATATTTAATATAACTCACCACATATTTCTATTTCTATTTACAGATATGATTGAAAATTTCATTCTCTGAATTTCTCCTCTCAAGGAAAACCATCTTATCTGAAGACTGGACTGTTGTTTTAGAATAGTAAAATCCCATATTGAAGGAAATTGTTCTTTTTGAGTTATCTACTTAATAGCATATCATTCTTTTTCTTAAGCTAAATTTTCCTAGAGAGTTTATTGTCTAAATTTCAGTTGTGTCTTGCCATATGGAGGGCACCTAATCAGAGGGTATTAAAGTGTTTACTAAGTTTTCTAGTGGACATTTTGTTTAAAAAGTCTTTGAATTGCCAGTTCTGTAAGTGCCATCAATTAAAATAGTTTTGTGCAGTGACAGAGATTTTCTTTTTTCTTTTCAATAAATTACACTTTAAGGCAAAAGCCGTATTTTCCGTCATCATTCCATTCAACAGTATTTACATAATCATCTTAAGAGTCTTTGCATGTAACATTTGTTTTCATTAAATTAAAATCCATATTTTCTGTCATTATTCCATCACCAGTATTTACATAATCCTATTAATAGTGTCATGTATGTAACATTTTGTTTTCATTAATTTTTTATGACAATTTCAATCACATTTTAGTGAAGAATTGTAGAACTGTTCACTTCTGGATGGCACTAGCAGCCAGATCATAAAAGGCATTTATAAACTTGTCCAATATCTTTAATTTATAGTCAGTGGTTTGTAGAACATTTTCCATGAGGACATTGTCAGAGCTGCAGAGAGGAACAACAGTGTGGCAGTTGTGGGCACACTAGAGTTTGAGCAACCTGACTATACAGTTTACTTATGCCATCTGGACCTGTTTGAGTCCAATCCGGTTGATTATACCTAAGTTTATAGCTAGAGAAATAGATAATAGTCATTAAAAGATCAGCTCAGGAACACAGTAACCTGGTGTCCTTCAGAGCTGAAGTAGGAGCTATTTCTCTAAATAAAAATAGTTACTTGTTCTGATATTTTCAAAGCCCCAGGTGAGATTTACCTGTCAAGGTTTACTCCAAACTTCCCACACCAACCAATCTGTCATGATCCTTTAATGACCCATTGGATCCACCAGATCATAACACACAAGTGAAAAAGCTTCTCACCCCATGGCCTAGACCATCTAGATAGACATTAGATGCTCAGTATTCTACCAAATTTATATACATTAGTATCCTACTACATATATAGAGAGAATATAAAATGATAATGTATTCTATATAAAGGGATAGAATATTCAGAACACTGTTTTATGTATGTGTGATTTTATGTATATATAAAATCCAATATTTTATGACTTAAAAATCTAAAGAAACCAATTTAGCATTGGGTCCTCTGCCTTCTCCCTATGTTAGGAAGTACAAGGAGAAACAACTTGTTTTCTGATCCAGAGAAAGCCTGTGAAAATACTGAGACTTCTGGGCCTGCAGGAAATTAATGGAGGAGGCAGGCTCCTGCATCTTCATAAAATATATCTCTGCAAAGGCCAAATAAGAAAACAGAATAATATTATAATATGATTCATCACACTGCTTTATTTTAGTCTTTAACATTCATGGCATTTTCCCTTTAGAGGCAGTACTGCTTTTGATTTATTCTTTTATTATAGAAAGAGACATGATAATGATTTCTAGTCAGTCTTTTTTTGACCTCCTTACTGCATACAGCAGTGAGGCAATACGGGGATTAGTTCACTTTATATGTATTTAAACTACACACTAGGGCCAGGCACAGTAGCTCACACCTGTAATCCCAGCAGTTTGGGAGACCGAGGCAGCCTGGCTAAAATGGGGAAACCCCATCTCTACTAAAAACACAAAAATTAGCTGGGTGTGGTGGTAGGTGCCTGTAATCCCAGGTAGTTGGGAGGGTGAGGAAGGAGAATCGCTTCAACCCAGGATACACAGTTTGCAGTAAGCCAAGATCACGCCATTGCACTCCAGTCTGGGCAGTAAGAGTGAAACTCTATCTCAATAAATAAATAAATAAATAAATAAAAATAAAAATAAACTGTAGTCTTTAAACTGGGAACTTACCATGAATGGCTTAGTCTGTCACTGGGCGACAAAGGAGGCAAACTCTGTTGGCAACACCATCTATTACCTGGCTTAAAGAAATCCCCACATGAAGACCAGATCATCGAGACATTATTCATTCCAAGGAATTTGTGATAAGATAGAGCATGGATTCAAGTATCTGTAAGAAGATCAGATAGTTCCCTTTCTTCAAATAAATATCCAGAACTTATAGGCTCATGGTAAGGACCAGGATTAGATACATGATGTTATAATAGGATCCTTCCTGTAGATCTTTGATTTTTCTCTTCATTCAAGGAATTTGAATTCATAAACTTCTTCTTATTTAGAAACTGGGAGGTGAGAAGGGTCATTACTTTTTTTGATACAGCTTGAGCCAGAATTCTGTTCACCAGTCATGAAAATATTTATATGTTTATATCAAAAATCACCCCAGTGTTACTGTCACTAATTTTTTTCCTGGAGATATGATCATTAGCCTCAAACAGAAATCACTTCTGGTTTAACCATTTCTCATGAAATAATTATTTATCTCTAAAATTTTAACTACCACTTTGGTTTAGAAGTTTACCTGTTACCATCTTGGTTTGAAACCAAGCTTAGCTGTTTCCGCTTTCCCTAACTCAAAAAGGCAATTTCAATTTCTGTGTGCCTCTCACTAGAGTTTTTAGTCAACTACACTTGGGTAGAAAATAAAAGTATTTAAGAATATCTTTTAAAATTTATTCAGGGTGAATAGGTGAAATGATAGTCATCTATGCTGTGTCTGTAAACACATGGATGTGTAATTAGAATTAAAATACCTATCTATAGATGTTTCTGAATGTTTCTGTTTTCACTATGGCTAAAAACTCTCTTGTACTGCCTTATTTCACACGAGTGAGATAATGGTTGTGAAAAAAACATGAACTGAAGATTGCATGCCTCCCCCTTCCACTGTTCTTTCAAATCCATTGTTGCCATTCAGGAATACAAAATCCAAGTGTGACCTGATATTGGGACTTATAGAAAAAAAAAACTAGAAATGCGGATTCATGTATAAAATCTCCTGGTTTCAATGCTGTCAATTTTTTAAATACGCAATGTGCAGTCCTCTTTTCCTCAATGAATCAAAGTTCACTGGCCATATTTGGATCCTAAGATACCAGTCATATACTCTGCTATACATTAAAGGAAGCCTTTTCTAGGTTTTTGTTTGCTTGGTTGATTGGTTGTTTTTAATTTGTATTTCCAGTCAACATTAAATTTGAATCTTTGTTATGGTGAAGCAACAATAAAGAATGGGAAATTAAGGTAACCATTAATGAAGATAAACAAAAAATGTATTAGTTCATCATGAAAAACAGGTGCAGTGGGAAGAATTTCATGAACATTTTGGAGTGATGGGTTCACTAATTTTTCCATCTATTTCAATATATTATACTCAGAAATTGGGGTTCTACTTTCCTAATTTTGAATTCCTGTGTTATTTTAATCGTTATTACTGAATGTTTGTGCCCTCTACATTCGTATGTTTAAGACCTAATCCCTAATGTGATGGTATCTAGAGGCAAAGCTTTAGGGAGGTAATTAATTAGGTCATGAGGGTGGAGCCCCTCTGAATGGAATTAGTGCCTTTATAAGAGACACCACAGAGATGGAATTCAGCAAGAAGGCGACTGTCTGCATACCAGGAAAAGGACCCTCACCAGATACTGAATCTACCAGTGCCCTGATCTTGGACTTTCCAACCTCCAGAACTATCAGAAACAAATTTCTGTTGTTTAAGCCATCCAGTTTATTATGTTATTTTGTTATGGCAGTGCAAACTGACTATAACATTAATTGTGTAATTCAAAATCTTGGTCTCAGACTTTTTTTCAAAAATTTAAGTTCTATAGCTATAAGCAATGAAAGATCTACTAGCATAGAAACATGACATACAGGAATTGGATTTGATTTTGTCAGGGCTCTCATAGTACCAAGTGACAGAAAAAAACTTTATCTCAAATTGACAAAAACAAGAAAGGAATTTTTAAATTTATGTCATACAAAATTACAAGAGTGAAATACAGTTGTATTTAAGAGCTTGAAGGTGGGCATTAACTCTTTTGTTCATCTCTCATTATTACTCTTTTCTGTACTGACTTAATTTGCAGGCTATGTTCATGTGATTGAAAAGATGGCTTGCCCACATCTTGAGACTCGACAGTTATTCAGAACCTAAACCCAAAGGAAGTGATCATATTGCAGCTTCTCTGAGTGTTCATGCATCAGTAGAGCAATGCTAGTTGGTTCTGCTTATAGGAAGGGCCCCTTCCTTTGGATAAGGGACTGTGGTTCCATGATAACCCTGGTTTGAATTATAGGTTCACTTATTTAGCTGAGAATCATTAAACTCTTTATTCTTCATGTTAAGATACACCAAATTGCAATTGCAAAATTTCAAATTAAATTTGGTACATTATTTGAGCTTTTATTATTTTAAAAATTTCTCTCTTGAAGAATATATTTCAATGTCTTCCCATTTGCAAAAGTTGCTTTCAATCATTTCAGTAAAGCTAATATTTTCTGGTTCTTCATTTGTTAAATAATTTGAGCCAAGATTTCACCCAGCCTTTTAAACAAATCTAACCAAAATCTTGATGCTTTCTTATATTAGTTTCCTAAGGCTGTTGTAACAAAGCACCATAAACTAACTGTTCAAAAAAAAAAACATAAATTCATTCTCTCACAGTTTAGGAAGGTAGAAGCCTAAAATCAGTGTGTTGACAAGATCATGCTTCCTTTAAAGGCTTTAGGAAGAGCCCTTCCTTGCCGCTCCCTACTTCTGGTGGTTGCTAGCAATCATTGGCATCCTTAAACTTGTAGCTGTATTTTGTGGCTGCATCATCCAACTTCTGCCTCCATCTTCTGAGGCCATATTTCCTCTGTGTATGTATGTGCATAGATTCCCGCCCCCCAAAATTTTTTTTTTCTTTTTGTGAGAGAGGTTCTCTGTTGCCCAGGCTGGAGTGCAGTGATGTGATCCTGACTGACTGCAACATTCCCTGCCCAGACTCCAGCGATATTCCCACCTCAGCCTCCTAAGTAGCTGGGACTACAGGTGTGTGCCACCATACCTGGCTAATATTTGTAGGTTTTATAGATACAGGGTCTCACCATGTTGCCCAGGCTAGTCTCGAACTCCTAAGATCAAGTGATCCAGTGAGTGTGGTTTTCCATGGTTTATGTTATTCATGCATCTAGAATATGCTTGCATGACTAACTCATTACAAGAAACCCTGATCATAAGCAGTTTTGAGCTTCCTAGCACTGAGGTGATTTGAATGATCTCCATTGGTAGATTGAGAATTGTAGATGAAGCCAGCATTGAGAAAGATTTTTTGCTTGACCAAACATTACTCAGGCTCCTAAAATTTCTGGGCCCATCTGTGTACTTCCTTGTAAAATCTACTTTAAGCAAAGAACCTTGCTGAGTCTGCTTAGCAATAATCTTCCATGCTTGATAATGTGATTCATTTCAATATCTGATCCGTTTTCTCGTCCCCCACAGTTTCCCAGGTGATGTCATATGGGCCTGTTCTCAGCAAGAATCTTGTTAAGTCAGCTTAACCAGAATCTCCCTGACCTCTGTTGTTTCCTCTCAGCAATTTTTCATTCACTGACCATCACTCTGCTTCTTGGCTATAAATTCCTATTTGCTCATGCTGTATTTGGAGTTGAGCCCAATTTCTCTTTCCTAGCGTAAAATCTCATTGTAGTGATCCCTGTACCTATCTCAATAGTTATGAAGAAAGTCTTCCTTACCATACTTTAATAAGTGTCATTGAATAATCTTTGTCTTTATCATTATACACCTGAAGAAAGTAGAACCACTAGTCATATGGTATGCAGATGTATATTTTACATTCACTAAAATATAAGGCTAGTCATGTAGCTAGAATACGGCTACATGACTAGCTCATACTCTTGTATGAACCTACAGATTATTTTATTGGTTGTCTTTCTCACTGATTTGAAGTTCTTTATATATTTTAGAAACAAGCAGTTATAGTTTTTGCTAATATACTCTCTCTATCTCTGGCTTGCCTTTTAATTCTCTGAATGGTTTCCTGTGATTATCAGTTCTTCAATGAAGTCAAATTTTCAATAATTTATGTATGACTGTGCTCTTTGTTATTGTTAATAAATATTTTCTGAATCCAAAATAGTAAAGATATTTTCTATTATCTCTTGGAAGTTTTATTGTTTTACCATCACAGTTAGATCTGTTGTCCATCTTGCATTGATTTTTGTGTATCCTATAAGGAAGGCATCAACAATTTCTCCATAGGCATATCCAGTTGGCATCTTAATCCACTCAGTTTACCCAATCAGGGATTGATATTATTCAAAGCTGAGTTTCAGTGAGGTTTGTCTATTTTCAGTTCAATTTTACTGGTGAAGTATATTTTTTCATCAACTCAACAAATATCTTGGGAAATTTTCTAGTATCGCTCATCTTTGTCAGGTCTCTAGTCCAGTTTTTATATCCTAAGTCTGTGTGGGTCAGCTTCTCAGGCTCTTAGTTTGTGCTCTCGTTATTGCAAAATGCCTAGCATTTAACAAAGGCACCCATGCTGGACTCGTCTTTAGGGGATAGTTTCTTCCCAGTCTTACAAATACTTTTTGACTTGCTAGCTCCACAGTGTCTTCAAAAGAATTTTTCAAGTCTTTAATCCCTATTTTCTAGTTTTGCTCACCATAAAACTTGGTTTAAATAATCTAGCCTACATTTTCTAAAAAGAACATCCTCCCCCCAAGAAAGGTTTTCAATGAATGACTGAATTATTTCATCCTTTTTATTTTCTATGACATACTACATAAATTTGAGAAAATCTATGCTCATGAAAGATAATTGTGGTTGCTTAGTGAGAAAGATCTGCAGAAGGGGCAACTGCAGTTTGGAGGCCATTTGTATTTCAGAAAGAGATGATGATGATGAGTCAATATAAACTATTAATAGTGGAGCTACCGAGCATTGGAGAAATTCAATGTATATTCCCTAGGTGGAAATTTCTATACTCATTGATAAATGGATGTGAAAAGTGTGTTAATTTCCTAGTGCTGCTTTAATAAAGTATCATAAGCCAAGTGGCTTAAAACAACTGTTACTTGCTTTCTTACAATTCTGGAAGCTAGAAATTCAAAATAAAGTGTCGATAGGTCCATGATCTCTGAATAATCTAGTAAATAATCTGTCTCATGTCTTTCTTTTAACTCCTGCTGCTGCCAGAAATCTTGGGTATTTATTGGTTTGTAGATGCATCACTCCAATCTCTGCTTCTGTTGTCACATGACATTCTCCCCTATGTTTCTGTCTGTGTCTCTTCTTATAAGAGTAATAGTTATATTGGATTAAGGGCCCATGTCACTCCAGTATGATTTCATCTTAACTAATTATATTTGAAATTAACCTATTTCCAAACAATGAGCTTCCAGAAAGACATGGCATTTTGAGGGGCACTATCCAACCTAGAACAAGGATAAAAGAATAAATCAATGGTGACTGTTAAGCTTTTAGTTTTGATGACAGTGGAGACTGTAAAGCTATGTATTGATGTGGACAAGATTGATTAAAGATCATGTTAGGGACTGGATTCAGATTAAGAGCTATGCTAGGCCATGCCAGGTATGATATTTTAATTAGATACTTAAATACGGAGATCAAGAAGGCAGTTGAGTACATAAGTTTTGAGTTCACAAAAGAAATAAGTCTGGAGATAGAGATTTGGAAGTCGTTAGCATAAGAATGTACTTAAAGCCAGGGAAGTGAACAGGATCAGCCAGGGTAAGGCTAATCTCTAGGGCACTCCAACCCTTAAGGATTTGGAAAAGGAGAAAATACAAGAAGGGAGACTGAGAAGTGTTTAGAGTATTAAAGAAGAAACCAAGGGTTTATTAGGTTAAGGATTTCAAATGAAAAGAAGAATGATGTTTCAAAGAAGTAAAGACGACACATTCTACCAAATAACACTGAGAGGTTGGGTAAAATGAACACAAATTAGCAATATGAAAATTATTGGTAACCTTGAAAAGAAGTGGTTTCAGTGAGGGATGAAATTTTGATTGGAGTGGGTTAATAACAGAATAAGATATGAGATATGGAAACAACCCTATGGTTACTTTAGTATGACAATTGATATAATCTAAATAATTGGGAGAGGTTTGGAGGTACAGTGTTAAGGAAGCAGATTTTTTCTTTAATGATGGGAGATATTATAGTATAAGCAGGTCTTCCATGATGCTTATGTTGTAATAAGGGCCAGGGAAACACTGGAAATATAAGAAAGATGGGATAATTGCTAGACATGAGTCACTGCATAAACTCAGGAAGATATAATTGAATGTACAAGTGGAGGAGTTGGTATAGAAAGAGAGAAAATCAATCACAATAAACAACTACTTCACAGTTAGAATTAATGGCTGTCAGAGTTTCACATCCCTTACTTTCTTCAGCGTTGCTGGCTAACACCACATTACCCAGTTCATTTTGATTTGTTAGAATGCTTTGGTGCTGTGGTATAAGCAATGTCAGCAATGTGGAGCAATAGGGATCATCTATCATTTACTATACAGTACACTCATCATGTTACTAATATGTAATCAAATCTTCAGTAAAATTCTTTGCACTATTTTATCCATGTGGCAATTAAAGCTCTTACAACATCACATAGCTACCTGTGGCAAGTTGTGTTTCAGGTTTCACATTTAAAGTTTTTTTCCCAGGGTCACCACAAAATTTAACATCCAATGCTGGATCATTTTGAAAGTGAAAGGCATAGCTATAATAATGACACTGGGAAAATAGGCATAACCCAAAACTTTCTATAGCAAATGGAGTATAAAAGCATCCTTTCTTTTCCTCCACTTTTTGATATCTTTTAATATTCAATTCAAAACATTCTATTCAATTTCAAAGCATTCTTCCAGGATTATTTTGAACATCAATAATAAATCAAAGTTAACATTAAAGAGGCCGATTAGGTTTGAAAAAAAGACAGAAGAACTGAAATATGCTTAAGAATAATTTATTGAAATGACTGGAAAGGAAATAGATTCTTAAAGAAATAAAAATAAGCACAATTCCAGAAACAATTTGTATACATATGTTTGATATGTTTGTAGCATTTCCAAATGAGTATTGAACTTCTGTGGTACTAGTTGAATTAAGATTTGGAAAATGTAAATAGTTCATGAGTCAAATTTCAAATTAAATGAATGACATAATATATAAAATAAATAAAGGGACAAAGTTCATTTTTTCCATATAAACTCATTCAAACATACTTAATTTGGGGTAACGTGATACAAAGACGGAAAAGGCATCATATTTCCAGTCTCAGTCAATTCTGTGGAATAGAGAGCAAATATATAATTAGTTATGTTATAACACGTAACTATTCAACTCTCTTCACTTTTAACTTTGGTGTGACTAATTCACAAAAGAAATTGTATTGCAAATGCATTCTGTTGCGGTTTGGAGGCATGTAAAGTTTGTTCACCAAACTTCACCAAAGTTCATCAAATATTAGTGAACTTGAAATTGTTTCAGTGAAATGTCTGGTATTTCATAATCCCAAAAGGCTTTATATCTTAGAATTGCAATGCTGTTCTCTCCTCTTTTTAACCTTTACACTTGGAGTAATTTTAACTCATGAATTAAAAGATAATTTTAAGTAAAGTAAATACAAATTTTATGAAGGCTAGGTTAGAAATAAAAATGCAAATAGGCTTTTGACAAAAGCTCAAATGTATTTCCATAAAAGTAAAATAAGTATATATTCTGTCTTTCCTAAAAATAGTGATAATCAAATGTAAGTATATAGGCCCTTGAAAGCAAGCCAGTCAAATCTGTCAATAGTACATAAATAAAATTAAAGTTATTTGAAATGCAAAAGATAGATAGTTTCAGGTCAGTAAATGATAGTCAACCATTAAATTGATAATTAATAAAAAAAGTTCTTGTATGTATGAAATTTTCACTGTATTGGACTTCTCTAGGAGAATTAAATGTAAAAAGACATCATGTATAAAAATGATCAATTAAATCTCCAAACTCCCAAAACTTACCAAAAATAAGGAGGGAAAATTAACTTTGAAATCTTCTTAGACCTTAAAAATAAACAGATACAAATAAATAAATAACCTCTTAGTAAGAAAACTTGCCTTAAGAATGTTGTAAGTAGTGAAATAAGCATCTCCGTCTTTTGCCTTCATATATATTTACAGCAAAAACCAGATGTGAAGTAAGGCTTGTGTAAAATAAATAAATAAATAAATAAATAAATAACCTCTTAGTAAGAAAACTTGCCTTAAGAATGTTGTAAGTAGTGAAATAAGCATCTCAGTCTTTTGCCTTCATATATACTTATAGCAAAAACAAGATGTGAAGTAAGGCTTGTGTAAAAGAGATGTGCACAAGGAAAATGACAGAACATTTTTTAGCTTTTTTTTCCAAATTCAATCATATTATTAAATTTAATTCCGGCTTTTGTAAGCCTTAATTACTTTATCTAAATCAGAATTCTCAACAGACTAATTAAACCAGAATTCATGCAATAGTTTTTTTCTCAACACTCAGTTTCCTCTACACAAAAAACTAGAACAATTATATCAGAATCTCTGGGTAAGCTTAGGCATTGGGATTTGTGGGGAAAAGTTCTCCAGGTGATTCTATTGTATAGGTAAGCATTAAGAATCACTTATCTATGAGAACACATGGACACAGGAAGGGGAACATCACACACCTGGACCTGTCGTGGGGTGGGGGTAGGGGGTAGGGATAGCATTAGGAGATATACCTAATGTTAAATGACGAGTTAATGGGTGCAGCACACCAACATGGCACATGTATACATATGTAACTAACCTGCATGTTGTGCACATGTACCCTAAAACTTAAAGTATAATAATAAAAGAATCACTTATCTAAACTGTTTTTTTAATTCATTTACTCTACATTTATTCTTTTATTCTACCATCACATACACATCTTGAATGAAACAGCAAAGCCAGTAAATTTGGACTTACACTAATGGGGTTATGAACTGGGGCAAGTGGCTGAGTCACAGGGTAGATCTGGTGGGTGGGGTTAAGTAGAAGTTCTTGGTTGAGCAGAAGGGCTTGAACAGGCACAGCTCTCTGAGGGTAGGGCACCACTTGCTGGGGGATAGGCAGGACTTTGGGCTGAGGAACAGACCACAGGGGCTGAGGGGGAAGTGCAAGAGTCTGAGGAATAGGCTGAGGGACCTGCTGCATCAAGGGCTGGAGCAGAGGCAGAGGAAGATGCAGATTTTCAAGATCAGTGAGTTTTGGGATTTGAGGGTCAAAAAAGGGTATCGTTGGAGATTTAAGGACAGGCATCACTCTGCCCTTAGTGTAGACAGTGTCTTTAGCTTTAGGGACTTCCATTATTTCAGGCTGAGGGACAGGCAGCACCACAGCAGGCTGAGCAAGAGGCAGAATGTTTTGTGGAAGAAAACCATAGGGGATAGGTTCAACGAATGGATAGATCAGAGGCTGTGGCTGGAAAGAGGGGTAGATTTTATCCTGGTGTTCATCCTGGAAAGAAGGAAAAAGAATCTTTGAGTCCTTGATTAAGCTATAATTGCCATTCATAATGAATTCATTTCTCTCTTTTAGACAATGATAAATGAGTAAAAAGAGAGGAGAAAATATTTCACTTATTTTGGTTAAGAAAGTATCTTGAGTCATGCGAAGAAAAATGAGTAAACTGTTTGTTGAAAAATTTTAATCCACTCACTTCATGGGTAACTCCACAGGCCAAAGTGAAATCAATGTTTGGATATTTCAGAAACACTTTTTTTAACATTTTCCTGAATTGCCTGGATAGCTGTAGCTGTACACTTTGGTCTTCAGAGAGAATTTACTTTTCAACACAGTTGTGCCAATAGTAGACCAAATTGTTTTCATACAGTGAAAAGAGATCAGTTTAAAAAGACTTAGAGGGACAATTCCAAGGTTTATTTTTGTTTTGTTTTGGTTTGATGAAAAAGAAAATCAGTCTTAATTTGTGGCTAATCTCAGGAAGTAATTTAACACCGGCCAAATTCTTACATTCCTTCCCTTGGGAGAAGATAGTCTCTTGAGTCTTTCAAGAGACATCAATTTTTTTGTTTAAATTTGATTTTAGAAATATTTTATGTGACTCCAAACAATTCATTGGTACACAAAGCAATTGAAAATTATAATTGGGTAAACATATCACCATAAATGTAATTTAATGAAATACAGGATTTTGTGTTGTCCATATGGGAATAAAGGCAATATGGGACAAATTTTACATAGGTTTTTTTACCAGCCGTATACACCTTTTCATTACCATATCCACCTTGGAAATAAGAGGATCATAGTTCCCAACCTGGAAATGTTCCCACCAATGTGTACTTGTTGAAAACAGATATACCATTAGTAATATCATTATGTATTTAGTCTGTATTCTAGAAATTAATTATGAGTTTAAAAATGCATGCATATCCTAGAAAATATATTGACTTTATCAATGTTTAATTTTTAAAGTGGTTGGTGGGTATATGGCATTTATTTTATTATCATTCTTTAGAATCAACATACACATTATAAATATTTTTGTATGTATTATACTTTATAATAATTTTAAACATATACTTATCATTAACAAATTACCTCTCCTTGCTGCTGGTCCTCATGTTTAACCTTCTCAACTTTCTGCTAAAGATATATCATATATAAAGATATGTTACCATCTGTAAAGATTAAAAGGAGGAAATTTTGAAAATGTGTACATTTTAAATGTGAAAATTTACCTTGTATTCTGTAATAGATTCCTACAGAAAAATATAAAATAAAATTAGGTTTAGTTTTAACAATTCTTACTTTGCAATATAAATCAGGAAATAAAGGCATTAATTCTTTGATAATATCATTAATAACTTTGTATAATCATTAAACTTATGTATTAAACTGTTCTATATGAGCTTGTTATGTAAAAGAAAGTCAGATGAATGCAGTCAAGAAGGACATGGTACAAAAAAAAGCAATTAATAGATGCTAATTTCTCTCTACCACCATGCTCATTCCCTGACAACAAATGATATCTAAAACCCCATCTGATTTTTAAAAAAAGAAATACTCATTGAAAATATATTCTAATAACAATTGATACATTATGATCACTTCAAATGAATCATAAGAGTTAAACACTTCCCTTAAGGATCATATAACCTTTCTGAAGAGACAGAATCTATTGATGTACCATTTACTTATCAAGTGATCACACACCCAAGAAGAGTGGTGTAAGAATAAATATCTACCTGACTCTCTCAGGTAAATTTAGGACTACACTAAATCTCGCTTATTTACTAAAGTGGCTATTGTAATTATAAAATGTGTCCTTTTTGCACGTCTGCCTACCTACTACTTAGCAAGCTCTTAACTATCACTGGCATCTCTAACTTTTCAGTTTGTACCACAGCTCCTAGTCAATGTCTGACCCATAGAAGGCCGTCAGTATATGCTTAAGGTGAATAAGTTCAGAGTAAAGAGAGTTCAAGGCAGAAAACAGGACAATATGGTTCATTAAAAAAAAAAGAAGCAAAATAACACAATTTCAAGTAGCAAGCCAATTTACAAAGTTCTAGAATGTTGTATTATCCAGATACTTATTGTCCTTAAACACACATAAAAGAAATATGTACTAGAACTTATATGTCATTAACATAGCTGCATTAGCTTAACTGCCATGATGTAACACCATAGAAAAATAGCACAGGATTTTACTGTTCTAAAATTGGGTAGAATGTTAACTTACCTCACTGCTTGAAAGGCTTTCTATGGTCTGTGGGAAAAAAAAATTGACAACCAGCTAAATCTTCTAGATCATTAGAGAATTTTACTATTTTATGGTTCATAAATTTTCTCTAAAAAAATAATCTCACCTCAGAGGATGCATTGGATTGTTCCTTCTGAAAAGATGTTTAAAAATTCAACTTCTATAGCTAACTCATTGTTAAACATGCATCCTACTTAATTTTTACATCACTTATGCAGAGCTATCTCTTTCACAAATTTGAGAAATAAAAAATGTTATATGACTTTTGAGGTTTAAAAGGTAATTACTTTAATGTCTTTTATATTTAGTAATCTATTAATATATTTTTATCTTACATTTATTAAAGACAGAGTTTTTTATGGGTAAAAGAAGAGTCACTTTAATTTGTATTAAATATTTTTATTATATTATTATTAATATATTTATGATCATGATTATGATTGTCTCTGTACTTCATCCCATGGATGTCTTTGTACAGACAGACACAGGATTTGACCCAGTGCCCTAGGCTGTAAGGTATATATACATTTTATCACTGGAATAAGATATATTTATCTAGCTTGAGAATCTTTGGAGTTGTATTTATGCAATATTATATTTCGTTGCCATTTTTATGATTTTTTATTACTTATTGATTTGTTTGCTTTTTCTTTAGTGACTAGCAGCACATTGGTGCAGGAAGCATTTGGGGCACTATAGGAAACTGTTGAGACAGTGGGTAAATATAAATGATTTTGATAGAAGCCAAGAGAATTCTCATGAAATTCTTCATTATTTATACAGTAAAAAATGTTGGTGATGTTATTCTCTACAAATAAGCATATAGTCCACTATTTATTGATTGTTTAGGAATTTTTTCTTGTGCACATACCTCCCTTGCAAGAGCAAGAGCCACCAGGCAGGCGAGGATGAGGACCTTCATGGCTACTAAGTCCTGTGAATGTAGAAAAAATGGAATGGTGGAAGATTGGTCAATTGGATATACTTTCTTATGTAGGTAAGGTTACTTTTTATAAAACAAAAAAAAAAGAGAGATAATATATAACAAAAATATCTGCATTTAGAAAATAAATAGAATAAATACTAAATAGAAGTTATATCACATGAAGGAGGTCAAAATCCATTCTGGCTTGCGATTCTCATTTTTCAAATTCCAAACTTCATTGCCAGCTATTCAGATTTTTCAGCTAACAACTCTATCCCCACTTTTAAAAAAGTCCCATTTACAGTATTGAATTTTTCAAAAGGCATAAAGAAGTTATAAATATGTATGGAAAGATTTATGCAACACATCAAAAAGCTTATCCACCATGATCAAGTGGGCTTCATCCCTGGGATGCAAGGCTGGTTCAACATACGAAAATCAATAAATGTAATCCAGCATATAAACAAAACCAAAGACAAAAACCACATGATTATCTCAATAGATGCAGAAAAGGCCTTTGACAAAATTCAACAACACTTCATGCTAAAAACTCTCAATAATTTAGGTATTGATGGGACATATCTCAAAATAATAAGAGCTATCTATGACAAACCCACTGCCAATATCATACTGAATGGACAAAAACTGGAAGCATTCCCGTTAAAAATTGGCACAAGACAGGGATGCCCTCTCTCACCACTCCTATTCAACATAGTGTTGGAAGTTCTGGCCAGGGCAATTAGGCAGGAGAAGGAAATAAAGGTCATTCAATTAGGAAAAGAGGAAGTCAAATTGTCCCTGTTTGCAGATGACATGACTGTGTATCTAGAAAACCCCATCGTCTCAGCCCAAAGTCTCCTTAAGCTGATAAGCAACTTCAGCAAAGTCTCAGGATACAAAATCAATGTGCAAAAATCACAAGCATTCATATACACCAATAACAGACAAACAGAGAGCCAAATCATGAGTGAACTCCCATTCAAAATTGCTTCAAAGAGAATAAAATCCCTAGGAATCCAACTTACAAGGGATGAGAAGGACCTCTCCAAGGAGAACTACAAACCACTGCTCAAGGAAATAAAAGAGGATACAAACAAATGGAAGAACATTCCATGCTCATGGGTAGGAAGAATCAATATCATGAAAATGGCCATACTGCCCAAGGTAATTTATAGATTCAATGCCATCCCCATTAAGC
Organism: Homo sapiens; assembly: GCF_000001405.40. NCBI lineage: Eukaryota > Metazoa > Chordata > Mammalia > Primates > Hominidae > Homo > Homo sapiens. The sequence goes on from NC_000004.12 coordinate 69,962,197, forward strand.
TACCAATGACTTTCTTCACAGAATTGAAAAAAACTACTTTAAAGTTCATATGGAACCAAAAAAGAGGCCACATTGCCAAGTAAATCCTAAGCCAAAAGAACAAAGCTGGAGGCATCATGCTACCTGACTTCAAACTATACTACAAGGCTACAGTAACCAAAACAGCATGGTACTTGGTACCAAAACTGATACCAAGACCAATGGAACAGGAAAGAGCCCTCAGAAATAATGCCGCATGTCTACAACTATCTGATCTTTGACAAAGCTGACAAAAACAAGCAATGGGGAAAGGATTCCCTATTTAATAAATGGTGCTGGGAAAACTGGCTAGCCATATGTAGAAAGCTGAAACCGGGTCCCTTCCTTACACCTTATACAAAAATTAATTCAAGGTGGATTAAAGACTTACATGTCAGACCTAAAACCATAAAAACCCTAGAAGAAAACCTAGGCAATACCATTCAGGACATAGGCATGGGCAAGGACTTCATGTGTAAAAGACCAAAAGCAATGGCAACAAAAGCCAAAATTGACAAATGGGATCTAATTAAACTAAAGAACTTCTGCACAGCAAAAGAAACTACCATCAGAGTGAACAGGCAACCTGCAGAATGAGAGAAAATTTTTGCAATCTACTCATCTGACAAAGGGCTAATATCCAGAATCTACAATGAACTCCAACAAATTTACAAGAAAAAAACAAACAACCCCATCAAAAAGTGGGCAAAGGATATGAACAAACACTTCTCAAAAGAAGACATTTATACAGCCAAAAATCACATGAAAAAATGCTCATCATCACTGGCCATCAGAGAAATGCAAATCAAAACCACAATGAGATACCATCTCACACCAGTTAGAATGGCGATCATTAAAAAGTCAGGAAACAACAGGTGCTGGAGAGGATGTGGAGAAATAGGAACACTTTTACACTGTTGGTGGGACTGTAAACTAGTTCAACCATTGTGGAAGTCAGTGTGGCGATTCCTCAGGGATCTAGAGCTAGGAATACCATTTGACCTAGCCATCCCATTACTGGGTATATACCCAAAGGATTATAAATCATGCTGCTATAAAGACACATACACATGTATGTTTATTGCGGCACTATTCACAATAGCAAAGACTTGGAACCAACCCAAATGTCCAACAATGATAGACTGGATTAAGAAAATGTGGCACATATACACCATGGAATACTATGCAGCCATAAAAAATGATGAGTTCATGTCCTTTGTAGGGACATGGATGAAGCTGGAAACCATCATTCTCAGCAAACTATCGCAAGGACAAAAAAACCAAACACCACATGTTCTCACTCATAGGTGGGAATTGAACAATGGGAACACACGGACACAGGAAGGGGAACATCACACACCGGGGCTGTTGTGGGGTGGGGGGAGTGGGGAGGGATAGCATTAGGAGATATACCTAATGTTAAATGACGTGTTAATGGGTGCAGCACACCAACATGGCACATGTATACATATGTAACAAACCTGCACTTTGTGCACATGTACCCTAAAACTTAAAGTATAATAATAATAATTTCAAAAGACAAATAAAATTTAAAAAAAGATTTATTCATTAACTTAAAAATATTTCTTTAGAATCTGTTCTTGCCAGACACTGTCTAGGGACCAGGACCGCAGCAATGAACAAAATATTACAGTCCTGATATTACTCCCTCATGGAGCCTCAGTTCTACTGGAAGAGACTGATCAAGAAAATGTGTACAAAAAAGTCACATTTTATTTTTACCTTTTTTCTTTTCACTAAACGGTTACCATGACTATTTTAGTTTATTTCTCCTCATTTCCAATAAGACTGAGGTTTTCATTTTAACACTTTCCTTATTTGTGTCACTATCCAGAGACTTTATTGGACTATTGAGTTTGTTTCTTCTCCGTTTATATTCATCTTCCCCACATAGCTAATAATGTCTGTTCTCCTTTATGCCACATGACTTTAGATATTGTACACTAGGCTTCTTCTCTTCTCTTTATTGAAATGTACACACGATTCTCTTGATGATCCGCCAAGGGGTCAGAGCCTCTTGCCCACTGCTAAGCTTGGGACTACCTCTTCTTGTGAAATATATGTTAATATTTTTGACCAAAATATACTAAATCATCTCCTTGTTATGTGTTCTTACATTTTTTTGTAATTTATTTCAAAATAATGTTTGTGCCACAATATTACTCACCACTCAAATCTTCATTCTCAGATATTGAAACTCAATTTTTGAACTAAATTTTTGAACTAAAATACTTCATCAAAAAAGTCTTTAATTTATTTGAGAGATGTTCTTTTCAATATTTGAAGGTTGAACATAATTCTATTACAGAAAACAAATATTTTTTCTAGATTTTTTATGAATGTTAATTAAGTTTTTATTAATTTTACTTTGCCTAAGACCACTATAAGTTCCCAAATTTTTATGTCAGGGTTCAGAAACAGAATATAACACTCTATTATATATAATTACACATAGGGAAGATCCCACAGCATTTTCTATATTTTATAAGTAATATAAACTTTACTAGTTTTATTACTAATCTACTAATATATATAATAATTTTATATACGAATGTATAATTACAATGCTAATTTATATACTAATATACTAATATATACTAATACTAATTATACTAGTTTTTATACTCATTTCTATACTATAAATATACTACATACTGGTATACTTTTATATACTAATTTTTAAGCCAGAGCTTCATTATCAACTGGTACACTCTAAGCTACTTTTTCTTTTATATCATCTATTATCTTTGTTTATGGTTTCCAAGTCTTTTCTACCCCATTAAGAATTTTCTTACAAAGTAAACCACATTGTTTCTTTTTTACTTAATTCTGTATTTCTGTCTCATTTTAATATTGTTTTGAAATATTACAAACTAGATAATAAACTGGGAAGTTTGAGGCTCTAGACAAGTTTGATGAGTAAACTCTTCTAAAAACATTGTTTATAAACATTTAAAGTAGTAAATGCCCCCATACCATTCCCTCCATTTCTCAACTCAGTATGCTACTGCTGTAAACTACCTGCTGGACAAAGCTTTTCCAGTAATTATTTATCTACCCATACTATAATTGAAGTATAATTCTTTTTATAACTGTGATATGCTAAATCAAATTGGAAGATTAATTAAAAAAATGAATCTCCTTTTAATATTAACTATGAACTAGCCTCATACTATATATATATATATATATATATATATATATATATATGCATAAAATTAGCTATTATATTTTCTTAAACTCATGAAGGCTATATGTCATTACCAAATTCTTCTGGGCACTTCTATCTTTTTTAGCCTAAGTGTTAAAAATAATCTCAGTACTACCTTAAATACTTTTATTTCAAACACTATATTTTAAGTAACTACGTTCCTTCTATAGCTCAAGCTACTTTGAAATACATGGTTAGGAGAAGATACAACAAATTTGTATCTAAAATTCTTACCGTTTTTCCAAGATTGAAGAGAAGTGAAGGTAGTGCTGGATGGATGATGGTCCATCAGCTTCTGTGACTGTTTATATACTATATTTAATGACACACTAATTTTGTGATTTGAAATAAGATCAATAGCGAGCTTTAATTCCAAGAAGTCCACATGATTAGAAAATGATTTCTGCCTATTACATATCCCCAGAAATTCTGGGCATCATTATAACAAGGGAACAATTCACAAGTTGATAAAAGAAACCTGTCCAGGAAATGCAATTATTCAATAACAAAAGACAATGACTGGAGGACAGTGATACTCTGGCCCTGTCCCCAAGTTATTATGGACATAATTAGGTCTCTTTAGGGCCTAGTGGGGCCTTGAGATTTCAGTTGTGGGAAAATTGTATGTGAACGCTAGATATACACAGGGCTTCACAAAGGCCACAGTTTCATGTGAACCTAAGCAGTTGTTAGTGCTTTATGCTGAAATGAAGAAACTGACAAGATAACAAGTCCATGATGGTAGCTTAGTTATGTGAGGCAAACTGTTTCTCCCAGGGCCACTTGATTTGGAAAAAAAAATAATTTAGTTAAAACAAATATTTTGTACACAAGATAAATAAACTTTCCTCTGTAATGGAATAACTTGAAGAGGGAATCTGGGTGGCTGGTATAGGCAAAATCTTCAGTAAATCTGTAATAAAAATTTTGCAAAGTATCACGGAGTTTTATTTACCTTTTAATATTGATTATCTCTTTTCAGGTCAAGCATAATTATGATAATATTAATGATGGGTTTTTTTGCTTAGTTCTAACCCTTTGCCAAGCACTAAGCAAAGATATTATCTTGTATAATCTGCACAAGAACATCATGAGGTAGCTCTCCTCTTCATATTTAGGTTGAGAAAACAGAGATGCCAAAAGGTTAAGTAACTTGCTCAAAACCATATTGTTAATGGCAAAGATACCAGTTGGACTCAGATCTGTCTGACTACATGTGATTCTGTTTGATCACATGTGAGTCTCAGAGCCCATGTTTTAACCTTCTGATAATTTTTTATAAAATTTATCTATCAATGTAGCATTTGGTTGAAATATGTACAATTTAATTATGCCTGAATTGGAAAAGTAGGGCCTCTGTGCTGTGTGTGGCAGGGGAGCTTGCCATTAAGGAACTGCTCTTTTAGTTGAGCCTTAGAGAATGAGTAGAATTTTGCGAGATGATTAAATGGGGATAGATATTTTGGCTGAAGAAAACACAGGAACTGAAAGAGCAACATACCAGTTTGAGGATATTCAGAGGGCATACATTGCAAGTTACAATTGCAGAGGTTTGATAGAATCAGATCATGGATGACTGTGAATGTCAGGCATGCACTGTGACATAATTCAGTGGAAGCAAATATATTAGAGATTTGAAAGAAAAATGGATTGTAAAATTTCTTGGATTTCATGACTTTATGACAACAAATCAGGTAACCTAGTAAAGGAAGTTGTTATGTTATGTTATTGCAGTAGCCTAAGACAGACATTATGATGATCTCAAGTAGGGAAATGGTCCTGGGCATCTTAGGCAATAAAAAGACAAACTTCTCATTAAAATACGAGAAATGTGAAAAATTGGGGAAATGAATTAATATATTATGCCTGAGTGACTGAAAAGTTAGCCATGTTATAAATCAAAATATGAAACCAGGCTGAAATTAGAAATGAAACACTGAGTAAAACCTTGTACGTGGTAAATTTGAAGGTGTCCAGAAGATGTTTTAAATTAAATGTGATACTCAAGAAATAATCATGAGTATAATTTTTAAAGGTAATTTCTCCCTTCAAAGGAGTAAGTGAAGGTCTCTAGGGAAAGAGTATCAAGTGAGAAAAGAAATTGTACAAAACAAAATTCAAGTATCCTTTCTTTTACAGGGGCTGGTATAGCAAAAGGAAATAGGAAAAAAAAAAACCTGCGATATCAAGAATAAGAGAGTACAGAATCCACTTCCTCTCCTTGATATCCTGCATTGCTAGAGGAAGCAAGTGAGGTCAACAGTGAAATGCTACACAGCTGATTGAGATACACTCCAAATGGTTAAGAAGTAAGTAATTTGTGAGGAATTAAAAGTAACATATGTGTACTGCCCTTCTGAGAAACTTAGAAGAGGAGATAAGGAGAACTGTAAGATTGTGACTAGGTGTACAGGGATAATCAGAACCACGGGAAGGTATTTTTAGGGTAAGGAAGACTTGTAGCTTACAAGAAAGAGGCCAATAAGGAAAGAGTTGAAACATACCAAAGAAGTGGGAGTAAATTAATGGAACAAGTTCCTGTACAGTCATGGAGAAAAGAATAAGACCTATAAAAAATGTACCAGTTTTCCTAAGAAAACAAAAAGGAATAAGAAGATAAGTAGATACAATACATGTTTGAGATAAAAGGTAGAGAAGTTGAAGTTAAATGGTCTTAATGTTCTAGTGAGGTGAAAGGGGGAGTTCTCAACTGAAATTGAAGGACATGGTTATACATAGTTGAATCTTTAAGTCAACTAAGCCAGATACAGAAGGACGAATATTACACAATGTTATTTATATGTGGAATCTTGTTTTAAAAATTGAATATATAGAAACAAAGAGTAGAAGGATGGGTATCAGGGGTTCAGGGTGGAAGATAGATAAGGAGATGTAGGTCAAAGGAAACAAAGCTGCAGTTATGTAGGATGAATAAGTTTAGACATGTAATGTACAGTGTGAGGATGATAATCATTAATATTTTATTGTATAATAAAAATTTGCTGAAAGTAGATTTTAGATGTTCTTACCACAAGATAAAAAGAGTAACCTATGTGAGGTGATGGACATATTAATTTGCTTGACTACAGTAATCATTTCACTATATAAGTATCAAAACATCATGTTGTACATCTTAAATATATGTAATTTTGAAAGAGCAGAAATTTTTGGTTAATGTGAAAATGAAAATGAATAACAAATCCACGAGCAATAATTATGACTTATATGAGATTATATATCAGATTTTTTTATCTAAGTAGTTGTATGGCAAGATGGCGGAGATTTAGTATCAATAGGTTAAGAGAATTGTTAGGATAGGGTTGGGATTATTAGTGTTTGTGTTAAAAATGGCAAACCATCAGGTATTGTTTAAGCTAACATACTAAAAAGAGGGCTTGAATGACTAGAGATGGCAAGAAAGGCAAAGACCTGGCCTAAGAAGATACCAATTTTGAGAAGTACAAAAACAGAGATTTTTTCATTTGGGAATTTCAGCATTAGAAAGAAGAGAATTTCTGTATGATGACTAGATCCAAGGAATAGCCATACATTCAGAATGCTGAAAATAGGTGAACATAAAGTTTGTTAGAGGAAAATGTATTTCATATTAAATATCTATGTTTGCAGGCATTTCCTAAATTATCCAGAATGAAATGAAAAATAAAAGATACATTTGACCTCAAGGAGGTCAAAACCTTCGTGGGAAAACAGACATAAAAATCTACTTGTTACGACATGTAAGGAATATGCTAATAAAGCAGTAAGAAGGTGCAATTGACAGAAGGAGAATACTTAGTTCATTTTAGTTGATTCATGGGAGAGGAAAATAGAATCTCCATGAGGCCATGAGTCCTGAGCAGAATCTTGAAGCCAGATAAAGCAGTTAATCGAGGAGGATAGAGAATTCTAGCTAAAAATAGTTAAAGACTGTAGTCTTGGATATGAGAAACAAGTAACTAGAACTAAATCAAGTAGTGAACCTGGATAATGAAGTTCAAGGAAGAGAGAGGATGAAAATGTGAACACAAAAAGAGAAAGCAATCAGACGACGATGGACAAAGCATGCTTTGCTCCTTAGGAATGTGAATTTTATTCTGCAGATGGAGGGATCTATTGAAGAATTTAAGATGGACAGTAACATTTAGAGAATGGCTATTTTTAGAGAACAAATGATACAGGTACACATTTATTAAAATGAAACTGACCAAGTTTGAGCTCACGTTCTTTGTTTTTGTTTTGGTTTTCCAGTAGGTAAATATTGATTGCTAATGTTTATGAAAGTACAGAAAATTGAGGCAAAAAAGAATACTGAATCCCAGAAAAGAGCAGGGTCTTGGTCAAAGTACGAAAGTAGAGACTGAGGTAGGCTTCAAAATACTTGAGTTGTGCCCATTTACAAAATAAGTCTACAAATTTCCTTGCCTCTTTAGTGATTGCTATTCATAAGTGTTTGGCTGACTGTGTTGGATGTTACTCATTCTTATAATTTTTATTTTTTCTATTTACTGCCTATGACAGATATATTCAGGACTTAAGCACAAATAGATGCCCTTCTAAATTAAATAAGCTGAGTATAGACCTACATAACTATTTTTCTTTATAATATACCTTGCATTAATATCATCCTAGATCTATGAATGAGGGGGACACTCCTGATTGTCACATATATTTCATATTTCTCAGAAAACCCAGGTCAATGTCTACTATACATTTGAATTGTTCAGCTGATATTCATTTTATGTTCATACTGAGCCAGGAGGAAGCCAGGAAAAGAAATGATGAAATTACTCCAGCGTCCTAAGTCCAAATAGGAAAGGCCCTAGCTACCCAATGTGGCTTTGTGGTTTAGCTCTGAGTTGCCAAGGCCACAGGCAACAAAGTTAAGGTTTCTAAGAAAGTAATACAAAAACAAGCATGCCTTGTCCATTCTATATATCATTTGTTTTTTCTTAGAAAAATGCTTTATGCATTGTGCAATAAATATAACATAGCCTTGTAATGCTCATCAATTTTTAGTCACACTAATCAGTATAATTACAGACTTGATTAGCCCAGAAAAGTGGGCAAAACTATGATTAAGGAAAGCACTAGAATAAGAGGCTTGCCTAAGAAAAAATTGAAAAGCCAGAGGTTTAAGATAAAACCAGGTGCTAAGAGCCCAGTAAGCATCAGAACCCAATGACAAATAAGCAAAATGTCATGTGGGGCAACCCAGGCTTTCACAATGAACAATTTAATAATTGTTATTTTCTGCTGGGCGCTGTGGCTCACGCCTGTAATCCCAGCACTTTGGGAGACCGAGGCGGGCGGATCACAAGGTCAGGAGATCGAGACCATCCTGGCTAACACGGTGAAACCCCGTCTCTACTTAAAATACAAAAAATTAGCCGGGTGTGGTGGTGGGCGCCTGTAGTCCCAGCTGCTTGGGAGGCTGAGGCAGGAGAATGGAGTGAACCCTGGAGGCGGAGCTTGCAGTGAGCAGAGATCGCGCCACCTGAGCGACAGAGCGAGACTCTGTCACAAAAAAAAAAAAAAGAGAATTGTTATTTTCAGAGGTAAAATTAGGAGGGGGGAGGAATAGCATTAGGAGACATACCTAATGTAAATGACGAGTTAATGGGTGCAGCACACCAACAGGGCACATGTATACATATGTAACAAACCTGCACGTTGTGCACATGTACCCTAGAACTTAAAGTATAATAAAAAAAAGAATTGCACCCACTGAAATTTGATAAGACAGCGCTGAACGAGAAGCAGGATATATTCAATGCAAAGAGTTCTAGTACTATTTGTTAGCAACAGAATTTGTTCACCCAATGCTCTTTTCTATATTGGGTGACGAATATGAGATACGCAAGCATGAGATGTGGGTGAAGTGTAAAGATAATAACTGCAGCCATGTAAATAAAGCCTTGAAGAAAGCAAGCAGATATGAAGGCAGGATAAAGGGTAAAATAAAAGGACATCAAATGTTCAAGGAATAATAACTGGAAGAGGATCTACATATTGTCTATGTAACATTCCAAGGTTATTTTAGAGAAGGAAAAACTTTAGACCTGCAAAGTTCCATAACTTGGTCAAGATTTTATCTCTAATTTACAGAGACTTTATACTGGAAACCTCTTTCTTCTAATATTTGGAATACTATTTAAAAACTTCATCAAAATATAGAAGGAAAAAGGAAAATAAAATAAATAAATCATGGGGATTTATATAATGATTCAAATTTATGAAAAATATGACATGTAATTAACAAATCATTATATAAAGAGAAATAGTGTAGCATTTCTTATACAGATACAGTGTTTTAATTCCTTCAATGAGATTATTTGAATATAATCAATGACATCTTCTCTGAAATATGGCTACTAAAATTAATTAATAAAGGTAATCAAGAATCATGGAATAAGAAATATGAGCTTAGAGAATACGTTCATGAAGCAGGTATCATGAAAGCGTAAAGCCCATAACCCTAATTCATAGCACACACTTCTCATTTGATACTAACTGCTTTTATTTTCCATATAATCATAAAATTTCATTCAAGCTCAGGATACATTTATGAAGCACGTACTATACTTTAAACCAGAGTTTCTTAACCTTGGCACTATTGACATTTTAGATAGGTTAATTCTTTATTTATATTTATTGAAATATTTGCTTCATTGTGGTGCTCTGGAAGTGAACCTGCAATGTCTGTGAGGTATGCCTGTAAATTTTTTTCCTTGATTTTTATTTATTTTCTTTTTCTTTTTTTTTCATCTTTTGTGTAAGTTTCAAGGGATACATGCACAAGTTTGTTATGTGGGCAAATTGCATGTTGTGGAGGATTTGTATACAGATAATTTGGTCACCAAGGTAATCAGCATAATACCCATTAGGAAGTTTTTCAATCCTCACTCTCCTCCCAACCTCTAGCCTCAAGTAAACCATAATGTCTATTTTTCCATTCTTTGTGTCCATGTGTTGCTGATGTTTAGCTCCCACTTAAAAAAGTGAGAACAAGTAGTATTTGGTTTTCTGTTACTGCATTAATTTGCTCAGGGTAGCCTCCAGTTCCATCCATGTTGCTGCTAAGGACATGATATCATTCTTCTTTATAGCTGCATAGTATTAATATTATATGGTGTATCTGCACAATATTTTCTTTATCCAGTCCACCACTGATGGGCTTCTAGGTTGATTCCATGTCTTTGCTATTATTAATATTGCTGCAATGAACATACATATGCATATGTCTTTATGGCAGAGTGATTTGTATTGCTTTGGGAATATAGCCAGTAATCAGACTACTGGATTAAATGGAGCTATATTTTAAGTTATTTAAGAACTCTCCAAAATGCTTTCCACAGGGTCTGAACTAATTTACATTCCTACCAGCAGAGTATAAGCATTCCATTTTCTCTACAACCTCACCAGCATCGGTTATTTTTTGGCTTTTTAACAATAGCCATTCTGACTGGTGTGAGATGATAACTTATTGTGGTTTTGATTTGCATTTCCCTAATGATTAGTAATGTTGAGCATTGTTTCATATGATTGCTGGCCACACGTGTGTCTTCTTTTGAGAAGTATCTGTTCATGTCCTTTGCCCATTTTTAATGGGATCGTTCATTTCTTCATGTTGATTGTTTAAGTTTCTTATAGATTCTAGATATTAGACCTTTGTTAAGTACAAAGTTTGTAAATATTTTATCCCATTCTGTAGGTTGTCTGTTTACTCAATAGTTTCTTCTGTGTGCAGAAGCGGTTTAGTTTCATTAAGTCCCACTTATCAATGTTTTTTGTTTGTTTCTTTGTTTTTTGCAATTGTTTTGGGAGATTTTTTGGAGTCTTTGCCAAGCCAATGTCCAGAGTGGTGTTTCCTATGTTTTCTTCTGGGGTTTTTAAAGTTTTAGATTTAGATTTTACATTTAAGTCTTTAATCCAACATGAGTTAATTTCTATACATGGTGAAAAGTAGGGTCCAGTTTCAGTCTTCTGCATATTGTTAGCCAGTTATCATTTAGTGACTAGAAAGTCCATTGATCAACCAGAAAGTCCTTTCCTCATTGCTTCTTACTGTCAGCTTTATCAAAGATCTGGTCGTTGTAGGTGTGTGGCTTTATTTCCAGCTTCTCTAACCTATTCAATTGGTCTACATGTCTGTTTTTGTACCAGTACCATGATGTGTTGATTACTTTAGCCTTGTAGTATAGTTTGAAGTCACACAGTGTGATGCCTTCAGCTTTGTTCTTTTGGCTTAAAATTGCTTTGGTTATTCAGGTTCCTTATCATTCCAAATGAATTTTAGAATTTTTTTTCTAATTCTGTGAAAAATACCATTAGTAGTTTTATAGGAATAGCATCAAATCTGTAAATTGCTCTGGGCCATATGACCATTTTAACAATATTGATTCTTTCTACCTATGAGCGTGGAATGTTTTTCCATTTGTTTGTGTAGCCGCTGAGTTCTTTCAGCAATGTTTTGTAATTCTCATTGTAGAGATCTTTTACCTCCTTGGCTAGCTGTATTTCTCGGTATTATATTCATTTTGTGGCGACTGTGAATGGAATTGCATCCTTGATTTGGCTCTCAGATTGGATGTTATTGGTGTACATAAATGCTACTGAGATTTACACATTGAGTTTGTATTCTGAAACTAACTCAAACAAAATTTGCCGAAGTTGTTTATCATATCTGTAAGTCTTTGGGCAGAGACTATGGGGTTTTTCTAAGTATAGAATCATAACATCTGAGAAGAAAGATAATTTGACTTCCTTTCTTCCTATTTGGATGCCTTATATTTCTTTTGTCTGCTTGCTCTGGATATGACTACCAATACTATGTTGAATAGGAGTGACAAGAGTAAATCTCCTTGTCTTGTTCTGGTTCGCAAGGAGAATGCTTCCAGTTTTTGGCCATTCATTATGATGTTGGCTGTGGGTTTGTCAGACATTGCTCTTATCATTTTGAGATATGTACCTTTGATACCTAGTTTGTTAAGGGTTTTTTAAATGAAAGGATATTGAATTTTATCTAACACTTTTTATGAGTCTATTGAAATGATTATATGGGTTATGTTTTTATTTCTGTTTATGTGAAGAATCACATTTATTGATTTGTTTATGTTGAACCAAACTTGCATCCCAATAATAAAGCCTACTTGATCATGGTGGATTAGCTTTTTGATGTGCTACTGTATTCACTTTGCTAGTATTTTATGGAGGACTTTTGCATCTATGTTCATCAGGGGTATTGGCATAAAGTTTTCTTTTTTATGTGTGTCTCTGCCTGGTTTTGGATGAAAATGATGCTGGCTTCATAGAATAAGTTATGAGCAAGTCCCTCTTTTTTAACTTTTTGGAATACTTTCAGTAGGACTGGTGCCAGCTCTTCTTTATATGTCTTGCAGAATTCAGTTGTAAATGCATCTGCTTCAGGGCTTTTTCTGGTTGGAAGATTTTTTATGACTTACTCAATTTCAGAACTCATTATTGTTCTTTCGGGGTTTCAATTTCTTCCTGGCTCAATTATGGGAGAATATATTTTTCTAGGAATCTCTCCATTTCTTCTAATGTTTCTAATTTGTGTACTTACAAGTGTTCATAAAAGCTTCTGAGGGTTTTTTTTAATATTTCTATGGGGTTGGTGGCAATGTCGCCTTTGTCATTCCTGATTGTGTTTATTTGGATCTTCTCATTTTCTTTTTTCTTATTAGTCTAGCTAGAAGGCTATCAGTCTTATTAATTCTTTCAAAGAACCATCTCCTGGATTCATTAATCTTTCATATGATGTTTCTCATCTCCATTTCATTCACTTAAGCTTTGATTTTGGTTATTTCTTTCTTCCGTTAGTTTTAGGGTTGGTTTGCTCTTGTTTGTCCAGGGCCTCTAGATGTGATGTTAAGTTGTTAATTTGAGATCTTTCTAACTTTTTGATGTGGGTGTTTAGCATTATAAACTTTCCTCAGCACTGCATTATCTATGTCTCAGAGATTCTGGTATGTTTTATCTCCGTTTTCATTCATTTCAAATAATTTCTAGATTTCTGCTTTAATTTCTTTGTTGGCCTGAAAGTCATTCAGGAACAGGTTGTTTAATTTCTATTTAATTTTATAGTTTTGAGAGATCTTGTTATTGATATCTATTTTTATTACGCTGTGGTCTTAGAGTGTGGTTGATATGCGTGTTAGTCCATTCTTGCATTGCTGTTAAAATACTTGAGACTGGATAATTTATAAAGAAAAGAGGCTTAATAGGCTTATGGTTCTGCAGGCTGTACAGGAAGCATAGCACCGGCATCTGCTTCTGGGGAGGCCTCTGGAAGCTTACAATCATGGAGGAAGGCAAAGTGGGAGGTTGAACATCACACAGCAAGTCAGGAGCAATAGTGAAAGAGTGCAGGTGCTACGCACTTTTAAACTGCCAGATCTTATGAGAACTCGCTCAGTATTGACAGGACAGTACTAAAAGAGCTGATGCTAAAGCATTCATGAGAAATCTGCCCCCATGATTTAATCTCCTCCTTTCAAACCCCTCCTCCCACATTGAGGTTACATTCCAATGTGAGATTCAGTCAGAGACGCACATCCAAATTATATCAGTATGATTTAGGTTTTGGTTTTTTTATTTGAGAGAATTGTTTAATGGCTGAGAATGTAGTTGATTTTATAGTATGTGCCATGTGCACATGAGGAGAATGTATATTCTGTTGTTGTGTTTAGTATTCTCTAGATGTATTTTAGGTCCATTAGGTTAAGTGTCAAGTTTAGGTCTCGAATATTTTGTTAGTGTTCTACCCTCAATGATTTCTCCAATACTGTCAGTGGGGTATTGAATTTTCCCACGATTATTGTGTGGTTATTTAAGTCTCTTCAACAATCTTTAAGAACTTGTTTTATGAATTTGGGTGCTTCAGTGTTAGGGGCATATTTATTTAGTATATTTAAATCTTCTTGTTGAATTGAACACTTCATTATTATGTAGTGCTCTTATTTGTCCTTCTTGATCATTGTTGATTTAAAGTCTGTTTTGTCTTAAATAAGGATAGCAATCCCTGTTTTTGTTTTGTTTTGTTTTGTTTCTGTTCCCTTAATACATCTTTCTCCATTCCTTTACTTTGAGCCTATGAGTGTCCCTGCATATGAGATGAGTCTCTTGAAGATATCATGCAGTTGAGTCTTCCTTCCTTATTCAACTTGCCATTTTTTGCCTTTTAAGTGGGGTGTTTAGACCATTTACATTCAAGGTTAATATTGATAGAAGCAGATTTATAATGTCATAGTGTTATTAGCTGGTTGTTATATAGACTTGATTGTGTATTTGCTTTATACTGTTGATGGTCTATGTATTTGAAAGTTTTGTGTGTGTGTGTGTGTGTGTGCCCAGTGACAGTCTTTCATTTCCAAGTTTAGCACTCCCTTTAAGGACCTTTTGTGAGGCAGATCTGATAGTAAAAAATTCCCTCAGTATTTATTTGTCTGAAGTATTTTATTTCTCTTTTGCTTATGAAGCTTAGTTTGGCTGGATATAAATTTTTTATTGGAATTTCTTTTCTTTAAGGGCGATGAATATAGGCCCCCAATCTCTTCTGGCTTGTAGAGTTTTTGCTGAAAAGTCTGCTATTAGCCTGATGGAGTTCCTTTTGCAGGTGAACTGCTCTTTCTCTCTTGCTGCCTTTAATATTTTTTCTTTTGCTTTGATCTTAAAGATCCCGATGAGTATGTGTCTTGGGGATGGTCGTCTCATGTAGTATATCATAGGGGTTCTCTGAATTACCTAAATTTGCATCTTGACCTCTCTAGCGAGGTTCACACATTCAAATATGTGACCACATATTCAAATATATTTTCCAAGTTGTTTGCTCTCTCTCCCTTTCTTTCAGAGACACCAATGAGTTATAGATTTGGTCTCCTTACATAATCCCATATTTCTCAGAGATTGTGTTTATTATTTTAATTTTTTTCTTTATTTTTGTCCGACTGAGTTAATTCAAAGAAACTGTCTCTAAGCTCTGAGATTCATTCCTCAGCTTAATGTATTCTGTTGTTAATATTTCTGTTTGTTTGTATTATGAAATTCTTGTAAGTGAGCTTTCCAGCTCTACCAACTCAGTTGGCTTCATTCTTAAAATGACTATTTTGCCTTTCATCTCTTGAATCATTTCACTGGATTCTTTAGATTCCTTAGAATGGGTTTCAACTTTCTCCTAAATTTTTATGATCTTTATTGCCATCCAGATTCTGGATTCTATGTCTATCATTTCAATCATTTCATTCTGGCTAACAGCTATTGCTGGGGAGCTAGTGTGATCATTCAGAGATTAGAAGACACTGTGGCTTTTGGAGTTGCCAGAGTTCTTGTAGTGGTTCTTTCTCAACTGTGTGGGCTGATGTTCTCTTAACTGTGGTGTAATTTGAGTACAGTCAGTTGCCTTCACTTCCAGATCCTTTCAGAGGATAGAGGCTTTGTGCAGGCTCTTTATTTGTGGCTGAATTCTTGTCTTTGATTTCACAGGGAGGAATATTAGTAAAGTATTTTTGGTGTTGGAGTTTGGGCTGTGATTTAGTAGATGGCGCTTAAGCATAATGGCCAGTAGGTCGGCTCCTGCTCATCTAGGTGGCTCCTTTGTATTTCCTTGCATTTTCAGCCATGTTCCCACTCAGTGCTCTGAGACTATGAGCTCCTTTCCCACTTGAAGGCTGGCTGCAGATGTCAGCACTGGACTCCCTGGCTGTAAACAACAGCCCCATGGTGAGCTCAGGCTTTATGTTCTCTACCCAGCTTGGGGGTAGATAGGGTGGAGACCTCGGCAGTGCCGATGGCAGAAGGTTTTTCATTTGTGTCTTGGGGCTTCACCTCTGAAAACACAGGGCTACTGCCAGTCAGAATGATGAGCCTGGAATGGGACAGCTGTGTTGTAGGCCCTAGCTGGGGGGTTCTGCCTGGTGATGAGCAGAAAGGTAGAGAGGACTCATAGGGAAGAGAGACTGGACTCCTCTCCATATGATAGCTGTAGTATTCTGGAGGTGCCAGTAAAGCAGTCAGGCTCTTTGTCCCTTCCCCAACCCAAGGACAGCAAGGAAGGTACTCATGCAGTAGCAACAGCAGAAGGCTAGAAGTTGCCTCTGGGAGCTCCAACCCAGAGAGAGAGCTGCTATCAATGGAAACATTCAGCTAGGGATTGGGTGGCTGCACTGTAGGACCACGCCTGGGCCCTTCCTGGGGAAGAGCAGAGACTTGGGGGCTCACAGGGAACAGAGACTGGGCTTCTCTCTGTATGGCATTTACAGTGTGTTGGAGGTTTCATCAAAGGGCTTATGGTCTCTATTGTTTCCCCAGCCAGAAGGCAGCAAGGGTGCTACAACTGCAGCGGCATTGGCAGAGAGGCTGAGGGTTGTCTCTGGGAATTCCTCCCCAGAGAAACACAGAGCTGCCACCAACTGAAGTGCTCTTGTAGGGGTAGGGCAGTCTTGCTGAAGGCCCAGCTCAGGAGGCCCTGACCAATAGGAATAGCAGGGGCAGGGACCCACATAGAAAAATGTCCTGCCCACTTTTCTGTAAGTCAACTGCACTGTGATGGAGGCCTGCAGTACTTCCTGGGCTCCCTCCTCAGCCAGATGACAGTAGTGGTTAGGGTTACAGAGGTGGCTTAGGATGATTCTTTATTGCGGGGGCTGTGCTGTTCATTGTAGGATGTTTAGTGCATCTCTGACCTCCCACCCATCAGATGCTATTAGCACCAACCAACCAGCATATAGAACCAAAAATGTTGAGAAGATTCCAATGTGCTATGAAGAGGCATGAAAAGCCCCAGATTGTGTTAGATGATGCAAAAGATTACACTATAAAACACAGATGAAAAGGCCACATTCCCCGCTAATGAGTACATCATAATCATAAGATAACACATATCTAGATTGTGTCATATATGTAATTTTGTTACTCCACAATCTTATCATTATCCTTCCTAGTCTCCTACGCTTTAAACCCTCTTTAAAATTCTGAAGAGAAAATTATTTGATCCCACCAGAACCAAGGACCTTCCAATGATCTTGTCCATATTTGAATACCTTTAGACCACTTATATGCATTGCCCTTTTCCTACTTTGAACTTCATGGTAATAATTATTATCATGCTCTTGCACATATACCCAAATGCCTTACTCGTCTCTGACTTTACTGGCTTAACTAAATCATCTTCCAGATTAACCCAAATTATACCTTCTGAACCAGAGAAAATGGCTGAGAAAAAGTATTCAAACATGACCACTGTTCTGACTATAAATTAAAGGTCATTAGCATGTAATAATTCCTAAAGAAGATAGGCAGTCACATTAAATATTGACTTCCATGTTCCTAGACCATTATTTCATCCTTAAAGCAGCAATAGCATTTCCCTTGGCTTCATGTTTAGTAGTAGAGGACCTTGCTTCCCATTTTACTGAGAAAATACAAATACTCAAAGTAAGATTTTTAAAATTTGCATCACCATATCTTTCCCCACCTACATCTTTTTCCATGTTCTCCCTCAATTACATGGCTCACTCTTACTCTGTTCTTTCTTTCTTTGGCTTTTATTATAATTTTTATTGACACATAATAATCATATATATTTATGGGGTACACTGTGATTTCAATAAATGTATACAATGTGTAATAATCAAATCAGGGTAATTAGCATATCCATCACCTCAAAAATATTTCAATGGAAACATTCAAAATTATCTTTTTTAACTATTAGAAAATATACAGTAAGTTGTTGTTAATTATAGTACTCCTATTATGCTACAGAATATTAGAACTCATTTCCTCTACCTTGCTATAATTTTATGTTGGGTAATCAATGCTGAGCTATTACCTTCATCCTCCCTACCCTTCTAAGTCTCTAGTAAGCATTACTCTACTTTCTACTTCTGTGAGATCAACTTTTTTAGCTTCTGCATGAGTTAGAACATGCAATATTTGTCTTTCTGTGTCTGGCTTATTTCGTATAACATAACATCCTTGAAGATCATCCATGTTGTCCCAAAGGACAAGATTTCATTTGTTTTTCTGGCAGAATAGTACTCTATTATGTACATGTACAATATTTTCTTTTTCCATTCATTTCTTGATGGAAACTTAGGTTGATTCCATATCTTGGCCATTGTGAATAGTGCTGCAATGAACATGGGAATGTAGATACCGCTTCAACATAATGAATTTCTTTCCTTTGGAATATACATAGTAGTGAAATTGCTGGATCATATGCTACTTCTACTTTTAGTTTTTTGAAATATGTTTATATTGTTTTCCAAAATGTCTGTACTAATTTATATTCCTGCCAGAGACATTTGAACAAGAGCAACTCCATCTTGAACAGGAGCTGGGTAAAATAAGGCTGAAACCTACTGAGCTGCATTCTCAGATGGTCAGGCATTCCAAGTCACAGGATGAGATAGTAAGTCAGCACAAAATACAGGTCATAAAAACCTTGCTGATAAAAAATGGGCAACCAGCAGCCCTCACAGCTGCTCTGTATATGGAGTAGCCATTCTTTTATTAATCTACTTTCTTAATAAACTTGCTTTCACTTTACTCTGTGGACTCACCCTGAATTCTTTCTTGTGCAAGATACATGAACCCTCTCTTGGGGTCTGGATTGGGACCCCTTTCCAGTAACATTCCCACTAACAGTGGATAAGAGTTCACCTTTCTCTGCTTTCTCATTTATTACTTTTTGATAATAGCCTTTCTAACCAGGGTGAGATATTTCATTGTGATTTTAATAAACATTTCCCTAATGATTTGTGAGGCAGAGCACTTTTTCACATACCTGTTGACCATTTGTATGTATTCCTTTGAAATAATTTATTTAGTTCATTCTTTTTACTTAAATTCGGGTTTAAAATTTGCATCACCGTATCTTTCTCTACCTAATAATTTTAAGTTTTTAATTTATTGTCAGAAAAGTTAAGAAACAATATTTTTAAGTCAAAGATGTTATGCATATTGGACAGATTATCTAGAGCCTGAGATAAAAACCTATCCTTTCTTCTTCTTTCCCCTTCTTTGCTCACAATCTATCCTATGGATTAGAGTTCATGTTCACTTCTCTCACTTTTGCCTCTAATTTCTAACCTTGCTTGGAAGTAGAGGGTGGTACCTGTGGCCTGCAGGCCAAATCTGGCCAGAGATCATTTATTAAAATATATTTAAATGCCTGAAAAAATTATAAAGAAAATATTTTATAGCATGTGAATAGTACATGGAAATTCATATTTCAGTGGCTAGAAATGAAATTTCATTGACACATAGTCACACCTAATTTTTTATACATTGTTTATAATGGCTTGGACATTTTGCTACCAAAACAAAGATAAGCAGTTGCAACAGACACTATATGACGAGAAGATCTGAAATATTTATTCCCTGGCCCTTTACAGAAAAAAAAAACTGTTTTTTGACCCTGCTCTAAGACAAAGCCAGATTTATTAAACTGAGATTTATTGACGAATTCCACTGCAGAATTAGCATAAAAACTATTAACTACTTCACTCTTTCATAAAAATCTACATTTTTTCCAAAGAGGAAATCTATTGTGTTCATCAGAGCTGCATAAAAGTCTGTGAATATACATCAGTCTAAGAACTTTTCTCCCAATTGGGAAGAGGTAAGACATTGGCAATAATGGTATATGTATGTACTAATGTAAATTATTATTTGTAGATGTGTATCTACTCTTTTTAGTAAATGTTTTAGTTGAAAATATAAATGATTTTTTCTTTGATAGTGTCATTTTGGTACATAAACAGTAGGAATACATTTAAAACATTAATACTTTGTATTAATGATGGTGAAAATTTTTTTGGTTTAATGCCATGAATAATTCAGTTAAGCGAGGTTTATTCTTGCATGGCATCACTAGTCATCTATCTTCCCTAATTATTTTAAGTAACAGAAACCTTGCCATTGAGTGGGTTGCGTTATTGTAAGCAAGTGTTTGCCAAACTTGCCATTTCAAAAATTTACCATTTCATTCCCCACTTACGCTATATTTAATGATTTTTAATTAGTACTATTCAGTATGTTTTAAATAGAAAGTTTATGTAATCATAATCCAATCACAGGTTTGTTATGCAAGTATATGTACATTTTAAAAATAATTATTAATATAAGCATACAATGCAACTTCATGTACTGCATAAAATCATCTTGTACTTTTATTTGTTCATTCACATACAGAATATTTATTAAACATGTACTACATGGGGGATATTATTCCAAGGCACTGCAGATACAAGAGTGTACAAACTGAGGAATTTTCTGACATTACAAATAGCAATGTACATTATTTTTAAAAATTGTCTTTATGGTGAAGAGAAAAGATACTCTTTAGCAAAACATAGGGAACAGTGGGTTTAATTCTTCTTTGGTTTCTCTAGGGAAACCCCAAGAGAAAACCTATCTCAAAACCTATCTGTAATATTTTTTGTATGATTTATAGGCTAGATCCCTTCTCAGTTGTACTGAATTTTTTCCATTAAGATTTCTCTGCCAAATGTAAGGTGTTTATCATATTTATCATCTTTTTTTCTGGAAGCAATTAACATTCAAGAGCTAAAAAAAGAGAATTTATTGATTTTCCTTGATAAAAGTCCTTCCCTTTTACTTGTTACTCTAATAATTATGTTCTTAATATAAGAGAAATCTAAAGTCGTCATGACACTCGATAAGTAATACTGAGGTCTCGATATCCTCCAGACCCTGGTTTTGTCTGTCTTTCTTTTTTAAAATTCATTCTGAAGCATTCTAGCAGCACATCTAATAAGGCAAGATTTATTTCAAAATCAAAGAATTAATTAATAGAGACTAGTGCTTATTCCTATTATTTTGTGGTACTGTGTAACACTGCTAATTTTCAGCTAAATCAAACTTGCAATTAGGAAAAAGTAGTGCAAAAGTTATTACACACAAAATCCAAGTCATTTAGGGGGCTGAATGTGGCTGTCAGAACTATAGTGCATCAAGGAAAAGAGTCAAATTCTGTAAAATGTATAAAAGGTTTATATTGAGCCAAATATGAGCGACCAAGGCCCGTGACACAGCCCCAAGAGGTCCTGAGAATACGTGCCCAAGGTGGTTGGGTAACAGCTTGATTTTGTACACTTCAGTGGGACAGAAGTTACAGTCAGACATTGATCAATACATGTAAGGTGTACATTGGTTTGGTCCTGAAAGGCTGGATGACTTGAAGTAGAGGAGCTTCCAGGTCATAAGAGGATTCAAAGATATTCTGATTGGCATTTGGTTGAAAGAGTTATGTTATTATCTACATACCTGGAATGAACAAATAGGAGTGTCTGGGTTAAGATAAGGGGTTGTGAAAACAACATTCTGCAGGTAGCAGTCTTTGGAGAGAATAGATGGCAAGTGTCTCTAATAATACCAAAAAAGGTGAAAGACTCTCAGTCTCTCCTGGATCAAAAAAGACCTGAAAAGGTAAGGGGATTCTCTGCAGAGTGTAGATTTTCCCCCACAAGAGACAACTTTACAGGAGAATTTCAAAATATTCAAAGAAATATATTTTTGAGTAAAAATACTTTGATTTTTTTTAAGGAAAATGGATGTGCTGTGTTCAAGAATAGGCCAACTCAAACAGGTAGTCCAACATGAGTCAGCGAGTTTGGAGCACAGGCACACAACTCTAACCATTATGTAACCTGTTTGTGTAAGCTCATACTTGGCTCTGAGCCACTATTTTCTTTAAGGAGTATAACTGTCCTGCCAGAAATGGGGAGAGAGAGAGAGTAAAGCTGCTGATGCTGTGAAGAGTGCTGCTGCTGCTAATGTGCCTGCATGCATAAGACAGCCAGCCAACTTGGAGGCAGACAGGAGAGATCAAGGAAGTGTCATGCACTCCAGAGAGTGCAGCTGCAGTTGTGGCGGCAGCAGAAGCTGCAGAGCTGCTGCTGGAACAGGAGAGAGAGAGTAAAACTGCTGATACTGTGCACAGGGCTCTCAGAGAGAGAGAATAAGGCCATGTCCCAGCTACCTACCCTCCCCCAGGTGTTCTTTCAGCTACCCACTACCCCTCCAACCACTCCCCTCGGACCTCAGCTCGGGCTATAACCTGACAGATTTCTTTCAGGCCTGTTATTATACCTGATGTGATGCTATTCTAGAGTCAGATTGGAATTTGGTATTTTATTGTTACAGACTGCTTTGTCAGTCTTGAGATCTCTGTTTTAATCGTAATGCAGGTCAGTTTTGCCTGAATTCCAGAAGGACAGGAGTGTAATGGGGTATGTCTGACCGACCCATTTTCCTATTATGGCCAGAATTACTTTTTCAGGTTTACTTTGGAATGCCCTTGACCTAAAGGAGGGATCCATTCAGTTGGTTGGGGGGACTCTTAGAATTTTATTTTTGGTTTACAAGTGTCAGCAGGTAATGTTTTTATTTTTTACTTCACATTTTTTCCCTACTCCTTGTCAATATATATCTGAGCTCTGTCTCCAGGCTTATACCAATTGATGGCAATTGCCTTTACCTGGTCACTTTCTCAATATTGAAGTAGTAAATCAGTTGTTGGTAGGCCACTGACACAAGAAACACCTGGAGTAGACAGACGTAGCAGGATGCACCTGCACCCCAGAAAGGGATATTCCAGGAGGGACCCAAAACACTGTTCTGGGGCACAGCCTAAGGGCTTCCTATGGAGAAATTAGTATTCACACTTTAACTCTCCTTCAATTTGGAGTAATCTGAGACTCAGAGGCCATATATGGCTAGCAACTGTAACCTTAGAAAGGCTATACATTTTAGCTCTACCAGAATATTTTTTGCTTATTTATCTGCCTGCCCCCCTATGGACATTAAAAGCTCTGATAATGAAGGTTTTAACTTATTTAATTCTTAATAAATTCCTATATTGGGTAAATTAGGCCTTTATTTCTTATTTTATTATTATTATTTTTGAGACAGAGTCTCGCTCTGTTGCCCAGGCTGGAGTACAGTGGCGCAATCTCGGCTCACTGCAAGCTCCACCTCCCGAGTTCACGCCATTCTCCTACCTCAGCCTCCCGAGCAGCTGGGACTACAGGTGCCCGCCACCACACCTGGCTAATTTTTTGTATTTTTAGTAGACATGGGGTTTCACCGTGTTAGCCAGGATGGTCTTGATCTTCTGACCTCGTGATCCGCCTGCCTCGGTCTCCCAAAGTGCTGGGATTACAGGCATGAGCCACTGCGCCCAGCCTAGGCCTTTATTTCTAAGTAGGAGTGGTTTCCAGTAACTGTCAGAAGTATTTTGAAAAGTGTTTTGTTGCAAACACTGACGTGTCAGTGAAGTAAACTTGCTTCTTATTTTCCTTCCAAAAGGAATTTAAGAAATAATTTGGGTTGATTATTGTGAAATGGGAGTGTTCCCAGACCCCCCCTTGCAAGACCTGTGACAGGTGTGTCTGTTCAGCCACCACGCCTGCTCAAACCTCTTACAGAAGGGGAAGCATGCAGATGGGCAGGTACAACAGCCAGAGCAAGCGCTTTAGGGCTCCAGCCCCATGGTAGCATCTACGGGTGGGTGCCCATGACTCCCAAAGCCCAGGTGGGTGTGTATTACAGTGCACTCTTTTAGCTTTGCCATCTGTAGATGGCTTAAGTGTTAACCTCCTCAGTGCCCTCTTGGTACCCTGGTCCTTGTCCGGCACCCAAGAAGAATCAGGTTGCACACAGATGAATAAGGGGGTTTTATTGAATGGTGGAGGTGGTTCTCAGTGGGATGGGTGAGGAGCTGGAAAAGGGATGGGGAGTGGGAAGATGATCTTCCCCTAGAGTTTGGCCATCCAGTGGCTGATCTCCTCTCTGATCATCCCCAGCCGAATTCCTCTCAGCGTTCACGTGCTGTTTCTTTGCCATGCCATTCTGCCATTCTTCTGCTCTTCTGTTCCTCTACTCATCTGCTTCTGGAGCTTGGGGTCTGGGGTTTATATGGATACAGGATAGGGGGGCATGGTGGGCCAAAAGGCAACTTTTGGGCATAAAAACAGGAATGCCTGTTCTCATTTAGGGCTATGGGTTTCCAGGCTTGAGGGTGGGGCCTTTGCAGAGGAACCACTCTCTTCTACCTAGTATTTCCCTGTCTCCTGTTTGTATCAGTAGTTTTTCATTTAAATAAAATTAATTTGATTTTATCTAGTGCTTTGGGGTCTGTGTGTTTTTGTAACATAAGTATTTTTTATTCTTAACAGAAAGTTGACCTGACTAAAGAAGGAAAGCAGTACCTAAACCAGCTTGCAAAATTAAACCATAAGTTCTATTTATGGGATCAAGTCTGAGGACAAATAATGTATTTTAAAATCTATTATGTGGGTTTTCAAACTTATAGTACACAAAGAATCACCTGGAGATAGTGTTAAAATGCAGGTCTGGTGTATCACCAAGATTCTGAGTCAGCAAGTTTGGCAAGAGGGATTCACAATTTGAGTTTTAACAGGCACCAGTTGATGCTGATTCTGATGGTCTCATGTGGCACCCTCAGAGGAACAATAGAGTAAGTTTTACAACTTATTTGAACTTTACAAATGATTTTCTGATATTCATTTCTACGTAAGTTGAATTATCTAATCAGCTGCAAACAGCTGATAATTATCCACTGCAGATAATTATTTAATTATTTATAGAAGAAAGTAAAAGAACTATATAAATGATGATTTATAGAAAAATCATTTGAAATAATGAGTTTAATTTTATTATGTGAGTTGTTATTCATTAGAGAACTTGTAAATTTGTGATAAAAGAAATATTCCTATATTTCTTCATAACAGTGTGAACAAAATAAACAGAGGAAAACACACAGGTGGTCTCTATTAGTTTATAGTAGCTTTTGAGCTACTATAAACATATTCATATAAAAAACAAATGCAAAGTTTCACTTTTTAGTTTTTACTCCCTTATCTATGGTGATGAATTTTCCCTGCCTTTCACATACAAATGAAATACGAATCAAAGTGAACTGATATTTAAACACAGGACATTAACTATAGAAATACCTACTGTTAACTCACTTTAAAGATGTTATGAACTAAAAATAGCAGCTTAATGTATCATTTACCTATAATTTTGTCTCCATTCTGTTTAATCATAATTGTGGCTAAGTGTATTTTTATACTCAATCTTGAATTATAAAATTAAGATAGAAACTATTCTCTCACTTTCTTTTTCTTCAAGAGAGCTGATACATCCAAAGAGGTAAGACACTTTCATTCACTGGAAAACTGGATAATAAAACATGTATTGAACTTTTAATAGTTTCTTAATTTTTCAAAGAAATGTCATGGGTAAAGAAGAAAATTCTATGTAAGTATTTTCCTGATGATGTTGTGGAGTCTAAACATGTTTTATTCTCCTGGAAGAATCAATACTTACTTCTGAAATATGTGCATATTATGTATGGCTAATGTTGCACATTGATTGCATTTATTTACAGTACACTGACAAAAGTCTCAAATGTCTTGTAGAATTTAGATGGAAATTCGTAATACCAGTCTGAGGAAGATAATTATTCTCTGAGAACTTAGGTTAACATTGCCTGGTGAATAATTCCATTGGCCTAAAAAATGGTTCAATTTCAATTCTATTAAGTATAATATATAACCTACCATGCATAGATGCTGGCAATCACATACCTAATAGAGTAAGTTCCCACCTTCTCATTTTTGGATGGTGATAAAGTCATTAAACTGGCTATCATATGTAAGATAGAAAATTTTATTTATTTTAACATATTTCTTAATGGGTGTATGCTTGATGTCTCATATTATTTTGAACTGTCATATCAATGTGATAGGATTTTTAAAATTATCCTTACTAATACAATAAATATATTGTTAAATATGGCACTGTATTAGTCAGGGTTCTCCACAGGGACAGAACTATAGGATATGTGTATATATGAAAGGGAGTTTATTAGGGAGAATTGACTCACACAATCACAAGGTGAAGTCCTATGATATGCCATCTGCAAGCTGAGGGGCAAGGAAGCCAGCAGTGGCTCTGTCTCAGTGGCTTCAAAAGCCACAAAAGTAGGGAAGCTGATGGTGCAGCCTTCAGTCTGTGACCAAAGGCCCAAGAGCCCCTGGCAAACCACTGGAGTAAGTCCAACAGTCCAAAGGCTGAAGAACCTGGAGTCCGATATTCAAGGACAGGAAGCATTCAACATGGGAGAAAGATGAAAGCTGGAAGACTCAGCCATCCAGATTAGTTCACCTTCTTCCCCCTGCTTTTGCTAGCTAAGAGGCAACCAACTGGATGGTGCCCATTCACACTGAGGGTGGGTCTTCCTCTCCCAGTCCACTGACCCAAATGTTAATCTCCTCTGGCAAAATCCTCACAGATGCACCCAGAAACAGTACTTTGCATCCTTCAATTCATTCAAGTTGACACTTAATATTAACCATCACAAGCACCCAATACAAAGATGCACAAAGAAAGAAGGTAGCTACTCGTGTTAACAGAAGAGAGTATTAAAGAATGTAGGAGTAGTGGCATGGAGAATCTCCACCTCCCCATAATACCCAAGGGTGGACAAAGTAGTAGCTAAAGGTATTATTTTTAAGAAGACTTCAGCCCAGTTTGGACTGATTGCCTGTAATCAGTGTTCCCACATGTATAATAAAACCACAAACTCTAACAAACAGTGAAAATGTAAATGCTTTATCTTTTTTTTTAATCTTCTTTTAACCATTTGTGTTTTAGAAAAGGGACAATATCACTAATAGTTCAAGTGATTATGTACATTATATAGAAGATACTAACAACTTTAACAATCTAAGCTTTTAAGAACAACAATTGTGAAACCTTTGCATGGTCATTGTCTGAATTCCCTGCAATTTTCTATCTTCTTTTGTGTGTATCCAGGGGAGGTATCACTAATATAATACATATTTATAGTATCAGCTGTATCCAGCATACCCAACGTATTATCCTTATTCCTATCCATATGCTTACAATGCATCTTAGTAAACACAGGACATAATTACAAAGGTAAGCTAAGTCTAGTGACATGTTTTTACGATCCAGAAATATCAATGCTGACAGTTAAAAGAGGAAAAACAAGCACAAAGCATAAAACCAACAGCAGTTCCAGTCTAAAAATTGTAGTCTTCTGAAACCCCTTGAGATGTATTCATTTATTTAAGTGCTTCTGAGATAAAGCCTCTGTCCCACTATGGTTAAAAAAGTCTGGGCTCTGTGGAGAAGAGACCCTATCTTGGCCCTGACAACTACTGTTGTTAACTGTTGTTGTTTTTAAACCTCAGTTTTATCATCAACAAAATATGTATTAATATAATACTTAAGAACTTTAGAGAATTGGTGACGCTTCTGAAAGATATGTGACATAAAATCTCTTGATCAGAAAAATGTATAGTTTTGATTGCAGGGTTTTCTGCCACTAAATCTGTCCCTGGATGTGGTTTAAATTTTGTGCCCCAAAATGTAATCTTTGGAAAAGCTGCATAAGCACCATCTGTAACACGTGAGAAATTTACATGTTATGGCCTAAGTAACTCTAATAAGCAATTGCCACGGGAACTAACGTAATACTAACAAGGGAATATAAAAATATTATCAATTTCCATTTTAGAAAGTGAGTTTTATCTTTCTGTGTACAAAATTAGTTGTTCCGAATTCTATGAGAGATTAAATATTTCACTACAAAATAAAGCAAACTTTTGGAGATAAAAGAGGACTGTTCTGAAATTCAACGTTGAAATGGTTCATAAGATTGCAATTATTTTTCAGAGCATTTGGGAGATTGTATTCCAATAGGATTCCCTGTATCCATTAATGATATGGGAAGGAGACTGAACTTGATCCCCTAGGCATTAGATAATAGCTAATGACATTTAATCGAGAAAGGATATATTACAAAATTATTTTGGGAAGTTAAATATGAATGCAATACTTAAGCTGTATGTAAGTCAGAGAATAAAAGATGATGACGGAAAAACAAAAGAAATTTACATTAGAATTGCAGACAGTGGATAATAACTTTTGTTTATTCAGATACTCATTTAATGAGTATTTAATTGTCTCCTGTGTGTCAAATGCTATTTTGGGTGCTGCATTATATTAACTAAAATTATCTATAAATATCTACTCTGCACCAGGCCAGAACCTACATGTATTTACAGGAAGAAACATTTTACAGGCAATCTGTTATTTTCTTTTTCTGTACATATTTCAGTGGCAAATCCAGTTTCTACATGTGTATTTTCATCCCTGATGCCACATCACGCTACCACCAGTTCTTGCAAAATTGACAGAAAGGCAATGTGAAATAAAACAAAGGCCATAATACTTGCCTTCTTAGTTGACCTTTGATTAGATAGTTCTAATATCAAACTGCTAAACTGGTTTTACTGCTGTTCCGAGTAATAAAAAACTATTCTTTTCATAAAAGTAATGGATATCAGCACATTTTTATGTATGTGCTCTTTATTTCTATTTTTGTGTATTTCAGACATAAAACATTTCTTTCGTCACTTTGTTTTTCAAGTTTCAGTAGAACTGACTGAAGCACCTTGTATCAGAGGTCCTGCGAAGTCACATATTTCTCATTTGGTCTGTCATCTTATATCTAACCAACATATGGACTTCAAGCGCAGCTAGATTATTGCACGTATTTACTCTAACATTTGATTTGCTCCTGGATTCCTTTGTCACAGCACATATGCTAAGCCTCCAAAGTCCTCACTTTTCTTATCTCAGTCCCTGCAGACCAGAAGATAACCCCCATGTCACTCCATAGCTTTAGGCAAGAATTCAGAACACAACAATGTTCTCCATGAGTTTGTCAGCAATTACTTTCCTTCATTTATACATTGAGTGACACTCGATGGCCTGACAAGGCCCTCTTTAGATACTGCACATGCAGCAAGGTCTAAGAGAGATGAAAGTTGGCCTTCAGGCAGTTTACACTGTAGTTGGGAGATAGAAACAACAAGTGAAAAAATAATACATAGTATCTCAAGTAATCATAAGTGTGCTAAAGATGAAGAAGGCAGGACTAAGGCAAAGAGGCAATTTAAAATAGGATGGTCAAGAAAAGCTTCTCTGGCACAGTGGCATTTTAGAAAACATATGAAGTGCTTATGTTCATAAGTTAGCATGAAAAAAAAAATCCAGCAGAAGAAATAGCAGGGCTGCATTCTACTGTGGTAGAAATACATTTATTGCGTTTGGGAAAACTCT
This sequence comes from Homo sapiens, assembly GCF_000001405.40. NCBI lineage: Eukaryota > Metazoa > Chordata > Mammalia > Primates > Hominidae > Homo > Homo sapiens. Next base: position 69,991,670 of record NC_000004.12, read on the forward strand.
AATGAAAACAGCATGAATAGAGAAGGAAAGATGTGGATTAAAATAAACTATATTACAGAAAAGAGGTGAGGAGATGATTGAAGCGCCATAGGTCAAAGATAGCCTTTGGATTGAGATAAATGCCATTGGATCAGGCATTGATCTGATTTATATTTTGGAAGGGAGGCAAGGGTTGAAGCATAGATCCCTTACTTTGGCATTACAGAACCCTGCTGGCCCTTAATAGTTTTACATCCTTTTGTTCTACCTGTTCATTCTTTTTTTCCATATTCTCCTAACCTACAACTTAATATTTATGATTTAGTACATACTTTCAATAACTCAAACAACTCCAGTGAAGTCTGAATTTGATTAATTATATTTGCTAAAATCTCAATCCTACTAATTGTTAAATCTTCTTACACTGCATCTCTACCAAGAAAACGCAAATGTACAAAGAAAAGAATTTATTTTATGTTTTATAAATGTGGCATACAATGTTGCTAAGCAAATAATATTCTTGTATTTAGTTTTATAGCTCTCACCCTTTCCCTTCAATAAAATGTCCAAATGTATCATTAAGTTTTCTGAAATATCCAACTCATCTTACCTTGTAGTCAGTTCCAGAAAACAATCTACTCTGAATTAAAAACTGAGCCCATTTGATCTAACCCATTTAAGCTCTCTACTTTCACTTGTTTATAAATTAATCTATACTTGACCAGATTTGTAACTCTCTGCAACATCTTGATCATTGACATGATTCTAATGTTTTTCCAGAGATATATTCCTGTTGTTCCTGGTTTTGTATTTCCTCCTTTATACTTGGAGAATTTTAAAAATTAAGATGTTCTTTTTCATGAAGATTATGATGATGAAAATTATAATAATGATAGAATCTAATATTTGCATTTGAGTCATTTTAATTTACAATGTGATTTTTATATACTCTCCTTTAAGTTTCACGTATTACTGTAACATTTTATAAATAAGAAAATTTTAGTTTAAAGACATAAAGCAAACTAAGCAACCTATAAGGTCACTGCAACATGGTAATTAACATTTCCTTCCTGATGTTTCATCCTCTTGGCTTCCACAACATACAAACAGCCGAGAAATACCTCTTCTGCTATTCTTTTCCATCACAGATTTTTTTCATAGACTTTCTATTTTCTCTTACACATTACATCAGTGCTCAGCAGGATATCTGTCCTCAGCCTATTCTCTTCTGACTCTACACATCTTGATTGTATAAGCTGTAATAATCTCATAGTTTGATTACAATCAATAAGATGATAAGTGCCCAATCTGCAACTCCATTGTTGACCTTCTTCTCCCAATTTTAGACTCATGTTTTCCTGGGTTTCTCTGTCTTAGCCTTTATCCTTGTCTGATTCACAAATTATACTGTAAACTCCTTAAGAACAAGAGTAAAGCTTCTCATGTCATGTCTCCAGAATAAACAACATTCTATCTATCTAGTAGATTATCATATGTTGTTCAGCATTTGTCAATCATATATGTCATTTTAGTAATTCAAACAGGAACATAATATAACATTTTTAGTTAAATAAATAAATATCATGGATATTGGTCATAAATGGTTTCATGTTTCCATCATAAGAGAATTGCAGAATAAGGAGAAGGAGGAGCAGCAACTGGAGCAGCAGGAAGACAAGGAGGATGAAGAGGAAGAGGAGAAGGAGACGGCAGTAAAGAAGATAGAGAAGCAAGATTGAGGAGAGCCCAGCATAAACATCACTACAAATACCCATTCATGGGTTGTATCCTTAAGCAAAAATTGTATTGCCTCACCTGTGATAAAGCAGTAGTTCTTTGTTGATGTTTCCTTTGTAACGAAAGGTCATGACATTTTCAAAGAGAACAGTGTTTGGCATAGAGGATAAGATATCTGTTTTCTTTAATTATAAAATATGAAGTCATGTTCTGGTTCATCAGTCTTCTAAATTGGTCTGCTCTTCCTGGAGGGTGGGACCATAACTAACACGAGAAGGTCACTCCTTTGTTTCTAGTCTGCTATCCTTGTTTGACCTATCATACATAATCCCCACACTTCCTAACTTGGGGAAGCAGAAAATGATGGGTGGACTAATGCCTACATGTTGGTATTCCAACATAACATGTAGATGAGTTAAGTTTAACTGTAATTTTAAAGTGTGTATATTAAGATGTATCAATATTTCTTACCATGTAGTTTGCTGTTTGTTAGTGCCTTTGGGCTATTAGTTTGCTTTATGTTCACTAGAACATGAATACCTTAGATCTACTAGAACAGTACCTAGTATTGTTGGATAAATGAAGTGGTGAAGAAAACCAGAGGTAAGAAAGGAGAAGAGAGGGAGAAGAAAGAAAGAAGAAAAGAAGAAAATCATTTGACTTTCCCCAAGTAATCGAAGCAGTTTATTTTTAAAATCAGATATAGTTCAGTAGTTACTGAACCATGGGCCAGGCACAATGGCTCATGACTGCAATCCCAGCACTACTTGGAGGCTAAGGCAGAAGGATTTTTGTGGTCAAAAGTTCAAGACCAGCATGGGCAACATAGCAAGACCAAGTCTCCACCAAAAACAATTTAAATTAAATTAACCAAGAGTGATAACACATGTCTGTAGTCCCAGCTAAACATGAGGCTGAGGTTGTAGGACCACTTGAGCCCAGGAGTTCCAGGCATCTGTGAACTATGATCTCACCAATGCACTCAAGACTGTGCTATGCAGCAAGACCCCATCTCTGGAAAAATAAAATAGTTACTGAACCCTATGTAACTTTTTTCCACTCAGAATGTAAAGAGATTGTGTTTGTTTTACACATGAGAAGAAACTTTGTATCTATAATGCTTATAAATCTCATGACAAAAGAATAAGAATAATATCTATCTAATTTAATTTGAATTATTTATTTGCCTTAAGAAATGATTTATATTTTCTTGTATATTACCCAGAGAGTAATCATAATTTCCAGTAAGGCTGTTCCAATACAGCATAAAAATTTACCTAATAAATACTTCCTTAAAAAATCTGATACAAAATTAAACCACAAATTATCTTTACTGGTTAAAGCCTAAGGATAACTAATGCATTCAAGAGACAAATATGTGGTTGTTTTTTTTTTTATGTTTTTGTGGAGATACGGGTCTCACTATGTTGCCTAGGCTATTCTTGAACTTCTATGCTCAAGCAATCCTCCTGCCTCGGCCTCCCAAAGTGCTGGGATTACAGACATGAGCCACTGAGACCAGCCTTGTTTCAAACTTCACAGTACCCAAAGAATCACCTGGAGATAATGTTAAAATGCAAACGCCTTAGGACAACCCCAAGATTCTGACTCAGCAAGTTTGCGAAGGTGGACTAAGAATTTACATTTCCACAGGCTCCAGCTGATGCTGTCTGTGATGTTCCCATATGGCACACTCTGAGGAACAATGCACTAGGCTGTATAACTTACCTCAACTTTATATATAAGTTTTTGATATTCGTTTCTTAGTACATTGAGTTATCCAACCAGCAGTGAGTAGGGTAATTTTTACACAAATTTTCCTAGGAATGTAATGAAAACATTTTTTCCTTCACTCTAGTGTAATCATGTCAACACATGGCTGCTATGGAAAAATATGTAGCCTTAAAAACTCCAGGAAATTAAATTGAATTTCCAAATACATATATTCAGTCATATGTGAGATATGTATCAGTGAGCACTTAGAGTCATTTCACCATAAATATAATAATTTTTTATCATATAGTACCCAAAAGATTACTGAATTTGGCAAATGTTTACGTTCACTTTGTAACTTAAAATATTCTAAAGTCAATAGAAGATGGTAAAAGTATGAGATAAATAATGATTTGAAGAAAAACTCTTGAAGTATATGAAGACTGTAATTTTATTATGCCAGTTACCACGAGTTATCAGAGAACATGTAAAATCTTGATAACATGGTAAGTATTATTTGTGTCATAGAGTTGTTCCACCTTGGACACATACTTGTGGAAACATCTTTATCACTGCAATTATTTCTATGCCTGGTTTCCTCCAGCATGCTTTTCTGTCATCTGACTCACTCAGCGCTAGACTAACAGTGGGATTAACATGCAGTGGGTACAGTTGTTTCCTGGTTACTTTGTCTTCACAATCATCTATTGCAAAATCACTTTGTTACGGTTATTTTTATCATTTGTAGAGACAGATTTTGGGCATTACTTTTAGTTTCCATAATGTGATCTCATAATTGCCATTATTTAACAAAAACAAATGGGGGACTTCAGAGTGTTTAAATACATTGGCCCTCTAGGGTAGCACATCATCTCTTGAAGCTTCACTTCAACTTCACTACTTCTGTAGTCTCATCTTGAGTAAAAGGTAATATGTTCATGTATAATCGAATATGTTGTCTTAATCTAGAGTGTTGCTTCCTAAAATCTTTTGAAAACTAATTATAAAAATGTGTATTTATGTAATGATAATTTCTCATAAAGAAACAATTGAGAGAAATGATGACCTTCTTAGGATCTGAAGGTAAGTTGAGAATCTGAATAACTATACATTGAAATCAGCAATCATCATGCAAAGTAAATAATGTGGAATATGGAGACATATTCCAACTTCTCTCCTGATGGAACTTCTGAAAAGCTTTTTATTTCCTTGTCTACGTACTGGCATCTACTCTGCTACTTACTACTTTTACCTTTATTCGAAGTTCATATTTTAAGAAAATAGCATACGTTCTCTTTTTTGCAAATGTATATATTGTTTCACAAGTTTAACTTTTAAAAATTTACTTTTTTCCCATAAGTAAACATTTCTCACTACCTTTTCATTGACCTTTCCATCATTTTAAACAGTTATGTCATTCTGCATAATAAAAAATGTTGTATAACAGTCATGCTTTACTGCCTTACTGTTTTATATTACTTAAGTTGTTTTCATTCAGTTGTGATATGGCAGAAAACAAAGATTTTACTATTTCATATTTTTATTATTTTTCATTGGGGAAATATTTTTTTAAAACCATGACATATATATTTATATATCTATGTCTATATATCCATCTTTCAGTTTATCAAGGTTAGTAAAACAAAACTACTCTTCTATGAGCATTTTTTGATTCCATACTTTCAATAAAATTTACAGGTATAAAATACACTAAAGTTTTTATGCTTTTTGCATCATAAAATGACTGATGGGTAGGTTTATCTATCAGGTGATAGAAAAACCCCAAAGTACATATTATTTTTACACTTACTCTAATACCAGAAATTTCCTTTTTTTTTTTTTTTTTTTTTTAATTTGAGACAGAGTTTCGCTCTTGTTGCCCAGGCTGGAGTGCAATGGTGCAATCTCGGCTCACCGCAACCTCCACCTCCCGGGCTCAAGTGATTCTCCTGCCTCAGCTTCCTAAGTAGCTGGGATTATAGGCACTCACCACCATGCCCAGCTAAATTTTTATTATTATTATTTTTAGTAGAGACGGGGTTTCTCCATGTTGGTCAGGCTGGTCTTGAACTCCTGACCACAGGTGATCTGCCCACCTTGGCCTTCCAAAGTGCTGTGATTACAGGCATGAGCCACCACACCCGGCCAGAAATTTCAGTTTGAATAACTGAGGCAAATCAGTGAATAAGTAACAAAGCAAATGCCATAAATCATGAGTTCTGCTTTATGTTTTGGAGATTTGGGGTTATTAATAACAGTAATTTTTTTTATAATTAGGTAAAAAATATTCTTGTAATGTTTTATCACAAGTTATTGGTAAAAGAGATTAAAATAATGAAGACCATTACCTTTATATGAATTACTCTATAGTTTTCAATAAACAGGTAAAAATGTCATTTATTTGTAACTCTTGTGGCAATTATGTGTTTCACTGAAAATGTCTTTATTTAGATGTTTATAATTTACAAATAAATAATCTAACGTTTTTTGTTTAATAACAAAGGAACTGGGTTAACTGGCTTATACTGTTTATGATAACATATCACAGTCCCAGATAAGGTTAATTTTGTTGAATGAGATTATTTAAAATATTAAGTCATCTTCACCAATTCAACTTCTCAGAGGAGGTACGAATATTTTCTCTGTGACTTCTTATCAGTTTGATTGTTCTCTACCCAGTATCATTAATGTTCTAATCTGAAGGTGACCCCATTTTTGCAACTCTCAAGACAGAAATCTGGCTCATTTTCAGTAACATTATAAAGCGATTGCCCATTGCTGGTCATTCTAACATCCAAACATCTCTTTACACTGTACCTTAAATATCATCCCTAATGTCATTATTTAAGGCGCCCCATAATATCCAGTTCTATCTTCCCTACATTTTGAACTGTTCCAGTTTTATCTTCTGATAAACTGCTCCAGTTTTATCTTCCCTACATTTTGAACTGTTTGCACTTTCAATATGGTATCCTCCCTCTTTTTCATTTTCTTGCAGTCACCCAACACCTCTTTACTCATCCTGCATAATCCAACTCAAGCTTTACTTTCTTCTTTACCTTCATACCCCTATTCTCTTGGTCTGTGTAAGGTGTTGATTTGTGTGTTACTCTAATGCCTTAGCATTTCCATATCAATACACTCACTTTTACTTATCAGTGTCTCCAACAAGTCTCCAAGTTTCATGATGTCAGGCAATGGGTTTTAATTGTCTTTCTATCTGGAGTGTGTCTCCCAGTGCTTTGGAGCGTAGTATAATCAATAAACTTTTGATGGGCGAATGCAAGAAAAAATGTGATACTGAATTTCCACATATGTTTTCAGAGAACCCAGCCAACTATGAAGTTCCTTGTCTTTGCCTTCATCTTGGCTCTCATGGTTTCCATGATTGTAAGTATATCAGGACATTTGAAGAATATGTTCTCAGTACCTATCCCAAGAGTCTCTCTATTCCTTGTGTTCTGGCATATATTGGTGTTTACTTGAATACAGCTTTATATGTTTAAATGTTTCCATATGAACTTTTTTTTGTACTAACCTACATAAGCTATATAAGGATTTAGAATAAATAGTCATTATTCATCTACAGACACTAAAGTATATTTAGCTTAGTGTGAAATAAAAGAAAGTTTTACTGAACTTCTTAAATATGTGGAACTGAGAGCTTCTAAAAGTATCTTTAAACATGTAATGCTCTAGACAATCTGAAGTTAGAAATCTCAGGAATGAACTAGGTGCACTTGAGTGGAATTCAAGTATTAGAAGATGTCAAAGTAGAAATTTTCAAGTCATTCCTTGCAAAAACTAACTTAAAATTAGTATACAATTATTTAGCACACACTTTCTAAAATAAAGCTGCTTATTTTTAACTATAAAACAAAACTTCAGATCTATGACATGTTATGAGTTCCCAGCTTTTATTGTCATTTACTACTATGTATCACTAGGTAAAGCACTTGACTTCTCTGGAGCTCTTTCTTCTACTCTACTTCCTTCTATTTCTCCTGTCCCTTTTCTATGACATTAGTAGGAAACTGGCCATGAAAGAATAAAAATAGTTCAACTTACCTGGTAAATTCTAACAGATATTTCAAAAACTAATTTGATTATAAAATCACAGTATACCACATTATTTGTTATAAAAGGATAGGTGTCTAAAAAATAAAAAATAAAAATGTAAGGAAAACAGAGAAAAACATAATGCTTGTCTCTGTCAGTAAATAAAAGTTATGTGTAAGTAGCCTTTGAGCTGCTGAAAACATATTCTTATGAAAAAATACAAAGTTTCACTTTTCATTCACCAATGATAACCATTTACTCCCTTTTACACACAAAACAAGTATAAATCCAAATAAATTTATATTTGAATATAGCACACTAATTACAGAAAAGCATACTCTTAACTCATTTTAAAGATGTCATGAAGCAAAAATAACTAATTTAGTGTCTATCGATGATTTGCCTACATCCTGTTTACTCACAACTGTAGCTGCTGAGTTCATTTTTGTACTCAATCTGGAATTATAACATTAAGATACTAACTATTGTCTAATTTTCTGTTTTCTAAGGGAGCTGATTCATCTGAAGAGGTGAGTCATTTTCATTCACTGGAAAACTTGTTTTCAGTTTTGTCCTCCCTACATTTGTATTGAATTATTAAACTTTTCTTCATTTTTCACAGAAATTTTTGCGTAGAATTGGAAGATTCGGTGTAAGTGTTCTCTGATAATGCTGTGTAGTCCAAATAAATTGTGTTCTCTGATTACTTATTCTTCTAGAAGAACCAATACTTATTTCTCAAATATGTGTAGTAGTTGCAAAAGTGTGCTTTGTTTTCCTCTATTTATGATACACAGGTAACAGTCACAAATGTATTGTGTCCTAACAACATTTAAGTTGAAACTCATAGTGCCAACCTGAAGAAACCAGTTACTCCCTGAGCCCTCAAGTATCATCTCCTAAGTAATCACTTTGACCTAAAAAATAGTTGAAATTCTAATTCTGTTAATTATAATATATGCCTCATGGAGCATAAAGGCTGATAATTACACATAAAATATGGTAAGTTTGCACCTTCTGATTTTTTTTGACGGTGATAAACTCATTAAATTAAACAGGTCATGATAAATGAGATAGCAAATTTCATTTATTTAACATTTTTCTTAATGTATGTATCTTGATGTCCCAGTATGTTGACATATAATGTCAATGTGATAGGGTTGCAAAAGATCCCCTAACTAATATAGTGAATACATGGATTAAAATAACACCAAATAAAAAGATACTCTAAAAGGGATGATGGTTATTTGTGTTAACAGAAGGAAGAAGTATTAAGGAATGTAGGAATCGTAAGAGACAGTAAGCTCATTAAAAGAGTGACTTGAAGAAACACCACATAAGCTGAATTTAGTAAATGTCTCCTTCCCATAATACTCAAAGGTGGGCAAAATGGTTGCTGGGAGGTAGTATTTTGAAGAAAATTTAAAACCTCTTTGGAGTGATAGCCTATAATCGGTGTTCCTGCATGTGAAATAAAACCACAAAACTGTGAACATGCAGTACAAAGGTAAACACTCAATCATTTTTACCTGCTTTTAAAATGTGTTTATAACCAAAAAGAAAAATCTAATTGAAAGTTTGGAAAAAAATCTTATAAGTAATATGTAAGTTCCTAAAACTTTAACAATCTAAGCTTCTAATAAAAACGCTTGCACTGTCATTATCTCAATTTTCTGCAATTTTCTTTCTCCTTGTGTGTATACAGTATGGGTATGGCCCTTATCAGCCAGTTCCAGAACAACCACTATACCCACAACCATACCAACCACAATACCAACAATATACCTTTTAATATCATCAGTAACTGCAGGACATGATTATTGAGGTAAGATGGGTTTAGTGACATTTTTTTTACTTTCTGTATCAGTGCTGACAGTTAAAAGAAGAAAAACAAAAACAAGACATTAAACCAACAGCAGTTCCAGTATAAGAAAGCAGCCAGCTGTATAGCTCCTTGAAATGTATTAATTTATATAAATGCTTCTGAGATAGTCTCTGTCCTGCTATGGTTAGAAGGCAGTGTTATAGAGTGGGGGACACCAGGGTTTGTATGCTGGCCCTGACAACTACTAGTTTCATGACTTTGAACTACTCCTAATGCTCCTGAACCTCAGTTTTCTCGTCAAAAAATTGTGTATTATGATAACACTTAAATGTGCTTTTTAGAATTGGTGACACTTTTGAAAGACATATCACATAAAATCTCTTGATCAGAAAGGTTTGTAGTTATAACTGCAGGGCTTCCCTGCCACTAAATCTGTACCTAGGTGTTGCTTAAAGTTTTCACTCCCAAAATGCAATCTTTGGAGAAGCTTCCATCTGGGAACCATCTGGGAACTTGTGAGAAATTTGCATTTTGTACCCTAAGTAACTCTACTGAGCAATTACTATAGAAATTATTAACATAATGCTAACAAGAAAATATGGAAATGTTATCAATTTCTTTTTAGAAAGTCAGTTTTACCTATCTCTACACAACATTAAATGTTCTAAATTCTATGAAAAAATAATATTTCAAAACAAAATAGAGCAAACTCTTGGAGATAAGGGAGGATTGTTCTACAAAGTTAAAATAGTCCAAAGGATTTCAATTATTTTTCAGTGCATTTGGGAGATTATATTCCAATTCAATTCTCTATTGCCATTAGTGATACAGGGAAGAGCCTGAACTTGATCCCCTAGGTTTTAGGTAATAGCTGATGACATTTAATCAAGAAAAGATGTATTGAAATATTATTTAGAGGAAATGCATATAAATGAAATGTGTAGGCTATATTTAAGTAGAAGAATAAAATAGTATGATGATTGAAAAATAATTTAAATTGTAGATGCTGAATGATAATTTTTATTTATTCAGGAACCAATTTAATAATTGTTTAATTGTCTACTCTGTGTCAAATATTATTTTGGGCCCTGCATTTTATAAACTATAATTGTATATAATATCTACTCTGTACCAGGCCAGAATATAAATGTGTTTACAGGGGTAAAAATTTTACAGATAATCTGTTATTTTTTTTTTTCTGTGCAGGCTTGATTGGCAAATACGACTTCTACATCCATATTCTCATCTTTCATACCATATCACACTACTACCACTTTTTGAAGAATCATCAAAGAGCAATGCAAATGAAAAACACTATAATTTACTGTATACTCTTTGTTTCAGGATACTTGCCTTTTCAATTGTCACTTGATGATATAATTGCAATTTAAACTGTTAAGCTGTGTTCAGTACTGTTTCTGAATAATAGAAATCACTTCTCTAAAAGCAATAAATTTCAAGCACATTTTTACATGTATGCTCCTTATTTTTCTCTTTTCTATTTATAGGAATAATGATTTCTTTCATCATCTTCTTTCCCAGTTTGACTAGCACAGATTGAAGCCCATAATGTCAGAGGTCCTTATTTATAATTTAGTCTGTCATATTTTATATGTTACAAACATGGTACTCAAACTCACTTATTATTAGAGCTATTTATGCCAAGATTTGATTTGCCCATGGTTTCCTTTGCCACACCACAGTTGCTAAGCCTCCAAAGCACTCACATTTTTTATCTCAGTCCCTGTAGGTCAGAAGATAACCACCATGTCACTCTACAGCAGTATGTAGGCACTCTGCATGTAAACCATCTAATGCCCTCCATTAGTTTTTCAGCAATGACTTTTATTCAAGAAATATTTATTGAATGACCCCAGCTGTCAGGTCCTCTTCTAGATGCTGCAGACAAAGAGAGACAAAAGTCCTGTCTTTGGAGAGTTTACATTGTAGTTGGGAGATGCAGATACAAAGTAAATAAATAGTACATATCTTAGGCAATGATAAGTGTGCTAAAGAAGTATAAGCATGTCTAGGGCACAGAAACAAATTTAAACAGGATAGTCAACAAGAGACTCTCTGACATAGTGACATTTTATGAAAGATATGAACTAAGCATGAGAGCGAATATGGAGAAATAAATTTTCCAGCAGAAAATAGCAAATGCAAATTTATTGTGATAGAAACATGTTTGTTTCATTAGGGACAAATTCAAGGAGACCAATATGGACAGAGAAGGCAAGTGGATCAAAATAAATTACGTCACAGCATAAGGGATACGCAGGTAACTAAAGCTTTGTGGCCCATGTTAAGTCTTTGATTTGAGATGGATGACATTGGAGAAAGACATAATCTTATTTATATTTTGGAATGGAATCAAGGGTTGAATCATAGATATCCACACTTGGGCCTTACAGAAATCTGTGGGTCCTTCCTATTTTTATGTCCTTTTATTCTATGTGTTCCTTTTAAAATTTATTTTATTTTCCTCTAAGCCAGTACTTCATATTTTTCATTCACTATATACTTGCAATAACTCAAACAATTCCAGTGAACTTCTGGGTTTGGGTAACTCTACTTGCTAATATCTCAATCCTATAAATCCCTAAATTTTATATCATGTTTCTTTATCAAAACCTAGATATATAGAAAAAATGTGATTTTTTTGTTTTCTAAATTTGGAGTACAACATTGCTCACCAAGTTTTTTCCACGTATTTGATGCAATACCTCTCTCATTAACCTACAATAAATTGCCCCAATATTTGTTTTCTGAAGGAACCAACTCATCTCACTCAGTAGTCAATTTCAAAATAATAATATTGATAATAATAATAACAACAACATACGTATTTGAAAGGAAAATTGAATTCATTAGGCATAAGTGTCTTAAACTTCTTACTCTCACTTTTAATAAATTAATCTATATCTGATCAGATTTCTAATTCTCAAAGTCTTAAAGGTGAAGATGACTGTCATGTTTTCCAAAGATATTTTTTCATTATTCTTTGTTTTGCATTTTCTCCTTTATTCTCAGAGAAATTTTTGAAACTAAGATGTTCTTTCAAATGAATACTATCATGCTAAAAATAATAATAAAACAACCTAATATTTACCTTTAAATAATGTATATTTTAAATTTCTCATATATATGAAATATATAAATATATAAATCATATTTCATATTATATATTAATATATGAAATATATATTTTCATTTAATTCACTTTCAACTATTATTATAACATGGTCTGGGTAACTAAATTGTAGTTTAAAGAAACTACAGAATCCCCTATTTCACTACAAATTTTATTCATTGTGATTAACATTTTCCCCTTGAAATTTCATCCCTTTTGTTTCCATTATGTACGTATATTTCTTGAAAATACTATACTATTCTTTTCCCTCTCAGAGATTTTCATGGGCTTTCTTTTTCTCTCACATACTACATCAGTGTTGTCTAGGGGATCTTTTCTCAACTTTCTTTTTTTCTGGTTGTACACTTCTTTCTTGTGTGACTTCTTTTCATAATTCATTTTCATAATTGATTAAAATCAATAAGCTGATAAGTCCAAAGTCTGCAGTTCATGTGTGGGAAGAAGAGTTCCTTCTTCTCTTAATTTAGACTTATATAACAAACACTCCTCCAGACTGATGTGCAGTTGCCTTTAACCTTGTATGTTTTATAAATTGAACTGTAACCTCCTTAGAAGCAGAAAAGAGCATTTACTTTGTATCACCAGTGTCTAGAATGTTTCATGTTATATAGAATACAGTCCAATGTTGTTTCACATTTGTCATTTGAGGTATTTGTCCTCTTAGTATGGAAACTGGAATATAAGATATTTTTATTTAAATAAACATCATAGATTTTTTCATAAACATTTCATACTTTCATCATAGTAGAAATAGAAAAGAAGACACAAGAAGAATAGGAGGAAAGCCCAGCATAAATATGACTGGAAATACCTATTCATGGGTTGCATCCTTAAGACATCAATTTAATGACATGCTTGTGATAAAGCCTTCACTATTTTTTCACATTTCCCTTATAAATGAAAGGCATTGCATTTTCAAAGAGCATAGTGTTTTGTTATAAAGAATTAGATACCTGGTTTATTTAATTATAAAATGTGAAGATGAAGACATGTCTGATCCATCACTCTTCCTACTGTTCCTGGAGGGAAGGTCACTCCTGTGTATCTAGTCCATTATGTTTGTTCAAACTGTCATACACAATTCCCACACTCCCTAACTTGGGGAAACAGGAAACGATGTGTGAAATAATGCCTATATTTTGGTGTTCCAACATAAAATATAGATGACTTAAGTTTGATTGTAGTTGTAAAATGTTATATTAAAATATATATCAGTATTTTTACCGGGTAGCTTGTTGTTTGTCAGTGCCTTTGGACTATTAGTTTGCTTTATGTTCACTAGAACATGAATATTATAGAAGTACTAAAACAGTGCCTTACATTGTTGTTTAAATGGTTAGTGAAGAAATAAAGAGTGAAAAAAGTAGAGAAAGACAGGAAGGAAAGAAGAAAGGGGAGAAATCATTTGACAACTCAAGCATATCCAAAGCAGTGTTTACCCTTCAGTCAGACATATTTCAAGTTACTGAACTATGTATCTCTTTCCCATTAAAAAGTGATGAGAGTTTGTATTATTTTGAGCACAAGAAGAGACCTTGTATCTCCAGTGCTTAGAATAAATCTATTTTAAATTGAGTTATTTATTTGCCTTAAGAAATAATTTATGTTTTTGTATTTATCCAGAGAATAACCATTATTCCCAATAGGACTGTTCAATTATAACATAGAAGCTTTACCTTATAAATATTTTCCTAATAAATCTGACACATTAAGCCACAAGTTCTATTTGTGGGATGAAGTCTAAGGACAAATAATGCATTTGTGAGTTAATTATGTGTTTTTTCAAACTTTACAGTACAGAAAGTATCACCTAGAGATACTGTTAAAATGCAAGTTTCTGGTGTACCCCCAAGATTCTGATTCAGCAAGTTTGGAAAGTGAGACTAAGAATTTTCATTATAATAGGCTCCAGCTGATGCTGATTCTCATGGTTCCATGTGGCACACACAGAAACAATGGATTAGGCTTTATAATTTATCTTCAATTTACAAATGAGTTTTTAATATTGAGTTCTAAGTGTTTGAATTATCCAACCAGTCACAAGTTGGTTAGTTTTTGAAGAAATTTATCTAGGAACTTAGTGAAAGTTCTTTTCTTTTTTCCTCCTTTCTGTCTAGTGCAATCATGGCAATACATGGCTTCCATGGAGAAATATGAGCCTTTAAAAACTCCAGGGAAGTAAATTGAATTTCCAAACATAAGTATCCAGTTATTATGTATGATGTATATTATTATACTAAACACCTAGAACTATTTGACTTTAACTATAAGAATTATTTTATTACATACTAGTAATCAAGAGATTACAGAATTTTGGCAAATATTTACATCTACTTTATGACTTAAAATATTTTAAAGTCAATGGAAGAAATTAAAAGTACAATATTAATCATAATTTTTAGAAAAACTTATAAAAATATATAATGACTCCAATTATGTCAGTTATCACTATTTCTTAGAAAATAGATTAAATTTTGGAAGGATTTTAATATCATTTTTGTCAGAGTTGTTTCATCTTGGACATATATTTGTTGAAATAAAATAGAATGTTGTCCACGCAAACATATTACATATGTAATCATTTCTATGCTTGGTTACTGTAGCATGATTTTTTCCCTCATTTTATTCTCACATGTCTAAACTAATTAACATGTGATGGATCCATTTGTTTCCTGGTTACTTTGTCATCACAATCTTTATTGTAAAATCATCCAGTCGAGTTCATTCTCACTATTTTGTAGGAATTTCTTTTTGGCATTTGTTGCTCAGCAACCACAGGGCATGTTTATAGAGGTAAGATGAGTCTAGTGATGTTTGTTTACTTTTCAAAAATATCAATGCTGACACTTAAAAAGAAAAAACACAGAAACAAGCCATAAAACAGTTCTAGCTTTAGAAATGTAGCCTGGGATAGCTCCTTGAAATGTATTCATTTATATAAATGCTTCTGAGGGAAATCTTCTGTCCTGTTATGATTAAAAGGCTGGGCTCTGGGGAGGGGAACCCCTGTGTTTGTATCCTGCTCCTGACAACTACTATTTTCATGATCTTGAAGTATTACTAATCCTTTCCAAAGTTCAATTTCCTCATCAACACAATAGGTATTATGATAATACTTGTACTCTTTGTAGTACTAGTAAGACTATTGAAGGACATATTACATAAAAGCCCTTGATCAGAAAGGTGCATAATCGTGACTGCAGGCTTCACTGCCACTAAAGCTATCTCTGGACGTTGTTTAAGTTTCCCTCCTAAAATGCAATCTTTGGACAAGCTACACAAGCACTATCTGGGATCTTGTAAGAAATGTAGAGTCTAAACCACATCTAAACCAAATGAATCAGAATCTGCGTTTTAATAATATCCCTATGTGATGTATAACGTAATAACTTTCAGAATTTTTGTCTTAATTCTAGTAAGTAGTTAGGATAAAAACCACTAATATAATGTCAAAAAACAGAGAGGAAAATGTTATCAATTTCCTTTTTAGAAAGTCAATGCAATTTTACCTATTTATATGCAACACAAAATGTTTTAAATTTCTAGGAAAAAAATGGTATTTCTAGAAAAATTAGTTTTTCACTATAAAACAAAGTAAACTTTAAAAAATATGAACACTGTCCTGTGATTTACTTTTGAAATCATCCATAGGATTTCAATTATTTTTCAATGCAGTTGTAGGTTTTATTCCAATCGAATTCTCTGTTGCCAATAATGATATGGGAAAGAGCCTGAACTTGATACTCTAGGCATTAGGTAATAGCTGATGATATTTGATCAAGAAAGGATATATTTAAAATATTATTTTGGAACAACAAATGTGAATGAAATATGTAGGCTATATTTAAGGAAGGGACTGAAATAGGTTATAGAAAGACTTAAAAGAAACATGGAAAAGGAGTCTTTGTAAAGGAAATTAATAGATTTAATGATGGATTGAATGAAAGACCAAATCAGCAAAGGAGGAAAAACAAATGGGTGCAACGTGTCAGGATTCGATTAGCAAATAAGAGTGCAGAGCATTTTTCTGCCTTTCAAAAAAGAGATAATGGTTGGCTGTTATTTATGTATTTGTTTCTTTTTTTTCCCAAGGAATTTTGTCGTGTATATGGTTTGTTTGGTTTATGTGGAAGATGTTGAAGAAATTAATTTGGCTATGCTAACTTAGAACAAGAATTTTAAAAGCATTTAAACTAAAAATCCAAGCTGGTTAAATTGTAGAACTGAACTACTACATTCCTCAAGAGTTTTTTGTCTATTTTTGGAGATAGGTGGATAAAATACAGGGAATCTTCAGACAGAATATCATGTAACTAAAATGTCAACTGATTGGACGAGTATTTAGGCATATGATAACAGCAGGAATATGGCAGTTAGGATAAGAGAGCATGCAGTGAGATAATAAGGAAGGCCATTGGAAATCTACCAAAATAATTTAGGATGAGAGGTCAGAGCTTGAACTAAAAAAAGTGGTAGAGATAGCAGCAATTTATTGTAAATTCTGATCAGATATTTTAGAATAATTTTTGCAGTTTTTTAATATGCATAACTTTAACCAAGGCACAAGTTTTAGGCAAGAACCTTTTATCACGTCAAATACAAACATACATTGAGAGACTTTATTCAGTTGAAAGACCATTAAAATAGGAAGAAAGATCTGATCTCAAAAATGTGCGAGTATGTCAAAATCAAACATAAAAAGAATTTTCTCTTATAGAATAGAGAGAGGTGGTAAGCAAAGATTAGTAGAGCCTTTAAGGAGAATTTGGGGAAGCAAGGGAAAAAAACCAGTGGAATCTGATAAGAAAAGTATCCCACTGTGGTCTGCCGAGTCTCAGGATAAGCTAATTAAGGGGCACATTCCAATCTTTAGTGCTTGCTCAGGCTTGAAGAGCAGCAGAATTTCGAGGCCTGTAGGAAGGAAAGAAGCCAGAATAATATTTGGTCAAGACAAAGCAAAGAGTAAGAAATGGGTAGTTATGAATACTTAATCAATCACTCAGGAATATGTCTGGAAAGCATAAGAGAATTAGGAATGATTAATCAGTAGTTCAAATTTAATAAAAAGAATGTTTTTCCTTTACCTACGGGGTTGGAAGTAAGTCCTATTTGTTCTGTACTCATGATGATTCTTCCTATTCAAAAAAATCCCTTTCCCCATCTAACAACATATTAAGCCACATACAATATTTCCAGTGTCTAAAAAGCATGTTTTATAGAATAATTTGAAAGAAAAGTGAATTATTTGTATTGTCTTTTTTATTATACTTATCTTAAAAGTAACTTGACAAAAATTGTCAAAAATAAATTCCAATCTTCAATCTACAAAGAGTTGCATGTAGCATAGAGAGTTATTTTTGGGACCAAAATCATTTTTAAGGGAGAAGAAGGAGAGTGCTAGGGTTCAGATTCTGAACCCAGAGTCAGAAAGTGAGAGGAAGCCACTGAATGCTGTGAGATGGGTGTAGTGTATGCTTTCTCCTGAATTGCCTTTTGACACGCCACCTTACACACTTAGCATGTAAAAGACTGGAAATCTGACAAATTAAATTAGATGTCTTGTTGTCTCAGTGTCCATTAACTGCACCATCCTCTTGCTCAGATTAAAAGCCTAAGGATATAATTGATTGCTTTTCCATCTCTGGCAGAGAGCTGTTCACTTTTTTAAAAACTTTTTTTTTATTTCCATAGGTTTTGAGGGAACAGGTGGTATTTGCTTACATGAGTAAAATATTTAGTGGTGATTTGTGAGATTTTGGTGCACCCATCAACCAAGCAACATTCACTGAACCCAACGTATACTCCTTTATCCCTCACACCCTTCCCACCCTTTCCCCCAAGTCCTCAAAGTCCATTGTAACATTCTTATGCCTTTTCATCCTCATGGCGTAGCTTCCACTTATGAGTGAGAAAATACGATGTTTAGTTTTCTATTTGTGCATTACTTTGCTTAGAATAATAGTCTCCAGTTCCAACCAGGTTGCTGTAAATGCCATTGATTCGCTCCGCTTTATGGCTGAGTAGTATTCCATCATATATATATATATGTATATATATGTATATATGTATATTTATGTATATATATATGTATATATATGTATAGTATTCCATCATATATATCCATTCGTTGATGGACATCTGGACTGGTTCCATATTTTTGCAGTTGCAAATTGTGCTGCTATAAACACGCATGTGCAAGTATCTTTTTCGTCTAATGGTTTCTTTTCCTCTGGTTAGATATCTAGTAGTGGGATTGCTAGGTCAAATAGTAGTTCTACTTTTAGTTCTTTAAGGAATCTTCACGCTATTTCCCTTAGTGGTTGTACTAGTTCGCATTCCCACCAGCAGTGTAGAACGGTTCTCTGTTCACCACATCCATGCCAACATCAACTATTTTTCGATTTTTTATTATGGTCATTCTTGCAGGAGTAAGGTGGTATTGCATTGTGATTTTGATTAACATTTCCCTGATAATTAATGACGTTCAGAATTTTTCATATGTTTGTTAGCCATTTGTATCTCTTCTTTTGAGAATTGTCTATTTATGTCCTTAGCCCACTTTTTGATGACATTGTTTGTATTTTTCTTGCTAATTGGTTTGAGTTCATTGTAGATTCTGGATATTAGTCCTTTGTTGCATGTATAGATTGTGAAGATATTCTCCCACTCTGTGGGTTGTCTGTTTACTCTGCTGACTGTTCCTTTTGCTGTGCAGAAACTCTTCAGTTTAATTAAGTCCCACCTATTAACTTGCTTTTGTTGCATTTGCTTTGAAGTTCCTAGTCATGAACTCTTTGCCTAAGCCAATGTGTAGAAGGGTTTTTCTGATGCTATCTTCTAGAATTCAGATCCTAGATTTTAAGTTCTTGATCCATCTTGAGTTGACTTTTGTATAAGGTGAGAGATGAGGATCCAGTTTCATTCTCCTACATGTGGCTTGTCAATTAACCCAGCACCATTTGTTGAATAAGGTGTCCTTTTCCCACTTTATGTTTTTGTTTGCTTTGTCAAAATTCAGTTAGATGTTAAGTATTTGGCTTTATTTCTGGATTCTCTATTCCGTTCCATTGGTCTAACTGCCTATTTTTATACCACGATCATGCTGTTTGGGCGACTATGGCCTTACAGAATAGTTTAAAGTCAGGCAATGTGATGATGTGATGCCTCCAGATTTTTTTTTCTTAGTATTGCTTTGGCTATGCAGGCTCTTTTTTGTTTCCATATGAATTTTAGAATTGTTTGTTCTAGTTCTGTGAAGAATTATGGTGGTATTTTGATGGGAATTGCATTGAATTTGTAGGTTGATTTTGGCAGTATGGTCATTTCCACAATATTGATTCTACCCATCCATGAGCACGGGATGTGTTTCTATTTGTTTGTCTCGTCTGTGATTTCCTTCACCAGTGTTTTGTAGTTTTTCATTGTAGAGATCTTTCACCTCCTTGGTTAGGTATATTCCTAAGTATTTAATTTTTCTTGCAGCTATTGTTAAAGGGGTTGTATTCTGGATGTGATTTTCAGCTTGATCACTGTTGGTGTATAGCAGAGCTACTGATTTGTGTATGTTAATTTTGTATCTGGTAACTTCGCTGAATTCATTTATCAGTTCTAGGAGCTTTTTGGAGGAGTCTTGGGGTTTTCTAGGTATACAATTATACTATTTGCAAGCAGTGACAGTTTGACTTCCTCTTTAATGATTTGGATGTCCTTTATTTCTTTCTTTTGTCTGATTGCCCTAGCTAGGACTTCCAGTACCATGTTGAATAGAAGTGGTGAGAGTAGGCGTCCTTGTCTTGTTCCACTTCTCAGAGGAAATGCTTTCAACTTATCCCTGTTCAGTGTTATGTTGGTTGTGGGTTTGTCATAGATGGCTTTTATTACATTGAGGTATGTCCCTTGTGTGCTGACTTTGCTGAGAGTTTTAATCATAAATTGATGCTTGATTTTGTCAAAGGCTTTTTCTGTGTCTATTGAGATATCATGTGATTTTTGTTTTTAATTCTGTTTATGTGGTGTAGCACATCTATTAACTTCCATATTTTAAACCACCCCTGCAGCCCTTGTATAAAACCCTCTTGATCATAGTGCATCATCTTTCTGATATGCTATTGGATTCAGTTAGCTAGTATTTTGTTAAGGATTTTTGCATCTGTGTTCTTCGGGGATATTGGTCTGTAGTTTTTGCTGTTTTTGCTATATCCTTTCCTGGCTTTGGTATTAGGATGATACTGGCTTCATAGAATGATTTAGGGAGGAGTCTCTCTTTTCTGTCTTGTGTAATTGTGTCAATGGAATTGGTACCAATTCTTTGAATGTCTGATAGATTCAGCTATGAATCCATCAAGTCCTGGACTTTTTTTTTGTTGAAATTTTTTATTACCATCTCGCTGTTTGTTATTGGTCTGTTTAGGGTTTCTAATTCTTCCTTATTTAAGCTAGTAGGGTTGCATATTTCCAGGAATTTATCCATCTCCTCTAGTTTTTCTAGTTTATGTGCATGAAGGTGTTCAGAGTAGCCTTGAATGTTCTTTTGTATTTCTGTGGTGTCGGTTGTAATATCTCCCATTTAATTTCTAATTGAGCTTATTTGGATTTTCCCTCTTCTTTTCAAGTTTAAACTTGCTAATGGTCTATCAATTTTATTTATCTTTTCAAAGAACCAGATTTTTGTTTCATTTATCTTTTTTTTTCTCCTTGTCTCCATTTCACTTAGTTCTTCTCCCATCTTGGTTATTTCTTTTCTTCTGCTGGGGTTGGATTTGGTTTGTTCTCTTTTCTCTAGTTCCTTGAGGTGTCTATTTGTGCTCTTTCAAAACTTTTTGTTCTAGGCATTTAGGGCTATGAACTTTCCTCTTAGCACCACGTTTGCTGCATCCCAGAGGTTTTGATAGATTGTGTCTTTATTATCATTTGGTTCAAAACATTTTACATTTTCATCTTGATTTCATTGTTTACCCAGTGATCATTCAGGAGCAAGTTTTCTAATTTCAATGTATTTGCATGGTCTTGAAGTTTCCTTTGGGAGTTGATTTCCAATTTTATTTTGCTTTGGTCAGAGTGAGTACTTAATATAATTTCAATTTTCTTAAATTTATTGAGACTTGTTTTGTGGCTGATCATATAGTCTATGTTGGAGAATGTTCTATGCACTGATGAATAGAATGTATATTCTGCAGTTGTTGGTTAGAATGTTCTCTAAATATCTGTTGAGTCCATTTGTTCTAGGGCATAGTTTAAATCCATTGTTTCTTTGTTCGCTTTCTGTCTTGATGACTACCTGTCTAGTGCCATGAATGGAGTATTGAAGCCCCCACTATTACAGTATTGCTGTCTCCCACTATTACAGTATTGCTGTCTATGACATTTCTTACATCTAATAGTAATTGTTTTATAAATTTGGGAGCTCCAGTTTTAGGTACATATATATTTAGGACTGTGATACTTTCCAGTGACAAGGCATTTTATCATTATAAAATGTACCTCTTTGTCTTTTTTAACTGCTGTTGCTTTAAACTTTGTTTTGTCTGATATAAGAATAGCTACTCTTGGTTGCTTTTGGTGTCCATTTGCATGGAATGTCTTTTGCCACCCCTTTATCTTATGTTTTTGTGAGTCCTTATGTGGTAGGTGAGTCTCTTGAAGGCAGCAGATACTTGGTTGGTGAATTCTTATTCATTCTGCAATGCTGTTTTGTTTTGTTTTGTTTTGTTTTGTTTTTTTTTTTGAGAGAGAGTCTTGCACTGTCACCAGGCTGGAGTGCAGTGGCATGATCTCAGCTCACTGCAACCTCCGCCTCCCGGGTTCAAGTGATTCCTCTACCTCAGCCCCCTGAGCAGCTGAGACTACAGGCACATGCCACCATGCCAGGCTAATTTTTTGTATTTAGTAGAAACAGGGTTTTACCATTTTGGCCAGGATGGTCTCGATCTCTTGACCTCACGATCCACCCACCTCAGCCTCCCAAAGTTCTGGGATTACAGCTATGAGACACCATCCCTGGTCAATTCTGTATCCTTTAAGTGGAACATTTAGACAATTTACATTCAACGTTAGTATTGAGATGTGAGGTACTATTCCATTCATTGTGCTATTTGTTGCCTGAAAATCTTGTTTTTTTCTGTTGCTTTTCTGTTTTTGTTTTGTTTTATATGTCCTGTGAGAGTAATCCTTTAAAGTGGTTCTCTTTTGATGTGTTTCCATTATTTGTTTCAAGGTGTATAGCTCCTTTTAGGTGTTCTTGTAGTACTGGCTTCGTAGTGGTTTGTTTGTCTGAAAAAGACTGTATTTGTCCTTCATTTATGAAGCTTAGTTCACTGAATACAAAATTCTTGGCTGATAGTTGTTTTGTTTAAGGAAACTGAAGATAGAGCCCCAATCCCTTCTAGCATGCAGGGTTTCTGCTGAGGAGTCAGCTGTTAATATGATATGTTTTTCCTTGTAGGTTACCTCGTGCTTTTACCACACAGCTTTTAACATTCTTTCCTTCATCATGACTTTAGATAACCTGATGACTATGTGCCTAGGCTATGATCTTTTTGCAATGAATTTCCCAGGTGCTCTTTGAGCTTCTTGTATTTGGATGTCTAGATCTCCAGCAAGACCAGGGAAGTTTTCCTTGATTGTTTCCCCAAAAACATTTTCCAAACTTTTGGATATCTCTTCTTCCTCATGAATGCCAATTATTCTTAGGTTTGGTCATTTAACATAATCCCAAGCTTCTTGGAGGCTTTATTCATTTTTTAAAATTCTTTTTCTTTGTCTTTGTTGGATGGGGTTATTTCAAAAACCTTGTCTTTGAGCTCTGAAGTTTTTTCTTCTGCTTGTTCGATTCTATTGCTGAGATTTTGCAATACAGTCTACATTTCTCCAAGCATGTCCTTTATATCTTAAAGTTGTGATTGTTTTCTATTTATGCTATTTATTTCACTGAAGATTTCTCCCTTCATATATTGTATCATTATTTTTTATTTGCTTAAGGTGAACTTCACCTTTCTCTGGTGCCTCCTTGATTAGCTTAATAATCGACTTTTTGAATTATTTTTTCTGGCAATTCAGGACTTTTTTGATTTGGAACCATTGCTGGTGAGCTAGTGTGATTTTGGGGGGAGTGTTAAAGAACTTTGTTTTGTCGTATTACCAGAATTGTTTTTCTGGTTCCTTCTCATTTGGGTAGGTTATGTCAGAGGGAAGATCTGGGGCTCAAGGCTGCTGTTCCAATTCTTTTATCTCATAGGGTGCTTCCTTGATGTAGTACTCTTCCCTCTTTGAAGCAATTGTGAATGGGAGTTCACTCGTGATTTGGCTCTCTGTTTGTCTGTTGTTGGTGTATAAGAATGCTTGTGTTTTTTGTACATTGATTTTGTATCCTGAGACTTTGCTGAAGTTGCTTATCAGCTTAAGGAGATTTTGGGCTGAGACAAGGGGGTTTTCTAGACATACAATCATGTCGTCTGCAAACAGGGACAATTTGGCTTCCTCTTTTCCTAATTGAATACCCTTTATTTCCTTCTCTTCCCTAATTGCCCTGGCCAGAACTTCCAACACTATGTTGAATAGGAGTGGTGAAAGAGGGCATCCCTGTCTTGTGCCACTTTTCAAAGGGAATGCTTCCAGTTTTTGCCCATTCAGTATGATGTTGGCTGTGGGTTTCTCATAGACAGCTCTTATTATTTTGAGATACGTCCCATCAATACCTAATTTATTGAGAGTTTTTAGCATGAAGCGTTGTTGAATTTTGTCAAAGGCCTTTTCTGCATCTATTGAGATAATCATGTGGTTTTTGTCATGGGTTCTGTTCATATGCTGGATTACATTTATTGATTTGTGTATATTGAACCAGCCTTGCATCCCAGGGATGAAGCCCACTTGATCATGGTGGATAAGCTTTTTGATGTGCTGCTAGATTCGGTTTGCCAGTATTTTATTGAGGATTTTTGCATCAATGTTCATCAAGGATATTGGTCTAAAATTCTCTTTTTTGGTTGTGTCTCTGCCCGGCTTTGGTATCAGGATGATGCTGGCCTCATAAAATGAGTTAGGGAGGATTCCCTCTTTTTCTATTGATTGGAATAGTTTCAGAAGGAATGGTAGCAGTTCCTCCTTGTACCTCTGGTAGAATTTGGCTGTGAATCCATCTGGTCCTGGACTCTTTTTGGTTGGTAAGCTATTGATTATTGCCACAATTTCAGATCCTGTTATTGGTCTATTCAGAGATTCAATTTCTTCCTGGTTTAGTTTTGGGAGAGTGTATGTGTCGAGGAATTTATCCATTTCTTCTTGATTTTCTAGTTTATTTGCGTAGAGGTGTTTGTAGTATTCTCTGATGGTAGTTTGTATTTCTGTGGGATCAGTGGTGATATCCCCTTTATCATTTTTTATTGTGTCTATTTGATTCTTCTCTCTTTTTTTCTTTATTAGTCTTGCTAGCGGTCTATCAATTTTGTTGATCCTTTCAAAAAACCAGCTCCTGGATTTATTGATTTTTTGAAGGGGTTTTTGTGTCTCTATTTCCTTCAGTTCTGCTCTGATTTTAGTTATTTCTTGCCTTCTGCTAGCTTTTGAATGTGTTTGCTCTTGCTTTTCTAGTTCTTTTAATTGTGATGTTAGGGTGTCAATTTTGGATCTTTCCTGCTTTCTCTTGTGGGCATTTAGTGCTATAAATTTCCCTCTACACACTGCTTTGAATGTGTCCCAGAGATTCTGGTATGTTGTGTCTTTGTTCTCGCTGGTTTCAAAGAACATCTTTATTTCTGCCTTCATTTCGTTATGTACCCAGTAGTCATTCAGGAGCAGGTTGTTCAGTTTCCATGTAGTTGAGCGGTTTTGAGTGAGATTCTTAATCCTGAGTTCTAGTTTGATTGCACTGTGGTCTGAGAGATAGTTTATTATAATTTCTGTTCTTTTACATTTGCTGAGGGAGCTTTACTTCCAAGTATGTGGTCAATTTTGGAATAGGTGTGGTGTGGTGCTGAAAAAAATGTACATTCTGTTGATTTGGGGTGGAGAGTTCTGTAGATGTCTATTAGGTCCGCTTGGTGCAGAGCTGAGTTCAATTCCTGGGTATCCTTGTTGACTTTCTGTCTGGTTGATCTGTCTAATGTTGACAGTGGGGTGTTAAAGTCTCCCATTATTAATGTGTGGGAGTCTAAGTCTCTTTGTAGGTCACTCAGGACTTGCTTTATGAATCTGGGTGCTCCTGTTTTGGGTGCATATATATTTAGGATAGTTAGCTCTTCTTGTTGAATTGATCCCTTTGCCATTAAGTAATGGCCTTCTTTGTCTCTTTTGGTCTTTGTTGGTATAAAGTCTGTTTTATCAGAGACTAGGATTGCAACCCCTGCCTTTTTTTGTTTTCCATTGGCTTGGTAGATCTTCCTCCATCCTTTTATTTTGAACCTATGTGTGTCTCTGCACGTGAGATGGGTTTCCTGAATACAGCACACTGATGGGTCTTGACTCTTTATCCAATTTGCCAGTCTGTGTCTTTCAATTGGAGCATTTAGTCCATTGACATTTAAAGTTAATATTGTTATGTGTGAATTTGATCCTGTCATTATGATGTTAACTGGTGATTTTGCTCGTTAGTTGATGCAGTTTCTTCCTAGTCTTGATGGTCTTTACATTTTGGCATGATTTTGCAGCAGCTAGTACCAGTTGTTCCTTTCCATGTTTAGCGCTTCCTTCAGGAGCTCTTTTAGGGCAGGCCTGGTGGTGACAAAATCTCTCAGCATTTGCTTGTCTGTAAAGTATTTTATTTCTCCTTCACTTATGAAGCTTAGTTTGGCTGGATATGAAATTCGGGATTGAAAATTCTTTTCTTTAAGAATGTTGAATATTGGCCCCCACTCTCTTCTGGCTTGCAGAGTTTCTGCTGAGACATCTGCTGTTAGTCTGATGGGCTTCCCTTTGAGGGTAACCCGACCTTTCTCTCTGGCTGCCCTTAACATTTTTTCCTTCATTTCAACTTTGGTGAATCTGACAATTATATGTCTTGGTGTTGCTCTTCTTGAGGAGTATCTTTGTGGTGTTCTCTGTATTTCCTGAATCTGAATGTTGGCCTGCCTTGCTAGACTGGGAAAGTTCTCGTGGATAATATCCTGCAGAGTGTTTTCCAACTTGGTTCCATTCTCCTCGTCACTTTCAGGTACACCAATCAGATGTAGATTTGGTCTTTTCACATAGTGCCATATTTCTTGGAGGCTTTATTCATTTCTTTTTATTCTTTTTTCTCTAAACTTCCCTTCTCGCTTCATTTCATTCATTTCATCTTCCATTGCTGATACCCTTTCTTCCAGTTGATCACATCGGCTCCTGAGGCTTCTGCATTCTTCACGTAGTTCTCAAGCCTTGGTTTTCAGCTCCATCAGCTCCTTTAAGCACTTCTCTGTATTGGTTATTCTAGTCATACATTCTTCTAAATTTTTTTCAAAGTTTTCAACTTCTTTGCCTTTGGTTTGAATGTCCTCCTGTAGCTCGGAGTAATTTGATCGTCTGAAGTCTTCTTCTCTCAGCTCGTCAAAGTCATTCTCCGTACAGCTTTGTTCCGTTGCTGTTGAGGAACTGCGTTCCTTTGGAGGAGGAGAGGCACTCTGCTTTTTAGAGTTTCCAGTTTTTCTGTTCTGTTTTTTCCCCATCTTTGTGGTTTTATCTACTTTTGGTCTTTGATGATGGTGATGTACAGATGGGTTTTTGGTGTGGATGTCCTTTCTGTTTATTAGTTTTCCTTCTAACAGACAGGACCCTCAGCTGCAGTTCTGTTGGAGTACCCAGCCGTGTGAGGTGTCAGTGTGCCCCTGCTGGGGGGTGCCTCCCAGTTAGGCTCCTCGGGGGTCAGGGGTCAGGGACCCACTTGAGGAGGCAGTCTGCCCATTCTCAGATCTCCAACTGCATGCTGGGAGAACCAGTGCTTTCTTCAAAGCTGTCAGACAGGGACATTTAAGTCTGCAGAGGTTACTGCTGTCTTTTTGTTTGTCTGTGCCCTGCCCCCAGAGGTGGAGCCTACAGATGCAGGCAGGCCTCCTTGAGCTGTGTTGGGCTCCACCCAGTTCGAGCTTTCTGGCTGCTTTGTTTACCTAAGCGAGCCTGGGCAATGGCGGGCGCCCCTCCCCCAGCCTCACTGCCGCCTTGCAGTTTGATCTCAGACTGCTGTGCTAGCAATCAGTGAGACTCCGTGGGCATAGGACCCTCTGAGCCAGGTGTGGGATATAATCTCTTTGTGCGCCGTTTTTTAAGCCCATCGGAAAAGCGCAGTATTTATGTGGAAGTGACCCGATTTTCCAGGTGCCATCTGTCACCACTTTCTTTGACTAGGAAAGGGAACTCCCTGACCCCTTGCGCTTCCTGAGTGAGGCAATGCCTCGCCCTGCTTCGGCTCATGCATGGTGCGTGCACCCACTGACCTGCACCCACTGTCTGCCACTCCCCAGTGAGATGAACCCGGTACCTCAGATGGAAATGCAGAAGTCACCCGTCTTCTGCATCGCTCACGCTGGGAGATGTAAACCGGAGCTGTTCCTATTTGGCCATCTTGGCTCCTCCCCCCAAACAATTACTTTAAATGGCAGCAAGAATGTTTCTCACTTACTGTTCTGGAGGGATAGGTGCTTTCCCACAAGGTATTTATGTAACCATTATACAATTTTGTTGAAGCATGCATTATTATAGCCAAAGAAATCAACATTGAACAGGATTAAGTTTGTTACCCAATGTCATACATTTAGTAAATTAGTAGGGAAAAAATACCTGTATTTAGGTTTATTAGATTTCAAAAGCCAAGCCGAGTATCATATTCCGTATATGTAGCCACACTACTCACTGCCTCCATTAGTTTCCTATTGATGCTGTAACAAATTACCAGAAACAACAAAATTGTTTTATCTCACAATTCTGGAGGTCAGAAGTTCAAAATGTGTCCTGTTAGAATAAGATCAAAGTGTTAGCAGGACTGAATTCTTTTCTGGAGATGCCAAGGAAAATCCAGATATTCTCAACTTTTCTAGCTTCTAGAGGCTGCTTGTATTCTTTGGCTTATAGGCCCCTTCCTCCATGTTCAAAGCCAGCAATGGCCACTTGAGTCTTCTTATATTACATCACTCTGAACCCTCTGTCTTTCTCTTCCACGTATGAGGACTCTTGTGATTACATTGGGTCCACCTGAATAATCTCAACGTTGGTGATAAGCAAATTTAATTCCATCTGCAATCTTAATTTCCCTTTGCCATGTAAGCTAATGTATTCCAAGATTCCTGGAATGAGAATGAGGACATATTTGAGGGGTGGGAAGGTATTGGTTTGCCTACAACACACCCTTAGGATGTAATCAGCTTCTGACTATTAGACGTTAGAAATACCCTGCACTCAAAGGTAAGGCCTGAAAAAAACAATAAATTGATAATTCAAGTAGACATAAAATGACTATTTTCAAGAACTGGTAAAGAATTGGTACATTCCGTGCACAGAAAATTTATCTATGCATTAAGGACACTTTTGGTTCTAATATTTTATGATTCCTTAAATATTACTTTGAATGAGAACAAAAGACATTGAAAGAAAGTAAATACAAGCTGAGGTCAAAAGAACTGTTCAATATTCATGATGCTTATGCAATACTTCAATTTGGTATCTAATTTTCTGAAGTATAATTAAACATGAAATTACAGTCATAAGAAAGATAGCTGTATATAAAGATAAATTATACATTTCCACAATGAATGATCATCAAAGTTTCCTCTTCTCAACTATATGTTATATAATCCTAATCATTATCATTAATATTGAGTACCTTAATTGAAGACAAGTTTGACTCAGCAGTAATTCACTTTATAGGTGACCAATTATTCTGTCTGTCACAGACAGCATTAGAATATGAAAATGGAAGAAATAAAATTTCAGTTTCCAAATATTATGGAATCTAAAAAATGATTTTGTGAACTTTTAAGTTGGAGCCAAATCCATTACTTTCAGAAATTCTACGTAAGCTGTAAAAAATCCATTTTCTATATAATAGCTCCTTAAAGAAGAGAGCAAAGCAGTTAAAAAATTCCAATTGAATATCCTGCTGACATTAATGATATGGCAAACAGCCTGAACTTGATCCTCTAGGCATTCGATAATAGTTAATAAAATTTAATCAAGAAAGGATATATTGAAAATATTATTTGGGAAAATAAATATGAATAAAGTGTGTAGGCTATATTTAAGTGGGAGAAAAATAGAATAATAATTGAAAAACTAGCCATATGTAGAAAGCTGAAACTGGATCCCTTCCTTACAACTTAAGCTGAAACTGGATCCCTTCCTTACAACTTCTACAAAAATTAATTCAAGATGGATTAAAGACTTAAATGTTAGACCTAAAACCATAAAAACCCTAGAAGAAAACCTAGGCAATACCATTCAGGACACAGGCATGGGGAAGGACTTCATGTCTAAAACACCAAAAGCAATGGCAACAAAAGCCAAAATTGACAAATAGGATCTAATTAAACTAAAGAACTTCTGCACAGCAAAAGAAACTACCATCAGAGTGAACAGGCAACCTACAAAATGGGAGAAAATTTTCGCCACCTACTCATCTGACAAAGGGCTAATATCCAGAATCTACAATGAACTCAAACAAATTTACAAGAAAAAAACAAACAGCCCCATCAACAAGTGGGTAAAAGATATGAACAGACACTTCTCAAAAGAAGACATTTATGCAGCCAAAAGACACATGAAAAAATGCTCATCATCACTGGCCATCAGAGAAATGCAAATCAAAACCACAATGAGATACCATCTCACACCAGTTAGAATGGCAATCATTAAAAAGTCAGGAAACAACAGGTGCTGGAGAGGATGTGGAGAAATAGGAACACTTTTACACTGTTGGTGGGACTGTAAACTAGTTCAACCATTGTGGAAGTCAGTGTGGCGATTCCTCAGGGATCTAGAACTAGAAATACCATTTGACCCAGCCATCACATGACTGGATATATATCCAAAGGATTATAAATCATGCTGCTATAAAGACACATGCACACATATGTTTATTGTGGCACCATTCACAATAGCAAAGACTTGGAACCAAGCCAAATGTCCAACAATGATAGACTGGATTAAGAAAATGTGGCACGTATACACCATGGAATACTATGAAGCCATAAAAAATGATGAGTTCATGTCCTTTGTAGGGACATGGATGAAATTGGAAACCATCATTCTCAGCAAACTATCGCAAGGACAGAAAACCAAACACCACATGTTCTCACTCATAGGTGGGAATTGAACAATGAGAACACATGGACACAGGAAGGGGAACATCACACACCAGGGCCTGTTGTGGGGTGAGGGGAGGGGGGAGGGATATCATTAGGAGATATACCTAATGTTAAACGACGAGTTAATGGGTGCAGCACACCAACATGGCACATGTATACATATGTAACAAACCTGCAGGTTGTGCACATGTACCCTAAAACTTAAAGTATAATAAATAAAAAAAGTAAAACTTAAGAGAAATTTAAATTTAACTTGCAGATGCTTAATGATAATTTGTATTTATTCTGACACCCATTTAACAAGTATTTAATTATCTATTCTATGTAAAATATTATTTTGAGCCCTGCGTTATATTAACTTAAATGATCTATAAATAGTTATTCTGTGCCAGGAAGAATATAAATGTTTTTACAGGAGTTGGCTGAATTATCCAAAAGACAAAACAAAATACAAGAAAGAGTATGACTTAGTGTATTTTCTCTGTTTCAAGATACCCGCCTTCCTAATGGATGTTTGATTGGATAGTTGCAATTTCAAACCATTAAGCTGTTTGCAGTGCTGTTTCTGAGTAACAGAAATCCATTATTTTGATAAATGCAAAATATTTTCAGCATATTCTTCTGTGAAAATTCTTTATTTCTATTTTTTATATTTACAGATATAACTATTCCTTTCATCATTTCTTTTACCCAGTTTGAGTACCACTGACTGAAACACTTTATGTCAGAGCTCCTTTAGAGTCAGTTATTCCTAATTTAGTCTGTCATATTTTACATTTCCCAAGCATATAATCTTTAAGCTCAGCTAGATTATTGGGCCTATTTATCTAACATTTGATTGGCTCCTGGTTTCCTTTGGTACAGCAAATTTTGTCAGCCTCGAAGGTCCTCACATTTTTTATCTCAGTTTCTACAAGACAGAAAATAACCCCCATTGTCACTGCACAGTAATGGGAACACAGAACTCAAACCATCTAATGCCCTCCATCAGTTTGTCAGCAATTACTTTCATTCAACAAATACTTATTGAGTGATGCTAGCTGTCAGGCCTCTTCTGGATGCTAGAGACACAGCAAGGTATAAGACAGATGAAAGCCTGCCTATGGGGAGTTTACATGGCTGTTTGGAAATACAAACAAGTACAAAATTAATAGGTAATATCTTAGGCGATAAGTGTACTGAAGAAGTATAAGGTAGGGCTAAGGCATAGATGACATTTTAAATGGAATAGTCAAGAACAGCCTCTTTGATATAGTGACATTTTAGAAGAGATATGAACTAATTATAGAAAGAATATGAGGAAAGAAATTCTCCAGCAGAAGGAATAGCAAATGTCAATCTATTGTGGTAGAAATATGTTTGTTGTATTTGGGGAAACTTCAAGGAGATTAATATGAACAGAGAGAGCAAAAAGTGAATCAAAATAAATTAGGTCACAGAAAAAGGGCATGCAGATAATTCAAGCTCTGTAGGTCAAGCATAGCCTTTGAATTGAGATGGATGCCATTGGATGAGTACATGATCTGATTTATATTTTGGAAGTGAGACAAAGGTTGAAGCATAGATACCTGTACTTTGACCTTACAGAAAACTGTAGAGCCTTGATATTCATATGTTGATTTATTGTCTGTTCATTCTTTATTGTATTTCATTTTCTTCCAACCCAGGACTTCATCTTCATCATTCAATACCTAATAATATAACTGAGACAACAATAATGAATTCTGGGTTTTAGAATCTCCTTTCACTAAAATCTCAATCCTAGTAATTGATAAATTTTCCTACACCGCACCTTTACCAAGAAAACTCAAATCTACACGAAAAAAAAAGGTTCTTTTTTGTTTTCTAAGTGTGGAGTACAACATTGCTTAGCAACTATTTTTCTTTTATTTAGTTTTATACTCTTATCCTTTCCTTCCAACAAAATGTCCAAATATATTACTCGTATTCTGAAGCATCCAATTCATCTCACCCACTAATTAATTCCAGAAAAAAAAAACTCTAGCTATTTTGAAAAGAAAAAATTAAGCCCATTTTGCATAACCTCTTTAAACTTCCCTATAAATTACTACACACTTAATCAAATTTCTAACTTTCTCCAACATCTCGATCCTTGAGGTGATTCTCAGGTTTTTCAAAAATATTTTCTTACAGTTATCTGTTTTGCATTTCCTCCTCTATTCTTAAAGAAGTTTTAAAATTAAGATATTCTTTCCAATGAAGATTTTTATGGTAAAACTATAATGATATAACCTCCTGTTTGCATTTGGGGCATTTTTATTTAAAATGTATTTTTATATATTCTCATTTAGTTAAATTTTAACTATTATTATAATACCTTAAATATAAGAAAAATTTTGTTAGAGAAACTCAGCAACTGCCAAGTTCACAACAACATTTGTTTATGGAAATGATTTCCTTCTTGATGGTTCATCCTCTTGGCTTCTGCAACATACAAACTGCTTAGAAATACATCTCTTCTCTGCTCATCTATTTTATCACAAATATTTTAATGAGCTTTCTATTGTCTTCCACATATTACATCAGGTTATCTCTCCTCAGCCTAGTTTCTTCTGATTCTATGCATCCTTCCTGTATGATCTATTCTAATTTCAGAGTCTTGATTATAATCAATCAGCTTATAAATCCCCAATCATCTGCAGCTCCAGTGTGGCTCTTCATTTTCCAATTTTAGTCTCACGTAATTAGTCCTCTCCTGAATTTCTCTATCTCTTTGTCTATTAATGTTTTCTGACTCTCAAATTATATGAAAATCTCCTTAAGAGTAGGAGTAAAGCTAGTCAAATGGTATCTCCAGAATAAAGGAAATTTTATCTCATAGAGTAGAGAGTCACATGTTGTTCCATATAGGTCAATAGCAGTATTTTTCATTTTAGTTGTTCAAACAGGATTATAACGTAAGATTTTTTAGTTAAATAAATAAACATCATAGATTTTGGTCACATAGCTCTGGTCCATACTTTCATCACAGGTGATTTGGAGAACATGGAGGAGCAGGAGGAGGAGGAGAAGCAGAAAATGGAGGAAGAGAAGCACAAACAAGAAGAGGAGAAAGAGGAGGAGGGGGAGAGGCAAAAGAAAGTGAAGAAGGAGGATAAAAACCCAGCATAAATATCACTATAAAAACCCATTCATGGATTGTATCCATAAGCAACCAGTGTATTGCCACAACTGTGATAAGACAGTGGCTCTTTGTTGATACTTCCCTTGTAATTGAAAGGCATGGCCTTTCCAAAGAACATGATGTTTGCTTATAGAAGACAAGATATCTGTTTTACTTAATTATAAAATATGAAGCCATGTTCTGGTCCATCAGTCTTCTAAAATGGCCTACTGTTTCTGGAGGGTGAGACCATAACTAGCATGAGAAGGTCACTACTGTATTTCTATGCCACTATGCTTGTTCCACCTGTCATACATAATCCCCACACTTCCTAACTTGGAGAAGCAGAAAATCATGGGTGAAATAATGCCTACATTTTGGTGTTCCAACATAAAATGTATATGCCTTAGGTTTAATTGTAGTTTTTAAATGAGTATATTGACATCTGCCAGTATATCTTACTTGTTAGTTTGCTGTCTGGTAGTGCTTTTGGACTATTAGTTTTCTTTTTGTGCACTAGAACACGGATATCTTAGATCCACTGGAAGTGCACCTAATATTGTTAGAAAAACAAACTAGGGAAGAAAACACCACAGGGAAGAAATGAGAGGAGATGGAAAAGAAAACAAAGAAAGGAAACCATTTGACATTTAGCAATTAATTAAAGCAGGGTATATTTTTTTAAAATCAGACATAGTTCAATAGTTACTGAACCATGAGATGGTGCAGTGGCTCATGCCTGTAATCCCAGCACTCTGGAAGGCCTAGGCATGAGGACCACTTGAGATCAAAAGTTCAAGAACTGTGCTGACAACATTGTGAGACCCCCATCTCTACAAAAAATAATTAAAAAAAAATTAGTCAGGAGCAGTGGTGCATATCTGTAGCTCTAGCTATTTAGGAGTCTGAGGGGCGGTTCAATTGAGCGCTGTAGTTCCAGACTTCAGTAAGCTATGAGTGCGCCACTGCACTCAAGCCTGGGTGATGAATGCAGACTATGTATCTATAAAAAAAATAGTCACTGACTCCTATGTAATTCTTTTTCATTGAGAATGTAAAGAGAATGGCTTTGTTTTGCCCCAGAGAAGAGACCTTGTATCTCTGATGTTTAGAAATTTCATGCCAAAAGAACAAGAATAATAATATAATTTACTTGAATTATATATTTGTGAGTTATGGTCTCACTCTCCAAGAACAATAGGCCATTTTAGAAGACTGATGGACCAGAACATAGCTTTATATTTTATAATTAAGTAAAACAGTTATCTTGTCCTCTACAAGCAAGCGTCATGTTCTTTGAAAAGGCCATGCCTTTCAATTACAAGGGAAATATCAATAGCTACTGCCTTATCACAGTTGTGGCAATACACTGGTATGTGAATTATATATTATATATAAATTACATGTGCCTAATAATATTAGGTACAATAACATATATTGTTGTATATTACCTAGAGAATAACCATAATTTCCAATGGGACTGTTCAAATTAGCATAAAACATTTACCTAATAAATATTTCCTTTAAAAACCACACAAATTCATTTTATTTTATTTTATTATTTTACTTTAAGTTCTAGGATACATGTGCAGAATATGCAGGTTTTTTGCACAGGTAAACGTGTGCTATGGTGGTTTGCTGTATCTATTAAGCCGTCGTCTGGATTTTAAGCCCCGCATGCATTAGCTATTTGCCCTGAGGCTCTCCCTCCCTCCCCAGCCACCAGCCCTGATGTGTGTTGTTCCCTTTCCTGTATCAGACTCAAATTAAAAACATAATCTCTATTAGTGGGATCAATCTAAAGACAATGCGTTTACAAATCTGTTATATAGTTTTTCAAACTCTAAAGTACACAAATAATGTTCTGGACATGTTCTTAAAATTCAGGTTCCAGGTGTACACCCCAAGATTCTGACTCAGTAATTTTGGAAAAGTAGACTAAGAATTTGCATTTCAACAGGTATGAGCTGATGCTGATTGTGATGGTAGTATGTGGGACATCCTGAGGAACAATGGACTGAGCTGTACAACTTATCTGAACTTAGAAGTTAGTTTTTAATACTCGGTTCTTAGCACATTGAATTAAACAACCGGTAGTGAGTAGGTGATCTTTTATACATGTTTGTCTATTAATTTAATTAAAATTCTATTTTTCTCTTTCTGTCTAGTGTACTTATTTCAATAAATGACCTCTGTGAAGATATATGGGCCCCTGAAAACTCCAGGGAAGTAAATTCAAATTTCTAAACATAAGAAATCAGTTTTATGTGAGAGATATGTGACCAAGCACCTAGAAACGTTTGACATTAAATATGAGAATACTTTTATCATATGGCATCCAAAAGATGACTGAATTTTGGCCAATGTTTACATTCATTTTATTACTTAAAATATTCTAAGTCAATGTAAGCAGGTAAAAATACAAGATAAATGATGATTTGTAGGAAAACTTTTGAAGTGTAGAATGACTCCAATTTTATTATGCCAATTATCACTATTTACTAGAGAACGTGTAAAATTTTTCATAACATGGTAAGTATTATTTTTGACATAGCGTTGTTCCATCTTGGACATATATTTGTTGAAAAGTAGTAGATGGTATTCTACAGAAACATCTTTATCACTGCAATCATTTCTATGCCTGGTTTCCTCCAGCGTGCTTTTCCGTTGTCTGACTCACTCAGGGCTAGACTAACACTGGGATTAGCATGTGATGGGTCCATTCGCTTTCCGGTTGCCTTGTCTTCACAATGATCTATTGCAGAATCACCTGGTTAAGTTTATTTTTAGAATTTGTAGAGACAGATTTTGGGCATTACTTTCCGTCTCGATCATATGATCTCATAATTGATGTTATTTTGAAAAACAAAAGGGAGATTTCAAAAAACAAAAGGGAGATTTCAACGTGTTTAAATACATCAGCCATCTAGGAAAGGACATCTCTTGAGACTTCACTTCAGCTTCACTGACTTCTGGATTCTCCTCTTGAGTAAAAGGTAACATGTTCAAGTACAATCTAATATTATATATTAGCATAAGCTTTTGTTTGCTAAAATCAATAGTAACCCACTTATGAAAATGTATATTATCTATGATAATTTCTTATAAAGAAATAATTACCATTTATTGGCATCTGAAGATGACTTCTAGATCTCAATTCCTATGAATTAACACCAGCAATCATCATGCAAAGTAACTAATGTGGAATATGGCAATGTATTACATCCTCGCTGATGGTGGGACCTCAATGAACTCTTTTTATTTCCTTGCCTAGATACCTGATATCTACTTTCTTATTACTTTTATATTAAACTTAATGTAGAAGTTCACATTTTACAAGATACTGATAGATTCTGTCTTGCAAATTCATTATTATAAAAATTTATTTTTTAATTTACTTTCCTCTTAGTCGTAAACTATTTTATTACTTTTTCATTGGCCTTTCCATCATTAAAAACAGTTCTGTTATAAATCAAAATATATACTGTATAACAATTAGTCTTCTCAATCTTACTAATTTATTTAACTCATTTTCATTCATTTGTGTTATGGCAGAAAAGACAGTTTATTATTCCAAATTTTTATTATTGATTTACTCGGGAAATATGTTTTTCAAAACTATTAATTATACATTGATTATCTATGTTCATTTATCATTTTATCTGTTAGTAAAAGAAGGGCACTTTCTTACAGCCTTTTTTGATTTTCTATTTGCAACACAATTGACAGTCACAAACAACGGTAAAATTGTCTTTTTATATCATAAAAAGAGTCATAATTTGATTTATCTATTAGGTAATAGAAAAACTTCAAGAAATATATAATTTTTATAGTTAGTCCTATACAAGAAGTTTCCATTTAAATGAGTGAAGCAAAATGAATGAAGAAATAATAAGGCAAATGGGTTCTGCTTTCTGTGATAGAGATGTAGGGCTGTTTAAGAGTAGGACATTTTTATTATAATTAGATGAAAAACGTTACTGTAATGTTCTATCACAAGTGACAGGTAAGAGAGATTAGAAAAATTTTTTAAAATATTATCTATTAATGAATTACTTTATAGCTAGCAACTAACAAATAAAAATGCCATGTAATTCTAAGTTTTGTGGTAATTGTATTTTCCAGTGGAAATGCTTTTATTTACATGTTTGTAATTTAGAAATAAGTAATCCGCTTTACTTTTTTATATCAGCCGAAGAACTGGATTCACTTGCATATGCATAATTATAAAAACATATCAGAGTCCCAGATGAGGCTTTGAATAATATTATTTGAAATATTGAATAATCTTCACCAGTTCAACTTCTCAAAGTAGATACAATCATTTTCCCTGTGACTTCTCTTCATTTTATTTTTCTCTAACCAATACCATTAATGTTCTAATCTCAAGGTTGCACCATCTGTGCTATTCTTTAATAGAAATCTGGCTCATATTCACTGACTTTATTATAAAGAAAGTCCCCATTACTTGCCATTCTACTTTCTAAATATGTCTTTACACTGTACTTTAATTAGCATTCTTAATGTCATTATCTAAATCCCTTGTAATGTCACAACAACCTAAGTGGTCATCTTTTCTCCAGTTTTGTCCTCCCTACATGCTAAACTGTTTGAACTTTCAACATGCTTTCCTCTCTGTTGTATTTCATTGCAGTCTCCCAACACCTCCCTTTACTCATTCCATATAATCCAACTCAAGCTTGCCTTTCTTTGTTATCTTCTTACTCCCATTATCTTGGTCTATTTAAGATGTCCATTTGTGTGTTTCCTTAGCATATTAATAATTCCAAATTAGAGCACTCACCTTTATTTATCAATTAATGAAGCTATGCCCTGGGCTCACACCGAAGATCCAAGCATTTTGAAAGGCCAAGGCAGGAAGATTCCTAGAGCCCAGGAGTTTCAGAACAGTCTGGGCAATATAGTGAGACTAAAAATATTCTCTACCAAAAGAAAAACAAATTAGCTTGTCATGGTGTCACACACTTGTAGTTCCACCTACAAGTGGAACTAGGGAGGCTAAAGTGGGAGGATGGCTTGAGCCCAGGTGGTCCAGGATGCAGTGATCTGTGCTCATGCCCCTGCACTCCAGCCTGGAAAACAGAGCATGTCTCCCAATGCTTTGAAGCATAGTGTCATCAGTAGAAGTTTGATGAATGAATGCATGAAAGAATGTGATTACTGATTTTTCATGTTTGATTTTATAGGACTCAGCCAACTATGAAGTTTTTTGTTTTTGCTTTAATCTTGGCTCTCATGCTTTCCATGACTGTAAGTATATCTGGAAGTTTTAAAGGATACATTCTCAGTACTTATCCCAAGGATCTTTCTTATTCCTTACGTTCTGCCATATATTCATGTTCACCTCAATACAGCTTTAATATTTCTATGTAAAGATTTTCCTTGAATTAACCTATATAAGTTCTTAAAGGACTTAGAATAAATATTCATTACATACCTGCGAACACTCAAGTACAATTACTTGAATATAAAAATAAAAGAAAATTAAGCAAGCTTCATAAATATGTGGGACTGAGAACTGTGAAAATATCTTTAAATATTAAAAGCTCTAGACCACCTGAAGTTAGAAATCTGAGGAAAGAACAAGGTACACTTCAATGGAACCTAAGTATTAGAGGGTGTCAAAATATGAATTTTCAAGTAATTTCTTGCACAACCAAACTGTTCAAGTTAGCATACAATTTATTTTACTCTTTCTAAAATAAAGCTGCCTATTTTAAGCCATAAAACAAATCTATATCTGTTAAGTGTCATGAGTTCCCAGCTTGTATCGTCATTTACTACTGTGTAATAGTAGAAAAGGCACTTGACCTCTCTGGAGCTCTTTCTCCTTCTCTACTTTCTCATCCTCTTCCCACTCCTCCTCTTCTTTCTATGAAGTTAATAGAAAATTGGTCACAAAAGAATACTAATACTTCAACCTATCCACTAAATTCAAATGAATGTTTCAAAAACAAAATTGGTTATGGCATCACAGTTTATCACATGATTTTATTATAGAAGGATAGAAGTAGAAAAATAAACATATAAGAAGAACAGAGAAAAGCACAATGCCTGTCTCTATCAGCAAATAAAATATTTGTATGTTGGTAGCTTTTGAGCTACATAGAACATATTCATATAAAAAACAATCCAATGTTTCATTTTTCAGTTTCCACTCTCTTATTCACCAATGATAGACTTTTCTTGCCTTTCATAAAAAAGATATATAAACCAAAATGAGTTGATACTTTAATATAGCATATTAATTATAGAGAAGTTTACCCTTCACTCATTTTAAAGATGTCATAAAGCTAAAATAACTAATTTAGCATGTCATCATCCAAAGAATGCCTCCATTCTATTTAATCATAAATGTGGCTAAGTCAATTTTTACACATATTCTTGAATTATGAAATTAAGATATTAATTATTTTCTCATTTTCTTCTTTTCCAAGGGAGCTGATTCACATGCAAAGGTAAGACATTTTCATTTACTGGAAAACTTGATAATTAATCATATATTGAATTTTTAATCTTTTCTTTTTATTTCATAGAGACATCATGGGTATAAAAGAAAATTCCATGTAAGTGTTCTTCTGATAATGTGCACTCTGAATAAGTTTTCTTCTCTGACTATTTATTCTCCTAGAATAATTGATAGTTATCTCTCAAATATATTTATATCATTAATTGCTAAAGTGTACATTGATTTCATTTATTCTTGTTACAGAGGTAAAAGGTCACAAAAATCTTGTGTTCTAACAGCATTTCAACGGAAACTCAATTACACTCTGAATAAGTCAATTTTCAATTATTCTTTGAGAGCTTAAGTATCTTTCTCTTATAAATAATTACATTGACCTAAAGAATAGTTCCTAATTCTATGAATAATTCCTAATTCTATGAAGTATAACATATGCCTAATGAAGCATAGAGGCTACCCATGTAATGTGGTTTCTATCTTATAATATTTGAGGATGATAAAGTCTTTAAATTAAACTTACTGTGCTAAATTAGACAGAAAATTTTATTTAACATTTTTCTAAATGTATGTATAAAAATATCATATTATTTTGACCTCTAATATCAGTATGAATAGGGGTTCAAAAGTTCTGCTTACTAATATAGCAAGTATATGTGTTAAAAAAGCACTAAGTAAAATGATGCATAAAAAGGAATGAGGACTGTTTGTGTTAACAGCAGTGGGTATGAAAGAATGTAGGAGTTGTAAGAGAAAGTAAGCTCATTAAAAGAATAAGATGAAGAAACACCACCTAAGTTGGAAACGGTAACTTTCTCCTCCCCGTTATACTCAATGTTGGGCAAAATAGTAACTTGGAGGTAATGTTGTTAAGAAGATTTAAAACCTGTTTGGAGAGGTTGCCTATAATCAGTGTTCCAACATTTATTATTGCCACAAAAATATCAACACACAGTAAATACTTTATCATTTTTACTTGCTTTTAAACATTTTTCTGAAAGAAGAAAAATGTAACTAAAAATTTGAAAACATTTATGTAGATAACACACGAGGTCATAACAACTTTAACAATCTAAGCTTTCAGTGACAGTTTTTGTGAAGCATTTTTACTGTCATTGCCTCTATTCTCTGCAATTTGCTCTCTCCTTTTGTGTGTATGCAGGAAAAGCATCATTCACATCGAGGCTATAGATCAAATTATCTGTATGACAATTGATATCTTCAGTAATCACGGGGCATGATTATGGAGGTAAGCTGACTCTAGTTACTTTTCTTTCTAGAAGTATCAACACTGACAGTTAAAACAAGGAAAAATTAAAAAAAAGCCATTAAGCCAACAATCATTCCAGTTTAAGAAATGTAGCGTGGGTTAGCTCTTTGAAGTGTGTTGATTTATATAGATGCTTCTGACTTTGTAGATATGTGGTGTTATTTCTGAGGTCTCTGTTCTGTTCCATTGGTCTATATGTCTGTTTTGGTACCGGTACCATGCTGTTTTGGTAACCGTAGCCTTGTAGGGTAGTTTGAAGTCAAGTAGTGTGATGCCTTCAGCTTTGTTCCTTTTGCTTACAATTGTCTTGTGTATATGAGCTCTTCTGTAGATAATTATGAAATTTAAGTACTTATTTCTAATCCTGTGAAAAATGTCAATGGTAGTTTGATGAGAATAGCATTGAATCTATAAATTACTTTGGGCAGTAAGGCCATTTTCATGAAATTGATTCTTCTTATCCATGAGAATGGAATGTTTTTCCATTTGTTTGCATCTTCTCTTATTTCCTTGAGCAGTGATTTTTGGTTCTCCTTGAAGAGGTCCTTCACATCCTTTGTTAGTTGTATTTCTAGGTATTTTATTATCTTTGTTGCAATTGTGAATGGGAGTTCATTCATGATGCAGGTCTCTGCTTGCTATCTGATCTACGACAATCCTGACAAAAACAAGCAATGGGAAAAGGATCTCCTAGTCAATAAATGGTACTGGGAAAACTGGCTAGCCATATACAGAAAACTGAAACTGGACCCCTTCCTTACACCTTATACAAAAATTAACTCAAGATGGATTGAAAATTAAATGAAAAACCCAAAACCAAAAAAAGACCCTAGAAGAAAACCTAGGTGATATCAT
Source organism: Homo sapiens (assembly GCF_000001405.40). Lineage (NCBI taxonomy): Eukaryota > Metazoa > Chordata > Mammalia > Primates > Hominidae > Homo > Homo sapiens. The sequence goes on from NC_000004.12 coordinate 70,034,130, forward strand.
TCGGGACATAGGCATGGACAAAGACTTCATGAAGAAAATGCCAAAAGCAATGGCAACAAAAGCCAAAATTCACAAATGGGATCTAATTAAACTAAAGAGCTTCTGCACAACAAAAGAAACTATCATCAGAGTGAACAGGTAACTTAGAGATTGGGAGAAAATTTTTGCAGTCTACCCATCTGACAAAGGTGTAGTGTCCAGAGTCTACAAGGAACTTAAACAAATTTACAAGACAAAAACAAAAAACCCGTCTAAAAGTGGACAAAGGATATGAACAGACACTTCTCAGAAGAAGACATTTATGTGGCCAACAAACATGAAAATAGCTCAACATCACAATCATTAGAGAAATGCAAATCAAAACCACAGTAAGATACCATCTCACACCAGTTAGAATTGTGATTACTAAAAAGTCAAGAAACGATAGATGATGGCTAGGTTGTGGAGAGATAGGAACACTTTTTCACTGGTGGTGAGAATGCACATTAGTTCAACCATTGTGGAAAACTATGGATTCCTCAAGGATCTAGAACCAGAAATACCATTTGACCTAGCAATCCCGTTACTGGGTATATACCCAAAAGAATATAAAGCATTCTACTATAAAGACATATGCCTAGATATGTTTATTGCAGCACTATTTACAATAGCAAAGACATGGAACAACCCAAATGCCCATCAATGATAGACTGGATAAAGAAAATGTGGTACGTATACACCATGGAACACTATGCGGTCATTAAAAGGAATGAGATCCTGTCCTTTGCAGGGAAATGGATAAAGCTGGAAGCCATCATCCTCAGAAAACTAAAACAGGAACAGAAAACCAAACAGCACATGCTTCACTCATAAGTGGGAGCTGAACAATGAGAACACATCAGGGAGGGGAACAACACACACCAGGGATGGGGGGTAGGAGGTGACAGAAGGTAACATAGAGGGCTGATCAATAGTGCAGCAAACCACCATGGCACATGTATACCTATGAAACAATCCTGCACATTCTGCACATGTATCCCTGAACTTAAATTAAAATAAATCATAAAATAAAATAAAAATGCCTCTGAGGGAAAGCTTCTGTTTGCTACTGTTAAGAGACAGAGTTCTGGGTAGGGGAACCCCTGTGTTTTTATCCTGACCCTGACAACTAGTTTCATGACCTTAAAGTATTCCTAATCTTCTCTTAACCTTAATTTTATAAGAGACAAATACATGTTATAATAATACTTAAGCTCTTTATAGAATTTGTAGGGCTATTGAGAGACATTATAGGGAAGCCCTTGTTCTGGAAGGTGTATGGTTGTGGCCATGGGTTTCTCTGCCACTAAATCTGTACCTGGTTGTTATTTGAAGTTTTCTGTCCTAAAATGTAATCTTTGGAGAAGCTGCACAACCGCCATCTGGGAACTCATGAGAAATTTACGTTTTATGCCTAAGTAACTCTAATGAGCAATGGCTATAGGAATGACTAATAAAATATCAACAAGGAGATGGGAATTTTCAAGGAAATATGATATGGTAACAATGTCCTTTTTAGAAAGTCATTTTTACTTATCTATATTCACAGCATAAAATGTTCCAAAATCTATGAAATATTAAATATTATACTTCAAAATAAAGTAATATTTTGGAGATAAAAGAGTACTGTTCTACAATTCAAAATTGAAATAGTTCAAAAGATTTCAAATATTTTTAAATGTATTGGGACATTTTATTCATATTGAATTCCTGCTCTTCGTGATATTAGAAAAGGCCTGATCTTGATCCTCCAGGTGTTAGATAATTGCTGATGACATTTAATCAGGGGAGGATATAGGTAAAATATTATTTGAGGGAGATAGATGAAATGTGTAGGCTATATTTAAGTGAGAGAATAAAATAAGATGATGATGGAAAACCTCAAGAAAAATTTAAATTTAAATTGCAGATGCTGAATGATAATTTTTATTTATTCTGATACCCACTTAATGAGTATTTAATTGTTTAATTGTCTACTCTGTCTCAAATATTATTTTGGTCCCTGCATTATAATAAATAAAACTATCTATAAATAAATACTTTGTACCAGGAAAAGTATAAATTTATTTACAGGAATATCAATTTGGGCGATAAAGTGTTATTTTCTTTTTCTTCATAGGTTTGACTGGCAAATTCGCTTTGGACTCGTGTATTCTCATTTGTCATACCGCATCACACTACCACTGCTTTTTGAAGAATTATCATAAGGCAATGCAGAATAAAAGAAATACCATGATTTAGTGAATTCTGTGTTTCAGGATACTTCCCTTCCTAATTATCATTTGATTAGATACTTGCAATTTAAATGTTAAGCTGTTTTCACTGCTGTTTCTGAGTAATAGAAATTCATTCCTCTCCAAAAGCAATAAAATTCAAGCACATTATTATGTGTATGCTCTTTATTTCTCTTTTTTATATTTACAAACATAAAGACTTACTTCTTCACTTTATTTTCCCAGTTCGAGTAGCACTGACTATAGTACTTTATACCATAGCTCTTTTGAAATGATTATTTTTAATTTAGCATGTTATATTCATTTTATCTTACAAACATATGGTCCTCAATCACATCTAGATTACTAGATATGATTTGTCTCTGGTGTCTTTTGCCACAGGACATTTCTTAGCCTTGAACATTCTCACATCAACTTATCTCAGGCCCTACAGGCCAGCAGATAACCCCTATGTCACTCCACAGCAGTAGGCAGGCACTCAGAACAAAAACCATCTAATGCTCTCTATCGGTTTGTCAATATATCCATCAAACAAGTTTATTGCCCCTCTCCCTCTCCCTCTCCCTCTCCACGGTCTCCCTCTCCCTCTCCCTCTCTCTCCACGGTCTCCCTCTGATGCCGAGCAGAGGCTGGACTGTGCTGCCGCCATCTCGGCTCACTGCAACCTCCCTGCGTGATTCTCCTGCCTCAGCCTGCGGAGTGCCTGGGATTGCCGGTGCGCGCCGCCATGCCTGACTGGTTTTTGTATTTTTTGGTGGAGACGGGGTTTCGTCGTGTTGGCCGGGCTGGTCTCCAGTTCCTGACCGTGAGTGGTCTGCCCGCCTCGGCCTCCCGTGGTGCCGGGATTGCAGACGGAGTCTCGCTCACTCAGTGCTCAATGTTGCCCAGGCTGGAGTGCAGTGGTGTGATCTCCGCTCGCTACAACCTCCACTTCCCAGCCGCCTGACTTGGCCTCCCAAAGTGCCATGATTGCAGCCTCTGCCCGGCCGCCACCCTGTCTGGGAAGTGAGGAGTGTCTCTGCCTTGCCGCCCATCGTCTGGGATGTGAGGAGCCCCTCTGCCCGGCTGCCCAGTCTGGGAAGTGAGGAGTGCCTCTTCCCGGCAGCCATCCTGTCTGGGAAGTGAGGAGCGTCTCTGCCCAGCCTCCCATCGTCTGAGATGTGGGGAGCGCCTCTGCCCCGCTGCCCCATCTGGGATGTGAGGAGCACCTCTGCCCGGCTGCGACCCCATCTGGGAGGTGAGGAGCGTCTCTGCCTGGCCACCCCGTCTGAGAAGTGAGGAGCCCCTCTGCCTGGCAGCGGCCCCGTCTGGGAAGTGAGGAGCTCCTCCGCCCGGCAGCCGCCCCATCTGGGAAATGAAGAGCGTCTCTGCCCAGCAGTCGCCCCGTCCAGGAGGTGGGGGGCAGCCCCCACCTGGCGAGCCGCCCCATCCAGGAGGGAGGTGGGGGGCAGCCCCTGCCGGGCAGCCGCCCCATCTGGGAGGTGGGGGGCACCTCTGCCCAGCTGCCCTGTCTGGGAAGTGAGGAGCCCCTCTGCCTGGCCACCACCCCGTCTGGGAGGTGTACCCAACAGCTCATTGAGAGCGGGCCATGGTGACGATGGTGGTTTTGTCGAATAGAGAAGGGGGAAATGTGGGGAAAAGAAAGAGAAATCAGATTGTTGCTGTGTCTGTGTAGAAAGAAGTAGACATAGGAGACTCCATTTTGTTCTGTACTAAGAAAAATTCTTCTGCCTTGGGATGCTGTTAATCTATAACCTTACCCCCAACCCCGTGCTCTCTGAAACGTGCTGTGTCCACTCAGGGTTAAATAGATTAAGGGCGGTGCAAGATGTGCTTTGTTACACAGATGCTTGAAGGCAGCATGCTTGTTAAGAGTCATCACCACTCCCTAATCTCAAGTACCCAGGGACACAAACACTGCAGAAGGCCACAGGGTCCTCTGCCTAGGAAAACCAGAGACCCTTGTTCACATGTTTATCTGCTGACCTTCCCTCCACTATTGTCCTATGACCCTGCCAAATCCCCCTCTCTGAGAAACACCCAAGAATGATCAATAAATACTAAAAAAAAAAAAAAAAAAAGTTTATTGAGTGATACCAACTGTCAGACACACTATTTTAGTTGTGCTCTTAGAGGTGTTTAAAATTGTCTCTGAGGACCTTTGCAATTTTGTGGGCTTAGTTGTAAAGTTACCTTTGTCATTTCTGTTTGTTCTTATTTGAATCTTGTCCTTTATTTCTTCTTTATTAACGTAGCTGGCAGTTTATTGATCTTATTTGTACTTCAAAAAACTGACTTTTGGTTTCATTGATTTCTTGTATGGTTTTTGGTTCCAAGTTTCATTTACTTCTCCCTCGAGATCTGCCTACATGTGGAGTAGAGAAGTCCTCACTGCACCATGACCTACTCACAGGAATGGCGGGGTGGCTTAGGCTGTTGATCCAGGCAAAACTGTGTTCTCAGTACCTGGAGATCTGCCTGAATGTGGAGAGGAAATGATCCCACTACACCACAATCTATGTCCATAAAGGGTGTGGTGGCTCAGACTAATGTTCCAGGCAAGTAGTGGCTCTAAAGGCCTGAATTTCTACCTGGGAGTAGAGCAGAGACGGCCCTACACACCACAGTCTTGGGGTAGCAGGAGAGGGCACCTAGTAATGACACATGCAGACTGGTTCTAGGTCAGCAATCTTGTACTTGCAGCATGTCTCATCACAAAAGAGAAACAACAGCTCTAGCAGCTCTCCTCTGCACCATGATTTTGAGGTGGCAAAAGCACAATTCTGGTGCCTAGTTTTCCAGTGCTTTCCATAATTCTGGCTATGAAGGTTCTTAACCCACTCCAGAGCAGGCAGTTTAAACTCTGGCCTGAGACTCAAAAGCCTGCATAGCCATGTTCCCAAGTCACCAAAGAATGGCTGACTTTGTATGCACCTGTATTAAAAATGGCATCCTGCCATCAGTCCTGGGTCTGTGAAAATGTCTGCAGATGTTCCCAGTGTCTTTCCTTCATAGTGTCTCATAGCCTCTCCCCAGGTTAGCTTCAAGGCTTGGAAGAAACAAAATGCTCTCCTTTGGGCTAGGTCGCTCAGATTCTCAGTGGAAAGGTGAGTCACAGAGGGAGATGCTCTGCATCTCTCACATACTGGGGCTTCACTCACTTCGGTCAGCTGAATGTTATCATGGGGTATGTTTGCACTTGTTCTCCTCTGCAGGACCTGAAGTGTCCTTCATGATTCCAATACAATCCCACTTTCCTCCTTGAATTAAAGCTCAGAGACATGATCTTTATGAACTATCTTACTACCTTCAAGTGGCAGAAGCATGTCAAAAGTCTCTACTCTGCAACCTGAAAAAAAAAAAGCAGGAAAAAAAAATCACAACTCGCTTTATTTTCTCTTTTTATTTTGTGTTTGTTTTGATTTTTATTATTTAAGTTCTGGGATACATTTGCAGAACATGCAGGTGTGTTACATAGGTATACACATGCCATGGTGGTTTGCTGCACCTGTCAACCCATTATCTACATTAGGTATTTCTCCTAATGCTATTCCTCCCCTCAGCCCCCACTCCACAACAGGCCCAGATGTGTGATGTTCCCCCTGCTGTTTCCATGTGTTCTCAGTGTTCAACTCCTGCTTATGAGTGAGAACATGTGGTGCTTGGTTTTCTGTTCCTGTGTTAGTTTGCTGAGAATGATGGTTTCCAGCTTCATCCATGTCCATATAATGGACATGAACTCATTCTTTTTCATGGCTGCATAGTATTCCATTGTGTATATCTGCCACATTTTCTTTATCCAATCTATCATTGATGGGCATTTTGGTTGGTTCCAAGTCTTTGCTATTGTGAATACTGCTGCAATAAACATACATGTGCACATGTCTTTATAGTAGAATGATTGATTGATAATCCTTTGGGTATATGCCCAGTAATGGGATTGCTGGTTCTAGATCCTTGAGGAATTGCCATACTGTTTTACACAATGGTCAAACTAATTTATTAATTACTAATTTATCTTTGTGGTGTTCTCTGTATTTCCTGAATTTGAATGTTGGCCTGCCTTGCCAGGTTAGGGGAGTTCTCCTGGATAATATCCTGAAGAGTGTTTTCTAACTTGGTTCCATTCTCCCCGTCACTTTCCGGTAAATGAATCAAAGGTATATTTGATCTTTTCACATAGTCCCATATTTCTTGGAGGCTTTGTTTGTTTCGTCTCACTCTTTTTTCTCTAATCTTGTCTTCTCACTTTATTTCATTAATTTGATCTTCAATCACTAATTTCCTTTCTTCCACTTGATCGAATCAACCATTGAAGCTTGTGCATGCATCACGAAGTTCTCGTGCCATGGTTTTCAGTTCCCTCAGGTCATTTAAGGTCTTCTCTACATAGTTTATTATAGCCATTCGTCTAACCTTTTTTCAAGGTTTTTACCTTCCTTGTGATGGGTTAGAACATGAAACTTTAGCTCGGAGAAGTTTGTTATTACCGACCTTCTGAAGCCTACTTGTCAACTCATCAAACTCATTCTCCATCCAGTTTTGTTCCCTTGCTGGCAAGGAGCTATGATCCTTTTGGAGGAGAAGGGGCACTCTGTTTTTTGGAATTTTCAGCTTTTCTGCTCTGATTTCTCCCCATCTTTGTGGTTTTATCTACCTTTGGTCTTTGATGTTGGTGACCTACAGATGGGGTTTTGGTGTGGATGACCTTTTTGTTGATGTTGATGGTATTCCTTTCTGTTTGTTAGTTTTCCTTCTAACAGTCGGACTCTTCAGCTGCAGGTCTGTTGGAGTTTGCTGGAGGTCCACTCCAGACCCTGTTTGCCTGGGTATCACGAGTGGAGGCTGCAGAACAGCAAATATTGCTGCCTGATCCTTCCTCTGGGAGCGTCGTCCCAGAGGGGCACCCACCTGTTTGAGGTGTCTGTCAGTCCATTCTGGGAGGTGTTACCCAGTCAGGCTACACGGGGGTCAGGGACCTGCTTGAGCAGGCAGTCTGTCCATTCTCAGGGCTCAAACACCATGCTCAGAGAACCAATGCTCTCTTCAGAGCTGTCAGACGGGGATGTTTAAGTCTGAAGAAGCTGTTTGCTGCCTTTTGTTCTAATATGTCGTGGCCCCAGAGGTGGAATCTATAGAAGCAGTAGGCCTTGCTGAGCTGTGGTGGGCTCTACCCAGTTCGTGCTTCCTGGCCTCTTTGTTTACACTGTGAGCTACTCAAGCCTCAGCAATGGTGGATGCCCTCTTCCTGCCAGGCAGCAGCCACGCAGGTAGATCTCAGACTGCTGCGCTAGCAGTGAGCAAGGCTCTGTGGGCATGGGACCCACCAAGCCAGGCATGGGAAGGTATCTCCTGGTCTGCCGGTTGCTAAGACTGTGGGAAAAGCACAGTATTTATTCAGGAGTGTACCATTTCTCCAGGTACAGTCAGTCACGGTTTCTCTTGGCTAGGAAAGGGAAATCCCACAACCCCTTATGCTTCCCGGGTGAGGCGACCCACCACCCTGCTTTGACTCACCCTCCATGGGCTGCACTCACTGTCCAACCAGTCCCAGTGAGATGAACCAGGTACCTCAGTTGGAAATGCAGAAATCACTCATCTTCTGTGTCGATCTCTCTGCGAGCTGCAGACCAGAGCTGTTTCTATTTGGCCATCTTGGAAGCCAGCCCACTACCAAAGTAATCTTACCAAAGATTACCAAAGTCATGTGAAATGAAAGGCATCTGAGTTAGCCTCTATTAGTCTGATAAGCACTGACTTTTCTTTAAGCCAATAGATAAAAACTCTTTCAAATAATTTGGTAGTGAGATACCACTTCCATGTGACACATTCAATTATATAAATATAACAGACATACAAAGGCAGGTCCAGAAGATTTTTCATTTGGCTGTTTTGAAAAAATTTGCTCCCTTACTTTAGATTATTAATAAAGAAATGTTACAGGAGCCAACAAAAGGTGAAGGAGAAAATTACCGTCTCTGGCCTTTTCAAATGAGAGAAAGCACCGAACTTCAGGGATATCAATCTGAAGAATTAGAAACAGAAACGTTTCTTGAGCAAACAGTCATATTATTTTAGAAGAAAAAATCACAATATAAGATTATTTCTCATATAAAATTAAATTTCTATTATCCTTTTTGTTTACCAAAGGTACCTTTTAATATGTATAACTTTCCTTACATTTCTCTTGTTTCCTTTTACTTCATTTTATATACCTCTAAATAATCTTTGAATTAGATAAAAAATGTTTACCTTTTAATAAAAAAAAACACTTTTTAACGTGTTTCTCTGTATTTTTTAAATTGGAAATTAGTCAGACATTTAATTAATATCTATTACTTAATATAACCTCAGATTATAAATTATATGACAACTTTAATATAATGGATTGAAGTGTCCTGATAGTGGGTACGTATCCACAGTGTTTCACCCCTAAGTTATTTCTGCCCTCTTACATGCCTTGTTTTCTCTCTTCAGAGGTCTGGCACCTCCAAGAAGGCTCAAAAGATGGAGTAACCAGCTCCCATATGCATTTACCTATGAGCCTTGTTTAACTACTTTTGTTGGGGGTTCCCTGCAGGGCTGCTGTACATCACAGGGGGTCAAACCCCCAGACACTTTCACTTGGCTTCTGGTCACCCAGGGGCAGCGTTTGCCTGGGAGGGGCAAAATGCCTTTTCTCTTCAGAGTGAGAAAACTCAGTCTCCCATTTATCTACGAAAACAACAGTTCAGTTCCTCGCACAAATGTGCAGACAAGACAATTGTGCTTAATTTGGGGAGAAAAAGCAGTAGAGAAGACCCTTTAGAATATACCTCTCTGAACCAGATACCAAACAGGTTGCCCAAAAAGGGGTCATTTTCCTTGTCTTTAGAAAAAGGCAATGGAAAAGATCCTTTAGAATGCACCTCTCAAATAGAATTAGAATCCTAAACAACTTCCTAGGAGGAAAAAAAAATGCAGCTCAGAACAAATCAAGGACCGGCAACCAAAGGGATGTTCAGGGCTCAGGAGGACTTGCCAGTTTCACTAGAGGAGAAGCTCAAAATCAGGGAGGCTTTCAATGGGCCCTTGCTTGTACCCTAGCTCCAAGTTTGGGCCACTCCTTCAGTGTTCTGACTCTTCTCTGAGGCCCCACATGTTCAGGCAACAAATTGTTGTTGACAAAAAGAATCAAACTCTGTAAAATATTTGAAGAGATTTATTCTGAGTCAAAAATGAGTGACCAATGGCCTTTGACACAGACCGTAGGAGATTCTGAGAACATGTCCCCAAAAATGGCTAGGGTACAGCTTAGTTTTATACATTTTAGGGAGACATGAGACATCAATCAAATCCATGTAAGATATATTATACAATGGATTTGTACAGATAGGTGGACACTTCAATTTGTCCACTAAGTTCTAAGGGATGTTTCAAGAAACAACCTATGTATGATATCAGAGTTTATCATATTATTTTTGTATAAAAGGATAGAAGTGAAAAAACTTTTATACTTGATCTTTAGTTATAAAATTAAGATACTAACTATTCTCTCATTTTTCATTTTTCCAAGAGAGCTGACGTATCTGAAGAGGTAAGTCACCTTCATTCACAGGAAAACTTAATAATCAAACACATATTGAATTTTTACTCTTGTCTTTATTTTCACAGAAATATCATGAGTGTAAAAGAAAATTCCTTTCAAGGATTCTCTTGATAATGTTGTGCAGTCCAAACAAGTGTTCTTTTCTGATTATTTAATCTCCTGGTATAATCTGTGATCATTTTTGAAATATATGTATATTATGAATGGCTAAAGTGTATATTAATTTCACTTACTCATGATACATTGGCAAAAGTCCCACATGTCTTAGAGAATTTAGGTGGAAGTTCATAATGCCAATTTAAAGAAGTCAATTATTCTCTGAGAACTAAAATAAATTTGGTAAATAATTATGTTGACATAAATAATAGTTAAAAGCCAATTCTACTAAGTATAATATATGCCTATACTGCCATATTACATGTGCTGGCAATCACACAGGTAATATGGGAAGTTCCAATCATTTGATTTGTTGATGGTGATAAAGTCTTTCAGTTAAACTGGCTATTCTAAATAAAATAGAATATAGTATTTCTTTAATATATTTCTTAATGTGTATCTTTGATATGTCATTATTGTTTGATCTCTCATCTTAATGTGATGGAGTTTAAAAAAATTCTTCTTAGTAATATAATAAATACATTGATAAAATGGCACTAAATAAAAACATAAACATTGGGGAAGGATAGTTATTTGGGTTAAGAGAAGGCAGAGTTAAAGAATGCAGTAGTGACATGGAGAAACTCCACTTAAGTTGGAAGTATTAAATTTTTCTTTCCCATAATACTCAATGATGGGCAAAGTAGTAGCTTAAAGGTAGTATTATAAAAAAAAAAGTTTTAATCCTCATTTGGAGTGGTTGCCTGTAATCAGTATTCCCATGTGTACTGTAAAACAAGAACTGGCAACAAAGAGTAAAAAGGTAAATGCTTTATGATTTTTACCTACTTTTACATATTTTTTTATAAAAATGATAAATCTAACTAGTAGTTTAAAAATGATATTGCAGTTGATATACGAATTGCAGTTGATACAACAAACTAAGCTTTTAAACACATTATTGTGAAACTCTTGCACTGTCACTGTCCCAATTATCTACAGCTTTCTCTAGTTCTTGTGTCTGTATGCAGGAAAGGTCTAACCAACATCAGCCATATCCAGACTATTGGCCATATCCAGCATATCCACCATATTACCTATATCCCTATCCATAGCCTTACAGTGTTCCTCAGTAACCACAGGACATAAGTATAAAAGTAGGCTAGGTCTAGTGATATTCTTTACTTTCCAAAAATATCCATGCTCACAGTTAAAAGAGGAAAACAAACACGAGATATCAAACAAACAATAGACCCAGTAAGAGATGTGGGAAGGTTTAGCTCCTTGAAATGTATTTATTTATATAAACACCTCTGAGAGAAAGTTTCTGTCCTGTCGTGGTTAAGAGGCTGGACTCTGGAGAGGAGGAACCCTGAGTTTGTATCATGTTCCTGACAACTACTAGTTTCTTTACTGTATTAGTCCGTTCTCATGCTGCTAAGAAGACATACCCAAAACTGGGTAATTTATAAAGGAAAGAGGGTTAATGGACTCACAGTTTCACATGGCTGGGGAGACCTCACAATCATGGCAGAAGACGAAGGAAGGGGAAAGGAACTTCTTACATGGCTGCAGACATGAGGGCATGTGCAGGAGGACTCCCATTTATAGAACCATCAGATCTCCTGAGACTTATTCACTACCACAAGAACAGTATGGAGGAAAATGCTCCCACCATTCAATTATCTCCATCTGGCCTGCCTTTGACATATGGGGTTTATTACAATTCAAGGTGAGATTCCAGTGGGGACACAGCCAAACCATATCAACCTTGAAATTAGTAGTTTCTTAATCTTCTTTAAACATCAGTTTTCTTATCAACAAAATAGATATTATAATAATACTTAACCTCATTTTAGAATTGGGAAGACTATTAACAAATATATTACGTAAAATCCCCTGATTAGAAAGGTGTACAGTTATGACTGCAGATTTCCCTGCCACTAATTCTGTTTCAGAATGTTGTTCAAAACTATGCCTTCTAAAACACAATCTTTGGAGAAGATGTACAAGCACTATATGGGAAATTGTGGGAAATTTACATTATATGCCCTAAGTAAATCCAAGAGCAATTACTGAAAGAATCACTAGTATAATACCAACAAGGAGATATAAAAACGTCTTCAATTTCATTTTTAGAATATCAGTTTTATCTAACTATACACAACATTAAATGTTCTGAATTCTGTGCAATATTAAATATTTATCTACAAAATAAAGCAAATTTTTAGAGATTAAAGATAACTTCTACATTCATCAAAGTTGAAATATTTCATGGAATTTTAAATATTTCTCAGTGCATTGTGAGATTTTATTCCAATTGAATATCCTGTTGACATTAATGATATGGGAAACAGCCTGAACTTGATCTTCTAGGCATTTGATAATAGCTGATGAAATTTAATCAAGAAAGGATACATTTAAAATATTATTTGGGGAAAATAAATATGAATAAAGTATGTAGGCTGTATTTAAGTGGGAGAAAAAATAGAATAATAATGGAACTTAAGAGAAATTTAAATTTAAATTGCAGGTGTTGGATGATAATTTTTATTTATTCTGATACCAATTTAACAAGTATTTAATTGCGTATTATGTGTCAAATATTATTTTGAGCCCTGCATTATATTAGCCTAAATGATCTGTAAATAGCTATGCTGCACTAGGAAGAATATAAATGTTTTCTACAGGAGTTGGTTGAATTACCAAAAAGACAAAGTAAAATGAAAGACTATGATTTAGTGTATTTTCTCTGTTTCAAGATGACTGACTTCCTAATGGATGTTTGATTGGATAGTTGCAATTTCAAACCATTAAGCTGTTTGCAGTGCTGTTTCTGAGTAATAGAAGTCCATTCTTTTTATAAGTGCAATATATTTTAAACAATTCTTATGCAAAAGTTCTTTATTTCTATTTTCTATATTTACAAATATAGCTATTCCTTACATCACTTCTTTTACCCAGTTTGAGAAGCACTGACTGAAGCACTCTATGTCAGAGGTCCTTTAGAGTCAATTATTCCTAATTTAGTCTGTAGTATTTTATATTTTACAAGCATATAATCCTTAAGCTCAGCTAGATTATTGGGCCTATTTATTCTGACATTTGATTGGCTCTGGGTTTCCTTTGGTACACCTAATTTTCTCACCCTGGAAGTTTCTCACATTTTTTACCTCAGTTTCTACAAGACAGAAGGTAACCGCACCGCCCCCCAGCCCCCACCCACCCCACTCATTGTCACTGCACAGTAAAGGGAACACAGACCCCAAACCATCTAATGCCCCCCATCAGTTTGTCTGCAATGACTTTCTTTATTATTATTATTATTATTATTATTATTATTATACTTTAAGTTTTAGGGTACATGTGCACAACGTGCAGGTTTGTTATATATGTATACATGTGCCATGTTGGTGTGCTGCACCCATTAACTTGTCATTTAGCATTAGGTATATCTCCTAATGCTATCCCTCCCCACTACTCCCACCCCACAATAGTCCCCGATGTGTGATGTTCCCCTTCCTGTGTCCATGTGTTCTCATTGTTCAATTCCCACCTATGAGTGAGAACATGCAGTATTTTCATCACAGGAGATTCGGAGAATAAGGAGGAGGAGGAGAAGCAGAAAATGGAGGAAGAGGAGCCCAGAGAAGAAGAGGAGAAAGAGGAGGAGGGGGAGAAGCAGAAGAAGGTGAAGAAGGAGGATAAAAACCCAGCATAAATATCACTATAAAAACCCATTCATGGATTGTATCCATAAGCAACCAGTGTATTGCCACAACTGTGATAAGACAGTGGCTCTTTGTTGATACTTCCCTTGTAATTGAAAGGCATGGCCTTTTCAAAGAACATGATGTTTGCTTATAGAAGACAAGATATCTGTTTTACTTAATTATAAAATATGAAGCCATGTTCTGGTCCATCAGTCTTCTAAAATGGCTTACTGTTCCTGGAGGGTGAGACCATCCCTAGCATGAGAAGGTCACTACTGTATTTCTATGCCACCATGCTTGTTCCACCTGTCATACATAATCACCACACTTCCTAACTTGGAGAAGCAGAAAATCATGGGTGAAATAATGCCTACATTTTGGTGTTCCAACATAAAGTGTATATGCTTTAGGTTTAATTGTAGTTTTTAAATGAGTATATTGACATCTGCCATATCTTACCTGTTAGTTTGCTGTTTGGTAGTGTGCTTTTGGACTATTAGTTTGCTTTTTGTGCACTAGAACATGAATATCTTAGATCCACTGGAACTGTACCTAATATTGTTAGAAAAACGAACTAGGGAAGAAATGAGAGGAGGCAGAGAAGAAAAGAAGAAAGGAAGGAAACCGCTTGACATTTTGTAATTAATTAAAGCAGGGTATATTTTTTAAATCAGACATAGTTCAGTAGTTACTGAACCATGAGATGGTGCAGTGGCTCATGACTGTAATCCCAGCACTCTGGAAGGCTTAGGCACGAGGACCACCTGAAATCAAAAGTTCAAGAACAATGTTGACAAAATTGTGAAACCCATCTCTATAAAAAATAAAATTAAAAATTTAGGCTGGTGCAGTCGTGCGTACCTGTGTCTCTAGCTACTTAGGAGTATGAGGGGAGGTTTGCTTGAGCCCTGTAGTTCCAGACTGCAGTTAGCTATGATTGCACCACTGCACTCCAGCCTGGGTGATGAATGCAGCCTATGTACCTATTAAAAAAAAATAGTCACTGAATCCTATGTAACTTTGTTTCATTGAGAATGTAAAGAGAATGGGTTTGTTTTGTGCCAGAGAAGAGACCTTATATCTCTGATGCTTAGAAATTTCATGCCAAAAGAACAATTTAAATCTAATATACTTGAATTACATATTTGCCTAAATAAATAATTTACATTTTTGTATATTACCTATAGAATACCATAATTTCTAATAGGACTGTTCAAATTAGCATAGATGATTTATCTAAGAAATATTTCCTTTAAAAACTCACACACAAATTCATTTTATTTTATTTTATTTTACTTTCCTATTTTACTTTAAGTTCTGGGATACGTGTGCAGAACATGCAGATTTGTTGCATTGGTAAACGTGTGCCATGGTGGTTTGCTGCACCTATCAACCCATCATCTAGGTTTTAAGCCCCACATGCATTAGCTATTTGCCCTGATGCTCTCCCTCCCTTCCCCACCACCAGGCCCTGGTGGGCGTTGTTTCCTTCCCTGAATCAGACACAAATTTAAAACACAATTTCTAATTAGTGGGATCAAGCTAAAGACCATGCGTTTATAAATCTCTTAAGTAGTTTTTCTATCTTTAAAGTACACAAAGAGTTTCCTGGACATGTTCTTAAAATTCCGGTTCCAGGTGTACACCACAAGATTCTGACTCAGTAAGTTTGGAAAAGTAGAATAAGAATCTGCATTTCAACAGCTACTAGCTGATGCTGATCATGATGGTCGCATGTGGCACCCTCTGAGGAACAATGGACTGGGCTGTATAACTTATCTGAACTTTAGAAAAGAGTTTTTAATACTCAGTTCTTAGCACATCAAATTCTCCAACCGGTAGAGAGTAGGTGAATGCTTATACATGTTTGCCTATGAATTAAATTAAAATTCTGTTTTTCTCTTTCTGTCTAATATAGTTATTTCAACAAATGGCCTCTATAAATATATATGAACCTCAGAAAACTCCAGGGAAGTAAATTCAAATTTCTAAACATAAGAAATCAGTTTTATGTGAGAGATATGTGACCAAGCACCTAGAATCTTTTGACATTAAATATGAGAATGTTTTTATCATATGATATCCAAAAGATGATTGAATTTTGGCAAATGTTTACATTCACTTTATTACTTAAAACACTCAAAGTCAATGTAAAGGTAAAAATACAAGATAAATAATGATTTGTAGGAAAACTTTTGAAGTATAGAATGACTCCAATTTTATTATGCCAATTATCACTATTTACTAGAGAATGTGTAAAATTTTGATAACATGGTAAGTATTATTTTTGACATAGCGTTGTTCCATCTTGGACATATATTTGTTGAAAAGTAGTAGATGGTATTCTACAGAAACATCTTTATCACTGCAATCATTTCTATGCCTGGTTTCCTCCAGCGTGCTTTTCCGTTGTCTGACTCACTCAGGGCTAGACTAACACTGGGATTAGCATGTGATGGGTCCATTCGCTTTCCGGTTGCTTTGTCTTCACAATGATCTATTGTAAAATCACCTGGTTAAGTTTATTTTTAGAATTTGTAGAGACAGATTTTGGGCATTACTTTCCGTCTCAATCATATGATCTCCTAATTGATGCTATTTAGAAAAACAAAAGGGAGATTTCAACGTGTTTAAATACATCAGCCATATAGAAAAGGACATCTCTTGAGACTTCACTTCAGCTTCACTGACTTCTTGACTCTCCTCTTGAGTAAAAGGTAATATGTTCAAGTACAATCTAATATTATATATTAGCATAAGCTTTTGTTTGCTAAAATCAATAGTAACCCACTTATGAAAATGTATATTATCTATTTAAATCTAGTTTACTTGAATTGCGTATTTGCCTAAATAAATAATTTACATTTTTGTATATTACCTATAGAATACCATAATTTCTAATAGGACTGTTCAAATTAGCATAGATGATTTATCTAATAAATATTTCCTTTAAAAACTCACACACAAATTCATTTTATTTTATTTTATTTTACTTTCTTATTTTACTTTAAGTTCTGGGATACGTGTGCAGGACATGCAGATTTGTTGCATTGGTAAACGTGTGCCATGGTGGTTTGCTGCACCTATCAACCCATCATCTAGGTTTTAAGCCCCGCATGCATTAGTTATTTGCCCTGATGCTGTAATGTGTACAATTTTGTACTCGGGATCTGAAGATGACTTCCAGATCTCAATTCCTATGAATTAACACCAGCAATCATCACGCAAAGTAAATTATGTGGAATATGGCAATGTATTACATCCTCTCTGATGGTGGGACCTCAATTAACTCTTTTTATTTCCTTGTCTAGATACCTAATATCTACTTTCTTAATTATTAATTCTACATTTAACTTAAACCAGGAGTTCAAATTTTACAAGAAGATACTGATAAATTCTCTCTTGGTAAATATATTATTATAAAGGTTTATTTTTAAAAATTTACTTTCTTCTTAATAGGAAACTATTTTATTACTTTTTTATTGACCTTTCCATCATTTAAAACAGTGCTGTTATAATGCAAAGCATATACTGTATAAGAGTTAGTCATCTCAATCTTACTAATTTGTTTAACTCATTTTCATTCATTTGTGTTATGGCAGAAAAGAAAGAGTTTACTGTTCCAAATTTTTATTGATGTGTTACTTGGGAAATATGTTTTTCATAACCATTAATTGTATATTGATTATCTATGTTCGTTTATCTATCAGTTTATGTGTTAGTAAAAGAAGACCAATTTCTTAGAACCCTTTTTTATTTTGTACTTGCAACAGAATTGACAATCATTAACAACAGTAAAATTCTCATGCCTTTTGTATCATAAAAAGAGTTGTAGTAGGATTTATATATTAGGTAATAGAAAAACTTCAAAATACATAATTTTTATAGTTAGTCCTATAGTAGAAGTTTCCATTTAATTGAGTGAAGCAAAATAAACGAATAAATAATATGGTAAATGCCATAAATCTTGGGTTCTGCTTTTCATGATAGAGATGTAGGGCTGTTTAAGAGCAGGACATTTTATTATAATTAGATGAAAAATGTTACTGTAATGTTATATCACAAATGACAGGAAAGAGAGATTAGAAAAAAATTTTTAAATTACCTATTAATGAATTACTTTATAACTGCAATTAACAGCCAAAAATGCCATGTAACTGTAAGTCTTGTGGTAATTGTATTTTCCAATGGAAATGCTTTTATTTACGTTTGTAATTTAGAAATAAGTAACCTGCTATACTTTTTTATATCTGCAAAGGAACTGGATACACTTGCATATACATAATTATAAAAGCATATCAGAGTCCCAGATGAGGCTAACTTTGTTGAATAATATTATTTGAAATATTGAATAATCTTCACCAGTTCAACTTCTCAAAGTAGATACAATCATTTTCCCTGTGAATTCTCTTCATTTTATTTTTCGCTACCCAATATCACTAATGTTCTAATCTCAGGGTTACACCATCTGTGGATTCTGTAATAGAACTCTGGCTCATAGTCACTGACTTTATTATAAAGCCAGTCTCCATTGCTTTTCATTCTACTTTCCTAATATCTCTTTACACTGTACCTTAATTAGCATTCTTAATGTCATTATATAAGTCCCCTGTAGTGTCACAACAACCTAAGTGGTCATCTTTTCTCCAGTTTTGTCCTCCCTATGTGTTGAACTGTTTGCATTTTTAACATGCTTTCCTCTCTGTTTTATTTCTTTATAGGCTCCCAACACCACCCTTTACTCATTCCATATAATCCAACTCAAGCTTGCCTTTCTTCATTACCTTCTTACTCCCATCCTCTTGGTCTGTTTAAGATGTCCATTTGTGTGTTTCATTAGCATATTAATATTTCCAAATCAGAGCACTCACCTTTACTTATCAATTCATGAGGCCATGCCTGGGGCTCACACCTGTAATCCAAGCATTTTGAGAAGACAAGGCAGGAAGATTCCTAGAGCCCAGGAGTTTCAGAACTGCCTGGGAAATATAGTGAGACTAAAAACATTCTCTACTAAAAAAAAAAAAAAGAAAGAAAAAATTCGCTGGGCATGGTGGCACACACTTGTAGTTCCAGCTACAAGTGGGACTAGGGAGGCTAAGGTGGGAGGATGGCTTGAGACCAGATGGTCCAGGCTGCAGTGATCTGTGCTCATGCCCCTGCACTCCAGCCTGGAAAACAGAGCATGTCTCCCAATGCTTTGAAGCATAGTGTCATCAATAGAAGTTTGATGAATGAATGCATGAAAGAATGTGATTACTGATTTTTCATGTTTGATTTTATAGGACTCAGCCAACTATGAAGTTTTTTGTCTTTGCTTTAGTCTTGGCTCTCATGATTTCCATGATTGTAAGTATATCTGGAAATTTTAAATACTACATTCTCAGTACTTATCCCAAGTGTCTCTCTTATTCCTTGTGTTCTGGTATATACTCATGTTGACCTCAATACAGCTTTATAAGCTTTAATATTTCCCTACAAGGAGTTTCTTTGAATTAACTTATGTAAGTTCTTTAAGGACTTGGAATAGATATTCATCACATACCTACAAACACTCAAGTACAATTACTTGAATGTAAAAGTAAAAGAAAATTTAGCGAGCTTTTTAAATATGTGGGACTAAGATCTGTGAAAGTATCTTTAAATGTGAAAAGCTCTAGACCATCTGAAGTTAGAAATCTGAGGAAAGAAAAAGGTGCACTTCAATGGAACCCAAGTATTAGAGGGTGTCAAAATAGGAATTTTCAAGTCATTTCTTGCACAACCTACTCTTAAAGTCAGCATACAATTATTTAATTCTTCCTAAAATAAAGCTGCTTATTTTAAACCATAAAACAAATCTCCATATTTATTAAGTGTCATGAGTTCCCAGCTCTATTGTCATTTACTACTGTGTATTAGTAGGAAAAGCACTTGACCTCTTTGGAGCTCTTTCTCCTTCTCTACTTCCACCGCCTCTTCCTCCTCCTCCTCCTCCTCCTCTTTCTATGAACTTAATAGAAAATTGGTCACAAAAGAATAATAATACTCCAAACTATCCACTAAATTCTAATGAATGTTTCGAAACTGAATTGGTTATGATATCACAGTTTATCACGTGATTTTATTATAAAAGGATAGAAGTAGAAAAATAAACAAATAAGAACAGAGTAAAGCATAATGCCTGTCTCTATCAGCAAATAAAATATTTGTATGTTGGTAGCTTTTGAGCTACATGGAACATATTCATATAAAAAACAATCCAGAGTTTCATTTTTCAGTTTCCACTCTCTTATTCACCAGTGACAGACTTTTCCTGCCTTACATAAAAAAGATATATAAACCAAAATGAGTTGATATTTGAATATAGCACATTAATTATAGCATTTACCCCTCACTCATTTTGAAGATGTCATAAAGCTAAAATAACTAATTTAGTCTGTCATCAACCAAAGAATGCCTCCATTCTGTTTAATCATATATGTGGCTAAGTCAATATTTATACTTACTCTTGAATTATAAAATTAAAATATTAATTATTTTCTCATTTTCTTTTTTTCCAAGAGCGCTGATTCACATGAAAAGGTAAGACATTTTCATTTACGGGAAAACTTGATAAATAAACATATATTGAATTTTTAATCTTTTCTTTTTATTTCATAGAGACATCATGGGTATAGAAGAAAATTCCATGTAAGTGTTCTTCTGATAATGTGCACTCTAAATAAATTTTCCTCTCTGACTATTTATTCTCCTAGAAGAATCAATAGTTGTCTCTCAAATATATCTATATCATTAATTGCTAAAGTGCACATTGATTTCATTTATTTATGATGCAAAGGCAAAAAGTCACAAATATCTTGTGTCCTAAAAGCATTTCAACAGAAACTCAATTCCACCTGAAATAAGTCAATTGTCAATTATTCTCTGAGAACTTATCTTTGTCCTGTAAATAATTTCATTGACCTAAAGAATAGTTGAAATCCTAATTCTATTAAGTATAACATATGCTTAATAAAGCATAGAGGCTACTCATGTAATGTGGTAAGTTTCTACCTTCTGAATTTTTGAGGATGATACAGTCTTTAAATTAAACTGACTGTGCTAAATTAGACAGAAAATTGTATTTCTCTAACATTTTTCTCACTGTATGTATATAAAGTCTCATGTTATTTTGACCTGTAATATCAATATGAATCTGGGTTCTAAAGTTCTCCTTACTAACATAGCAAGTATACATGTTAAAAAAGCACCAAGTAAAAAGATGCATAAAAATGGATGAAGACTGTTTGTGTTAACAGCAGTGGGTATGAAAGAATGTAGGAGTTGTAAAGGAAAGTAAGATCACTAAAGGAATGACATTAAGAAGCACCACCTAAGTTGGAAACAGTAACTTAATCCTTTCCATAATACTCAATAGTGAGCAAAATAGTAGCTTGGAGGTAATATTTTAAAGAAGATTTGAACCCTGGTTAGAGAGGTTACCTATAATCAGTGTTTCCACCTGTGCTATTGTCACAAAAATATCAGCAAACAGTAAATACTTTATCATTTTTACCTACTTTTAGACATTTTTCTGATAAAAAAGAAAAATGTAAAAGTTTGAAAACATTTATGTAGATAAAATACAAGGTCTTAACAACTTTAGCAATCTAAGCTTTTAATGACAGTTTTTGAGAAACACTTGTATTGTCATTCTCTATTCTCTGCAATTTGCTCTCTCCTTTTGTGTGTATGCAGGAAAAGCATCATTCACATCGAGAATTTCCATTTTATGGGGACTATGGATCAAATTATCTATATGACAATTGATATCCTTAGTAATCATGGGGCATGATTATAGAGGTAAGCTGACTCTAGTTGCTTGTCTTTCTAGAAGTGTCAACACTGACAGTTTAAAAAAAAAGCCATAAGCTAACAACCATTCCAGTTTAAGAAATGTAGCATGGGTTAGCTCCTTGAAGTGTATTCATTTGTATAAATGCTTCTGAAGCTGTAGATATGTGGTGTTATTTCTGAGGTCTCTGTTCTGTGCCATTGGTCTGTATGTTGTTTTGGTACTGGTACCATGCTGTTTTGGTAACTGTAGCTTTGTAGTATAGTTTGAAGTCAGGTAGTGTGATGCCTTCAGCTTTGTTCTTTTGCTTACAATTGTCTTGGGTATATGAGCTTTTCTTTGGATCCATATGAAATTTAAAGTAGTTATTTCTAATTCTGTGAAGAATGTCAATGGTCATTTGATGGGAATAGCATTGAATCTATAAATTACTTTGATCAGTATGGCCATTTTCATGATAATGATTTTTCTTATCCATGAGAATGGAATGTTTTTCCATTTGTTTGTGTCCTTTCTTATTTCCTTGAGCAGTGGTTTGTAGTTCTCCTTGAAGAGGTCCTTCACATCCTTTGTTAGCTGTATTTCTAGGTATTTTATTCTCTTTGTAGCAATTGTGAATGGGAGTTCATTCATGATTTGGGTCTCTGCTTGCCATCTGATATTCAACAAACCTGACAAAACAAGTAATCAAGAAAGGATCTCCTATTGAATAAATGATGCTGAGAAAACTGGGTAGCCATATGCAGAAAACCGAAACTGGACCCCTTCCTTACACCTTATACAAAAATTAACTCAAGACAGATTAAAAACTTAAATGTAATACCCCAAACCATGAAAACCTGAGAAGAAAACTTAGGTGATACCATTCAGGACAGCCGTTGGCAAAGACTTCATGTAAAAAAATGCCAAAAGCAATTGCAACAAAAGCCAAAATTGACAAATGGGATCTAATTAAACTAAAGAGCTTCTGCACAACAAAAGAAACTATCATCAGAGTGAACAGGCAACCTAGAGAATGGGAGAAAATGTTTGCAATCTACTCATCTGTCGAGCTCTAATATCCAGAATCTACAAGGAACTTAAACAAATTTACAAGACAAAAACAAACAACCCCATCTAAAAGTGGGCAAAGGACATGAACAGATAGTTCTCAGAAGAAGACATTCATGCAGCCAACAAACAAGAAAAAAAGCTTATCATCACTGATCATTAGAGAAATGCAAATAAAAATCACAATGAGATACCATCTCACTACCAGTCAGAATGCTGATTATTAAAAAGTCAAGAAACAATAGATGCAGGTGATGCTGTGGAGAGACAAGAACACTTTTACACTGTGTGTGAGAATGTAAATTAGTTCAACCATTGTGGAAGACAGTATGGTGATTCCTCAAGGATCTAGAACCGGAAATACCATTTGATGCAGCAATCCCATGACTGGGTATATACCCAAAGGAACGTAAATCATTCTACTATAAAGACATATGCCTACATATGTTTATTGCAGCACTATTTACAATAGCAAAGACATGGAACCAACCCAAATGACCATTAATGATAGACTGGATAAAGAAAATGTGGTACATATACACCATGGAGTACTATGCAGCCATACAAAGGAATGAGATCCTGTCCTTTGCAGGGACATGGATGAAGCTGGAAGCCATCATCCTCAGCAAACTAACACAGGAACAGAAAGGAAACAGCACAAGGTCTCACTCATAAGTGGGAGCTGAACAGTGAGAACACGTGAAGACAGGGAGGGGACAACACAAACCAGGGATGGAGGGGAGGGAGTAAGGGAAGGTAACAGAGGACTGATCAATAGGTGCAGCAAACCACCATGGCACACATATACCTATGTAACAGAACTGCATGTTCTGCATATGTATTCTAGAACTTAAAGTAAAATTAAAAAATAAAATGAAATAAAATAAAAATGCCTCCGAGGGAAAGCTTCTGTTCACCAGTGTTAAGATGCTGAGTTCTGGGTAGGAACTATAGTTCCAGTTCTGACCTGGAACTATTCCTAATCTTCTCCATACCTCAGTTTTCTAATCGACAAATACATATTATAATACTACTTAAGCTTTTTATAGAGTTGGAAAGACTATTGAGAGACATTATATAGAAGCCCTTGTTCTGGAAGGTGTATGGTTGTGGCCATAGGCTTCTCTGCCACTAACACTGTACATGGATGTTATTTGAAGTTTTCTGTCCTAAAATGAAATCTTTGAAGAAGTTGCACAACCACCATCTGGGAACTCATAAAAAATTTACATTTTATGCCTAAGCAACTCTAATGAGCAATTGCTATAGGAATGACTAATATAACATCAACAAGGAGATGGGAATTTTCAAGGAAATAGAAAATGGTAACAATTTCCTTTTCATAAAGTCAGTTTTATTTATCTATATTCACAGCATAAAATGTTCCAAAATCTATGAGATACTAAAGATTACATTTCAAAATAAAGCAATATTTTGGAGATAACAGAGTACTGTTCTACAATTCAAAGCTGAAATAGTTCAAAAGGTGTCAAATATTTTTTAATGTATTGGGACATTTTATTCATATTGAATTCCTGCTCTTTGTGATATCAGAAAAAGCCTGATCTTTATCCTCCAGGTGTTAGATAATTGCTGATGACATTTAATCAGGGGAGGATATATTTAAAATATTATTTGGGGGAGATAGATGAAATGTGTAGGCTATATTTAAGTGGAAGAATAAAGTAAGATGATGATGGAAAACCTCAAGAAAAATTTAAATTTAATTGCAAATGCTGAATGATAATTTTTATTTATTCTGATACCCACTTAATGAGTATTTAATTGTCTACTCTATATCAAATAGTATTTTGGTCCCTGCATTATAATAAATAAAACTATCTATAAATACATACTTTCTGCCAGCAAGAGTATAAATTTATTTATAGGAGTATCCATTTTGAAGATAAAGTGTTATTTTCTTTTTCTTCACAGGTTTGACTGGCAAATTCACTTTTTACTCATTTATTCTCATTCATCATACCGCATCACACTACCACTGCTTTTTGAAGAATTATCATAAGGCAATGGAGAATAAAAGAAAGACCATGATTTAGTGAATTCTGTGTTTCATGATACTTCCCTTCCTAATTATCATTTGATTAGATACTTGCAATTTAAACTGTTAAGCTGTTTTCACTGCTGTTTCTGAGTAATAGAAATTCATTCCTCTCCAAAAGCAATAAATTTCTAGCACATTATTATGTGTATGCTCTTTATTTCTCTTTTTTATATTTACATATATAAAGATTTCTTTCTTCACTTCGTTTTCCCAGTTTGAGTAGCACTGACTATAGTACTTTATACCATAGCTCTTTTGAAATGATTATTTTTAATTTAGCATGTTATATTCATTTTGTGTTACAAACATATGGTCCTCAATCACATCTAGATTACTAGACCTACTGATACGAACATTTGATTTGTTTCTGGTGTCCTTTGCCACAGCACATTTCTTAGCCTTGTACATTCCCACATTTCTTATCTCAGGCCCTACAGTCCAGAAGATGACCCCCATGTCACTCCACAGCAGTAGGCAGGCACTCAGAACACAAACCATCTAATGCTCTCTATCAGTTTGTCAATATAGCCATTGAACAAAAATTTATTGAGTGATACCAGCTGTCAGATACTGTTCTAGAGGCTGCAGTCACAGAAAAAGAGTCAGAGCCCTGTTGTCAGAGCTTTTACATTGCAATTGGGAGATGCAGACAAAAAGTAAACAAAGAACACATGACTTAGGCAATAATAAGTGTGCTAAAGAAGTGTAAAGCAGGACTAGGATATAGAAGCAGCCTCAAATAGGATAGTCAAGGATAACCTCTCTGGTATAGGTGACCTTTTAGAAAAGATATAATTTAAATATGGGAGTAAGCATGAAGAAAGACATTTTCAAGCAGAAGAAATAACAAGTACAAATCCATTGTGAATTTTTGGTTACATATGAGTTGTAGAATAGTTTCTCCACTCTTGTGTAAAATGATGGCAATTTCATAGGAATGGCATTGAATCTGTATATTGTTTTGGACAATGTAGCCATTTTAATAATATTGATTCTTCTAATCCATGAGCATGGAATGTTTTCCATTTGTTTGTGTCTTTTGTGATTTCTTTCAACAATGTTTTGTAGTTCTCCCTGTAGAAATCTTTCATCTCCTTGGTTAGATGTATTTATAGGTTTTTATTTTGTGTGTGTGTGGCTATTGTAAATGAGATTGTGTTCTTGATTTGACACCTTGCATATGATTCATGAATAGAAATGCTACTGATCTGTGTCCATTAATTTTGTTTCCTGAAACTGTACTGAAGTGGTTTATCAGTTCCAGGAGTCTTTTGGTGGAGCCTTTAGGGTTTTGTAGGTATTGAATCAAATTTCCATGAAGAGAGAGAATTTGACTTCCACTTTTCCTAGTTTTTTATTACTATATCTTGTTGATAGCTCTTTCTATTTCTTTCAATATTATGTTGAATAGGAGTGGTGTGATTGGACATCCTTGTCTTGCTCCAGTTCTCAAGGTGAATGCTTCTAGTTTTTGCCCATTCAGCATGATGATGGCTGTGGGTTTGTCACAGCTAGTTCTTTTTATTTCAAGATATGTTCCTTCGATGTCTAGATCGTTAAGGGTTTTTATCATGAAGGAACGTTGAGTTTTATCAAAAGCTCTTTCTGCATCTGTTAAGATTATATGGTTTTTGCTTTTACTTCTGTTTATGTGGCAAATCACATTTATTGATTTATGTATGGTGAACCAATCTTGCATCTCTGGAATGAAGCCTGCTTGATAATGGTGAATTAACTTTTCGATGTGCTGTTGGTATCGGTTTGCTAGTATTTTGGTGAGGATTTTGCATCTATATGCATCGAGTATATTGGCCTATAGTTTTCTTGTGTGTGTGTGTGTGGGTGTGTTTGTGTGTGTGTCTGTGTGTGTCTTTGCTAGGTTTTGCTATTGCAGTGATTCTGGCTTAACAGATGAGTTAGGGAGGAATCTCTCCTCCTCAGTTTTTTGGAAAAGCTTTAGTATAATTGATACCAGCTCTCAGTATGTCTGGTAGAATTAAGCTGTGAATCCATGTGGTCTGGGGCTTTTTTTTTTTTTTTGATTGGTAGGTTTTGAATTACTGACTCAATAATTAAACTCAATATTTGTCTGTTCCAGGTATCCATTTCTTCCTGGTTCAATCTTGAGAGATTGTCTGTTTCTAGGAACTTATTCATTTCTGCTTGGTTTACTAGTTGTGTGCATAGAGGTGTTCATAATTGTCTCTAAGGATCTTTGCAATTCTGTGGACTCAGTTGTAAAGTCACCTTTGTCATTTCTGTTGGTTCTTATTTGAACCTTGTCTTTTATTTTTTCTTATTAATCTAGCTGGCAGTCTATTGATCTCATTTATCTTTTGAAAAAACTAACTTTTGGTTTCATTGATTTCTTGTATGGCTTCTGGTTCCGAGTTCCATTTACTGCATTTACTTCTTATCCTAATGCTTTTTATTTGCTTGCTTGTTGTTGTTGTTGTTTGAGACAGAGTTTCACTCTTGTCACACAGGCTGGAGTGCAATGGCATGATCTTGGCTCACTGCAACCTCCACCTCCCAGGTTCAGGCGATTCTCCTGCCTCAGCCTCCTGTGTGGCTGGGATTACAGGTGCCCACCACCACACCTGGCTAATTTTTGTTTTTTGTTTTGTTTTGTTTTGTTTTGTTGGTGGAGACAGGGTTTCACCGTGTTGGCCGGGCTTGTCTCGAACTCCTGACCTCAGGTGATCTGCCCACCTCGGCCTTCCAAAGTGCTGGGATTACAGGCATTAGCCACTGTGCCCAGCCATATCCTGATGTTTTATTAAGAATCTGTAAGTTTCATGAGGGTCAGCAAAGTCCTTCATGATGAGTCTTCTCAAACAGTTGTATGATTCTGCAGGAGTAATGTCACCTTGAGTGCCCACATAAAACAAACCCTCTTAACCCCAGCATTTACCATGACTGGATAATAGGGATATTCAGTGGGTGAATATGCCAGCTATCATAAAGCCAGTCCCACATGGCTTGCATATGAAGCATATCAGCTGCTTCATCTTGGTGCTGCACTTGGCATTTTATAGGGAGAGTTGGGCAGTCCCCTTCTTAGGAAAAACAGACCTTACAGTGGTGTTTATCCAGTCCACTAGGCTGGTCATTCTTTCTGGAATGACCTCCTGTGCATATGGATCACATATACGCATCAACAATTCTTTAATAGTGAGCTGTGGAGCCTGAATTAACCCAAACATACTTTTTCATTCCATAGCATTTAAAATTAAGGATACTGTCCTTAAAGTAGTTATTTTTACAATCCATTATCAGAAAGATTTCTCATGAAGGAGATGATACCAATTTACAAAATGCAATTATACCCTCTGGATTTTGTACTTACTTGATTTTGCCTTTCCCCCACATTGACTATCCTTTTAGTAACCACAGGTCTCAGAGGTAACTTTTTGTTGCTCTGGGTTAATAGTTTTCTTTTGGGTAGCTTTGAGGTTAGTGGCCTGAGCTGAGACATTCCCATATCTGAGCTTGGTCTAGCCTGAAGACCCAACCCAGCATGCTTTTACTTTCATTTTAGCTATTTATAGATAACAATAAGCAAGTGATTGAATATTTTGCGTTTTTCTTATTAGTTTGCATTTCCTCATGCATTGGGTGAACTAATTCCCTGAGAGTATGGGTATGATACAGCTCTAAATTCCACTGGTAACTTTTATCTTTAGTAACTGAATGCAGCCCAGCTAAAGCTCCTGAAGATGGGCAACCACACGGCCACCCAAGAGTCAAGGTTTCTCATTCCACATCTTTTCATTTTCTCTTAATCCATTTAGTTTTTTCTGTATAATTTTTCCTTCATTTAAAAATGACTCTTAAATAGTCTTTAAACAAGAAAAAAATACACTTTTCTTTAGCAAAAAAAATACATCTTTGTGTTTTATAAACTTCATCAGAAACACCTTTCACTCTCCTACTATTTTAACTCTTAGTAACCCCATTCCCAGTGAAAAAACATGGTTTAACAAACCATGACTTTAAGATTTTAAATTACTGGAGAGAATTTTGAGATTAAATTTACCAAAGTAATCTTACCAAAGATTACCCAAGTCATGTGAAATAAAAGGTATCTGAGTTAGCCTCTATTAGCCTGCTAAGCACTGACTTTTCTTTAAGCCAATAGATTAGAGCTTTTTCAAATAATTTGGTAGTGAAACATCACTTCCACGTGACACATACAAATATATAAATGTAATAGACATACAAAGGCCAGTCCAAAAGATTTTTCATTTGGCTGTTTTGAAAAAATTCTCTCACTTACTTTAGATTATTAATAAAGAGATGTTATAGGAGCCAACAAAAGGTGAAGGAGAGTTATCTACCATCTCAGGCCTTTTCAAAACAGAGAAAGCATCAAACTTCTGGGATATCAATCTGAAGAATTGCAAAAAGAAATGCTTCTTGAACAACCAGCCTTATTATTTTAGAAGAAAAAATTCAAAATATAAGATTATTACTAATATAAAGTTGAATTTCTACTAACATTTTTCTTCTTACCAAAAGTATCTTTTTATATCTATAACTTTCCTTATATTTCTCTTATTTTCTGGTTCCTTTTACTTCATTTTATATACCTCTAAATAACCTTTGAATTAGACAAAAAATATTTACCTCTTAATAAAAAAACACTGTTTAAAATATTTTTCTGTATTTTTAAAATTGGAAATTACCCAGACATTTAATTAATGTCTATTTTTTAATATAATCTTAGATTCTAAATTGTATGACAAGTTTAGCATAGTGGATTGACCTGTCTTGATAGTGGGTGGGACTCCACAGTGTTTCACCACTGAGTCATTTCCGCCCTCTTACATGCCTTGGTTTCTCTCTTCAGAGGTCTCCTACCACCAAGAAGGTTCAAAACATGGAGTGACCAGCTCCCATATACATTTCCTTAATGAGTCTTTTTAAACTAAAGTTGTTGGGGGTTCCCCGCAGGGCTGCTGCACATCACAGGAGGTCAACCCTCCAGATACTCTCACTTGGCTTCTGGTCACCCAGGGGCACCTTTCGGCTGGGAGGAGCAAAATGCCCTTTCTCTTCGGAACTGAGAAAACTCAGCCTCTCATTTATCTAGGAAAACAACAGTTCAGTTCCTCACATGAATATGCAGACAAGACAATTGTGCTAATTTGGGAGAAAAAGCAATAGAGAAGACCCTTTAGAATGCACCTCTCTGAACTGGAAACCAAACAGGTTGCCCAAAAGGAGGTTATTCTCCTTGTCTTTAAAAAAAGGCAATGGAAAAGATCCTGTAGAATGCACCTCTGTAGGAGAATCTCTTGAACCCGGGAGGCGGAGGTTGCGGTGAGCCGAGATCGCGCCATTGCACTCCAGCCTGGGCAAAAAGAGCGACACTCCGTCTAAAAAAAAAAAAAAAAATGCACCTCTCAAATAGAATTAGGATCCTAAACAACTTCCTAGCACGAAAAAAAAATGCAGCTCAGAATAAATCAAGGACCCTCAACCAAAGGGACGTTCAGGGCTCAGGAGGACTTGCCAGTTTCACTAGAGGAGAAGCTCAAAGTCAGGGAGGCTTTCAATGGGCCCCTGCTTGTACCCTAGCTCCAAGTTTGGGCAACTCCTTCAGGGTCCTGAGTCTTCTCTGAGGCCCCACATGCTCAGGCAACAAATTATTGTTCACAAAAATAATCAAACTGTAAAATATTTGAAGAGGTTTATTCTGAGTCAAAAATGAGTGACCAATGGCCTTTGACACAGACCATAGGAGATCCTGAGAACACGTCCCCAAGGCAGTCAGGGTACAGCTTAGTTTTATACATTTTAGGGAGACATGAGACATTGATCACTACATGTAAGCTATGTTATACATTGGTTTTGTCCAGAAAGGTGGGACAACTGGAAACAGGGGCTTCCAAGTCATAGATAGATTCAACAATTGTCTGATTGCCAATTGAGTCAAAAAGTTAGGTTATTGTCTAAAGACTTAGGAAAGACTGGGTTAAGATAAGGGGATGTGGACACCAAGGTTCTATCATGCAGGTGAAGCTTCCATGTAGCAGGCTTTGGAGAAAATAGACTGTAAATGTTTCTTATCAGACTTAAAGAGTCTGTTCTATCAGTAATTCCAACAGGGACGAGAGTATAAAGAGGCATGTTTAACCCTCTGCTTCCCATCATGGCCTGAACTAGTTTTTCAGGTTAGCTGTGGAATGTTCTTGCTGAGAGGAGTCCGTTCAGATGGTCAGGGGCCTTACAATTTTAGTTTTGGTTTGCACCTGTAGGTATTAACACACTCAAGGTTGTTTTACAGTTCATTTAAGTCCTGTGTTGTTTTCTTAGTTTTTCTCTATTATTTTTGACATTTTTATTCCTATATTTTCAATTTTCTTCCTTACAATTTTAGTTTTGGTTTATATCTGTAGGTATTAACACACTCAAGGTTGTTTTACAGTTCATTGAAATCCTGTGCTGTGTTTTTAGTTTTTCTCTATTATTTTTGATAGTTTTAGTCTTATATTTTCAATTTTCTTAACTTTTTTCTTTATTATCTGGCATGCTGTTAATTATGTACTTTTTATGTCAGATATTGTATTTTTAAATATACTCATGCTCCCTCTAGTTTAACATAGACAATATAGTTACAACACATATTTGTATTATTGTTTACTAATTCTATCATTTGTATCACTTCTAGGACTATTTGTATTGATTGATTATTTTTCTTCACTGCAAGTCATGTTTTCTTTCTTTGTTACACGCCTGGTAATTCTTTATTGGCTGACAGACCTTGTGATTAGCTTGTTTGAGCCCTGAATTTTTTTATTCATTTAAATATCATTGAGCTATGTTCTAGGTCATAGTAAAGTTGCTTTTAAACAATTTTCACTTTAGACTTGCTTTAAAGCTTTACTAGGAAATGCAGAACAGAAAATTCATTCATTTATAGGTAAACTTAACACATTACTCAAGCAATACCTTTCTAAGTATTCTAACCATGCCATGTATACTACAAGGTATTTCCACTCTGGCTGATGGTAACATGATCTATTCCCAGTCCTGTTTGTGCTCCAGGCATTATACCATCTGCTTCTTTCTGATGTTCTTTCCCCAGCCTCATAGAGTTTTCTTGCATTCATTCCTGCTAATCAAAACTCAGCAGATAATTAAAGATAACCCTCTTTAGATCTCCAGAATTCCTTCCCTGTGCAATTCCTTCCTATCTTTGAAATCTTTTCCTCTTCAGTATTAGGTATTAATTTTAGAGGCTTCCATCCATTAATCTCAACTATATCTCTTCAATTAAGGGAATTGCTTATTCTATTTAAACGCTTCCTTTCTCTGTTGCAATTTGTACATTTTTTCCTCATAATAAGGTGAGATAATTATTATAGGGCTCATCTCACTCTTTTCCCTTCTCTTGGGAATCACCATCCTGCATTTCTTATTGTATAAGACAGGAAAATTTTTATATCATTTATTTTGTTATTTGTCTAGTTACTGAAAACAGGAGTTAAGGTAAATGCAGTCCCTGATACGCAATTCTGGCCAAAAACTGAATTCCAGAGTAAAAGTGTTTTGAGGTTTTCACAAGGCCCTAAAAGTCCTGCGTTATTTGGCTCCTTTTGTTTCTCTGACCTCAGGTTAACCAGATTTACTCAACCCCAGCCACACTCTTCTATTTGTTATTTTTAAACATGCCACGCATGATCCTATTTTAAGGCCTGCACTAGGTTGCTCTTCTCCCAGCATTCTTCCTGGTTTATACATTTACTTCTTTACATTTTTACTCTTTTGCTCAGGGAGGATTTCCTAGCTATGCTATCTAATATTGAAAACCCCTTCCCTAACAAAACTTCTTATTTCTTTTTCCAATTCCGTTTTCCCCTTAGTATTTATCACTATCAAACCAACTATAGATTACTTAATTATCATGTTTATTAGTCTCCCTTTCAGTTAAACCATAAACTCCATAAAGCATGGAACTTTTCTTTTTTCATGACTCTATTTTATGTGTTCAAAAGAGTTCATGGCATATAGTAGGTTCTCAGTAAATCTTTGTTCAGTCAAATATAGTTATATATTAGCACCTATCTACATATAAATTTTTATATTTTCTTTTAATTAAATGTAAAAAACCATACACCAACTGTATAAGGAATTGTGTTTGTATGAGAATCACAGGATATTTTCACAGCTTTGTCCAATTTTAAGCTGATGTTTTAAAACAGAAATTTATCAGGCATTTCCAATGAGAATTTGAGAGACGGAAATTCTTGCTCACACAAAATGAGGAGTCACAAAGACACAAGAATTCATGTTGTGCTCAGGAAAGGGTCTGAATGAGGCATAAAGAGTAACAAGAAATGGGGCACAAATATTAGCTATGGGAAATTTGATAACAGGAGACAAGGAAATAAAAAAATACTTATCTTAAATCAAAAAACTATTTCATGAATGAGGCTACATACAAAATACAGCCAATTATTAAGTATTATAACATCCTCATTTCCTGTTATCATGTTCTAAATCAAACTGTCCTAAAGCACTCCTTGGAATTTGTGGAACAAAAATCAAGAAAAAAATTTCTAACCATTCTGACTTCTCAGAATTCAAGTGCCTTTTTAGATATTTTAAAGCACAGAATTACCCTATTATGGAGGAACAAGGTTTAAATAGTATTAAAATAACCCACTGCAGATTTTCCACTGTGTAGTCCACTGGTCTTCTATTTGGGAAACAAGGTAATATCTTCATATATTATTTTTCTTGTATTAGGTGCTAATAAAAAATATTTTAAAGCTTATTACTCTTCTGTACAATAAAAATGCAATTATTTTTAAAGGTGTCAATATCAACACACCATAAATTGCTTAAGAAATATTTTTATTTATGACAAACTTCTTTGTTATTTTATTTTTTAATAATACAATTAATATGTTATGCTTATTATGACACAGTCTTATAGGTACTGAGGTTATTTTCTGAAGTCATGACCAAGATAATCAGTTTGTATATGGCCTCTCGACCACTTTCTCCGTCTGGAAATGGGAGGCAAAAATTCTGACATTACATAGTTATTCTGAAGATTACAGATAACAGTAAAATGTCTAGCACAATATTTGCCATAGTTGTTGCTTAGTAGTTACAGCTATTTTTAATTTCCTTTCCCAAAATATTAAGAATATGTCTAATTAAGAACTAACAGTTTCCATGTTTTAATTCTTTCATCTATGTAAAATGCTATTTATAGGTAAAATTGATATAAACACAGCCATATAAAATATATTACTTCAGGTATTTATTATAAAGATAACGAAATATGCCTTACAATTGTGAACAAAGCTTTGCCTATATGAAATATGCTCTATACATATTTATTATTTGCATCTTAGAAGAATAAATAATTATTTCATCAACTATATGGTATTATTAATGATTATTTCATCAACTACATGGTATTATTATTCACTTCAAGGGTGAGATATTTTATACTATATAATGGAGAAATCTTTCAAAAATTATGCAATAAAATATGAAGGTGTAATTTGATGCCTGTATAGACACACCCTCTGTATTCACAAAGGTGTGGATCATAAGCCCATTTTGTTATCATTGGGTAAGCTTTAAATTATCCTTTAAAAATAAATTGTAAATATGTACACTATAAAGAGTTACATATATCAAAAATATTTTAGAATAACTTTAATTTTTACTTATTCATTTAAACATAAGGAAGAGAAATTTAGTGACACGTATTCAGAAAACCTTGTGGATTTGTTTATATCAATAATATGAGACATCAGTCTAGCTGGAAGGGATCTTAGAGATCGTGTAGTCAACTCACATTTATTAAATGTGTTAAATAAGGTATGGTGATGTTCACTGGCTTACTGAAGCTTTAGTGGCCAGTCCAGGGTTAAACTGGGACCTGCAGGATTCTTTATTCCCAATCCAGTGTTAATTCTATCTGCTATTTCCTATTAGGGAGCCAGGCTGCATGTTTTGACTCCTTGAAATCTGATTTTAAAAGGAGTTCCTGTTGTATTTTGTTTTTCTGATAATCATTCTTCACAAAATGCCTGTCATTGGAGATTAGCCCCAAGAACCAATGATATTTGAATGAATCTTCCACATTTTAACAAATATGCCTTTAAATTAGTCCTGTTGAAAAAAAAGTCTCTTTCAAAATAAACTATTATATTCATATTCATATTTATGAGCTTCTCAAAAGCAAATGCTTTCAATCTTCATTATCTTTTCTCAATCATCTGGTATAAAAATAATAATAGGTAAATAAATAAAAGAATGTATAAGTTTTGGAACTATAAATTATGTGATTAATTTTCTGTACATGTTTTTACAGGACCAAACAACCATGAAGTTCTTCATCTTTACCTGCCTTTTGGCTGTTGCTCTGGCACATCATGTAAACATACTGGGACATATAGTGATATCAATTCTTATTTAAGTGTATAAGAAAAATGAACTTTTTACTATATGCAGAAGATTCAGGCATTAACAGTAATAAACAGAGACTAAATATGTGACCTTTTAGTCTATGATCAATGACATTATTGACTCTACCTTAAACAGAGTGTTCAGGCAAATAGTCTTTCTACAAAGTGACTTCACTTTAGTATTGGATAGGCTGTATGTATAGGGAAAAAAGGCAGGAATTTTCCTCCGTAATATGTTGGAATATATGTTGAAATTTTCTGGAGGGATTATTTCCACTCTGCCACATGTTTCTAGAAGTGTAAGAAAGCCTCACCACTATAATTGCGGATTCCAAAGGTAGCTATCAATGGAGTAACAGAATTTCAGCATTCTTGATAAAAGTAATTAAGAAGCCATGATGATCAAATATACACAAGGACATGTTACAGAGGATGGAGTTAGTAGCTCTAGATTTTCAGTGGCAACTTTGTAAATTATTTGCCAAATAACCCAGTGAGGATACAATAATGATATTCATGTCACAAAACTGTAAGTATGTAATAGACAATACATATAAAACTGCCTTGCATACATGGATATAGATACATATATATACATACATATATACATTTTGTACTACCTATAATTTTAATCTTCTAACATTATTAGCACCCTCATTCACAGGAAAAAAAAACTCACATACCCACCTCCTTCCCACTCCAACATGTCACTCTTCCCATAAAGTCATCTTTTACTTTTATAGTGCTCAGTGTACTCTTTTATAATGCACATCCCCATATGTAAGAGATATATACATGCAGGCATTTGTGCCTTCTTAAATTTGTAGCCAACTGAGTAAATCTAAAGTGAGAATTTCATTTTTAATATGAACAGGTTGGTTTAAAAAGTAAAAAAAAAAACAATGCTTTAGTAATCAATAATACACAGGATCAATAATTTCTTCTATCTTATGCTCTACTGGTGGTTACTAGATGTAACCACTCTCCTTCACTTTTAAAAATTAAATAATTGGCCTCAATTGTTCCATTTAATAGACAAGGACTCTCAGCTAAAAATCAAGGGACATTTGTTTCAGAGTTTTCCGGGGAAATTCAGAGTAATGTTTTCATTATTTATTGACAATATTAGAAACAGAGGTAATTTGTTAAAGGAGGCCTCATTTCATTAAATTTCCCCAAGAAGCAGTGTTACAATATTTTATTCCCATTAAATAGTAGAGACAAAGATTCACATTGGTATTTTAAATTAAATTTGTGTTTGTTTTTTGTGACTTATATAGGAGATAAAGCACTCCTCCTCTTCCAGTGAGGTAAGGTACTTTATTATAAAAACACTTCTTGGCACCTGATAATACAAATGTCCTGGGTTAGTTCCATTTTTGTGATCAGTAACAGCAGAGTTACAGAATCATGGAAAATTTGAAGTGCAATTATTGCTTGAACGTATGGGGAGAATAAACTAAAATGCATGCATCCAAATGTGACAAGATTAGATTTGTGCACTTTTCCACTTGATTCTTTGGTAGTTATCCAATAACGGTGATATTAGTATGGAAGTAATGGTGTCCTTTACATATTATTATGGAGTCCATTACATATTATTATGGAGAAAGGGGCTCAGGTACACCTACATCTATATTAAGTGCTCATTTCTAAATGTCTTCTTGCTCATGGCTACATACAAGGTGTCCAAAGCTCTTTAAGGTTGGCCAAATAATTGCCATGTTATGCTACTATATATTTCACTTAGAAATCAAAGAGAGAAAAAGACAAAGAAAAAAAAACTGTGCAGAAGACAAATAAAATTATTCCTTTGCTGTTTGCTGTTAGCATTTGCAAAAATATTGTATCTGGCTTATCCCACAAGTATATTAAGAGTTCAGATCAAGTTATTTAACTAGAATATAATAATAAGTTAATTAAGGAGAGTAAAATTTTTGGTCAGATTCACTCTGTAATTCAGGAAAAGACCAAGTATTTTATCTTGAGCTACTGTATAATGAGTATGAATTGATGCTAATTTGGGTAGTATGAATAAAATATTTCACAAGTAATCAAATGTATTATTAATTTATTTTTCTAAGTAATCTGCCAGCATCTACCAAGAAGTAAGTCATAACTTCTTACATTAAATGTTTTTAAATAATTTGTCATTTTTATATAGCTATAAAATGAATATTATTTATTTTTTCCAGAAGTTTAAGCTTAACAATAATATGGTCTTCCAAACCAGTCAGGTAAAATTCATCTGTTAATGTTGTGTTTGATTAATGAGGTGTATTTTTATCAATTATAAATTATTTTCCATGTGAGTATTATTTTTTCATCTCCAAGTGTAAAGTGAGTGATGTTTGTATTGTCTTAACTGCTATGAAATTATGTGAAAGGATCACGTGAAAACATATTTGTGGCCCATTTGTGAACCAAGTTTTCAAAGCGTCATCTCTTTGAATGGAGTTATTTATGATCAATCATCTACTCTTCACCTCACTAATTCTTGACTTTTTGGATGACCATTTAATGTATTTTACTTTATGCTAAAAAATCTATATAAGAATTATGGAAAATTATGTTTCTCTTGAATCAGGATTTGAATCAATTCCAATTTCATTTTTGGAAGGACATTTGCTCCAAATTCTAGCAAGTATAAGACCTTGATTTCAAATCTGATCTTGAGTAAAGTTGAAATTAGCACATATAAAAAGTATACTTGTTGTAAGAGAAATTTGAAAAACAGGACAAAAGCATGCACTTGTCCTAATTCAATGAATAATTCAACTGAAGAATATTAATTTGTGCAAGAATCAATGAATCCACTAAACACTTCCACAGTTATTTCCAACAAAGAATAGAGACCTAGTAATTTTGTGATTTTTAATTCCTTCAGCTAATTTTTAATATTTATCTCAAAATTTTGTCTTTTAAAATTAAATACATTTATTTTTAATGAAAACTTTTATAATCTATCTGCAAATCACAGGTTTAAGTCCTAATTATGTATTTCAAATATACATTAAAATGTTTACAGTTATTTAAAGTTAAAAATAATTATCCAGCTGCAGACTAAATTAATTTTGTGTATTCACTTATTCATTTAACAAATATTATTGAGGAAGAACTGTATCCCAAACAATATTCTAGGCTCTGAAATACCACAGCAAATAAATACAACAAACAAATTCCCTCCCTCATGGGGCTTACATTTGAATTTACTACTGTTGGCACGTTTATTATGAAATGAACAATTTTGATATAATTCTTTCAAATCCCTAAAATGAAAATGAATGCTTCTCTCTGTGGTAGGTGGGTTTTTTCTTTACATTCAGTAGAATATACCTTATAAGCAATGCTACAGGAATAATATGTCTAATTCTTTTTTAACTAGGAAACTGCAAATAAAATAGATACGATGGTGAGATATTTTTATTCATCTGAACTATATTTGATTGACAATATGTATACCTAATATTAAATATTAATAATAGTCTGTAACATATCTGGAATATTCCTCTTTTAATAATCCAGAAATTATTTTTAAAAATTTTTTTAAATTATAACTTCATCCTGCATCCATTCTTTTTATTCTCTTAAATTTGCCCTTATTCTCATAATGGAGATACTTCCATTTAAATAACAGATTATGTGAATCCCTCCCATTTGTTTTGCAAAGATGATTCATAATAAGAACCTATGAAACCTGATTATATTGTTTTTATTTCAATCCTTCTTTTGATGTTTAGTACAATGATGAAGTAGGTAATTAATGTGGAACATATCTAAAGTAACTACTGCTATTCAAGGATTCAATTTATTCCTATCACCAAATTATTTTATTTTTATTTTCATTTCAACTTATCAGCAATCTTCTAGCAGTTTATCCAGTGGGGTAAGATACTGTTTCTTTTAAAATCAAAGAAATAGCAGCTTTCTAGTAGTAGTATACAATAGTTTGATAATTTACATCTAAACACTCAAAGGGAGAAGTGGAAAAATCACATACATGACTCAAAATCATTTTGAGTGGCTGAAATTGACTATATTGAGAATTATTATTTATTCTGCCCTATTCTCTCTGCAAATGTATACATGACTCAATAGGAAATTGCATTTTTGTGCCAATCAAGAGCTTGCCAATTTCCTTCAGCATCATTTCTCTTTGGAAACCCTCTCAATATTGTTTAGCACAGCAGCTCTCAAATGGTAGCCCCCAGATAAGTAGCACCACAGCACCTGGAAAACAGTGAGAAATACAAAATCATAGTCCTCACAGCTGACTTACTAAATCAAAAACTCTGGTTTGGAGCTAAGCAATCTGTATTTTAGCAGGGCCTCTAGGTGATACTGATACACATAATACTTTGAGAACCACTTTTAAAAAGATTGAATGAAGATTTGGGTTAGGAATTGTGTAAGTCACCAACCCATGAAACATTCTGTGGTGGCGAGCCAGGTTGTAAGAGTGCCCTAGAATAGCAGGCAGTGTCATCGTGGATTATTGTCCAGTGTCCCATGACCTTGGACAAAGCCTAAGTTCTTTATAATCAGTGCCTTAGGAAGCTCACCTTAGTCTTTCCTTAATTTTAAGTGTTGATCTCAATCTGAGAGCCTTGAGCCATGTCTGTCATTTCAACAAAAAGCATGTAGGGTTTAGTTTATTACACCCTCACCAGGTCTATTTTGCATATTTTTGGTCACCTGCCTGTACTCTGTAGTCATACGAAATTGCCTGAAAAATGTTAAATTAATAAAGCATTCAAAATAAAACACATTTTAGTCCTTTTATTATGTTGACAGAAAAAGTCCTGGTGATAAATAATGTCACATATTTAATTCTTAATAAATGAGAGTATCTTAGTGCTAGTGGGTTGGACCCTGAATAATTACTCATCCCTAACTTTCTCCTAAAATTATGTAGAGACAATTATCACTATGTCATTCAAGTAAAGCTATTTATCATTTTGCTCCTTTAGGAATCTGCTCAAGTATCCACTGAAGTAAGTCATTATTTAAATAAAATTAATACCATTAGTAACATTTTTATTTCGTATTTCTCTAATATGTCCTTTGGGTTTCAATAGAACAATGAACTGACTAAGGAAGGAAGGATCTACTTAAAGCACATGGTAAGTTTTTCATACAATGTATTATTTCAAGTAAAAGAATATATTTCACAATTATTTCTTCTTCCAAATGATCACATCATTTCTTCTCAATGAAATATTTAGCACCACATTGAAATATCTAGCACCACACTTATGATAAAATTACTTTTTCCTGTTGTTGTTACTGTGATACATAAATACTATGTTAACAAATATATCTAGAGTTATCTTTTAAGAAAAATGAGCAATCCAACTAAATTTGGAAGAATTACAAACATAATAATAAATTATTAGGCTGGGCATGGTGGTGCATACCTGTAAT
Source organism: Homo sapiens (assembly GCF_000001405.40). Classification (NCBI taxonomy): domain Eukaryota; kingdom Metazoa; phylum Chordata; class Mammalia; order Primates; family Hominidae; genus Homo; species Homo sapiens. The sequence continues at coordinate 70,074,570 of NC_000004.12, forward strand.
CTTAGCACTTTAGGAGGCTGAGGAAGGAGGATTGTTTTAGGCCAGGAATTCAAGACCAGCCTAAGCAACATAGCAAGACCTCAACTCTCAAAAAAAAAAAGGAATTAAAGTGATCTAATGGAGACATCACCGTAGTTTAACAAACACAAAATTCATCACTCAGCTCTATGAAGTAGCAACAGGAATTTATAAGCTTTTAACCACTTTCATTCTAAGCCATAGGAAATCACATAACTCATCCTCTGTGGACTAGAGAAATGTGCAGTGCAAGGAAAGAGGATAGGCTTCAGGGTCAAGTGATTTCCCTTCCAACTTCAGCTCTCTAAGTTATTATTTAACCTCTGGACCTTACATTTTTCTCGACTGTAAATGAATTTAGTAATACTAATCCTACAGGTTTTTATGAGGATGATGCTAGATAATATAGGTAAATTATATAATCAATTACTTGAAAAATTTCCAAGATGTGCCAAAAGTAGCAATTATTATTAAATGTATACACAGACAAAAAATCCATTTTAAATCTTGGTCATGTTAAAACAAGATATCTAAAATAAAACTATTTTATTTTTAGAAAATTCTAATTGCCCTGATAATCTTTTTTATACTTTGTCTAAATAAATTTAATTGTATTCTTCCCTTGTTGGTTGTAATCATGTGTCCGTTTAAAACTTAACCCTGAGCAATTCAAAAAACACATGTTTTACATACCTATTTACTTATCATCTGTATGAACTGGAAATTCTCCAAGAGTGAAGATGCCATTTTAAATTATTCCATCTTTAATTTCTACAGGAATTTTTGGTTAAGTATTCACAGCAAAATCAAAGTAGAAACATACTAGAAAATTTTTCAGATGGACATATGTGACAGGTACTATAAAAACCACTCTTCATATTTCAATCCATATAAAACTTCAAGGTATGTGATGCTTATGAGAGGTAAAGCAACCAGTCCAGGGGAAAGGGAATATAAATGAGATGTCCCTACTCCAACTGCAAAGCTTCTTCAACCGGATGTGGAAAAATGAATGAAAAACTAAGACAAATTTCTTGATGAGCCTCCACTTCCCTTCACACACATTCTTTTGCTTTTTACACTCAGTAAAAAGCTTCACTTGAACAGGAATACTAAAATAGCCACATGATTTCTTTTTATTTATTTATTTTATTATTATTATACTTTAAGTTTTAGGGTACATGTGCACAATGTGCAGGTTTGTTACATATGTATGCATGTACCATGCTGGTGTACTGCACCCATTAACTCGTCATTTAGCATTAGGTATATCTCCTAATGCTATCCCTCCCCCCACCCCCCACCCCACAACAGTCCCCAGAGTGTGATGTTCCCCTTCCTGTGTCCATGTGTTCTCATTGTTCAATTCCCACCTATGAGTGAGAACATGCGGTGCTTGGTTTTTTGTCCTTGTGATAGTCTACTGAGAATGATGATTTCCAATTTCATCCATGTCCCTACAAAGGACATGAACTCATCATTTTTTATGGCTGCATAGTATTCCATAGTGTATATGTGCCACATTTTCTTAATCCAGTCTATCATTGTTGGACATTTGGGTTGGTTCCAAGTCTTTGCTATTGTGAATAGTGCTGCAATAAACATACGTGTGCATGTGTCTTTATAGCAGCCTGATTTATAGTCCTTTGGGTATATACCCAGTAATGGGATGGCTGGGTCAAATGGTATTTCTAGTTCTAGATCCCTGAGGAATCGCCACACTGACTTCCACAATGGTTGAACTAGTTTACAGTCCCACCAACAGTGTAAAAGTGTTCTTATTTCTCCACATCCTCTCCAGCACCTGTTGTTTCCTGACTTTTTAATGATTGCCATTCTAACTGGTGTGAGATGGTATCTCATTGTGGTTTTGATTTGCATTTCTCTGATGGCCAGTGATGGTGAGCATTTTTTCATGTGTCTGTTGGCTGCATCAATGTCTTCTTTTGAGAAGTATCTGTTCATGTCCTTCGCCCACTTTTTGATGGGGTTGTTTGTTTTTTTCTTGTAAATTTGTTTGAGTTCATTGTAGATTCTGGATATTAGCCCTTTGTCAGATGAGTAGGTTGCGAAAATTTTCTCCCATTCTGCAGGTTGCCTGTTCATTCTGATGGTAGTTTCTTTTGCTATGCAGAAGCTCTTTAGTTTAATTAGATCCCATTTGTCAATTTTGGCTTTTGTTGCCACTGCTTTTGGTGTTTTAGACATGAAGTCCTTGCCCATGCCTATGTCCTGAATGGTAATGCCTAGGTTTTCTTCTTGGGTTTTTATGGTTTTAGGTCTAAGATTTAAGTCTTTAATCCATCTTGAATTAATTTTTGTATAAGGTGTAAGGAAGGGATCCAGTTTCAGCTTTCTACATATGGCTAGCCAGTTTTCCCAGCACCATTTATTAAATAGGGAATCCTTTCCCCATTTCTTGTTTTTGTCAGGTTTGTCAAATATCAGATAGTTGTAGACATGCGGCGTTATTTCTGAGGGCTCTGTTCTGTTCCATTGATCTATATCTCTGTTTTGGTACCAGTACCATGCTGAGGTACAGGGTTCATCTCACTAGGGAGTGTCAGATAGTGGGCACAGGACAGTGGGTGCAGTGCAACATGGGTGAGCCGAAGCAGGGCGAGGCATTGCCTCACTCAGGAAGCACAAGGGGTCAGGGAGTTCCCTCTCCTTGTCAAAGAAATGGGTGACAGATGGCACCTGGAAAATCAGGTCACTCCCACCCTAATACTGCGCTTTTCCGATGGGCTTAAAAAACAGCGCACCAGGAGATTATATCCCGCACATGGCTCTGAGGGCCCTACACCCACAGAGTCCCGCTGATTGCTAGCACAGCAGTCTGAGATCGAACTGCAAGGCAGCAGTGAGGCTGGGGAAGGGGCGTCTGCCATTGCCCAGGCTTGCTTAGGTAAACAAAGCAGCTGGGAAGCTCCAACTGTGTGGAGCCCACCACAGCTCAAGGAGGCCTGCCTGCCTCTGTAGGCTCCACCTCTGGGGGCAGGGCACAGACAAACAAAAAGACAGCAGTAACCTCTGCAGACTTAAATGTCTCTGTCTGACAGCTTTGAAGAGAGCAGTGGTTCTACCAGCATGCAACTGGAGATCTGAGAATGGGTGGACTGCCTCCTCAAGTGGGTCCCTGACCCCTGACCACTGAGCAACCTAACTGGGAGGCACTCCCCAGTAGGGTCAGACTGACACCTCACATGGCCGGGTACTCCTCTGAGACAAAACTTTCAGAGGAACGATCAGACAGCAGCATTCGCAGTTTACGAAAATCCGCTGTTCTGCAGACACCGCTGCTGATACCCAGGCAAACAGGGTCTGGAGTGGACCTCTAGCAAACTCCAACAGACCAGCAGCTGAGGGTCCTGTCTGTTAGAAGGAAAACTAACAAACAGAAAGGACATCCACACCAAAAACCCATCTGTACATCACCATCATCAAAGACCAAAAGTAGACAAAACCACAAAGATGGGGGAAAAAAAAGAGCAGAAAAACTGGAAACTCTAAAAAGTAGAGCACCTCTCCTCCTCCAAAGGAACGCAGTTCCTCACCAGCAACGGAACAAAGCTGGACGGAGAATGACTTTGATGAGTTGATTTCTTTAATTCTAAAGTTCACTTTTTGAATGTAAGCACTATGATATTGAATAGTCCAGATATTAAATTCTGTACAAGATTGCCTTTATTCCAAATTATTATTCTTTATGCATCAAATTAGAATTACAGAATTAGAGAAAATAAAAAGTGCAGCAATGACAAGAATAATTTGTGGATGCCGACTACAACTGTAACATTCAAAGTTAGCCAGATTAGATTGGTACAGGACCAGGTTCTAGAAAAAAATGTTCAATACCATTTCTTTTGCTAGCTGTCATTGAATAACAATATTCCTTCAGGAATCATGGTGTCCATTCTCAAATTTGTAAACTGGATAAGAGGAATTTATTATATGTTTTCCAAATAAAGATTCAACTTTATACATTGTTAATTTTCAAATATATTTCTACTAATAGTGCATAACATATGCCTAGAGATACCCTGAATATCACCTAATGATTTGCCTAGTTTTGTTCTTTTGTGAAAAAGTGGTAAACTGCATGGTGGAAAGTAATATCTGAATTGATATATAATTAAGATGTCTTATCTTTTCTTTTTCCTAAGGAATCTACCAGCATCTCCCAAGAAGTAAGTCATAACTACTAAAATTAAATAAAAATTTAAAGTTATCTTTTATTACATAAATTTTAAAAAGTTATTTTTATTTCATAATGGTTATGATATAACTGTGCCAAAATGCTGGGATTACAGGCATAAGCCACCACGCCCAGCCTGAACTTCATTTTTTAATACAGCTCAGTATGAAATCTAGAGCCTGCCAATTGCTTTCACTAAAGTTTTACTCTCTCAATATTATTTAGGAGATAACTAGTATTAGTTAGGAGATAATAAGTATCATCCAGTAGGGTGAACTATATGAGTTATTTGGTGACTGCCACAAGAAATACCTATTGTAATAGAAAGAGCCAGGTAGGTGAGCACAATTGGAAAAGGTCCTGGGGAAGGGGGAAATACGGATTGTGAGCTGGAGTCTTGTGACCTGAGGCACAGTACAAGGTCTTCCTTATCGGTGCCTTAGGAAGCATATTTTATTCTTTCTTTCAATCTCAGTATAAGAACCCATATCACTCTAGAAACGGCATGTGAGCTTTGGTTTACATCACACCTCACCTGGCCTATGTGTTCATTATTTTACCTGACTACTCTCTGTAGTCATTTTTACTGTCTGAACAATGCACCTGGATGAAGACTTTGTAATAACACATATCTTTAGAAATGTGTCATTGTTAACACAGAGTGTGTGCTCTAGTAATGAATGTTTTATTGTAATGATTCTTAATTGATTTCTCTAATCGGTGATTAAGATCACTTCTCATTAACAATGACGTGGCTCTGAATTTTTCTTTTTTTTTAATTATACTTTAAGTTTTAGGGTACATGTGCACAACATGCAGGTTTGTTACATATATATACATGTGCCACGTTGGTGTGTGCTTTAGCACTTTACTATAACTAGTTACATGCAATTACTGGTGTGTCATACAAGTAAAGCTGATTTTTAATTTCTTCCCTTTAGGAATCTGCTGAAGTATTCCCTGAGGTGTGTAATTATCTTTGAAACAAAATACAATTAATATTATCCAGTAGTAATTTCTTTTGTTTTCATAACAGTTGTTTTTGGTTCTAAACAGAAAATTAAGTCAAATGAAGAAAAGAACTACCTGAAACAGCTGGTAGTTATTTCATAAACTTACAGTGCAAATAAAGAAAAAAATATATATATACACACACACATATATATACATGTATATACATATATATATATATATAAAATCTCAACTCTTTCTTCCCCTCAACTTTCACATCACTGAATTCCAAATAAATATTTAAAATCAAATTTAAAATCTATAGTAGTTCTGTTATTGTTGTTATCATGGTATGCACCTTTCTTTTCAAATAAATATGAATATATCTTTTAAGAAAAACAATTTTAATCTATTGTTTTTTGAGCAATTGCAAATCTCAAAAAATAATGTTTATATTTTAAATGATTTAATCAAGGTACTAGTATAGCACAACTGTATTCCAACTTCTCTTTGACAGTATGTTATGACCTGATTTCTCAAAATAAAAAACTATTAGTGATTATTTTCAAGCCGTAGTTCTTGTAGCCAATCAGTGTGGTCAAGAGGCTTATGTATCTCAGTGAAAGGACATGGGCTTTGGAGTCAGGCAGTTTATTTTCCAACTGCAGCTCCACCCTTTTTTATGGCTGTGACATTTTTTAAGTACTTTGTCCCTCTCAATTACAGTGTCTTCAATAAAACAGTGAACATGTAAATATACTTCTGACTTTAATTTTTTTGGAAAGGATCATTTCAGGTAATACATGTAAACTGTATAATACAATAAATGTACTACAGCAGTAATATTAATATTATGGTCATCATCCTCCTAGACACAAATTTCTTGTAAAATTTTTGTAACAGGAGTACTATTTGCTTCAATGTTCTCAAATTAATTCTCCCAACTGAAAACCTATCTGGTTTCATAAGTTCTAGTTGCTATGAAAATCTTTATACTTTGTCAAAATGATCCCAAAAGAATTCTACCATTGTATCAGTTGTATATCATAGTCATGGATCCAGTCAACACTTACTGTATGTTCATAAAAACTGGAAATTATCTTGTGTAAAGTTGCCATTTTAATTCCATCTTTATTACCTACAATAATTTATAATAAGGTTTATGAAGAATGCTTAAAGAAAGAAGTTGGATGTAGGGAGCATCCATTGTACATAAAAGAAGTGATCAGCACTAATCAGAATGCTCTCTATATATTAACTTAAATAATTCTGCAATGCAAATGATGCTCAGAGAGCTTAAGCAACAAGACCGCTATCATAGATTCCAGTGAGTAAAATCACAAAAAATTATGCTGAGCCTCTCTGACTCTAAGGATTATATACAGAACAATAAATAATAAACTGAGACACATATCTGTAATTCAAATAATTTTCCTCTTGGCTTCTTACATATAAATTTATTTTTTTCTCTTAGACATCTTTGTGTGAGTGTCAGAATTAGAGACTCTCTTTAATTCTGAAGAATTCTGAAGTTTACTCCATAACATATAAATATTTACAGTGATTTTTACATAAGTAAACTCTCCTTTTGCTGGTTCTACCTGGAATAATTTAGCAGTTATGTAAATAGGCAAAGTTTTAATTCATTTGCTTCTATGTAGCTCTCTTTTGAACTCTGGGAGAGATTAAATATGGGATAATTATTAATAATTTTATTTCTTTCTAGACGAAAACCAACCAGTTTCTCCAGAAGTTCACTGTCCCCCAGTATGTCCAGGCTGTTCCCCTTGTAGTCTATGAGCCTGTGGAATCACATTCAGGAAAACACCTACCCATATATTCCCATTTAGGTATGTTTGCCCTTTTAAAAATATATATAATTATTGTGTTTTGTGAAAAATGAGATAAAAAGAAATGAAATTTAAAAAAGAATCTAAGTTATCACGTAGAAGTTAAATCAAATTTAAATCAAAATGTTAAGGCCAGTAATGAAATAAAAATCATACGGTTCAAATACAACTGCAATCATAATGCTAGGGAAAAAGAATTGCATTATATTAGATTTTAATTTTCTAAACATTTGTGTATATATTCTCTTGATTTTTACAGTAATCCATTGAAGTAGAGAGATAGAAGTAATATTAATTTTACAACAGATTCTGAAATTAAAAGAAGTGGATTCAATTTTCCAAGCTATATTTAATAGTTTACCTTCATTTAATAAGTCTTTTGGCTTAGGATGCCTTTTCTTTAACATAAGAAGTAAATGGTAGAGCAGGAAATTGAATCTAAAAAGCTGAAATTGGCTGGGCGCGATAGCTCGCCTGTAATCCCAGCACTTTGGGAGGCCGAGGCAGGCAGATCACCAGAGATCAGGAGTTCAAGACCAGCCTGGCCAACATGGTGAAACCCCATCTCTACTAAAAGTACAAAATTTAGCTGGTCATGGTGGCGGGCGCCTGTAATCCCAGCTACTAAGGCAGCTGAGGCAGGAGAATCGCTTGAACCCCGGAGGTGGAGTTTGCAGTGAGCCAAGATCGCGCCCTTGCACTCCAGCCAGGACAACAACAGTGAAACTCCGTCTCAGAAAAAAAAAAAAAAAAAAAGAAGAAAAGAAAAGAAAAGAAAAGAAAAGAAAAGAAAACAAAACAAAAAAGAAAGCTGAAAATTTAGCATAAATATTAATAATTTAGCATCAGAAATCCTAGGACTGGGTCTGAGTCTGATAATTCTCTGAATTCTATTTTCTATTTTTATTTTGAGATGTGACTGAATTTCTTAGATAGGCATGTAACATTTGGAGGACTTTATCATTATCATTATAGAAAATAAGACTTCTATAATTTAGGTTTGAATGTTAGATGTCTAAAATTGTTTCTAAATATTTCAAGTGAGATATAAATAGCCTTTGTACATTAAAATGCATTATTCTTTTTCTTTTAAGAAGAACATGTAAGATTCTTGAATTAACTGCTGCAATTTGAGCTTGAGTAAGTACCTTTAAGACTAGTCATTGAACAAAAATTTAAGTAGGATCTTCACTTAAGAATACAACATCAAAGCAATAATTTAAATACTTTAGATAAATTCTCTTTAAATCAGAGATTGGCTTATAAAATACTTTAACTTTTGCTATACACTTTTTGATTCACAAAGAAGAGTTATCTGTGTAACTTACAGGCATATGGTTTTTTGCAAATTTTAAAAAATAAACTATAGAAAATTTCCTCTGTGAACTGGATGCATTTAACCAGAAGTAATGACTCTTAGAAGAAATCTTCACAAAGACAAGTGGCTACACTGGTTTACTTTAAAGTTTGCCTTTTGATTTTCACTCAACATTTCTGCTTGGAGAAATATATATATATATTTTTAGTAGATTTTTTTAAATTTTACAATTTGAGCTACTTTATACAAATTTTTTCTGCAGCAATTTCTCTGGGAAAACTCATATAGATATAGATATAGATAAATATATAAAGCCTACTTTCCTACTTGCCATCACTGTCATTCCCCTTGAGGTTCCGATCTAGATTGCATTTGCCTCCACAGTATATTTAGAATCTGACAGGTCCTAATGTAAATTATGAGTTAATAGGTGCAGCACACCAACATGGCACATGTATACATATGTAACAAACCTGCGCATTGTGCACATGTACCCTAGAACTTAAAGTATAGTAAAAAAAAAAAAAAAAAAAAAAAAAAGTCTGACAGAGCGTCAAGTCAATGGTGACTTATAGTCGTGGTTCACTTTATCTGGTCTCCTTTTTTCCTTATGTTTTCATTATAATTATTAGAGGTTTCTCCATTCTGAAATTTAGTCGCCCTCAGTTTATCTCCATTGTTCTATCTACATCTCCTAAACTTAAATGGTTGTTCAAAACCTATATGCATAGATGTGTATAATAATAAGTATACATCATCGTGACAGAGGGTGCAACAGCAAATCTGATAATAATAGCTGACGTTTTTTGAGTGCTTCGAGTGCGCCCACCACAGTTCTAAACTTTTTTCCAGTATTAACTAGTTTCATGGTCACATAACACTGTGAAGTGGTTATCATTATTAACTAATGTATAAAAGAGACAAGCAATGCACAAAAAAGTTACATAAATTGCCCATGATCATATTGTATGTGATAAGTGAAAGAGCCAAGATTCCAACCTAGTGTCTGGCCCTAGATTGCTTCCTCTGAAAGACTCAACTACTGAGGCAACCCCGTATCCATGTCAGGAGTTCAAGAATAATGTGAAAGGGCATTGGTCTCACAGCTTGATTCTATTTTTGTTTGGTTTTCCTGACAATGGAAAGAGATCAAGCAACTCTTCCAAATAACCTTATATGAGAAAAAATAACACCATAATTGTTATGGATGAGAGCTGAGGTTGTAGTTGTATTTTCTGAATAGTGATATCCCCTTTGATGTCATTCATTCTGTATTTTGAAATTGCTTATCATGAGTCCCACAATATGAGAAACTTGGTAAAAAAAAAAAAAATGAGATACTGACAACCTTCCTTAACCTCAGTTCTAGAAGGGTAAATAGGTTTACAAAGAAGTTTACTAAGTGCAAAATTAGAATTGTGAGCATGATACTGTGATAGAATAAAAAAATCAGTTGGATCAGATTAAGACCTGAACCTTTAGGTAAACCAGAAATAAACAAAGCAAGGCAATGCCAGAAGAATATTATAAGGCAGAACTTAATTAAATCTACAGAATGTTTACAACATAAAACTATTAATAAAAAGATTTCTAATAAAATAGATTACGAAGACTTTACTTTTCAAAGGTTTTTAAAATTTTTTCCAAAAGGACATTTTCCCAGTGTAATTATTTGACAAATCTATAATCCAAATACATCAAGAAATACTCAATGTAGGAAGTAATATTATATTTTATGTCTAGTAAACTATTTGGAAATTAAGAAAATGTTTCTTCAAAATTGGATGAGAGATGTAAATATTTCTTATTTAATGGGAGCATTAAATAGAATCTTTATTTGCATAACACAGTGAAGAGTTTGACTATTAACTGTCAATCATTTAGTCATTTATAAAATAAATATTAGTAGCCTACTGTTTTAGCACTAGAAAATATCAATTAGTAATAACTATAATTATATTATATTACACTATCTTGCATGTTTGAATGTTTATATGTATTTTGTGCACAAGTATTTTACATATTATATGTAGTATGTGTTTCCTGGAATATAAATTTTATAGATAATCCAATATTTTTTCTTTATTCATAGGTATGACTAGAAAAATCATTCCTTTATAATTTCTTCATCTACCACATCACCTCCTACTAGCAATATATTTTGGCATGCTTCTTGAAATGTCAACAGTATTGAGCCAAAAGAAGACTGTGTGGAACATTTTCCATATTGGTTATGATATTTTTAATTTGTGTTGGATATGCCAGATCTGAATTGTGGTATCATATTTACTGTATTGATGATTAAATGAGGTCTTTTCTCCACTATCTCTGAAATATAGAACTGTATATCAGTTGCCAAAACATTAAAATTTCAAACAAAGTTGTAGCTAGTGTTTTGGGGTTTTTTTTTTCCATTCCTCATACTTAGAGAGACCAGACCACTATTACTAGAATAAATCAGCTTGAACATCACTGAAATAACTTTATATACATTTGAGGCCCTTAATTTCAAGGTTGACTCTCATATCACATGTATTTGAATGTTACATACTTATGGGTCTCAACAACAACTGTATCCTAAGCACTTACTGGCCCTCATTCTAACATCTCTCTAGTTTGTCCCTGCTTCCATCTATCTATCCCATACAACTTTCTCCAGAGTTCTCAAGTCTCCAGTCTGTGCCTGGCCAGTTAATAATCTGCAATATCATTCCATAAAAAGTGGTTTAATCACTAACAAAGTACAGCTTTGAAGGCCTTCCCTCAGGGTTTAGACTTCTTTCAACAAACATTGAGTACCTATGATACGCCAGGCATTTTTCAATATGTTGTTTTATAGCTGAAAACAAAAACAATATCTTGGCTTTATGGCCAAGATTACATTTTAATCATTGGAAAAAGACAACAAACAAGAAAAGAAGCAAGACAGGGTATGCCGTGTGGTGATAACATGGCATGTGTTATCGCCATGTGGTGATAACCTAAAGAAAAATAAAGTAGAGCAATGGGAGTGTATTTTACATAGGGGTGGTCAAGGAAGGCAATTTGGGCAAGTCAAAGTTTGAGCAGTGAAATGAAATTAGTGTGAGAAGGAGCTGGAGAAGTACCGTTCCAACAAAAGAAAAGTAAAAGAAAATTCACTGAAGTGGGTGAAGGTGGGAGGAGTGAAGATTATCTTGGTCTTGCAATTTGCCTTAAGCAATTGGTTTGAGCTGGTAGCTGAGAGTCATTTGCAGGTGAGCATCATTATATAGCATATTTTTTGAAAAGATGAATAGGGTAAAAGATAGGGGAATATGTATCGGACTTCAAAGAATCCTCCAATTCCTTAAGGTTTCCCTCATTGGATTCAATTATTTCTTTTTTATTATTATTATTATACTTTGAGTTCTGGGATACATATGCAGAACGTGCAGGTTTGTTACATAGGTATACACGTGCCATGGTGGTTTGCTGCACCCATCAACCCGTCATCTATATTATGTATTTCTCCTAATGCTATCCCTCCCCTAGCCCCCTACCCGCAACGGGCCCCGGTGTGTGATATTCCCTTCCGTGTGTCCATGTGTTCTCATTATTCAACTCCCACTTATGAGTGAGAACATGCAGTGTTTGGTTTTCTGTTCCTGTGTTAGTTTGCTGAGAATTACAGTTTCCAGCTTTATCCATGTCCCTTCAAAGGACATGAACTCATCCATTTTATGGTTGCATAGTATTCCATGGCTTATATGTGTCACATTTTCTTTATCCAGTCTATCGTTGGTGGGCATTCGGGTTGGTTCCAAGTCTTTGCTATTGTGAATACTGCTGCAATAAACATACGTGTGCGTGTGCCTTTATAGTAGAATGATTTATAATCCTTCGGATATATACCCAGTAATGGGATTGCTGGGTCAATTGGTATTTCTGGTTCTAGATCCTTGAGGAATTGCCACACTGTTTTCCACAATGGTTGAACTAATTTACATTCCCACCAACCGTGTAAAAGCGTTCCTATTTCTCCACATCCTCTCCAGGATCTGTTGTTTCTTGACTTTTTAATAAATGCTGTTGGGAGAACTGGCTAGCCATATGCAGAAAACTGAAACTGGACCCGTTCCTTGCACCTTATACAAAAATTAACTCAAGATGGATTAGAGACTTAAACATAAGACCTAAAATCATAAAAACCCTACAAGAAAACCTAGGAAATATCATTCAGGACATAGGAAAGGGCAACGACTCATGAAGAAAATGTCAAAAGCAATGGCAACAAAAGCCAAAACTGACAAATGGAATCTAATTAAACTAAAGAGCTTATGCACAACTAAAGAAACTATCATCAGAGTGAAGAGACAACCTACAGAATGGGAGAACATTTTTGCAATTTATACATCTAACAAAGGGCTAATATCCAGAATCTACAAGGAACTTAAACACGTTTACAAGAAAAAAACAAACAACCCCATCAAAAAGCGGGTGAAGGATATGAACAGACACTTCTCAAAAGAAGACATTTATGCAGCCAACAAACGTGAAAAAATGTTCATCATCACTGGTCATTGGAGAAATGCAAATCAAAACCCCAATGTATATTGACAATATACATTTTTTTCCTGTCATCTTGTCAATTTGAGAATTTTAATGATTACCTACAGCCTGATAATGCTCCAAACTTTAGATGAAGTTTTAATTGTTCTGCTCTCAATTTGGGCTAATATACCCAATTATCTTCTGGGAATGACTAATTTTGTATTTCCCAAATTGAAATATAATCACTTCAAGTATTTTTTTCACTTGAATCTCTTTTACACAGAATGCATCCATGTGAACTCACATTTCATTCTAAATTTGCAGTTCTATATTTTTATTATAATAAAATGAAACATGATTATATTTTTAACTCAGATTCTTTTGCAGATAATGAAATAGACTTCTAGGATTTGGACTCTCTTCTAGGACTCTCTAAACTCTAACTTTTCTCATTAGTGTAAGTTGGAAGTGTGATATTTCTTTCCACTAATTAGAATAGTTTTAAAAAATTAAAACAACCAAAGGTACCATTAACACCTTGGCAGGTATTGCATCTTTATGTCACCATTCTTATAAAGCTGCAATAGCTCTTTGTTGAGTATTTGTTCTCTAAGTAAAATGCTTTTTTTACTTTTCAAGAAGTGGAATTCTATCACGGAGAAAAATGTACCTTTTATTTCCTTTACTGCATAATAGCAGGACATGTTATTTCCCAGCAGTGTTCTAAAACTATCTGTTATGGAATATGAGATTGTAAAAAAAAAACACAAAAATGCAACCTTTGTTTTTAATTTCTGTCCTTGTTTCTGGTTATCAAGCATAATCCTCACACTTCCTGAAGTGTTTAATTTTAAGGGAGAAATTAATAATGCCTCTATTTTAATGTTACAAACCAAAATAAGAATCTAGTTTATTTATTTTTTCTTGAAACATAATTGATGTGCATATTTGGGGGGTACATGTGATAATTTGACACACTCATATAATCAAATCAGGGTAATTAGAATAACTGTTGCCTTAGATGTTGGTCTTTCCTTTATCCTAGAAACATTTAAATTAGTTTCTTCTAACTATTTTTGAATATACAATCTATTATTGTAAACTATAGTCACCCTGCTTATCTGTCAACACAAGGTCTTATTTCTTCTATCAAATTACATATTATATATATAATCAAGATCTCTTCATCTTCCTCTCCTGTGTCCCCTTCCTGATCTCTGGGAACCACCAATCTATTCTCTATCTTTATGAGATCCACTTTTCTAGCTCCCATGTATAAGTGAGAACATGCAATATTTGTCTTTCTGTGTTTGGCTTATTTCACTTAACATAATAACCTACGGCTTCATCTATCTTGCTACAAATGACAGGATTTCACTCTTTTTTATGGTTGAATAATAGAATCATTATATTTCAAAATGGGTTTATACTTCTTAGTTTATAGAACAGTAGTTAGCTTAAAGGTTCGAATTCCAAACGCTTGAAAGTATTTACATTTTTATATTAATTTCTTTCTTTCTTTTTTTTTTTTTTTTTTGAGACGAAGTCTCGCTCTGTCGCCCAGGCTGGAGTGCAGTGGCGCGATCTCAGCTCACTGTAAGCTTCGCATCCCGGGTTCACTCCATTCTCCTGCCTCAGCCTCCCAAGTAGCTGGGACTACAGGTGCCCGCCACCACACCCGGCTAATTTTTTATGCTTTAGTAGAGACAGGGTTTCAGCGTGTTAGCCAGGATGGTCTCGATCTCCAGACCTCATGATCCACCTGCCTCGGCCTCCCAAAGTGCTAGGATTACAGGCATGAGCCACTGCGCCCGGCCTTATATTACTTTCTATCCAAAGAGTCAATCACATTGCCCATATAATCCCAGTGCCCTGTATAGTGAGTGCTTAATAACAATTGTTTGAATGAATAAGTGAATAAAGAAATAAAGTAACCAGAAATGGAAGGAAAAAAAAGAGGGAGGCTGGGCACAGTGGCTAAAGCCTGTAATCTCAGCACTTTGGGAGGCCAAGGCAGGCAAATCATTTGAGGTCAGGAGTTCAAGGCCAGCCTGGCCAACATGGTGAAACCCTGTCTCTACTAAAAATAAAAATTAAAAAAAGTATCCAGGTGTAATGGCAGGCGCCTGTAATCCCAGCTTCTTGGGAGGTTGAGGTAAGAGGATCCCTTGAACCCAGGAGGCGGAGGTTGCAGTGAACTGAGATCGCGTCACTGCACTCCAGCCTGGGTGACAGAGTAAGGCCCTGTCTCAAAAAAAAATAAAAAATAAAATTAAAAATAAAAACAAGAGAAAAAGAAAAAGAAAAGAAAAGGAAAGAAAGAAAAGAAGAAAAGAAAAGAAAAGAAAAAGACAATGTAGTCAAACAGCCAAACAATCCATTTCAAAAATTACTATTAGAAGATGAATTTTTTTTTATTTTCCCAATAGTTATAATCGAGACTATGTCTTTGGGGGAAGAGCCTACATAGCTACAATACTTAAAAGTCTCTTGCATAAATTATTATATTGAATTATTGTTACCAACTTTAAACATATACATTCTTTTATCTAGAAAGGTGAAAAAGGAGACAATTTCTAATGGGCCTCTTTTAATATCCTTTAGAAATATTTCCTCAAAACACATGATACAAAATCAAACTTCAAGTTTAAGTTTGAGCTCAAACCTATAGACAAGTGGTATATTATTTAGCTTAATGTCTGTGGCCTAAACAAAACTAGGAAAAACATCCTAATATTCTGTTCTGACTACACTCAATTATCCAACTAGAAGGATGTAAATTATGTGTATCCATTTTCCTAGAGATTCAGTGGAAAACACACATTTTTCTAACACATGTAAATATGCCACTGCATAACCTCACTTGAAGGATGTTAAACCCTCTAAGGCCCAAAACAAGTAGATTTAATTCCATGTGGTAGAGTTCAACTTGCTAAGTGAGATATATTAAAGTTCTGACTTCAAGGACATATATTTTTTTGAGGACAAATTTATTAATTCAAACCCTAGAAGAGACTGAATTTTGCTCAGAGCTGTGTCTATTATCCCTATGTATGAGAAAATGGTAAACAAAGTTTTAGGTCTTCTTTTTGGTACAAGAATGTCCATCTCAGACATGAGGTTTTTGAGATACAATAGTTAATATTCTACAGACACACATATGACATTCGAATTCATTTCTACAGTTAACTTATTCTAATAACTTTTTCTTTATTGCTGTATTCATATGTACCTAGACTAATATTGGCATTAAGCAACTGACAGTTTTATTAATAACCTGACTTATTTGTTTCACAATCTTCTATTGTAATAACCTTGTTATTTTACTTCCTAGCATCTGATGGGACTATCCTTCACTTGCATAATTTGATCTCACAATTGACATGATTCATTGCATCAAGATAATGACTTTAGTGAATTTAAATATCAAGTTAGTACAAAAGTAATTGCGGGCGTTGACATTGATTTCAAGGGCAAACTCCGCAATTACTTTTGTACCAACCTGATATATCAACTCACCTGACATGCACATTATTTCGTAGGTCTTCAGGACAGTTCCTCTGAATCTTGAGACCTCATTTTGATCACAAGACAATACATTCATGCATGTATTGTCAACATGGTGTCTATTTTCAAATGTCTGTGGACTGTTACTGTCCGAATAAACTATGACAAAATCAAAGCATACTTATTTAATAATAAATACCCAAAAAAACTATTTGAAAAAATGATGACCTTATAGATAAGAAAATATGTATAAGAATATTATAATAAAATGAGACATGATTATATTTTTAACTCAGACTCTTTTGCAGATAATGAAATAGACTTCCAGGATTTGGACTCTCTTCTAGGACTCTCTAAACTCTAACTATTCTCATTAGTGTAAGTTGGAAGTGTGACATTTGTTTCCACTAATTAGAATAGTTAAAAAAAATTAAAACTACCAAAGGTACCATGAACACCTCTGCAGGTATATAAGAATATAAAGTCATCATATATATGTAAAGTCATCTTTACATATATATATCTTTATATATAGCAATAGAAAGGTTTGCTTGTGATCTAGGTATGTGTTAGTCAACATTAACATTATTATATAAACTACAGAAACAATGAAGAAATTGATGCCTCTATTGCTGTGATATAACATAAACTTTTTATAACATAAATGTGTGTTAAATAATGTTATTATTTATTGTTAACAAGATGAAATTCAAAATTTATATACAAATGATCTCCTAGTCAGCAGGAATGTATTTTTTTTGCAAGTTTACTTATTGCTTCAAAGTTTAACATAGCATTTCAAAACTACTTTATTTCCATATCTAAAATATTTTCTTCTTTTTTCTCATCACTTTCTGCATTGAAGTCAGTTTTGCTTATTCTGCATATTGAATACCATGTGCCAATTAAATTAGTTTTATTTAACATGTGAATTAGATATAAAGGATGAACCACTACCTTTTTTAAACATTTACGATTGTCACCTTTGGAAAAATATATTACAAGTTCTACTTTAAATATTTAATGATTACAATTTTTTAGGACAAGAATTTTTTCTCGATTTTCAAGTTTAAAATGTTTCTAGTATACTGTTTTTATTGACAAAAAATACATATTAAACTCATTGATAAATTTCTTTACATTTTTCTGAAAAAAAAATGTGACAATCTTGTCACTTCTGTGACAATATTCCCATCAAAATATATTTTAATTTGGATAGTATTAGAACTCAGAAAAAAGCAGTATATATATATATATATATATATATATATATATATATCATACTACAGAAATATGAAAATATATCAAAGAGTTCCAAATTGCACAAATTTGTTTTACTAAAATATTTTGAAGTATTACCTAATATTCAACAATACAACAATACAATCTTTACAGTACATGAAAATTCTATTTCTATAATTTCATCTATTAACTGTTATCTTGTTTCTTCTATCTTGTGAAACATTTTTTCAATCTTTTCCTTACTTATCATTCTAATACATTGTCTGTGAACAAGCTCTCATAATCTCCTACCAGTCTATTCCCAAACTAAATGGTAATCCTATTATCTTCTTTTATTTTCTGTAATCTTTTTCTACATTGTGGCCACAGAGATCTTTATTTTTAGAAATTTCATTTGCACTTTTCTGAAAAGAATATTGTTCTTATATCTCAGTGATGGCAAATATGACCACTTTTTAAAATGTTTATTTCCATAGGTTTTCAGAGAACACGAGGTATTTGGTTACATGAGTAATTTATTTACTGGTGATTTGTGAGATTTTGGTGTACCCATCACTCGAGCAGTATACACTGAACCCAATTTATAGTCTTTTGTCCATCACCATCTTTCCATCTTTTCCCCCAGTCCACAAAGTCCATGTGTCATTCTTATGCCTTTGCATCCTCATAGCTTAGTTCCCACTTATAAGTGAGAATATACGATGTTTGGTTTTCCATTCCTGAGTTATTTACTTAGAATAATAGTCTCCGATCTCATCCAGCAAAAACTGCAATTGCTTTTGCACCAACCTAATCATACATATAACAATTTCCATTTGTTCGTGGCTTGATTGGAAATTTGACGTGGTCTATATTCACAACAATTCTTTCTGTTCAGAAATCCTTCTGTGCATTTAGCAACATGTATTATCATACACTTCTTCCAAGTTATTTTGAAAAGTATCATTCTATCTCAGTAATTTTGAAAATAGTGTATGGCTTGCATTATTCTAGGTGTTATATTGACATTAAAAACAAATTGACCTTTGAACATTTGCTCTGCATTCAAATTCCAGTCTAATTCATTGAGCTGCATTAACAGCATAAATTTAAAATCATTTATAATATTTGAAGATACATATGATGGTATGTGTTGGACTATTTAATTTTCTTTGAAATTTTGTTCTATCTTAATAATCATAAAGAATCAACTTTTCTTGGGTAATAGACGGGATGGTCTATCTCTATTTCAATTCTCCTGCAAAATGTTTTTCTTCAACAGTAAGATGCCAGCACATCAATCTGTACAGCAGTATTTCTAAAGAAGGACCATGCCAGGTCATTTCATAATCTTTTCAGTCAATGTTTACTGAGGAAGGAGAGACATGCAAATTTTGGGTAGTCAATGTTTACTGAGGAAGGAGAGACATGCAAATTTTGGGTAGTTAATCAATGCACACATACGCACAAAAATCATCACAATTTTTTCAACTTTGAAATTATTTTTAATCAAATAAATGCTGATGTCTGAAGCCTGCAAGCAAACCCTGAAATTCCAAATAAAATCTTATCTTTTGTTTTAGCTTTATTCACGATGGACACTAATTCTCTCATATATTGTATTTGAAAAGAAAAACTTCAATTATATAATGGCTATGTATATTTGTAAATAAAATTTCCATGGATTATATCACATTACAATGATAATGGCAGAGAAAAATATTAACTAGAAGTCAGAGAGCCAGCTCCCTTTGAGAAAAACAGTCAGAAACAGTCAGAGCTGGAAATCAAATTCTACACTGCAGAAGGTCACTGTTGTGATAGTCAAAAAGAGAAGCAAGAAGAGTGTTGGGCCTCAGATGTTGAGAAAGGAGTTAATTTGTGTGCAGAAAGGGGTGGAACAGTGAAAGCTGTGTGCACTGTGTGCTTTCTCAGAGATTGGCTATTGGAACCACACCATAAATTCCCTATTTGGCACGTAAAGAAAATCTCAATTTTAAAACTGCAAGATATAACTCACTGTTACCGCTCTCCCTCAGTATTCTCAATTTGAAATTTTACTCTCAGTCCTCAGGTTAAAACCCAGGAAATTCCCATATCCCTCCCTCCCCAATGAACATTGACTCAGAAGATTATGAAGTGGCCTGGCATGGTCCTTCTTTAGAAATATTCAGGTACAGATTGATGTATTGGCATCTCACCATCGAAGAAAATATTTTGCAGGAGAATTGAAATAAAGATAGGAATAGTACTTAGTTAAAACTTAGGAATAGTTCTTAACTATTTATGTGTTCTTCAATTTTTACTGACAATCAGATTTCTTACCAAATCTGATCAACTTCACCAGTATTAAATCATTGAACAAATACAACCAGTTCTAACCATCATCACTAACTTTTCCCTCATGCATTAGTCTGAGTCCTCCAAGAAGTAGGCGCCGAGACTACATTAAATGTGCAAAGATTTTATTAAGGGAACAACCTGTATAGAAGGAAATGGGAAGAAAGTCAAGAAAGGCTGGAGAAGCCATCAGACTGCGAAGCAAACCTAACCCCAAGTGAAGGAAAGAAGCAGTCAAAAGTTGTGTGATGATATCCTGCTAGATTGCTTTGCAATTTAAGAAAGTTCAGGATAGCGCTCAAGGACTCCTCATGCTAAAGCCTTAGGCCTTTCTTGTCACCAGAAACGCGCTTGCCTTATTTTCCTTAATTAGGTGCAATAGTGTTCCATCATATACTTAGATAATAAATATTTGAATGGACTTGGTGAGGTTAATGACAGAGGCTACTCTTCAGATTTCAAATTTCAGCTTACTGATATTTAGTTTTCAGACAAATAAATATTAACATTGGATGTTTTCCTGTATAGCAGTGGTAAAATTGTAAATTTTATTTAATGTTAATACAGGTAGCTAGTGTTACTAGGTGTTTTCTATGTGCTAGGCATTGTTCTAAGTATTTAACATGTCTTATTTTCTTTAAGCCTCTCAACAATCTTTTCAGCTGGTATTATTACCAAATCTCTTTTAGATATGATAAATCAGAGGCAGTATAATGACCTTAAGTTTACCTCTCCAAGTTACACACTTGGGCACTAAGGGCAATCTAGAAGATGCAAGTATTTATGTGATTTTTATTGACATGCTTCAAAATAGTCAAAAAATAAGGCACTGATGTTATTTCTGTTATCTAAATTTCAGTTTTCGGACTTGAAAATATCACTCTCTATGACCTAAGATGAAGTTTTATTTATATTCAAGTTCAATTACAGTGTTTCTAAAAAATTATTCTTTAGGATAGCGAGGATTTGTACAGACATTCAAATCACTTGCTATCCTTAAAAATAACAACTTAAGTAATAATAGTTAGGAGTTAACTTCATTTGTGGCTTTCTTTGGAAAGAGGTTGATTAAAATAACCCAGGGTTAAGTATTTTCTGATCAGTGGGATGGACCTCAACTAGGCCTTCTTATCAACTCATTTTTCTTTAAATAATGAGTATAAACTTTTAATGATATGATTTTTACCACCTTTCTTTACTTTGTCTGAAGTCCAATTTTCTCTTGTGTAATAGAGGTCAAAAAGAAATAGCAGGAAGACCTAATGCAAATATCAAGCACCTTCCACAATGCTTGACTTAGAGCAGATACTTGAAAATTGCAGCAAGTATGATTATTACTTACTATTACCTATTGTTACTTACAACTGGTTACTCCAGTTACATATTTTCTCACAAATTGTTTTATTAAATCCCCAAAATTGACCATCTAAAAAGGTATAATTACCCCCATTTTGCAGATAAGGAAAGCAAAGTATAGCAGTATTAATCAACTTTTCTAAAATTACACAATTAGTAAATTATTAGAGATAAAACTCATATTCAGATCTATTAGATGCCAAAACCAATGATGATGATGCTATATCTTGCATTTCCCTCAGATGGGAATAAATTTTAGCCTTTAAGGCAAGACACAATGGAAAGGGCTGCCTTGAAAACCTACAAATTTCCAAGTTTTGCCTGTCTTGAAGTGGATATAAAAAGACTAACTTGAAGGATTAATGAAAAGTTGATTTGTGTACTGGACAGAAAACCAATCTAGAATATAAGCTCACATCCAATTCTATAATTTATAAATGGTTTTGAATAGGAAAAAAGACAATGAGAGAAAACAAATGTAATCAGAGATCACAATATCTTATTATTTCTCCAGTTTATTTATTTATTTATTTTTATGATATTTTTGATTGATATTAATATGTTTTGGGGAAACAGATGGTGTTTGGTTACACGAATAAGTTCTTTAGTAGTGATTTCTGAGATTTTGGTGCATCCATTACCCAAGCAGTGTACAATGTATCCAATATATATTGGAAAGAGGTTGATTAAAATAACCTTGTCTTGTATCCCTCGCCACCCCAACCCTTTCCCACGAGTCCCCAAAGTCCAATGTATCATTCTTATGCATTTGTGTTCTCATAGCTTAGCTCTCACATATGAGTGAGAACAAACAATGTTTGGTTTTCCATTCCTGAGTGATGTCACTTAGAATAATAGTCTCCAATTCTATCCAGGTTGCTGTGAATGTCATTATTTCATTCCTTTTTATGGCTGAGTAGTATTTCATGTGTATTAGTTCATTTTCATACTGCTATGAAGAAATACCCAAGACTAAGTAATTTATAAAGAAAAAGAGGTTTAATGGACTCACAGAACCACATGACAATCATGGCAGAAGGTGAAGGAGGAGCAAAGACACATCTTATTTGGCATCAGGCAAGAGAACATGTGCAGAGAAACTGCACTTTATAAAACCATCAGATCTCATGAGACTTGCTCACTATCACGAGAACAGCACAGAAGAAACCCACCATCCTGATTCAAAAACCTCCCAGCAGGTCCCTCCTATGACACATAGGGATTATAGGAGCTACAATTCAAGATAAGATTTGGGTAGGGACACAGCCAAACAATATCACCATGGTATATATATATACATATACATGCCACATTATCTTATCCACTCATTGAATGCTATTTGGGCTGGTTCCATTTTTTTGCAGTTGCAAGTTGTGCTGCTATAAACATGTGTGTGCAAGTGTCCTTTTCGTATAATGACTTCCTTTCCTCTGGGTAAATACCTAGTAATGGGATTGCTAGATCAATTGATAGATCTACTTTTAGTTCCTTATTTAGTTCTTCAAGGAATCTCCACACTGTTTTCTATAGTGGTTGTACTACTTTACATTCCCACCAACAGTGTAAAATTGTTCCTTTTTCACCGCAGCCATGCCAACATCTTTTTTATTTTTTTATTTTTTTATTTTTTCATTATGGCCATTCTTGCAGCAATAAAGTGGTATCACATTGTGGTTTTAATTTGTACTTCCCTGATAATTAATGACGTTGAGCATTTTTCTATAGAACCTCTAAACAGACCAACAACAAGCAGCGAGATTGAAATGGTAATTAAAAAAAAAAAAAAGGAGCCAACAACAACAAAAAAAGTCCATGACCAGACAGATTAACAGCTGAATTCTATCAGACATTTGAATAAGAATTGGCGCCAATCCTATATACACTATTCCAAAAGACAGAGAAAGAGAGAATCCTCCCTAAATTAAAATGAAGCCAGTATCACCCTAATACCAAAACCAGGGAAGGACATAACAAAAAAAGAAAACTACAGACCAATATCCCTGCTGAACATAGATGCAAAAATCCTCAGCAAAACATTAGCAAACTGAATCCAACAGCATATGGAAAAGATAATCCACCACGATCAAGTGGGTTTCATGTCAGGGATGCAGGGATGGTTTAACATACATAAATCAATAAATGTGATACATGACATAAACAGAATTAAAAACAAAAAACACATGATCATCTAAATAGATACAGAAAAGCATTTGACAAAATCCACTCTCACTTTATTATTAAAACCCTAAGCAAAATCGGCACACAAGGCACATACCTTAAAGGAATAAAAGCCATCTATGACAAACCCACAGCCAACATTATACTGAACTGGGAAAAGTTGAAAGCATTCCCCCTGAGAACTGGAACAAGGCAAGGATGCCCACTCTCAACCACTGGTGCTCAGTATAGTACTGAAGTCCTAGCCAGAGCAATCATACAAGAGAAAGAAATAAAGGGCATCCAAATCGGTAAAGAGGAAGTCAAACTGTCGCTGTTTGCTGATGATATGATTGTAAACCTAGAAAGCCATAAAGACTCATCTAAAAAGCTCCTGTAACTGGTAAATGAATTCAGCAAAGCTTCAGGATACAAAATTAATGTGCACAAATTAGTAACCCTGTTATAAACCAGCAGCAACCAAACCAAGAATTCAACCCTTTTCACAATAGCTGCAAAAAAATAAAAATAATAAAATACTTAAGAATATACCTAACCAAGGATGTGAAAGTCATCTACAAGGAAACCTACAAAACACTGCTGAAAGAAATCACAATGTCGTATTATTTTTCCAGTATTCATGAAGTGACATAATATTTTCTTAAGCAGATATTAAATTTCCAGAAAAACAAATTTACACACCACTACATTTTTAATATACGTAAGTATATATGCAGTTGCCCCTCAGTACACACAGGGATTGGTTCCACAACACCTGTTTATACCAAAAACTGTGTACTCTCATGTCCTTCAGCTGCCCCTGTGGAAGTGTGTATAGGAAAATTTGGCCCTCCACTGCAGGGTTTCGCATGCGCAAATACTCTGGATATGGTTGAAAAAAATCCACATATAAGTAAACCCACGCAGTTCAAACCTATGCTGTTCAAGGGCCAAGTGTTTAGAGAAATATTTGTTTTCTCAAAAATCTTATCTATCTTCTCACAATAGAATTTACATTCTGTGGTTTTCAAATAGTTGTCACTAAAATTAAGTACTTCATGTGGTGATAAAAATTCCTTAGCACAAATTCATTTTCAATGTGACAAATTAAGCAGTTTAGTTTCTGAAGCATAGCCTGTGGGAATAACTCAAAGAAAATAGTATTCCCAAAAAATTATAGAAGATGCAAATAATTTCCTGGTTTCATAACTTCGGAGCCTAATGTAAGAACTAGAAAAGTTCTACCGGAGAAAGTTAAAACTAGTCAAACAAACAAATTCCATTTCAGACATAATACTTCATTGAATGAGTATACTCAACAAATGAAAATTCTTAAATATATTCCTTATAAAATAGATGTGACCAGTAACCACTGTGGAGGGGCTCCAATTCTGAGCAGAATATGGCTACATGTACAAAAGGAATAAATCAAAACCACATGTGAATTCAACTGTTTTCTCAAAGAATCTTTCTTTATATTTCCTACGTATATCACTGTCTAACCAAATCACTGTAACCAGATGTCCCAGATTTTGTCTGATGCTACACTGGGGTAAATGTGCTAATTTTTTAGCACAGAAACCTATAATGAAATTCTTATTGTGCTCCAGCATTTCGAATGAAGCCAGGGCAAGCGGAGCAGATAAAAGTATAATCCACATAATCAGCTTATAATTTTCTTTAATTTTTACATTGAAAATGTTGGAAAGAAATATTCCCTGAATTAATTAAAATTTCAGTTATGATTAATATAAAGTTAAAAATTCTAATTGTTTTCCCCTAGAACTTCTTTTAGATTAATTTCTTATCAAAAATATTTGTTAAGGAAATATTTCATGTGTATACAATAGAATATAGAAAAAAGTATTTTAAGAAACACGGTAAACCCATAACCCATATTTTATAAATATTAAGGTTTGGCCATTTTCTTCCAAAAACATGTTTAATAAAATAAATGTTATTAAAAGGACTTCTGCTTTCACTTAGTATGTAGAATAGCAGAAGGAAGCAGTCAAATAACCTACAGACAATATTAAAATAATTGTTATCATGCATACACTAGAAATGTTTTTGAAAATATTTAGAAAAAAAACAGTCTTTGAACAATTCAAAATGAGATTCTCCAAATAACTCATTGTTATCCAGATCTCTTCCTCATATTTTGTGGAAATACTTCTAGTAGCAGTCTCCCTTTTGCATCACCCATGAACAATCCTTTCCATGCAATACTAGACACTAACTGACTTTCTGCAAACACAATCACTTTCTGTATGAACAAAAAGTGTTCATATATACCACTATAATAGTCTACAATCAAGTTTCCTTAGCCACATTAACATAAATACTTAGTAGAATGTTTATTGAGTCTGATATTCATGACAGGCAGTAGACAAAGTGCTCTACAGAAATTAACTCATATACTCCTATAAGGATACTTATGCTTAAAGAAATAAAGAAACTGGTCTAGGATCACTGTTTCCAGCAAAGAGTGTTGCA
Organism: Homo sapiens; assembly: GCF_000001405.40. Lineage (NCBI taxonomy): Eukaryota > Metazoa > Chordata > Mammalia > Primates > Hominidae > Homo > Homo sapiens. The sequence continues at coordinate 70,100,494 of NC_000004.12, forward strand.
GAAACTTAAGGCAAGTTATTTCTGAATTTAAAGACCAGCTTTCTGGATGAAAAAAGATATTCTACGCAAATAGAAATTCAAAGAAAACAATGATAGCTATACTAATATCAGAAAAAATAAACTGTAAGTCCAAATTGCACAAAGAGACAAGGAAAGTAATTACAAAATGGGCCGGGTGCAGTGGCTCACGCTTATAATCCCAGCACTTTGGAAGGCCGAGACGGGCGGATCACGAGGTCAGGAGATCGAGACAATCCTGGCTAATACGGTGAAACCCCGTCTCTACTAAAAAAATACAAAAAATTAGCGGGGCGTGGTGGCGGGTGCCTGTAGTCCCACCTACTCCGGAGGCTGAGGCAGGAGAATGGCGTGAACCCGGGAGGTGGATCTTGCAGTGAGCCGAGATCGCACAACTGCACTCCAGCCTGGGCGACAGAGCGAGACTCTGTCTGGAAAAAAAAAAAAAAAAAAAAGTAACTACGTAATGAAAAAGGGGTAAATTAAGCAAGAGGATATAATGATAGTAAATATATATACACCCAGCATCAAAGCACCTAAATAAATAAAGCAAATATTAGTAGATCTGAAGGGAGAAATACAAAGGATCAAGAGTCTACTATGAACAATTATACCCCAACAAATTGGGTAACCTAGAAGGAATGGTTAAACTTCCAGAAACATACAACCTGCCAAGACTGAATTATGAAGAAATAGACAATCTGATAGACCTATAATGGAATAAGAAAGGTTGAATCTCTTATCAAAGACCCGGGTTTGATGGCTTCGCCAATGAATTATATTATTTAAAGAAGAATTAATACCAAACCTTCTCAAACTCTCGCAAAAAAATTAGAGAAAAAACTTTCCAAAGTCATTTTAACAAGCAACTATCCTGATAACTAAAGCCACACAAGGATACTACAAGAAAATAAATACAGGGCAATATCCCTGATTACCATAAACACTAACAAACTAAATTCAATAGCATATTAAAAGGATCATGCACCACGAATAAGTGGGATTTATCCCTGGGATGCAAGAATGTTTCAACATATTAAAATCAATAAATGTGATACATACACCACACTCCCAGAATGAAGAACAAAATCAGTAGATCATCTCGAGATATAACGAAAAAAGCTTTTGCCATAATTTAACATCCTTTTATAATAAAAATGCTCAGTAAGTTAGGTATAGAAGGAACATAGCTTGATACAATAAAATCCACAGATCGCAAGCCCACAGCTAACACCATGCTCAACAATGAAAAGTTGAAAACTTCTCGCATAAGATCAAGAAAAAGATCAAGATAAGGTGCCAACTCTCACCAATAATATTTAACATGGTACTTAAAGCCCTAGCCAGAGCAATTAATAAAGAAAAATAAATAAAAAGAATCCAAATAGAAAAGGGAAAAATTAAACTGCCACTGTTTGCAGACGACATGACCTTAAATATAGAAAACCCTAAAGATTCTACTCAAAAACTGTTAGAACTAATAAACAAGTAAGGGAAATTTGCAAGATACAAAATCACCATACAAAAATTAGTTGTGCTTCTATATAATAACAATAAACTATCCAAAAGAAAAGAAATTAAGAAAGCAATCTCATTTGAAATAGTATCAAAAAGAATGAAACACATAAATTAATCAAGAAAGTGAAAGAGCTGTACATTAAACGTCAATGAAACAAACTGAAGACGACACAAATAAATGGAAAGATATTCCATGCTAATGGATAGGAAAATTCAATAATGTCAAAACATCCATACTATCCAAAATGATCTGCAGATTCTGTGAAATTTCTATCCAAATTCCAATGGCACTTTTCACAGAAATAGAAAAACAATCCTAAAGTTTCTGTAGTACCACAAATGATCACAAATAGCTAAAGCAATCTTGATCAAAAACAGCAAAACTGGAGTCATTCAAAATATCTACTATATACTAAATATTTTACTGGAGTATTTTTAAAATATATTACAAAGCTATAGTTATCAAAATGTTAGCATGGCATAAAAACAAAGATAAACCAGTGAAACAGGGTTTAATAGACTGGAGATAAACCCAAGCATATAAGGTCAACTAATCTTTGACAAAAGTACCAAGAATATACCATAGGGAAATGATAGTCTCATCAATAATGGTGTTAGAAAAAGTAGACATCCACATGCAAAAAAATTAAATCGTACCTTTATCATATGTCATAAACAAATATAAACTCAAAATGGATTGAGGATTTAAATGTAAGACCTGAAACTGTAAAACTACTAGAAGAAAAAAATAGGTAAAAAGTTCCACAACATTAGTCTTAGCAATGATTTCTTAGATACAACACCAAAAGCAAAAACAAATAAATAAATAGATAGAGAGATAGCAAAAACAAGTGATACTACATCAAACAAAACACTTTCTGCACAGTAAAGGAAATAACTGATAAAATAAAGTCAACCACAGGAATGTGAGAAAATAATAGCAAACCATATATCCAATTTATTCTTACAACTGTTATTACAACATCTTGTAGATGGAAAAATTGCCAGTGAAAGAGATTAAGTAATTTGCCCCTGTAGCCTCTATTTTATTTGGTTTTACTTGTTATGCTTTTCTGCTTGGTAATTCTTCTGATAAGCCTCTTTATTTGATTACTTCTTTCAGGTATTTTCGTGGATTCCTCTTCTTCCTCGAGTATATAACATTAATGTTCTCTAGGGTTCTGATCTCAGCCTACTTCTTATCTGAGTCTGCATTTTTCCTATATAATCTTGCCCACATGAATGATTTTACTTAGCATCTGTAACCCATGACTCCCAAATACACTCACCTATCTCCTAGTCATCTCTGCATAGTATTTGTTTGTCCTCCAGAATAATAAGTAAGCATCTTTGGGGCAATGTCATATCTTTTCACTTGAATCTCCTGTACTCAAAACCATATCTGCGTCTAATTGCATTCAAAGGTTGTTATAAACTTGTCAAGTATCATGTTTCTATATTACAGTAAAATAAAACAATAATATAACATAGACTTAAGCTGCTTAGGGGCATAAAAATGAACTTGTTGAATTTGTCAAAATGATTTGACAAAAATAATTTGACAGAATGATTTGTTGAGGACGTTCCAGCTTTGGGTTTCTCTCATTAGCATGGATTGATGGTTAAAGATCACCTTGTCACCAGAGGAAATTTAAAAACATAAAACAGGAAAACACATGATAAAAGTTAGCCATGTGTTGTATTCTTATGGAACCACACTTACGGGATCAATATCTCTTTGTTGAGTTGTGTCTTGTAAATGAAACACCTTGACATTTTCAAGAACATAGAATTTGGTCTTGGAGGAAAATGAATCATTCTTTCTTTATTGAAAAATAGCAGTACATGTTCTGGTACATTAGTTTTCTAAGGTCACCCACTGGTCATGGAATATAAGATTATAGATAAAATAAGAATGCCACTCCTGTATTTAGAGTTGGCAGTTCTTATTTCTTAATATCAAACATAATCACACACTTCCTATCTTGTTCAGTCTTAAACCAATTAACTTAATAATACCTATAATTGGTGTCCAAACATAAAATACAGGATGCCTTGTTTCAATGCGGTTTATGTCTTCAGTTCTATAAAAGCAGGTGCCATCTAAATTTTTTACATTTTGTTTATATATTTATTTATTTATTTAAATGGATAAAAATGTATATACTTAAGCTGTACATGATATTTGATATATGTATACATTGTAAAATGGCTAAATCTAGCTAACATTTATTATCTCACATACTATTTTTTTGTGATAAGAACATGTAAAATCTACTCTGTTAACAATTTTCAAGTATATAACGCATTGTTTTTAACTGTAATTACCATGTTGTACAATAGATCTCTTGATCTTATTTCTCTTATCTAACTGAAATTTTGTATCCTTTGACAAATGTCTTCCCAACCCACCACCACCACCCCAGACCCTGGTTCTATTTTCTGCTTCTATGAGTTTGGCTTTTTTCGACTCCACACATAAGTGAAATCTCACTATTTGCCGTTTTGTGCCCGGCTTATTTCACTTAGTATAATGTCCTCCAAATTTATTCATGTTGTCAAAAGTGATAGAATTTCCTTCTTTGTTAAGGCTGAATTGTATTCCATTGTGTATATATACCATATTTTCTTTATCCATTCATCCGTTTATGGACACTTAATTTGATGCTGTATTTTGGCTATGTGAATAATGCCTCAATGAACATAGAAATATAGTTATTTTTGAGATAGTTATTTTATTTACCTTGTATACACTTATAAGTAGGATTGCTGGATTATATGGTAGTTCTATTTTTAGTGATCTGAGAAACATCCATACAGCTTTCAATAATGACTGTACTAATTTACATTCCTACCAACAGTGTACTGGGTTCCTTTCTCTCCATATCTTTGCCAACACTTGTCTTTTTTAATAATAGCCATCCTAACAATCTGAGGTAATATCTTCATTTAGATAAAAGCAACATCATTTTAATTTTAATTTCAAATTTGTTATATTCCCCCTACTCATATATTGCTTTTTATCTACCCAGCAATGTGACCTTAGTGCCTATAACAGTGTTTAATATCTATTGTTCGGAAAAATATGGGGGGAAATACAGGAAGGGAGGAAAGAAGAAAGAGAGGGAGGAGGAAAGAGTGGGTAGAAGAAAGACAAAAAAGGAAGCAAGGAGGAAGAAAGGAATAAAAACTGGAAGAAAAAGAATGTAATCAACCATGTTGAAATGCATTTTTAAAATGTCATAGCAGTGAATATTTTAAAAGTCAGACATATTCCAATAGTTATGCGTAGGGAACCTGCATATTTATGATACTTAAAAGTTAGAAGCCAAAATAACTTGATTTAATTATCTTGCTCTCACAATCGTATATATGTATTTATTTCCTTATGATCCAGAAAAATGTCGATTTCCAATGGGGAGAATGAGTTACTAATTCATTGTGGTGAAAACTTGGAAGACTTTATTATCCTAAAATATAATGTATATTTAAAATTATACTTATAATATATAATAATTAATTTATACTTTGTCCTCAAGGTAAATTCAGGATGTGAGTATGTATATGTATGTGTATGTATATACATATGTTTGTATGTGTGCGTGTTTGTGTATGTGTTTGTGTATGTGTATAATCTCTTGCTTAGAATAAATGATCTTTTCACAAAATTATTTATTGTATTAAAGTATCACTTGACTCTTTCTAAGTTATTTTATTCCCACATTTAAGTTTTGTCTCCTATTTTTATTTTATTTCTGTCGTTAAAAAGTTTATTTTGCAAAATTAAAAGCACACAACAGTCTTCCCTGTTTTATTTATTAATTGTATTTAAGTTTTTAAAATTTATCACTCACACAATAATTGTACATACTTATGGAGAACAAAGTGATGTTTTGATACTTGTATATATTGTACAATAATCAAATCAGGGTAATTAACACATCCATCACTGTAAACATTTATAATTTCTTTGTGATGAGAACATCTATAAATCTCTTTCCAGCTACTTTGAAAGACACAATATATTGATGTTAACTGTAGTCAACCCACTACGCAATCAAACACCAGAACTTATTCTTTCTTTTTTTTTTTTTTTTTAATTATACTTTAAGTTTTAGGGTACATGTGCACATTGTGCAGGTTAGTTACATATGTATACATGTGCCATGCTGGTGCGCTGCACCCACTAACTTGTCATCTAGCATTAGGTATATCTCCCAATGCTATCCCTCCCCCTTCCCCAGCCATCCCATTACTGGGTATATACCCAAATGACTATAAATCATGCTGCTATAAAGACACATGCACACGTATGTTTATTGCGGCATTATTCACAATAGCAAAGACTTGGAACCAACCCAAATGTCCAACAATGATAGACTGGATTAAGAAAATGTGGCACATATACACCATGAAATACTATGCAGCCATAAAAAATGATGAGTTCATGTCCTTTGTAGGGACATGGATGAAATTGGAAATCATCATTCTCAGTAAACTATCACAAGAACAAAAAACCAAACACGGCATATTCTCACTCATAGGTGGGAATTGAACAATGAGATCACATGGACACAGGAAGGGGAATATCACACTCTGGGGACTGTGGTGGGAGAGTGAACAGGCAACCTACAAAATGGGAGAAAATTTTCGCAACCTACTCATCTGACAAAGGGCTAATATCCAGAATCTACAATGAACTCAAACAAATTTACAAGAAAAAAACAAACAACCCCATCAAAAAGTGGGCGAAGGACATGAACAGAACTTATTCTTTCTACCTAACAGTGAACCGTTGCTGTTGACCAATGTTTTCCCATCTTCCCATTCCCCCTACTATTCCCATCCTTTGGTAACCACTATTTCACTCTCTACTTTTATAAGAAGAACTTTTTAAATTCCACATATGAGTGGAAATCATGAAGTATTTATTTTCTGTGCCTGGCTTACTTCACTTTTTAACTATTTAAAAAGAAGAAAATATTTATTTTATTTTTGTTTTTTTCAAATGATTATGATTGTATCTTTTGGATTTTTCTTTTAAAGCCAGCAAATGTGATACTTTGGCAGAGAATGACCACTTTATCAAGGCATCTGCCTTATTCTAATTTAAATATAACAGAGAAAAACAATGCCATGATTACATCTTTTATTTAAATTTATGAGTGACACAATAATTGTTATTAATTATCTTCCTATCTAACTGTACCTTTGTAAATCTCAATAATTATTATAACATCAATAATTATCATGCATAATAATGTGGTTGAAAATTCTGTATAGTGTCTGCCTGTTGGAAAATTTCATTACAATATACTTAATAATTCACATTCTAAATAACACACTGCATTCTTAATACAAATAAATGAAGAAAAACAGCAGACAAGAAGCAAGTAAAATACATAGTCATTATCAATTCTGTAGGTGTTTGATGATTAAAATTTTTAGCAGAAAAAAAACCTTTGGGTTTTCAAATATAATATTCTTCTGTAAAATTTTATTATTCTTGACTGAAAATTTCAGGAGAACTCTGCTAATAATTATCATATTTTTCAGTTAGGTAAAATATGAGCATCATAAGTTCTGTGGGGATTAAACATCCCTCATAATGTATTTTAATTTTGATGTGTGTAATTCAAATATAGTTCATATTTAATAGCATTAGCTGTGATTTTACTTGCACAAAACTGAGTTATGAAATTATAACAAACAGTAACACGTTCAGCTTTTTATAAATGATAAAATAGTGAGGCATATTTAATAATTTTTTCCTTTCACAGCAGACATACACACAAAAAATGTTTGGCTGCTTAATAGTCTATCACTTTTTCCTTTAAACTTTTCACCAGCTTGTTTTTAAATTATTCCTAACGCATTTTTTTGCAAATGAGTCCTTATAATTTTACCTCCCTTAATGGCCATGTCATCTGCTCTTTTGCCCACCTTCCCTCGAATTTTTCTCTGCATTGATTCCATGGTTATCAATCTAAAATGCAATGCTTCCCATATCACATGTTGGCTTGAAGTCTTTCATGCTGCCTTCAGCCCTCATAATAATATAAAAAATATTAAGCCCCCGCTAGCCCTTACCCTCAGCTCTTACCCCGCTCTTACACTCAACATTCCCATTGTGCTGTCATATCTGTACAGATTTCCAACACTTTGCATTTCCTCATCTCCTTTCTGTAACTCCTCTGGTATTATAGAACCTACCATGATGTTTACCAAGTTTGTTCAGTCTGGGTGATACGTACATTTTAGGTGTTCTCATAATGTTTTGACTTTTAAGCATATTTTTATTAAAATATTTTGGATAACGTATCTTATATAACTTCATCAGAAAATAAGCTCCTTGAAATAAGGAAATATGTTTCAATTCTCTTTGTATTACAAGTACCTCAGTGCTTTAGAACATAGAATAATCAGTACATGCTTGACAAAAAATGAATGAGCTACTTTACCATACATACATTACTAAATCTCAAATGATATCAAGCTTCTATTCATTACCTTTATCCATGTTTGGTGGTTACCATGTCTACAAGTATACGAGAAAATTTGGAGGACAAATTGATTACATTAACAGTATCTAGTCTATCTTGTTCTGGGTTATGTTTGTATTTACTTGTATGTTGTTTATTGAGTTAATCTATTTCATATAATAATTTCCTCAAATTAGCTTACAAAATTTCCTTAAGGTGATCAAATATATTTTTACACACACACAAACACACACACCCTCAGCTCAGATATATTTGGCTCAAAGTCAAAATTGAAAAAATTACTCGATAAAGAAGTGGGGTGACAAGCTAACAGAGTGTCCTTAAATGTAAAAAAAAAAAAAATCACTGTAATAAAAGTCAGTATTTCCTGATCTGAGTACAACTGTATCTGTAGACCCATCGCACAACTTCCCTGAACCTCTCTTCCTCTTCTGGTATAATTAGAGGACATTTTCCCTCTGGTATTCCTGGTATATAGTTACCGTGAAATTCGCACATGGTTAGTGGCAGTACTTCAAATTATAAACACATGCTCTACTCTGAGTTTAAAATTACAAACAAGTTGTGAAACAATAGTTTACCATCTTATCATGTATGAAATAAGGGAAGGAAAATACACTAAAAAGAAAAAACAGAATACAGATGCTATCATCAAAGCATATATTTGAATTTAAGAACTCTTGTTTTTAGGACTTGGGAAAATTTCTCTTTAAAATCTCTGTTCACTACTAGTATTATGTATTTAAAAATAAATGGCAATTTTTGTATACAAATTATCCAATGCTGTCAATTCTACAGTGGCACAAAGTCAAGTGTAATTTTACTCTCAATTGTGTTATAAAATTAAGAACTTTTTCTGCTTTTTTGTTCCTGTAAAAGTTAATAATTCACTGGAAGACATAAGACATTTCTATTCACAGGAGCTATTGACAATCTATTTTTCAAATACTTATTCCTTATTTCAACGGAAATATTATTATAGAATATAATATATATTATTTAAATTGACTAAGCAAGATAGTGTGATGTAATGTCATTTTAAAATTTTATTTCTTTTAAGTTTTTTCCCAACATTATTTAAGTCTGATATCTTATAGCACTTTGTTACAGCATATCAATGTATTAGGGCCTCAAAAATGTCTTCTTACTAATTTACATAATTAAATAGATGAACAATAAGTACATTCATCAAAAGTTGCACAATTTGAGCCAGAAATTGTACAATTAGAGCATTTAAACCATGAGAAATACATGGCTTTAAAGAAATAAATGCTAAAGAATATAGGGGTTAGTTTCAACCTCTTTCCTAGTTGAGTTAAAACCAGCATGATGTACTATCAAACACACACTAGAATGGCCAAAATCAAAATGACTGAAAAAAATACCTAAATGTAAATTAGGATATAGAACAACAAGAAACTTTCATACATCATTAGTGGGAGTGTAAAGTTATTCCAAATGGTACCCTAGAAAACTGTTTAGCGATTTCTGAAAATATTAAATGTGCGTCTGCCACAAACACTATTACTATGTCTTATCCGAGAGAGGAAAAAATGATGTCTTCAGATATTCTTGCACAAATAACATCGTAGGACTTTTATTTGTAGTAGTCTCAAACTAGAAACAACCATGTCCTTCAATGGGAGATGGATAAACAAACAGCTAGTCCTTCAGTGGGAGATGGATAAACAAACTGTGTAGTCATGAATAGATTACACAGCAATGGTTCCAACAATGTGGATAAATTTCAAAAGAATTTAGCCACGTGCAAAAAGCTAAAGACCTTAGAGTATATGCCATATGATTCTATACGAACTGGCAAAAACTATTCATCAACTTAGATGAGTGGTTGTTTCTGCAAAGGGTGATCAGCTAAGGGCCAGGGCAACTTTCTGGGATGATGGAAAGACTGTGTATTTCTACCCTAATAGCAGATTGACATAGCCATTTAAAATATGTTTTCACCATATAGAATTATACCTGAATTTCTTTAAAGTTATTAGTTAATGAAAAGAAAAATTTTTCTGAATACAACTGAAGCTTTGTTCTTCCTGCTCAATAATATTCCCACTAATTCTATACCTTCTCAGAGGTTACCAGGATTCTGCAATCAGCGTGTATGCTTCCCAGGCATATTATATATATTATGCTTGTATTACACATGCATGTAGCTATTACAATGGATAGTAGATGTGGCTTTAAAAATGTTTTCTTTGTGTAATGAGATAACATTTTTACTATTTTAAAATTAGAGACAACTGTGCATTTTTGGAGTTTCAGAAAAGAATGAATTCATAGACTTCTCAAAGCACACCGAAAAATATATTATCAATAAATATTTTTTAGAAAAAAAGTTTAGACATATGTATCATGTTATTCTTAACAGTTCACATTAATTTAATATTGCTTTCACTTAGCAAGGACCACTTTCTCTCTGACTCAGAAATTAGAAAAAATGTCTGTGTTATTTTCAATGAATCAATATTCACTAAACAATAATTAACATTGTTAATAAAAATTTACATTTCTTGAATTATTTTTAGTGGTTATTAACCTGTGTTCAGGTTCTGCTTTCATTTTCACAGGGCTGTTGTCCTTTTTGTTTCTTTCTCACCTCTCAATGCCCTCAACTCTGTAATAACTCCCTCATGTGTTATTTTCCTTCATAAAGATGTGGTTCTTATACCTAGGGACATTTCTGTCTGTAAGAAGGTGTCTTAATGAACTATAGACATAATCATCTTAAGGCATTAATCATCAAAGGGTGAAAACTGACAACAAGTTTATGCATATACACGTTGCAATAATATAGGGCTTTCTATATTACAGGATTTGCTTTATCTCTGTTTATTTATATCTTATTGAACTTATATACTCCATACCTTTTTTATTTTTATTTTTTATTATACTTTAAGTTCTAGGGTACATGTGCATAACATGCAGGTTTGTTACAGATGTACACATGTGCTATGTGGGTGTGCTGCACCCAGTAACTCATCATTTATAGGTATATCTCCTAATGCTAACCCTCCCCCATCACCCCACCCCACGACAGGCCCCAGTGTGTGATGTTCCCCTTCCTGTGTCCAAGTGTTCTCGTCGTTCAATTCCCACCTATGAGTGAGAACATGCGGTGTTTGGTTTTTTGTCCTTGCGATAGTTTGCTGAGAATGATGGTTTCCAGCTTCATCCATGTCCCTACAAAGGACATGAACTCATCTTTTTTTATGGCTGCATAGTATTCCATGGTGTATATATGCCACATTTTCTTAATCCAGTCTATCATTGTTGGACATTTGGGTTGGTTCCAAGTCTTTGCTCTTGTAAATAGTGCCGCAATAAACATACGTGTGCATGTGTCTTTATAGCAGCATGATTTATAATCCTTTAGGTATATACCCAGTAATGAGAAGGCTGGGTCAAATGGTATTTCTAGTTCTAGATCCTTGAGGAATCGCCACACTCTCTTCCACAATGGTTGAACTAGTTTAAAGTCCCATCAACAGTATAAAAGTGTTCCTATTTCTCCACATCCTCTCCAGCACCTGTTGTTTCCTGACTTTTTAATGATTGCCATTCTAACTGTTGTGAGATGGTATCTCACTGTGGTTTTAATTTGCATTTCTCTGATGGCCAGTGATGATGAGCATTTTTTCATGTGTCTGTTGGCTGCATAAATGTCTTCTTTTGAGAAGTGTCTGTTCATAACCTTTGCCCGCTTTTTGATGGGGTTGTTTGTTTTTTTCTTGTAAATTTGTTGGAGTTCTTTATAGATTCTGGATATTAGCCCTTTGTCAGATGAGTAGATTGCAAAAATTTTCTCCCATTCTGTAGGTTGCCTATTCACTCTGATGGTAGTTTCTTTTGCTGTGCAGAAGCTCTTTAGTTTAATTAGATCCCATTTGTCAATTTTGGCTTTTGTTGCCATTGCTTTTGGTGTTTTAGACATGAAGTCCTTGCCCATGCCTATGTCCTGAATGGTATTGCCTAGGTTTTCTTCTAGGTTTTTTATGGTTTCAGGTCTAACATGTAAGTCTTTAATCCATCTTGAATTAATTTTTGTGTAAGGTGTAAGGAAGGGATCCAGTTTCAGCTTTCTACATATGGCTAGCCAGTTTTTCCAGCACCATTTATTAAATAGGGAATCCTTTCCCCAGTGTTTGTTTTTGTCAGGTTTGTCAAAGATCAGATGGTTGTAGATGTGTGGTATTATTTCTGAGGTCTCTGTTCTGTTCCATTGGTCTATATCTCTGTTTTTGTATCAATACCATGCTGTTTTGGTTACTGTAGCCTTGTAGTATAGTTTGAAGTCAGGTAGCGTGATGCCTCCAGCTTTGTTCTTTTGGCTTAGGATTGTCTTGGCAATGAGGGCCCTGTTTTGGTTCCATATGAACTTTAAAGCAGTTTTTTTCCAATTCTGTGAAGAAAGTCATTGGTAGCTTGATGGGGATGGCATTGAATCTATAAATTACCTTGGGCAGTATGGCCATTTTCATGATATTGATTCTTCCTATCCATGAGCATAGAACGTTCTTCCATTTGTTTGTGTCCTCTTTTATTTCACTGAGCAGTGGTTTGTAGTTCTCCTTGAAGAGGACATTCACATCCCTTGTAAGTTGGATTCCTAGGTATTTTATTCTCTTTGAAGCAATTGTGAATGGGAGTTCACTCATGATTTGGCTCTCTGTTTGCCTGTTATTGGTGTATAAGAATGCTTGTGATTTTTGCACATTGATTTTGTATCCTGAGTCTTTGCTGAAGTTGCTTATCAGCTTAAGGAGATTTTGGGCTGAGACGATGGGATTTTCTAAATATACAATCATGGCATCTGCAAACAGGGACAATTTGACTTCCTCTTTTCCTAATTGAACACCCTTTATTTCTTTCTCCTGGCTGATTGCCCTGGCCAGAACTTTCAACACTATGTTGAATAGGAGTGGTGAGAGAGGGCATCCCTGTCTTGTACCAGTTTTCAAAGTGGAAAGAGCTTTAATTTTGCTTTAATTTTTTTTTCATTCTCATGTTAGCTGTACACTGCTTTTATGTGCATGTCTGTCTTTTTCTGATCAAAAAACCTTAAAGTTCTTTACTGCCTATTGGACTAAATTAGGTTTCCATATTTAGGGGATGATAGAGACACTATGTATTTCTACCCTGATAACAGATTGACATAGCCACCTAAAATAGGATTCACCACATATAATCATACTTCATTTTTTTAAAGTTATTAACGAAAAGAAAAATTATTCTGAATGCAACTGAAATTTTGTTCTTCCCACTCAATTCTATTCTTGTCCTTACTTTCTCAGAGGTAACTAGGATTATCTGTCTTGTTGTGGAGAAGAATAAGAAATCCTTGTCATTGTTCATTGAAATTCAAATTAAACTGTGCAGAAGTATATTTAGCATATCTATAATCATTTGCAGCTTTCAACTTTGAATCAAAAAAAGTTTTATCTTTAAAAAGATGAGACATCAATTTTTAAAGTAAAAATGTTTAATCTGTTGCAGAATTTGAAGTTTTTTACATGGTGTATTTAAAAAGATTAAATTGTTATTCTAAAAAGAAAGGTTATAATATTCCCAGGTCTTCAGTATTCATGCTTTCATATAAGACCAAGAAGAGTTTTTAATCCTAACCACATGTTAGAATGCATTAGGGAATTTAATAAAATATAGTTGCCAGAATCCCACCAATTGAATAAAAATCTCTGACAGAGCCAAGACATCAGCATTTCAATAGATCCCCAAATGAGTGAAAGTTGCATTTACTTTGAATGAATTTGATGACAAGTGTTGCTGATTTTACTTGTTGCATGTTAGGGTACTTAGCAGATATCAAAAAGCCAAGAACATGTACAAGACGGATTTGCAGATTGTAGCTTTCCTGTTGTACTACTCATCCCTATTATCTCTAATTGCTTAGTATTTATTCATACAACTAATTTTTTTTGTAAAGTCGATTGTTGCCAGCAGTGTAACTGTATTACACTGTATTAGGTATGTCTTTTATGTACTTCTTAAAGTCTTTTTGATTGATTTATTGTGATTTAAACAACATCCAAGTGAGAGTTCAGCATCAGAAAAGGTTAAATCATAATAATAACTAATACAGATAAGGGCTTTAATATTCTCACCGAAGCCTTTAACTATGGCCTTTAATATTTGCACCAAAGCCTTTAGGTAGTTAAGTATTATTGTACACTGTTCATGGCACAACTGTTATTGTACACTGTTCATATTACAACTTAAATATCTAACAGGCATCACAAAGTAAACTTTTATAAAACTAAGTTCCTAATGTTCTCCCCCAAACCAGCTCTTCTCTCTATCTTTGCCAGCTCAGTAATAATTACATTTTTCTAGGTAAGCAAGCAAAAAACCTGGGACAATTATTAACCGTTTTTTCTCTCACACCTCAATTCCAACCTATTAAGCTACATTTGCCATAACTTTCAAATTATGTCTAGAATGTGACAATTTCTCACTATCCCCACTGCTACCATACTAATATGTAAGAACTATTGAAATATCCTCCAAATTGCTCCTTCAGTTTACTTTTAGCAGGTAATCTAGAGTTCTCTTCAACTTTATATCAATTTCCAATTGCATAAATGTTTTATTGAAGTCTCCATAATACTCAAACGCCCTATATTATGGTCCCATTTGTCTTTCTGACCTCATTTTGACCACATTCACTATTATCCAACTACACTGGCCTATACAATATTTCTCAAAGTTGCCAGGCATGGTTATATATCAAGCTCTTTGCAAGTGATTTCCTCCTGGACTGTCTGCAAGGTTTTGTTTCTTATTTCCTTGAAGATTTTACTCTCCTGCTCAGGGAGGCATTTCCTGGCCATCCTTTCTAACAGAGAACACCCGATCCCGACCAATGTTTTTTATCCTCTTTCTCCAACTCAGTTGTTGCCTTAGTATGATTCACTATCCAACCAATCATATATTACTTTTCATATGTTCATTTTTCTCAGCCAGTCAAAATATAAGCTCCACAAAAAGCAGAATTTCTTATTGTCATTGTTGTTTGTGATTTTATTCCAGATGCTTAGAAAAATTCCTGGCACATACTAGATACTCAAGAATTATTCACACAAAGTAAAGAATCTTAACTGTATTGTCAACTTCAGCATCTGTCAAAATATTTTCTCCATTGCATATACAAAAAGCTCAAGTGTACTACAAAAAGAATTACTGTGTTTGTCAAATATTTTGGAGATCATTTCACAGATGGATTCAATTTTTAACTGAATCTTCACGAACATATGAAAATTGTCATGAGAGAGAATATAGAAAATGTAAAAAAAGGGCATTTTCAGGTAGAGGAAATATGGAGTGTTGCATGTACTCTGGAAAGATTGTAAATGGCACATGCAACATGTCAAAACATGGAGTCAGAAATATCTCCTAGAACGATTTTGATTGATCGTGAATTCTACGTTAAATATCTTGAACATTACCTAGATTTTATAACAAGACCGTAGAAATGTTTGATTCAGTAAAATTACCTATTATATCTACTTTAGAGAGAAAATGTTTGTGAAGTTGCTCTTGAAAATGCATTTTACAAATAACAGACAAGATGTAAGAAAGCCTGTTAGAAAGCTGAGTATGAGCAATATCAGATAAACTATGCAGAAGCAATAGATTGAAAAGATTAGGTGGAAGAAGTCAAAGTATAAATGTTTCCAAGAATTTTGGTGGCTAATGAAAGGGGAAAATGGGTGATTCAGTTAGTGGGTGGAACAGAGTGATGGTATCTGTAAAATGAAGGAGAATTAAGGATATTTTAGGCTAAGCGAAGAAGCAGGTGCAAATGAAACAAGTAAAGCTGTACAAAGAAAAAGTAACAAACATAAAAGTAAGCTTGTAGAGAATGAGGAAAGAGCAGATAGGCCCATATCTCACAGAGACGTAACTCAGAACAATTAATGAAGAGTCACAAAAGTGAGCAAGCATGGTTGTCTGATTTCCAAACTCTCAGAAATTAAAACAAATAAGCAAGGGCTAAAACAGTTGCTGCTAAAGACAAGCAATACTGATTGTTAAGGGAAATTAAAGAGCTTACTAAACATCAAGAAGTGCTAGACCAACGTGAGTGACAAATACAGAAATGTGAAAAACCAGATTTCTTCTCCTCAGGAGGACAAAGTTATTCATATAGTTCCATGTCAAACAAAATGATCGCTAGGCAGCAATGAAGGTTACATAAAAATCAGAAACAATAAAATAATGGCAGTTCTATAAACCATAGCCCCATGAAAGAAAAAGATTTAAATCTATGAATAGCTATAAATACTAAAGATAATAATCAGTCCTCTGTAGTATTAAAAATATATTCACATACGCGGTAAATTTGACAAATATTTATCCGTAAAATTATTAGAAATTTTAACGTTCTAGTGCTTAAATATCAATGCTTCAGATAATTAGGAGACTTGCTTTTCCAAAACTCTCCATCTTCCAACAATTACAGACACCTAGAAATTAGCATTTTGGCACTTGGGCAAAATCCAGCCATCCTTGGGTACTGTAGGCAAACACTTTTTTTGTTCGTTTTTGTTCTTGCTTTGGCTTTATTTAATGATTATTTTATTATTATGTACACGCTTTCTGCAGTTCATATATATTTTACTGAAATTTTTGTACAGTTTTTTTGTTTTGCCTGAAATTAATAATTTTCTTGTCTTTGGGGGATACTTAGTTTTGCATGTACATTTCATTAATTCTTCCCTAAAAACTTTAATAGAAGGACAGCATCTTCTTATGGAATTTAGAATGCTTCTGATTGCAAGTAGCATAATGCCCAACCTAAACAAAATAGATTTTAAAGATTTCCTCACTCATAAAGAAGTCTGTAGCTAGGGCTTTTTGTGGTTGGTTAATTCAGTGGCATTTCAATGTCATTATGAATACAGGTGCTTTTCACATTTCTGTTTTGCCAGCCACAGCATGTTGATTTTTTGTTTTCAGGCTTGACCTCTCATGACCATAAGATGGCTATTATAGCTCCAAGTATCACTTCCATACACCAAAGGCAGGAAGAGGAACACTTCTTCGTCCCTCTTCCTCTTCTCTCCCTTTATTTCTTTTTTCTTTTCTTTTCTTCTCTTTTTTTTTACTGTTTATAGTTCCCTATTTTTTTCTTTTTATACTTTAAGTTCTAGGGTACATGTGCACAACGTGCAGGTTTGTTACATATGTATACATTCGCCATGTTGGTGTGCTGCGCCCATTAACTCGTCATTTACATTAGGTATATCTCCTAATGCTATCTCTCCCCCTTCCCTCCACCCCATGACAGGCCCCAGTGTGTGATGTTCCCCACCCTGTGTCCAAGTGTTCTCATTGTTCAATTCCCACCTGTGAGTGAGAACATGCAGTGTTTGGTTTTCTCTCCTTGCGATAGTTTGATGAGAATGATAGTTTCCAGCTTCATCCATGTCCCTACAAAGGACATGAACTCATCATTTTTTATGGCTGCATAGTATTCCATGGTGCATATGTGCCATGTTTTCTTAATCCAGTCTATCATTGATGGACATCTGGGTTGGTTCCAAGTCTTTGCTATTGTGAATAGTGCCACAATAAATATATGTGTGTGTGTGTCTTTATAGCACCATGATTTATAATCCTTTGGGTATATACCCAGTAATGGAATGGCTGGGTCAAATGGTATTTCTAGTTCTAGATCCTTGAGGAATCACCACACTCTCTTCCACAATGGTTGAACTGGTTTACAGTCCCACCAACAGTGTAAAAGTGTTCCTATTTCTCCACATCCTCTCCAGCACCTGTTGTTTCCTGACTTTTTAATGATTGCCATTCTAACTGGTGTGAGATGGTATCTCATTGTGGTTTTGATTTGCATTTCTCTGATGGCCAGTGATGATGAGCATTTTTCATGTGTCTGTTGGCTACAAAAATGTCTTCTTTTGAGAAGTGTCTGTTCATATCCTTTGCCCACTTTTTGATGGGGTTGTTTGATTTGTTTTTGAGAAAGGCTCTTTCTTTGTTGGTCAGGCTAGGGTGCAGTGGTATAATTATGGCTCACTACAGCCTCCAACTCCTGGGCTCAAGCGATCCTCCCACCTCAGCCTCCTGAGTAGCTGGAAGTACAGGCATGTGCCACCACTTCAGGCTAATTTTTTTATTTATGGTAGAGACAAGGCCTCACTGTGTTGCCCAGCCAGTCTCAAACTCCAGTGGTCAAGCGATCCTCCTACCTTGGCCTTTCAACATTCTGGGATTACAGGCATGAACCACCATGTCCAGCCTTAGACACACAATTTTTTTTTTTTTTTTGAGACAGAGTCTCACTCTTTCACCCAGGCTGGAGTGCAGTGGCATGATCTCGGCTCACTGCAACCTCCACCTCCCAGGTTCAAGCGATTCTCCTGTCCCAGCCTCCAGAGTAGCTAGGACTACAGGTGCATGCAACTACATCTGGCTAATTTTTTGTATTTTTAGTAGAGATGGGAAATATGTACCTATTTTAGATTCAAATATAACCTACTTTAGGCAGGTCCAGGTTAAACTAATTTTAGTGTTAGCCAGGATGGTCTTGATCTCCTGACCTTGTAATCCACCCCCCTCAGACTCCCAAAGTGCTGGGATTACAGGCGTGAGCCACCGCACCCGGCCAGATGCAAAACTTTTTAACAGTTTTAAATTTGGATAATATGTAAAAAATTTTAAAGAAATATTGAAAAACAGCAGAAGTGGCAAGAATGAGGCATATATTTTATATTTCGAGATTGACTGGAACTATTAACTTTTCTGTTCAGATCAGGCTAGCACTTTTAGGAAGGCCTCTGTTCCCACAATACCTTACTTTACTTAAACCTGGACCTACTTTAGGCAGGTCCAGGTTTAACTAAAATAATTTTAGTTTACCCATGTTTACCCATGGGTAATTTTACATTCACCATGTCGCCTGTTTTCTACCCCCAGGAAGCAGAGCAGAGATGTTTGATCTGCTTGGTCACATTTTACCTTGTGACTTCTGAAAAAGTAATCACCATGTAGATACCAATTTACTTTATATAAATTATTGCTAACCACTACATCTTTATATGTTAAATATTACTATTATTATTTCAATATGTAGAAACCTCTGAAAGAAATTAAGAAAACAAACTTTAATGAAAGTTACTGCTATTAAGTTAGAGAGCTGAGTTTCCCATTATATCACATAAACATGTATATAGCTTATTTTATTTTTATTGTTGACAAATTATAGGCAATGGATATTGGGATCACATAAAAAATACTTACATATGTAAGCATTTTTTCACATACTTACACAATCTGATGTATCAAAAATGTAATTTGGTATATTTATTTAGGATATTTTAGACTAGAGAACACACTGAAATACCTCTAGGAAAAATCAGCATTTGGAGAGGGCAGAGAAATATGTAGGACTCTCCAGCAATTGTCTCCTGACAGAAACAGCAGTTTCAACAACATCCATGCACAAAAAATACCTTCACAGGGACTCAGAAAGCCAGGTGAAAAATCATAGTATCTAGTTGTAGCATAATAATAAAAAGAGATACATTAAACAGCATAGGAAGGATAATTTTGCAATACCCATATCACTTCTTTTCCACCCCCAGGCAGCAGAGCATGGAGAGGTATACACTTGAGGAAGAGAGACGGGAGTAAACATAGGATTTTTTTCTTCAACCCCAAAACCATTACTGTCATAGTAAAACCTAATGCCAGGCAGACACCAAGCCAGTACCCAAGGACTGAACCCCCAGACTTACTCTGGTGCCAGGTAAGAACCTGTAACTACTACCAAGTGGATTTGATCTGCAATCCACATAACTGCTAGCCAAAAACAGTGGCCAAGGGCTCCAGACAAACTTTGCTAGCAAGCAGGCCTCAGTGTCTATGAGCTGTGGGTGTGCCCAAACACTGCACTGGCATTAGTGACCAAAGAATTCCAGCCTGGCACTGTACCAGCCACTATGGCCCTAGGCTTAGGATGCCGTCTAGTGATGCAATGGCTGTAGCAGTCATGAACTTAGGGACCATGCCAGACAGTTTTTCCAGAATCTCTGGACAGGTTTACTGTTAAGGAGCTTACCCAGACAAAGCCAGGCTGTAAAGAACAGAATCAAGTACCTACTTCTCCAATTCACAGACATCAGTGAAAAACCACAAGAATTAAGAAAAATAAAAACACATGATATCACCAAACAAACAAAGTAAGGTGTCAATGACCAATCTTAAGCAAATGGAGATGTACGAATTATGTAAAAAAGAATTTAAAATAGCTGTTTTAAGAAAGCTCAACAAACTTCAAGAAATACAGAGAAAAAATTCAACGCATGAGGAAAACAATAAGTGATCATATAAAAAATTAACACAGAAATTGAAATCATCAAAAAAAGAAATTTTGGAGCTAAAAATTACAAACAATTAAATGAAAACTACAATAACAATAGAATTGATCAAGCAAAAGAAAAATATGTGTACCTGAAGGCAGGCTATTTTTAATCATATAGGCAGAAAAAAAGAAAATAGAATAAATAAAGCTTATGGGATTTATGGAACAGCAAGAAAGGGCAAATTTTTTAGTTATTGTAATTCAAGAGAGAGTAGAGAAAGATAAAAGGATTAAAAGAGCATTTTCTAAAATAATAGCAAAAAACTTTCCTGGTGAAAGATCTAAATATTCAGATACATGGAGGTAAAAAATCTCCAATCAAATTCAATCCATATAAGATAACCCAAGATATAATATATTCAAATGGTCAACAATCAAAGACAAACAGAGGATCCTGAAAGCAGCAAGAAAAAAGAGGCAAGAAACGTAAAAGAGAGTCATAGTATGCCTAGAAGCAGACGTCTCAACAGAAATCTTACAGGACAGGAGAGAGAAATAATATATTCAATTTGCTGAAAGAAAAAAACCCGCCAACCAATAATATTGTACCAAGGAAAGGTGTCCTTTAGAAATTAAGGAGAAATAAATATTTTCCCAGACAAACAAAAGCTGATCATCACTAGCTCTGCTTTAAAAAAAAATGCTAAAGAATTACTTAAAGTGAAAGAGAAGGGTGCTAATGAGTAACATGAAAACAGCTAAAAGTGTAATTCTCTCAAAGTATAACTGCAGTCTGACTTTTTCTGGGAGTGCTCCTTAGCAGTAATTCTCACTAGTGTAAAGTAGTGAATTTGGAATACTTTAATATTGTAATGATGGTGTGTAAATTACTTATATTAATATACCAAGGTGTCTTGTTTTTGTTTTTTGTTTTTGTTTTTGCAATCAAAGTTTGATTGTTATTGCTTAAAATAACCTATTATAAGAGGTTTTTGAAAACCTCATGGTAGCCACAAAGCCAAAACCTACAATCAGAACACAAAAAATAAGAGGTGAGAAATCAAAATGTACTAGCAGAGAAAATTATTTAACCACAAAGGAAAACTCTATAAGAGGAAGAAAGAATCTACAAAATCACTAGAAATAACAAAGTGGCAGTAGTAAGTATTTACCCATTACTAATTACCTTGAATGTAGTAAATGGATTAAATAATCCAATCAAAAGACAGGGTGGTTGAATGAATAGAAACAAAACTTGTCTATATGCTACCAAGAAGAGACTCACTTCACCCATAAGGACACTCATAGACTGCAAATGAAGGAAAGAAAAAATACTACATGCAAATGCATAGAAAAAGAGAACACCAATAGTTATATCAGATAAAGTAGACTTTAAGTCAAAAATTATAAAAAGAGACAAAGAAAGTTATTATGAAGTCATGTAGTGATTAGTTCAGCAAGAAAATATAACAGCTGTAAGTATATTTGCATCTAATATTAAAGTATCTAAATATATAAAGCAACTGTTAATAAATCTGAAGGAAGAGATAAACTGCAATAAAATAATGTTTTAAATAATAATAATAAAGTAGAAGACTTTAATACCCCACTTTCACCAATGGACAGATAACAGACAAAAAATGAATAAGAAAACACTGGACTTAAGTACATTAGACCAAATGGACCATGCATCTAAAAGCTGCAGAATACACATTCTTCTCAACCGCACATGGAACATTCTCCAGAAGAGATGATACAGTAGGCCACAAAAAAAGTCTTAACAACTTTAAGAATATTTAAATCACATTAAGTATGTTTTCTGATCATTATGATATAAACCTAGAAAAAATAACAGGGGGAACTTTGGATTATTCACAAATACCTGAAAATTGAACCACATATGCCTGAACAGCCAATGGGTCAGTGAAGAAATTAAAAGAGAAATTTTAAAAATTCCTAAGAAAAATGAAAATGGGAACACAGCATACAAAAACCTATGGGATACAGCAAAAGCAGCTCTAAGATGAAGTTTATGGAAATAAATGCCTACATCTAAAAAGAAGAAAGATATCAAATAAACCATGTCACATCACACCTCAAGGAACTCAAAAAACAAGACAAAACTAAGCCCCCCAAAGAAGAAGGAATATAATAAATATCAGAACAGATATAAATGGAATAGAGACTAGGAAAACAATTCAGAATCAACAAAATGACAACTTGTTTTTTATAGAAGATAAAATAAACAAACTTTTAGCTAGATTACCTAAGAAAAACAGAAAGAAGGCTCAAATAGATAAAATCAGAGATAAAAAAGGAGATATTATAGCTGATACCACATAAATAACAAAGGACCATAGGAGACTATTATGAGAAATTATACACCAACAAATTGGATAACATAGAAGAAATAGATAAATTACTGGGCACATACTACCTACCATGTAGATACCAAGAATAAATTATGAAGAAATAAACAATCTGAACAGATCAATAATGAATAAGGAAATTGAATAAGTAATAAAAAGTCTTCCATCAAAGATAAGCCAAGGATCTGATGGCCTCACTGCTGAATTTTACCTAACATTTAATGAGACCTAATAACTAATTCTTCTCATAATGTTCCAGAAAATTGTAGAGGAGAAAATTCTTTCTAATTCATTCTATGAGGCCAGTATTATCCTGACACCAAAATCAGACAAAGAAACGACAAAAATTAAACCTACCGGTTAATATCGCTGATGATCATAGATGCAAAAATCCTCAACAACATATTAGCAAGCTGAAATTTTTATACTACCTAAAGCAATCTACAGATTCAATACAATCCCTAGCAAAATATCAATGACAGTCTTCACAAAAAAAACAAATTCTTGATATTTGTATGGAATCACAAAGGACCCTGAGCAACCAAAGCAATCTTGAGAAAAAAAGAACAAAGCTGGAAGCATAGCACTACTTGACATTAAAATATATTACAAAGCTATAGTAACCCAAGCAGCATGGTACTGGCGTAAAAACAGACACACAGACCAAAGGAACAGAATAGAGAGCCATGAAAAAAAATATCCATGTATTTACAGCCAACTGATTTTCAACAAGGCACCAAGAAAACACAGTGGGGAAAGAAGGGTCTCTAATAAATGATGTTGGGGTATTCACATCCAGAAAAATAGAATTATACCCTTATCTCTCATCATATTCAATGATCACTCAAAATGGATTAAAGACTTAAATGTAAAACTTGAAACTACGAAACTATTGGAAGAAAATATAGGGAAAACATTCATGACATTGGTTTATGCAATGATTTTTTTTGTATAGGACCTCAAAAGCATATGCAACAAACAAAAGCAAAAACAGACATATTGGATCATATCAAACTAAAAAGCCCAATAGCAAAGATCCAAATAACCTGATTAAAAATGGGCAAAAGACCAGAGTAGATATTTCTCAAAAGAAGACTACAAAGGGCCAACAGATATATAAAAAAAATCAAAATCACTAATTATAAGGCAAATGCAAATTGAAACCACAGTGAGATATCACTCCACACCTGACAGAATGACAATTATCCAAAAGATAAAAGATAAAGATATTGGCAAAGATGTGGAGGAAAAAAAAACACTTTTACACTGTTAGTGGCAAGGTAAACTGGTACAGACATTATGAAACACAATATAGAGGTTCCTCAAAGAATTAAAAATAGGACAAGCATATGATCCAGCAATCCCACTACTGGATGCATAGCCCAAGGAAATTAAGAGCTTCATGCCCTACCTACTGAGCTAGCCAGGCTTCTAGCCCAAGGAAATTAAATCAGATGTTGAAGAGATATCTGCACTCCCATGTTTACCCCAGCAATATTCCCAGTGGCCAAGATATGAAATCAACGTAAGTATTCATCAACAGATAAATAAAGAAAATGTAATATATGCACTCATTGGAATACTATTTAGATATAAAAGAGAAGAAAATTCTGTAATTTGTGACATCAATGAACCTGGAGAACATTATGCTAAATGAGGTAAGCTAAGCACTGGAAAACAAATACTTTATGATCTCATATTGGAATCTCAAAAAGGTGATCTCATAAAAGTAAAAAGTAGAATGGCAGTTGCTAGAGACTGATGCTGGTCAAAGGATACATAATTAGACTTACATAAAAGAAATAAGTTCAAGAGACCTATTGTAAAGTATGGTGACTATAGTTAATACATAATGCATTCTTGAGCATAGACATTAAGTGATCTTACGACAAAAAATAACTATGTGAGGTAATGCATTTGTTAATTAGCAACGTTTAACCATTCACTATATATATATACTCAGTAGGTAGGGCATGAAGCTCACATATATATATATATATATATATATATATATATATATATATATATGTATATATATATGTGTGTGTGTGTGTGTAATTGCAAACATTAAGGTACACATGATAAATACATACAATTTTATTTGTCAATTTAAAACAAATTTGAAAAAAATATACTGCTGCTCTAGATATTTTAAAACAATTTTCCAGCAGAAAGTAGGCAGAAGTCTGTTAATAAAAAGATTATATTATTACAACAAAAAACAAAAAAAAATAAAAAATTATCTTGAGCCATGCAGTTACCTGGCAGAGGTAAGCTATACAAACTGGAATATAGATAATCATTGTACATAATAACATCCTCATTTCTATCTATCATGTTCTAGATCAACCTGAGTGAAAACACTTCTTGGAATATGTCTTACAAAAATAAATGGAAAAACAATTTCTAATCATTATGACTTCCTAGAATTCAAATCCCTTATAGATATTTCAAACCACTGAATGACCACATCATGCAAGAGCAAGATTTAAATAGTGCTACGATAACCCACCTAAGGTCTCCCTCTGCTTAGACTTCTTATCTGCCATTTAGGAAATAAGGCAGTATTTTCATGTATCCCTGTTATTCTACATGCCTAATGATATTGTAAAACCTAATGATCTGCAAAATTTATTTAAAGAAATTTATGCCACTATACCTTAGAATTCTTTGAGAGATTGTTTTATAACTAACATAAGCTACTGATTTATCTCCATTTGGATGCTATGGATAGAATTAAGATTGAGAAAGAGACACTGAAAACGGTTAATTATGCTGTTCCATCTTATGATGTCAAAGCCTTCTTTTAAGGGCAAGGTCAATATAATGAAGTTTTTGGAAATCCAGGCCACTGTGTGTTTGATTTCTGACCTCCTAGATTACTTTTTTATCTGGTATCCACACAGCAAAACATTTATCTAACATAGTTGTTCTGAAGACTACAGACAGTATTTAAAACATATCCAGCACAGTGTCTGGGATGGAGCAGATACTTAGTAACTGCACCTATTTCTAAATTTCTCAATTACCAACAAGTTAAAGTATTTCTTTAACTCTCAGTTAACATCTGTCCATGTTCTAGTTTCCTTTCACATGAAAAATATAATGATGAAAATTGAAAAACTACAATAAATGATAAATGTATTTCAAATATTAACAGGCAATAATGTAATTATGAACTTATCATTTTAAAACATTTTTATAAAATGTTTCTAAAATTAATTTTATATATGCATAAAGATCATTTTATCCTATAAAAGTAAACAAATATCAGATATTTTATTAGAGTTATTTTAATAGAGTAAGAAATTAATAACAAGCAGATAATGCAAATCTCTGTATATGACATAACATAATGCCTATGTGTACACATTCTTTAGATTTGCATATTTATGGCTCACTGGCATATTTAAAACTGTGTGAAAAAATTGTTCTTTAAAAATAATTAATTTAAGATTTATAAGATATAATGAGCAAGATACTGAATAACATAACTTTAGTTTTCAGTTCTTTGTTTAATCACAGGAAAAGTTGAGCTGATATGTGGTCAGAAAATCCGTGGAGTTATATGTATCATACTATGAGAAATTGATTTATGTCAAAGAGATATGTCAAAGCAATCATGTAAAGTCTTTCATTACTTAAGATATCTGAAAGGAGGGGCACAGATGTTCAGTGACTTGCTAAGCTTCAGTAGCCAGTCCCATGTCAAGTTAGGACTAGTAGGACCATAGATGCACCCACACAGTATTACTTCTACCTGCTACTTCTTGACATACTGCATTTTTGGCTCACCTGGAAACTAATCTGCAAATGAGTCTGTTCTATTTTGCATTTCTAGTAATTGTTCTCCAAAAGGTTGAAGAATTGTAAATAATATGGCCTGGTAGATTACACCTGTTGTGTGTATCAACATATCTTCATGTCTAGAACAGTGCCTGGCATGTGGTAGCAATTATTTATTGAATAAGCAAATTGATAAATAAATTAACCAATTCTACATAGGACCAATATTCCTACTAATTTACTATTCCTGAAAATACCTTTTATATTTTAGAAACCGATATTGTATATTATTTTCTATTAATAAATTTTATCTTAAAAATGTATTAAAGTAAAAAACTTGTCATATTCATATCCATGTTTCTCAAATGAATCTGCTTTTACCCATCATTTGTATTTCCCACTTATCTGTGATTATAAATTAAAACAGAGTTAATGAGGAAATGTGTGATTTTAGGGAGTTAAATTATTATTGATTTGCTACATACCTGTTTTATAGGACTCAGTAAATATGAAGTTCTTCATCTTTACTTGTCTTTTGGCTATTGCTCTTGCAAAGCATGTAAGTATAATGAAACATTTACAAGTATCTATTCTAATTTAAATATAAGGGTAAATATTTTATGCAAATGAAGGCAGGGGTGGGCAGCAAGGAACAGAAATTAAGTGTGTGAACTTATAAAACTATAATCAAAGACAGCATTGGCCCTACCTTATACAAGATATGAAAGTGGACACACTTTGTATGATGTATTCTTGTAGTTCTGTGGAGATTTTTTACTTGTGGGTTAAAAGGCCTATACTTCCATCTCTGTCTGTTTGCATTCACCAGGGAACTGTTTTCACTCCCGTGGCATATCTCTTTGAAAGCGCAGAAAAGCCACAGATAAAATGTAGACTCCAAAACCATCTCTCAAATAAGTGATAGAGTTTCACCATTCTTGATTACATTAGTTCAGAGCTAGGAAGATCAGACAGGAAACAAGGGTGACTTTGTAAATTACTTGCAAAAATAACCTAATGCAAAACAATTCCTCAGCTTCTCAAAGCATTATATTTTTCTTGAGAGAATATAGTACTAATATTCATATAAAAAATGATAAGGATGGCAATATTACTTTGAGTGAATTACTTTGAAAACACACACACACACACACGCACGCACACATTTACTCTATTCACTTCCTCAGAAGTAACTCATTTTTTCTTTTTTTTTTTGCCTTACCCTGCAGCTGGCACCATCCATACCTTTCCCATACCCAGTATCTTACTTCTCATAAGCACACCATTTCTTTAGGGTGATCAGAGTTCTTTGCTTCATCTATGTCTCCATATCGCTCACATAAATCTTGACAAGTTTTTGTTATTTCTTAAATTTAGAGCCAATTTAAGGGCAAAGCTAGATAAGAATTCTAGTTAGGTAAATAAAAAAATAATAATAGTACTTTGGCAATCTCACACCCACCAAGATTGATTGTTCTTATGATCTACTCTGACTTTGTTCCCTTTCTCTCTAGTCAATAATTGCCTTTGATCTTTTATTTAAATAAAACAATTTTATTCAACTAAGAATATGGTGGCTGCACTAGCAAGTGACAGACCACAGATATTAAAAGCTAAATTTGTCACAATCTATTGAGAACATAAGTACAAAATTGAGTTTGTATGACAGTTTTTCATATTTTAAAAATTAATCTTCAACTTTTTATGCCACTTGACAGAAGCACTCGCCCAATATTTTTAATTCTAACAGTATAAGTGAAGTAAAATAAAATATTACACCAGAGTCTTAACACTTTAAGATTTGGTGGTACATTTATGAATATAATTATATTTTAAATGGTGAAACAGTTAATACTCAAAAGCTAAGAACCCACCTACTTCCTAAAAGAAATATATTAAACCATGACAAGAATTCACTTGAGGTATACAGTGATTTGCTCATTAACATTATAGGAAACCAAGAGAATTTTGCAAAGAAACTCTATGCAACTAAAAGTTCCTAGAATCAGATGACTAAAATTCCCTTGCCACCAAGAAACAAAAGAAACAAAATGGAAAGACAGTTTTACATTTTAAATAAGCGATAAAAGTGAAACTTGAATTACTTTTTGTTTTTTATATAGAATATGGAGCATCACTCCTCCAGCGAGGTAAGACACTTTAATTCTTCCACCTAGTAAACACGTGATATGTCCTAAACTAAGTCTTTATATGTGTTAAGACCAAAAATGTACACATTCAAATTAACCAGATTAAATTTGTGCATTTTTTCCTCTGAATAGTTCCTAATGTTAAAGATATTAGCTCAGAAGCTATGGTGAATATTCTACATCTTGGGAGAAGAGTGACAGGAATTCATTCTACATTTCTGAAATAAGAACTCATATTCATCTGGGTCCATATTAAATGTTAATTTCCAAATGATTTTTCTGGGCAGGGGTGCATAAAAGACACACACACATTTTTACTGTTGCCCAAAGGCTTTTTTTTTTCTGCAATGTGTTTAACCCCTTTAAAAAGCAGAGGAAAATTCAAAATTATGTAGAAGAAATATAAAAATTTCTTTTCTTCTTTGTGGTTCATATTTGGGAAAGTTTTGTTACAGTTATTAATAAACCAAAACACAATATCAAAATGTTAGCTATCTAAAATATGATAAATTAGTTGTGTGGGGAGTGAAACTTTTGTCAACTTAATCCTATAGTTCAGAATAATATAAATATATTATTTACCACTGGATGTTGAGTGTAAATTGACAACTTATAGCTAGTACAAATATAATTTAGGTAAGTAACTATTGTTTTTTCCTTTTTTAAGTAATCTGTCAGCATCTCCCAGGAAGTAAGTCCTAACTCCTTAAATTAAATATATTTTAACTTTTTTATTTAATGAAGGTTATATAAGACTTTTATTTAGTTTGTAGAAATTTAAGCAGGTCAAGAATATAGTCATTTTTCCCAATGAGGTAAAATGTAATTATTTCATTATATTAATTTTTGATAACTTATCTTTTTCCATCAAACGTAGGTCATTTTCTCACCCAAAAATGAGTATGTTAGCTATGATTGTTAAAATGGTGATGTTTTCATTGATTTGCCAAAATGCAGTGGAGCAATATGAAAAAGGTCTTAGTAAAAGATTTGTTAGTTCTATTATTAAAACAGATATCTTTGAAATAATTTCTTCTTAATGGTTCATCACATTTACCTCTCCAACTCTGCATTCTTTTGTTTACAATGTTGTGTTTCCTTTGCTATCCATTTATGTGAAATTACATTATACTGCATTTCAGTACATTATACATTCCCTCTTCATTTTCTTTTCTTTTCAGAAGGACAATTGTTCTACTTCCTGTAAGGTATATATTGATAGCAGATCTATAGCAGAATGTGAAATAAAAATATTGTCATACTTTGAGCCAAATTGAAATTAACCTGGATTTTTAAAATATTCCAAAGCAATCAAATTTGAAAACCAAAACTATTTATAAAGAATGAGACAAAGTTATCTTCTCTTTTTAAAATTCTGTGAATAATTCAGCCGAAAAATATTTTTTTTGCATAAATCAACTAATATACTTAATTCTAAGATCTCGTGAGGAGTGGAGAACTTGTCACTTAGTGGTCTTCATTCCTAAAAATTCCCAAATTTTCATTATCGTTCTTAAAAAATTAATTTGCTATTTAGATTGATATGCATTTTTTCCTAAAATTGTCTCATTTAAATTTAAATCAATATTTTCATAATAGAAACATTATATATGCATTACCAAAAACACATTAGTTTGCCTGGAGATATATTTTTTCTAATAAATCATGATGAGTAAAATGAAGTTTGTCAATGCAATGCCTAAATTATTATAATAGTGTGTTTATTCATTTATTAGACAAACATGTATTGGAGAAGACTATCTTAGACTCGAGGCATACTCTGAATACAGCAGGCAAAATCCTCCTCTCATTTTTCTCACATTCCAATTTACCACTGCTTGTATATTTATTACTAAATGGGAAAGTCTAATATAATTTATACAAAACTTATATAATGAAAATGAATCTATTGTCATGATTCTCTTTATGGGAAAGAAAATTTTCCCTTTATGTTCTGGATAAAATACTTTATAAACAAAGCTGTGGAGAAAATAAGTCTGATTATTTTTCTTCTGTATTTAAGGAAACCACAAAAAACATGAATGAAATGGTGAGAAATTTTTATTTTCTTAAACAATTTTTGTTCACATTCTTAACATGTAATATTACAATATCAATGGCATGTGGAAATATCTGTAAATTTCCTCTCTTAGTAAACTAAAAAGAGATGTATAAATTTATTTAAAATAACAATTTCTCCCTTCCCACTTTAATAGTATTCACCTAAATTGCTCTATATTCTCTTGAGACATTTCCATTCAAGGATAAGGTGATTTTTATCTCTTTTGCTTGTTTTCCAAAGGTAATCAATGATGAACAGTTGAGAAACCTATTGTGTTGTTTTTATTTCAATACTTTTAATCTACCGTACTAATGATTACGTAGGTAATTTGAGGCCTATCTAAAACAACCTCTATCATTAAAGAAATAATGCTGGGGATTTCTTATGGTCACTAAATTTTTATTATTATTATTATTTCTCAAGCAATCTTCTA
Organism: Homo sapiens; assembly: GCF_000001405.40. Lineage (NCBI taxonomy): Eukaryota > Metazoa > Chordata > Mammalia > Primates > Hominidae > Homo > Homo sapiens. The sequence goes on from NC_000004.12 coordinate 70,131,691, forward strand.
GCAGCTCTTCTAGTGAGGTAAGAGCTATTTTCTTTTAACATCAAAAAGCAGGTTCACCAAGACGTGGCAGATTTTTAGCAATTAGATTGTTCATCAAATTGTAACCCAAACTCAATGGTATTTGAGGGAGATTGAAACTGACTATCCGAACATTGGTTTCCCGTTTTGTGCTTTTTGACAGTGTGTATCAAACATCTGATTTCAGAGAAAATTGCATTTTAAAGGAAGCCAGGGTTAAATCAAGAGGCTGCCATTTGCCTTCAGCATAGTTTTATCCTGAAAAACCTCTCAATATCTCTTAGAGCGGTGGTTCTGAAAGTGTTGCCCCTCAGCTAGCAGCAACAACATTATATTCTGGTGCACTTTAAAATTTGAGATTCTTTTGTTTTTAAAAATAAGAGGCTGAATAAGGGATTCGATTATGAGTTGTGTATATCACTGACACAAGAACACCTGCCATGGTAGAAATACCCAAACAATAAACATGATGGGAAAAAGTATCTGGGAAAGGAAGAAGCATGGTGGCACCACAAACCTTGTGGCCTTAGGTGAAGCCTACACTCTTCCTAGTCAGGGACTAGGAAACATGCTTTACTCTTCTTCCAAGCTTCAAGTATCATCTTCAATTGGAGAGTTAACAGTCGCTTAAAGATAACATTTGTGTCCTCTAGAAAGGGTATGTGGGACTTGGTTTGCCACATACCTCACCAGGCCTGTGTCATAATATTTTGTGTCACTTGTCACCTTCTGTAGGCATTTGATATTGTATGAATAATAAAAAATTTATGAAAATTTAAAATAAAACATTTTTATTCATGTGCTATTTTGATAATGATGACTCTGATTATAAATGTTTTAATTTTTTAATTAATTTATTAAATTCCTAATAAATGACATAATTTTTGAGTAGTAGTGGCTTGGGCCCTGAGTATTTAATTAATTACCCCTAATATTCTAGCATGACTCCGAAGCTTAATCATGCAAGTAATGTTAATTCTTCTTTTCTTCCCCTAAAAGGAATCTGCAGAAGTTTCCACAGAGGTAATTTTCATTCAAATAAAATAAAATTAATACCACTTAGTAGTGTTTTATTTTTGTATATTTGTATACAAATTAATTTTTTTTCTTACCAGGAAGTTAAGCACACTGTGGATCAAAAGCACTACGTAAAACAACTGGTAAATTTCTCATATAAATTATGATTTCAAGTAAAACATCTTATTTTGGCTGTTTCTTCTCTCAAATATTCACACAATTCATTATATCCCATTAAGAAATTTATCGGCCGGCGCGGTGGCTCACGCCTGTAATCCCAGCACTTTGGGAGGGCGAGGCGGGTGGTTCACCAGGTCAAGAGATCGAGACCGTCCTGGCCAACATCGTGAAACCCCGTCTCTACTAAAAATACAAAAGTTAGCTGGGCGTGGTGGCGCGTGCCTGTAATCCCAGCTACTCAGGAGGCTGAGGCAGGAGAATCGCTTGAACCCGGGAGGCGGACGTTGCAGTGAGCCGAGATCAGGCCACTGCATTCTACCCTGGCGACCGAGCAAGACTCCGTCTCAAAAAAAAAAAAAAAAGAAAAAAAAAAAAAGAAAGAAATTTATCCCCAATTTGTAGGAGCCTATTTTTGCTATTTTTGTTGCTCTGATTTCTGGCTATTATTTTTGTCAAATCAGTCTGGATTTATATTTTAAGAAAAATGAGTATTGAGAAATTATCCACTGATTTTGGAGGAGTTACAAATTTCAGAAAGTTTGTTGCAAGTTTAAATTACCTGTTAGATACCAATGCAGTTAAAGTATCACATTATTACGCACTCAACTTCTCTTTGACGACGGGATCTTAGATGATTATCTGAAGTGTAAACATTCTCAGGCTACGGGAGGTCATATAATCTAGGGGGTCCCCAAACCACAGGGGGTACCGGTACCGGTCCTTGGCCTGTTAGGAACCACGCAGGACAGCAGGAGGTGAGCTGCAAGCAAGCTAGCACTAGCCTGAGCTCCGCCTCTGTCAGATCAGCGGTGGCGTTAGATTCTCAGGAGAGCGAATTGTATTGTGAACTGCGCATGTGAGGGATCTGGGTTGTGTGCTCCTTATGAGAATCTTTCTAATGCCTGATGATCTGAGGTAGAACAGTTTTATCCCGAAACCATACCCCCGCCCTCATCCGTGGAAAAATTGTCTTCCACAAAACCAGTCCTTGATGTCCAAAAGTTGGGGACTCCTGATGTAATCCATCGTCTGCGGATTAGAGAAGTTTGCTTCCTGTGTAGGGAAAGCGCATGGATTTTGGTGTCAGGCAACTTGTATTCCAACTCCAGCTACACGAGTTACTACTTAACCTCTCCAAGCTCCAGTTTCCTTAACTGAAAATACGGAGAGCTGCATTAACCCTGCAAGATTGTATTAGATGATATACATTTAATTTATACAAAAATTGCTTGGAACACAGTAAATTCATCTAAAAATTTGGCAATTATCTTATTTCAACACAGAGCAGACATGCTTTCTAAAACCTTTATAATAGAAACACCTGTTTTGAACACTTAAAAATGGAATGCTCCAAATAAAACCTGTCTTTTTAGGAATTTAGATCGTTACTAACTTCCACGTTGCTATAAATATCTTTCTTACATTTTGTCAAAATACTTCCAGCAACATTCTCATTTTGTACCTCTCTTAACGTAACCATGGATTCATCCAACAATTCTAAAGACCCGTTGACTTTCTACACACACTTATTTTTCACTCTCTATTAAATGAAAATTCTCCTGAGGAAAAAATGCTTTGTGGTTTTATATTTAATCCCTAAAAATAATCTTTGCAAAATCAGTTCAAAGACGCCGGAGCTTACTAGAACACTTAGTTACTAGGCAAACTTCTCTTTATAGTTTAACAGATATAATCCCACATGATAAGTAATGCTCAAACAGTTTAAGCAATTTAATCAGGGTCGTGGATTCCAGTGCCCTGGGTAAAGAGAATGAAAGTTCATTTCTGACTCCAAAGACAAGACTAACTTCCAACACACATGGAAAAGGAATAAGTTGAGACATGTACCTTGTGATTGTTTTCTTTTCTTTTTCTTTCTTAAACATACTTTTCTTCCCCACATAGATAATTTTCTCCCGTGGTCTTACTTAATTTGATAATTTTTAAATTCTGCAACAGTTAAGGTAATTTTTATGTATGTAAACTATTCTTTTTCTAAGCAAATTTGCCACCAATTATAAATTTTCTAATTAAAGTTCTAATTCATTCAGTTTTGCTAACATTTGCTTTGACTCATGAAGGATATAAAATGTTGGAATAAATATTCATAATTTCCTTTCTCTCTAGAACAAAATCAACCCATTTTATCAGAAGTGGAACTTCCTCCCATTTCTTCAGGTTCCTTATCAACATCAGATTTTTATAAACCCAGGAGATCAGCATAAGACAAGTGTCTACCCCTTTGTTCCCACTTAGTAAGTTTTGCATTTTTAAGAGGCGAGGGGTACAGGATAAAAATATATACAGTGGCCAGGCTCAGTGGCTCAGGCCTGTAATCCCAGCACTTTGGGAGGCCAAGGCAGGAGGATCACCTGAGGACGGGAGTTCGGGACCATCCTGGCCAACATGGTGAAACCCTGTCTCTACTAAAAATATAAAGATTAGCTGAGGGTGGTGGTGCGTGCCTGTAATCCCAGCCACTTGGAAGACTAAGCCAGGAGAATCACCTGAACCAGGGGGTTGGAGGTTGCAGTGAGCCAAGATCTGCCACTGCACTCCAGCCTGGCAACAGAGCGAGACTCCCTCTCAAAAAAAAATACAGTAACTCGAGGCAAAATACACCCAAAAGTTCTAACTTTAAAATAGGGCAGTCCAAATACAATAACAAATAACAATAGTAGCAATAGTGACAAATAAGTACTAATTTAATTTAAATTTAACATACATGTCCTAAGTGTTTGCTCATATATCATTTCACTTGGTCCTTCAAATAATTCTTTCATGTAGGGGGGAGGATAGAAATCAGTACCTTCATTTAACAAAGGAAATGTAATATGGGGAAATGTAAGGAAGTACTTGCTCAAACGCCAAGTAACCATTTCCATTTTGTTTCATAAAATGAATTTGTTTTAGGGAACTTTTTCTAATATGAGCAATAAATAACACAAGTTCTCCTCAGCCTTTTGATCAAATCATAAAATTAAAGGTTTTTTGTCTTGTTACAGGACCAGTAAATATAGCCACCCAATAAAAAGCCTAGTTTGATTTCCCTTATTTCATCTCCGGGAATAATTAAAAGTCCAAAGAAAGGGAAAAATAAAAATTTTATAAGTAATTAAACATACTATTTATATTTTTTAAGGAAAACTGCCGGCATCTCTCAGAAAGTAAGTACAAACCACTTATATTAAATATATTTAAAGAACTACTTTTTATTTATCTATTATGACTTGCTTTTTATTTATAACAATGTATTATTTATTTTGTGGAAATATAAGGAGAAAAAGGATGTAGTTATACATACCAGTCAGGTAAAATGTATTTATGTATTTACTGGTTCATTGATGAAATATATCTTAGATGCATGTGCATTATTTTTTTACCAATCTTATTCCTTATAAGTATCTTTTTAAATAAGTATGAAAGAGGTAATGAATGGATGTCAAGAGGGTCCCAAGAAAATATACTTGTGTGCCATTTGTGAAGCACATTGTCAAAGTTAGATATTCTTGAAAAGATTTCTTGTTAGTTTTCCATCACCTTTCTATCACCAATTGGTTGCAAGTTTGTCATCAAATGCTGGACTGGCACTATATTCTTCTTGAATCAGTAGATACATTTTTTTTTTATTTCTTTCCAAGAATAAAGCCCCTCACTCCAAACCTATGAGGACCCTCACTCCAAAACCTAAAAGATGAAACAATTTAATGACACTGTATTTGAGAAAACCAATAGTCAAGCACATTTGGAAACAGTATATAATATCAACTCATATAATAAATAACATGATTTTCTGTATTCTTTAAATTTATTTACTATATTAACTTAAATTTGTCACTGCTAATATAGATTATTATTTCATTGTTAGAATATAAATTAAAAATATTCTGTATATAAAAAATATGACAGTTTTAGTTTGGCATAAAGATTCTGCTATTTACATAGGGAAGCCCTGCAGAGTTAATTGGTTAACAGACCTGGGACAGTGTTCCTATACCAATGAACAGACACCAAACGTGCTATCATCTTTCTCTACCTCCCTTCCTTTTTGCCCCATTGATATAGGAAAGCTAGTTTCCGTTTTCATATTAGCCTGTAATTTCTAAGGGAAAGTAGTAGATCTTAATTTGATGCTAATGGAGAGTTTGATAAATAGGAAATAGGAAAATTTCACTGTTTTGTAAACATCTGCATTTTTCTTAAAGAAAGAATTATTGAATTTATCTAAGTTTTATAGGGATGTTTGAACACATAAAAATTTAAAAACACTTACTGAGATATATCCTCACTATCAGAATTAAGATATTTTACACTTTTGCCAATAATATGGAAGCATAGCAGATGATGTGTATGTGAGAGTATATGCATCTATATGCATAAGTACATTTATATATCTTTCTTAGAATACTTATTTTACACTGACTTTTCCCTTATGCTACAGTACTGATGATCACCAAAAAATTGAAAACATAGGAAACCGGTGATAATGAAAGCAAACAACTACTTTTGTCATAATTTTATGAATAATCAAGTAAAGGAGGTTTAAACTTGCATGAATCAACTAACCAAACTAAATTTGCCAGTTCCCATGAGAAATGGAAGCTTAATCAGTTAGTGGTTTTCATTCTTTCTTAAAATTTTTTCAGTTAATTCCACTGTATACATCTTCATTGATACATCTTCATAGTTTCCTATTGATAAATGTTGTTTCTATTTTTTAAATTATAAAAATAACATACTAATATTCTTATAATAACTTATTTTATACATATATGAATATATTAATAGGAAAAATTCCTAAAAGTGAAATTTTTTAGTTAGAGGATATGTACATGAAATTTTTATAATATTTTTATCACAAACTTTAATACCATAAATTAATATGTAACACATATGTAACTACAAATTATGAGTATCATAATTAATACTTATAGTTCTATATTTTATAACAGTTTTATTTCATACATATATGATCCTAAACACTATTTAATTTTGTGTGTGTTTATTTCTCTTTAGAACATTCATTTTAGACAATAACATTACTTTTAATAAGGTTAATATATTAAGTAATAAATTGCTTTTACCACACAGTAAGTTCTCATAGTTAATGTTAGACTCTGAATATGACAAGATGATATCGGAAAGATCCTAAGGGACTTATTTCCTATTGAAAATCTCCTTCAAGTAACTCATATTAGCATTTAGATTGGGCTTCATTTCTTTTAAAAAGCATACAAACCCTGAATTTCAAAGTAGTTTCTCTATGTAGTTTGGTTTGTTTTTAAGATTTACAAGGACTAGCATACTTTATGTAGCCTCTTTGGTGTTGCATTTTTCACTCAACAGATTTCTAGCACATTTATCCATATTGTCACTTTATCCATATTGTTACAGCAGGTATAATCTACCTATTTACACTGCTAATGATATTCCACAATTCAGTCTTCTATTGCCCTATACTTAGAAGGCATTTGGGTTGTTTAGGTTTAGTATATTTATTTTTAGTTTTGGTAGGTATTTTCAAACTATTTTTCTTTGAGGTGAAATAAAATTTTTTTCCAACCACTAATAAATGGGAATTTACAGTAGCTTTTTGCCCGAGTGGTTGGCATTTCTGATGCAACACTCTACATCTCGAAGCAGTTTTAGAAACTCATTCATGGGCATTATGCAAGAGAGACCAGAAGGAGACCTCTGCTCCAGGCAGGCCTCAATGGGAGCAGTGACAACCCAAGACCACCCCATCAGACAATGCCAATCTGGGAAGTTTATAGATAGCTGATAGATTTATTTTATAACCTGGCAAGATCTCCACAGCGTGATTTTTCATCTTGGATAGTTTTCTGAGTTTGTTACAGGGGCAGTTGAAGAGATGTTTCTGCCTCTGAAGGTATTCATTGTGACACAGAGAAAAAAAATAAAGTCAGACTTGACACTGAGGTTAAGAAGCAAGGAGGAGGTCAGGTCCTAAAAGGAAATCTTGCCTGTGATCAGCAAAGAGGCAGCAAGGTATCTGAGACAGCCCTCGCCCTACCCTTGGACAGAGAGGGAATTTCACGTAGGAGGGGAGGAAAAGAGAGATCGGAGTCCAGATATGTTGTTAATGATCCTCCAAAGGGCATTGCTTCTCTGAATCCAGATCCTCTCTGGGAAGGGAATCTTCTAAATTAGTTTTTTGCTTTCCTGCAAGTTTTCATTCTTGTAAACTTTTAAACTTTTCAATTTGTTTTTTCCCCTTACCTGTTCTCCATCCAAGCTATTATTTATATAATATTTTTCCTGAAATTATGCTTTTTAAAAACTTGTTATTGCTAATAATAAGAAATGTTAGGCCGGGCACGGTGGCTCACGCACTTTGGGAGGCCAAGGCGGGTGGATCACCTGATGTCGGGAGTTCGAGACTAGCCTGGCCAATATGGTGAAACCCCATCTCTACTAAAAAAATACAAAAATTAGCCAGGTATGGTGGCAGGTGCCTGTAATCCAAACTACTCGGGAGGCTGAAGCAAGAGAATCACTTGAACCCAGGAGGCAATGTTTGCAGTGAGCCAAGAGAGTACGGTTGCACTCCAGCCTGGGTGACAAGAGAGAGACTCTGTCTCAAAAATTAAAAAAAATAAAAATAAAAATAAAAGGAATGTTATATATACTTCACTCAACTCACAAGTTTGATTATATATATATATATGTTTTAAATAAACATGCAATTATTAAAATTATTTAAATGAGTTGCCTAAAAGCATGTGCTTTCTCAATTACTCTTGTGAAATATTCATTCATTCAATTATTTATTTAAGAAATATTGTATTTAGCAAATACTATGTCCCTTACATGTTTCCACATCTTAGAGATAAAAAAGTGATTAAAAGAAGCATTACAGATAAATTTATTTTTATTCTTCTTCTTTATAAAACAGTAGTTTTTCTCTATACATCTAAGAGGCAATTGTGTATAATCAATACACTGAGAACAATGTGTCTAATTCTTGTTTTATTCCTTTAAGGAAACACCAAAAAAGACTGTTGATATGGTAAAGTATTGTTTCTATATGAAGCTGTATTTGACTCAAATTTCTAAAAACTAAACATTAAAATATTAATATTCCTGAAATTCTCTTTTAGTAAAATTGAATGATATTTTAGTTTACTTAAAAATCCTCTTTACTCCTTAACTGTGATTTTCTCAATTGACCTTAATTTTTTTCAGTCAAGACCTTCCAGGTTAGCAAGATCTCTCCACATAGCCTAAGTATTCTATGTTTTTTGCTGCTTCTTTCTTTTTTTAAAAAACAGATTTCTACCATTTTTTGAACTGAGAATTTTATTGCAATAAATCTTTTTCACCTGTCATAATAATACCTTTGTTGTAATATAAAAAAGATCTTTTGTCCACAAATATTAAGAATATACTGCTAAGTATTCAATTGCCCTGATTCTAAAATTTTGATTATTATACTTTTTATTTCTCAAATAATGTTCTAGTAAGTTATCTCTGGTGAGGAAAATGATAATTTTAAAATCAAACAATTAATGAATTCATTGAGAAATACTCTGTTTCTTGCTGTTGACTAATTATTTTAAGTAAATTAGGTGTTATGCTATTGACATATCGAATGGAAATAAAGGAAAACCCTTGTAAAAAATACACAGTCTCAAAGTCATTTTAGAGGTCTGGAATGAACCATCTACATGGTCAAGAAGTAGCTGTTCTATCACACACTTTCGGATAATATATGTCTGAACTCTGTTACATTGGAAAAATGAATTTTTAAAATAAGCCAGCCAAATCAGGATTCTGTCAGTTGCCTTCACTGTAGTTTAATATCGTTTAGGAGTTGAATACTGGACTGGGTTATAAGTTATGTAAATCACAGGTTCAGGGAACACCCACTGTGGGAGAAAGTGCCAAGTGGGAGAGCACAATTGGAAAGGGTCTTCAGAATATGAAGTATAAATTGTGGCACAGGATCTTGTGGCCTAGGGCCCAAAGCAAGCAAGATCTTCCTTCTTAGTGCCTTGAGAAGCATGTTTTACCCTTTCTCTCCACCTCAAACTGTGGGCCTATGGACACTAATATAAAAAACATTGGTCCTCCAAGAAAGAACATGCAGACTTTGCCACACACCTCAGTAGGCTTAATTATTTTTCCTCTCTCTCTCTCTGTCTCTCTCTCTCTCTCTTTTGCATCTGCCCATAGTACACAGAAATTTGACATTATATGAACATGTAGGTAAATGGAAAATATGAAATAAAATGTATTTTCAGTCAGGTACCATTATGTTGACACAGGACATGTCCTTTTAATGAATACTTACATTCATTTAATTCAGAATAGATTTCTATAAAGTAGGACTTTGTTTCTTGGTAGTAACAGCTTGGCCCTGAATTATTAAAATAATTAGCCTTAATTCTATATTATTATGATATGGACAAAAATTACTATTGGGTTATCCAAGTGAGGTTATTTTTTCATTTTCTTTCCCTAAGGAATCAACTGAAGTATTCACCAAGGTAAGTAAGTTTTGTTCAAACAAAATTAATAAAATATAATCTCAAAACATTTTCTTCTGTATTTTATGACCATTTATTTTTGTTATTAACAGAAAACTGAGCTGACTGAAGAAGAAAAGAATGACCAAAAACATCTGGTAAATTTTCCATACAAACATAGCACAATTAGACTTTACTTGGAAACTGCCTAGTTGCAATCCTCTTGACAAAAAAAAAAAAATACTATGTTTACCAAGTTCTAATTTTTATAAAAGCCTTCCTTATAGTTTTAAAAATGGTTACAGAATGATTCCCCAACTGTACCACTTATATTATTGCTAAGTATCCACCCAACAATTATTCCATGGCAATTGTAAAATTCCATTGATTTTCCACTTTGTAAAAATGAGAACTTAGCTTAAAAGAAGATGCCACTGTATTTAATTCCAATTTAAATCCCTACAATAATCTGTGGCTAAATCTATATAGATAAATAGAACATAGAAGAGGGGCATATGTACTCATAATAAAGTATATGGGATGCATTATACAAATAAAGTGCTCTTTCCATATTAATTCATTTACTTCTACAAGATAAATAACACTCAGAGAGATTAACTGGCTCAGTGTCATAGATTCCACTAAGTTAAATCACATATTCTATATGACTCTGAGGACCAGCGTTTTCCTACCAGAAACAGAAAATAAACCACAACTGGGGACACTTATCTTAGTCAAGAAATTATCTTCTTGCCTTCTTACATGTATTTTTAATTTTATTTTTCCTTGTTTTTGATTTCTTTCACACAAGCACTGTGGCTTTGGGGTCTGAATTAACCAAATAATTTTCTTACTTCTACAGTTAATTCTGTAAATGTAAGCATAGAGTTAATTTTGTATGAATAAATTTTCCTTTAATTAAGTTCATTTGGTAAAATGTAGAATTTATCCAAATAGAGTTTTGATTTATTTGGTTATGTTCAGGTCTCTCTGATTCTGGGATATTGAGATAATTCTTTATATATTTTTCTAGAACAAAATCAACCAGTATTATCAGTTCACCTTGCCCCAATATGTAAAAGCTGTTTATCAATATCACAAAATTATGAAACCATGGAAAAACATGAAGACAAATGCTTACCAAGTTATCCCCACTCTGGTGAGTGCTCTCTTTTTATTTGCAACTTAAAAATAGTTATCTGTTGTGCTAAAAGTAAGCTAGGGGGATGAAACTGACATAATCCCAATAAACTCAAGTAGAAGTTGAAACAAATAAAAATGCCTAAGCTAAAAATTAAATAATAAATCATATGCAAATACAGCATAATAAATAAAAATAATAATGTTACAAAAGTAGATGAAATTGTAAAAAGTAGCTGGACCAAGTTCTAGTTAACATTTATCCTTTATCTTATTTAAAAAAAAAAAAAGAGATTTGACCTAGGGAACATTTCTTCTAACATGAAGAATGAATGAGAGAACAGGACATTGAACCCACAGAACTAAAATGTATTATAAACAACATGGGTTTTGGAATCAGAAGACCTAATATAAATAGGCTTTTGAACATAGGCAAGTCACATCATTTCTCTGGAATTTTTTAATATGATTTAGTTTTTTAGATATGCATGTAGCATTTAAAAGTGTCTTCCATATAATTTTAGAAAAATCAGAATTTAGTACCTCTGATTTGCATATGAGATGGAGATTTGTTCCTATACATTTTTTAAATAAAATTATTCATTTTTTTCTCTTTTCTCTTCAAACAGGGATCTTTAAGATTCTTGAATTAACTGCTCCTACTTTACTTTGGTAAGTGCCTTTCCCCCTAGAATTTAAGCAATAACTTTTATGTGAAGAAAGTGATATTAAATAATATTATTAAGTAATATACTTCCAACTTTAATTAAATCATATTTTCATTTATAAAGTGTTTTAAATTTTGCTTTCATCTTTTTGACTCACAAATGTAAGTTGTCTGTGTAATTTGCATGCATATTTCATAAATATTTTAAATATAAATTATAGTACATTTCCTCCAAAGCTAATGATACATTCAAGCCAGAAGGAATGACTCTGAGTGAAAATTGTCACAGGCATAGTGTTCACACAGGTGATTTCCTGTCATCTTTGAGTTGTGCCAAGAAATTCAGACCTGGCTCTTTGGTTTGAGAAAAGATATATAATATCAAGAGAGTTTCATACACAATTCAAGCCATTTAAGACAAATTTCCTGCATCATTTTCTCTGGAAAAATTAATGTTTTCTACAAAAAAAAATTGCTTATTTTTTAAATTTCTCTCTTTGACAATTTATTCAATGGATTCAGAACCATGGTGGCAACTCAAGAAAATTGTAATGCCCTTTGTGTAGTCATGTTTTATTTTTCTTATTTTGCTCTTACAGCATTCAGGTTTATCTCCTATCCTAGAATTCTGTCTCATTTAATTCAAACGTTTTGCTCTTTTTATATGTCCCAAACGCAAATTTCTAACGTGACAAAGTAGGTTTCAAAACAATGAATAATAATAGTAATAATAATTTATCAAGAGCATATAGTGCACCAATTACAATTCTAAGCCCTTGCCTGTATTGACTAATTTAATGTTCACAAAAAACCTATGAAGTAGTTAATACTATCAGCTGATTTTTTTTCCATAAGTTATTGGGGTACAGGTGGTATTTGGTTACACGAGTAAGTTCTTCAGTGGTGATTTGTGAGATCCTGCTGCACCCATCACCCGAGCAGTATAGACTGCACTGTATTTGTTGTCTTTTATGCATCCCCGCCTCACTCTTCCCCTCAAGTTCCCAAAGTCCATTATATCATTCTTATGGCTTTGCATCCTCATAGATTAGCTCCCACATATCAGTGAGAACATACGATGTTTGGTTTTCCATTCCTGAGTTACTTCACATAGAATAATAGTCCCCAATCTCATCCACATTCTTGCAAATGCAGTTAATTCATTCTTTTTGTGGCTGAGTAGTATTCCATCAGATATACATACCACAGTTTCTTTATCCACTCGTTGATTGATGGGCATTTGGGTTGGTTCCACGATTTTGCAATTGTGAATTGTGCTGCTATAAACATGCGTATGCAAGTATCTTTTTCAAATAATGACTTCTTTTCCTCTGGATAGATGCCCAGTAGTGGGATTGCTGGATCAAATGGTAGCTCTACTTTTAGTTCTTTAAGGAATCTCCACACTGTTTTCCATAGTGGCTGTTCTAGTTTACATTCCCACCAGCGGTGTAGAATTGTTCCCTGATCACCGCATCTATGCCAACATCTACTGTTTTGATTCTTTGATTAGCAAATAAAAACATAAAGTGGGGAAAGGACATGCTTTTCAACAAAGGACATGCTGGTACAATTGGCTGGCCACATGTAGGAGAATGAAATTGGATCCTCATCTCTCACCCTACACAAAAATCAAATCAAGATGGGGACTTAAACCAAAGACCTGAAACTATAAAAATTCTGGAAGATTGGAAAAACCCTTCTAGACATTGGCTTAGCCAAGGATTTCACGACAAAAAACCCAAAAGCAAATGCAATAAAAACAAAGATAAGTAGCTGGGACCTAATTAAACTAAAGAGCTTTTGCATGGCAATAGGAACAGTCAGCGGAGTAAACAGACAACCCACAGAGTGGGAGAAAATCTTCACAATCTATACATCCAACAAAAGACTAATATCCAGAACCTACGACGAAGTCAAACAAACCAGTAAGAACAAAACAAACAATCCCATCAAAAAGTGGGCTAAGGCCATGAATAGACAATTCTCAAAAGAAGATAAACAAATGGTCAACAAACATATGAAAAAATGCTCAACATCACTAATGATCAAGGAAATGCAAATCAAAATCACAATGCCATGCCACCTTATTCCTGCAAGAATGGCCATAATCAAAGTATCAGTTGATTTGAGATGAAGAACCTGAGGTGGAATGGAGGTTAAATAAATTGCTCATGATAATCCTGAGAAAATAAAAAAGCCAAAAAAAAAATCGAATACAGATTTCCAGCCCAAGGGCTCAAACGCTCTTCCACCAATGCCGAACTGCACCCGAAAGGCCACGTTAAGGTTTTTTTGAGAGGATATTTTCTGACTTTGAGTACATTGTTACAAACTTGATTTTCTTTATTATGTTATTTTGGCCTTCCTAATAATGAAAAAGGGTCAGGCAACTTCACAAAGTAATCTCATGTGACAAAAATAATACCATAATTGTTATGGATAAGAGCTAAAAATACAGTTGTGTTTTATAAATAGTAACCTTTTTTACTGTCATTATTCACATATTTATTCCACTTTTTTTTTTTTTTTTTTTGAGACGGAGTTTCACTCTTATTGCCCAGGCTGGAGTGCAATGGCGCGATCTTGGCTCACTACAACCTCCACCTCCTGGGTTCAAGCAATTCTCCTGTATCTGCCTCCAGAATAGCTGGGATTACAGGCGCCCGCCACCACGCCCTGCTAGTTTTGTATTTTTTTTTTTTCAGTAGAGACAGGGTTTCAACATGTTGGCTAAGCTGGTTTTGAACTCCCGACCTCAGGTGATCCGCCCGTCTTGGCCTCCCAAAGTGCTGGGATTATAGGCATGAGCCATGGAGCCCCGCTTTATTCTACATTTTTTAAAAAGCTTATCATATGACCCGTAATGCCAGAGACCTGAGAGATACAGAATTATGATACTACATTTACCTTCATTAAGTCCTTTTCTGACAAAGACACAGAAATGACAATATAATGTGCTAACTGCTAATTAGAGATAGAAGGATATAATAATACAACAAGGTCAAGTGATGAATCAGAGATAAAATATAAGGCAGAAGGTATTGAATTGACAGAAAAATTACAAAAGAAACAGAGAAGCCAAAAAATGTACAGTGCAATTTGAAGAATTTAATTTTAAAATGATTTATTGAAATATAAGACCCCAAAGTCATTGTACATAAAACATTATTTTACCGAAATCTACATTCCAATTAGATCAAAAGGCTTAAATTATAGGAAGCAGTAATATCTTATATGCCTAATAAGCAACTTAGAAAATAATAATATAATAATATAACAATAATAATAAAGTGTTCCTTCAAAATTGGCTGAAAATATACATATGTACCATTAATAAATAAAAATGCTATTTTTGTATGCTAGATTGAATAAGCTTGCTATTAACTCTCATTCACTAAACTGTTTATCTTATCAGGAAACAATTTCTCCTTCTACCTCATAGACTGTATTGACTCCATCAAGCATGAACACAGATAGTTATTAAAAATCTTATTATGTGCCATGAATTATCTTAAGCATGAGAAAATATTAACTCATAATAGTTATAAATAACATTCTGCCAGACTAAGATGGACAAGTGTGTGTGTTCTGTACATAAACCAAAACTATCTTCTGTAATATATAAGTCCAGTATTGCTTTTTTTTTTTGCTTTTTTTTTTTAGATTTACCTGGGAAATCTACCTTTTTTTTAAGGTTTGCCTGGAAAATCTACCATATTACTTCATACTACCAGCATGTTTGGACAGGCTTATGGTGAAGGCGGGAATACTGAGTCAAAGAAGACTGCAGAATATTTCCTGAATTGTGTATACCCTTCCCAAGAGTTAATGTTGAATATGTTGGGTTTGCATTGTGGTTTCATTAGGTTGATGATTACTTAAGATGTTTTTACCACTGTTTCTGAGTTACAAAAACACATTTCTTTTCCCCTCAAAATAAAATTTCAAGTGATTCATTGGTGTATAATCAGCATTTTTATTGTTCATATTGACCACCGAGGCTACTGATGCTAATATAAGTAGTTATTTAACAATTAATTTTAAACTAGCTTATCTACTACCAAAATGCTTTATATACACTTTCTGGACACTTCAATTTTACTTATCATAACCAATAATCTAGAACACTACAAGTTTTATATTCTCCCACCACAGCTTGGCTCACAGAACTACTTAGCCATGCTTCTACCATCTTTCTGATTTATTCATGCTTATAATTTGCCACAATTTTAATCTCAAACCTTCACCAGAGCCCTCAGTCCTCCTCTCTCAGTCCACCTTGTCAGACTAAAGTATGGAGTCAGCCACTAAGACCATAAACCTTTCAAGATTCCTCATTAATGGTGTAACCAAATGAAGAAAGAGCAAAAGCAAACACATGGGTGCATACGTGGGCTCCAAGGCATACTTGGGCTGCAAGGGAGTCAGCACGTCCTGAGAAGATGGAGGGATGGGGAAAGCTATAAGGAAAGCAGATCAGGAAGGAGGGGATAGGGATGAAAGTTATTTGTTAAGCATTTGGTTGTAATGGGAAGACATTACAGGAGTTTCCATTGGGGAGTAACATTATATGATATATGTCATCGATGAGTGAAAAACTTCAAATTTTGAAGACTTTATCTTTGACTCCATAGAATACGTCAATCCTTTATAATTCCCATTGTATTCCATTCTATCCAATTCCTCTTAGCGCTACTTCTTTTCTTATTCAGACTGAACATTTAAGGGATTTTCAGAAGCTGACATATGACATATATTTTGAAAAGGTAGAATAAGCAGAAGCCAAGAGAATTTTTATCTTTCCTCATAGAATCCATTCACCCCACTCCCATCCACTAAAATTCTGATTACATTTCATTCTTTCTACTCTCTATTGGACTCACTTCCTTTCTTACACAGCCCAGACTTCATGCTTCATTATTTTAAATATTATCTTGATAGCTCATATAATTTTTCTGCCCCCCTACACTTAGCCAACCTTACCTGGAAAACACGCAACCACGTAAAACTCTGAATTTGATTTCTACTGCCATTCCACCAAAACAGATGAATTTTAAGTAAGTTTATGTTTTTTAAACTGTGTTGGTAACCAAAGACATCTTATCAAACTCTTTTTCTTGTTGACATTAGTGTTAACTGCCTTTAACTCTCCTTAAACTTCAAACTTATCTCACCAGAAAACAATTTTCCTTTCTACTTCATAGACAATACTGAGTCCATTGAGCATAAATACTATCCACTTCTTAGTAGGACACATCAATAATTTTATCTAAATCTGAGCACAATTTTAGTTCTCTCAAGTTTTAAAGGATATATGACCTTCTTTCAGTTCAAAGCTAATAGCTCTTTTGACTTTTTAAAAAGTTCCTCTGTAATCTATCCTTTTGATAATGTTCATTGTAGCAAAAGTAATCGTGATAGTTTTAATGCCTAAAATTGAATGAGCAGCTATGTGCAGGGTAATTTATATCTTTGTCTCAATTAGCCTTACTATTAAATTTGCTATATTATCAATGTAACTATTATTATTATATTATTAAATATAATACATATTATTTTATTACATTATTATTTTTAATAAATGTGAGCATTGTTTCCACTTTGAATATCCAGTACTCAAAACATTATCGGATATTCAGATGAATTATGAGGTTATTCCATATATTTTAGGCCTAATAGTTTGTTTTCATAAATTAAGCTAGAACATAACATTTAGTATAGCTCCTTTTTGCCATTAGAACACAAACATTCACAATTTGCCAAAGATGCTCCAGATTCAAGTTTATCACACTGGTATAGATATATGACTAAATATTTTCCCTGTAATTGAAGGAGATTAGGAAAATATTAAAACACAAACATTATAAAAATCTGCCAATTAGTTGCATACTTATGGCAACATATTTAGTAACATATCTTTGCAGAATGTTTCTCTTGTAAATTAAATCCCTTGACATTTTCAAGAGCATAGCTGTCCATCACGGATGAAAAGGCACCTTATTTCCATGACTACAAATAGCAGGACATGTTCTGTTCCATCGGTCTTCTAAAATCACTGTTTGTGGATTGAGAGATTGTGTCTAACAAAAGAAGTTACTCATATGCTTATCGTCTGTTCTTTTTTCAACTGTCAGACACAAACTACTGATTCCCTATCTTGTTAATCACAAAATAATGAGCTTAACAATACCTATTTTTTAGTATTTCATTCTCAAATAAGGGATCAATTAAGTTTAAACAAAGCTTTTCAACTTCTTCATTTACAAAACCCTAGTGCCTTTGGAGCTTTACATTACAAATGCCTTATATTAATGATGTCCTTATATGATTACTTTTAATGGCAAAAACTGCAATTACTTTTGCACCAACCTAATACTTTTTATCTACTGGGTTGCATTTCTCATATATTTCTGGGCCTATAACAATACTCACAAACTATCGTTTAAATGACTGAAAGAAGAAAACAAGAAAGAAAGTAAAGAAGGGAGGGAGGAAAAAAAGAAAAAAAAATGAAGAAAGGAATGAATATAAGGGGAAAATAGAAAAAAAGGCAAAACTATGGGAATGAAAAACTACTAAGTGGTTGCTAGAGTTGAGGGAAAGGAAAGACATTGTTAGTTTTTTTTGTTTTTTTTACTACAGAGGGGCCACACATGGGAAATGTTAGCATGATGGAACCCTTACATATGATAAAGTAGTGGTGAATATACAACCACATACATTTGCCAAAACATATAGAAGGCTTAAGGTTTAAGAGTGAATATTGCTAATTGCAAATTAAAAATAGAAGTAAACCAAGATGTTGCAGCAACCTAAGACAGAATGCAGCCTGTGACAAATAAATCCAACAGTATATATAAATATATGGCATAGCCTCACCAATGCGGGTAGGAGTAAAGGAGTAAGCTAGGAAACTTCAGGAAACATCATCTTGACTGGATGTTGTAACAACAAAAAAAATAATATTTGCTAATTTCATTGAGACATTCTCTTTGACTTATAGGCTATCTAAAAGCATGATGCTTCGTTTCCTCATTTTTGGTAATTTTTAAGATATATTTCTGTTATTGACACATAGCTTAATTACATTGGACTGACAAAATACTTCTTATTATTTCTATTTTTAAAAATGTATTCAGGTGTGTTTTATGGCCCTAAATATGGTCTATCTTGGCATATGTTCCATGTGACTTTCAGAAGAATGTGTATTCTATTGTTGTTCAGTGGAGTGATCTATGAATGTCAATTAGAGCAAATTGGTTGATAGTGTTGTTCAAATCATTTTTTTTCTCTTACTGGTTTACTCCCTCAGTTTTTGTCTGAGAAAATATTTCTCCTTCACTTTTGAGGAATATATTTCCTGGACCTAGAATTATGTGTTGACAGTATTATTTCATTACATTTAAGATTTTACTATTTTCTTCTTTCTTGCATGGTTTCTGACATGCAAATTACATACCGTAATTCTTAACCTTATTTTTCTGTAGATAATCAGTCTTTTTTTTTCTGTTGCTGTCTTCAAGATTTCTCTTTGTCTTTGGTTCCCAGCAGTTTCAATACAATATGCTGTATATGTGTGTGTATGTGTGTGTGTGTGTAGAATTTATTCCTAATGTTCTCAGGGTATCTTGCATTGGTGCTTTTAGTTTCTGCCCATAATTTTGGAAAGTTTTTGACCACTATTTCTTTAAACGTGTTCTGCTTTGCTCTTTTTTCTCCTAGGATTACAAATGTTAGAGAATTTGCTATTTTTCAATTTGTGTTTCAATTTGGTGATTTCTACGACATATCCTCAGGGTCTCTAATCCTTTCCTAGGTTGTGTCAAGTCTATCGATTAGCCAGTCAAATGAATTCTTTTTCTCTGTTAGTAAATTTTTATTTATAGCATTTCTAGTTATTGTTACAGTTTCCTTCTCTGTGCTGAAATTATCTATGTGATCTTGAATCTCATCTATCTTTTTCTTCAGAATATTTAGTATAATAATCAGTTATGTTAAATTCCCTGCTCGAGAGTTTCAACATCTGTGTAACAACTGACTCTTGTTCTGATTATTGCTTTTTTAAAAATCTTCAGACCTTGCTTATACCTTTCTGTGTGTCTTGTGATTTTTTTATTGAATGCCTGATTTATGGTATAGTCATTAGATAAACATGAGCCCACTTTCTTTCTACGAGGGCCTTAGTATAGGGGGGTTGTGTTAATCTAGTCCACAAGAGAGGAAATTAAATACTTAGACAAAAGGATTTTGTCACTCCTGACAAACAACACTGAACCTAGTATATGACCTAAGAAGGTATCCAGCTAAATTACTTCACGTTACTCTGATGTATGACGTGTGCACTGACAACCATTAGTATGCCTCAATTATTCTTTGATATAACATATTACTAGTGTTGTTAGGTTGTCAGTAATAAATTCACAGGATAGAAGGGTTCTTTCAGCTTCTAATATTTGTTTCCATTAGCTAATTCATGTTTATAATGCTAATACAGGAAGAGAAACCACACCATTGTTTAAAAATATATTTATGTTATTCTATTACATGCTTAACATAAAATGAAGTAATGCATAACCTTTCTTCATCATAATTTCCAATTGATGTCAAAACAAAGTCAAGTAATGAATATTTGCAAAGTCAATTTAGGAATTAAGCTTAATGTAGTTCCTAAATTTGTCTTTATTGTCATTTTATGGGAATAATTTCCCTATTTTTATGGTTCTCTGAAATGAAGGAAGTAATTCACAGCCAAATCAGTCAAATTCATAGGTTTTTAAATTATTTTTCTCAGAGTCAATGCTAATTTGTTTCAAAATGAAAGAGTAAACATTAAGTTAGGGACTTATAAATATCCCTGGAAAGAAAGGGAGTGAGGCACATTGTCCACGTCAAGACCAAGAGCTGCATCCACTAGTTTGCACCCTGGAAACAAGGTATGCTTTTTTTTATGTTAAGATGTTCCCATTTTAAAAATTTCTCTAGTGGGTGCAGCGCACCAGCATGGCACATGTATACATATGTAACTAACCTGCACAATGTGCACATGTACCCTAAAACTTAAATAAAATAAATAAATAAATAAATAAATAAATAAATAAATAAAAAGAAAATGCACAAACCATAACAAAAATAAAATAAAAATAAAAATTTTTCTACCAGATTTCAGTCAGATGGACTTTAATAGCATACTTGTAAATGCATGGCATATTTATATTATTTCATAGTTTCCAGAGATTGATGACACAATCTAGTCTGTATAAATCTAGTCCACCTCACACCTGAGTTCTCACTTTAACACTGTATGAGGCAAGACTTAGCAAAGAAATTTTTTTTTCCCTACATTCAGACTGGACTCAAGAATTCACATAAACCCTAGAAAAAACAGATCAGTTCTGTTCATAAAGCCTCATGTGCTTCTGAAGAACTGAAAAATAGGGTCAGGTAAGTCTGTCTCATTTAACATGCTATTTCAAGAAAAAGATAAAGAAGGAAAAGGATAATGAAACACTTTTTATTAAATTGTGTGTCAGTGAAAACCTGATGTACAATATCAAAGATCACTAAAGCAAAGGTCACTCAGTATGTGGTCAAAGCCATGTTGAACAGGTAAGCAGCTTAGCCAAGATTAAAAATATGTTTCGAGGAATATGATGATTTTTTTCCAGCCTAGATTTTGTAAGGATTAGGTAGGAAAGAATCCACAATCTTATCAAAAAAAACTTGGAAGTTCATTATATTACTAGAATATACATAGTATATAAGCAATACATTCTCACTTCACAAAAAATAGACTACAGAAAATGAAAGAAAAATATACAAATAATTATAAAAACAAACTGATCTTCTAATTCATAACTCATTAAATATTTTACCAATACTCATGTTCTTATCTACTACTTTTTTATTTTAAATTAGTTTCCTGTCATATATAAAGTTGGTGCTCTTTTTATAGTGCTACAAGTCTCTAGAGTAGGAATATTATTCTTGTTTCTATTTGCTGTTTTAGTTATTTATTTGTATTTATTTACTTATTTTATAATTTTAACTTCTATTTTAGATTCAGGGGCTACATGTGCAGGTTTGTTACATGGGTATATTGCATGATGCTGAGGTTTGGGGTATGGATGGATCCCTTCACCCAGGTATTGAGCATAGTACCTAATAGGTAGTTTTTCAGCCCACTTCCTCTCCTTCCTCCCTCCACTAGTATTCCCCAGTGTCTCATATTGCCATCTTTATGTCCACATGTACTTAATGTTTAGCTCCCAGTTATAAGGGAGAACACGAATATTTGGTTTTCTGTTCCTGCATTATTAATTTACTTATGACAATGACCTCCAACTGTATTCATGTTACTGAAAAGGACATGATTTTATTCTCTTTATGGCTTATCTTTGCAATATTTAATATTTAAATATTCATTTAGCAATATATTATGAACCTAATATGATTATTCTTAACAAAACTTTTTGTTGGGATTTAATATTTTTCACATTATGAGATTCTAAATAATGCTATAAGTGTCCTTGTATATGCAATTTTTCGGTACAAGTGGAGATATTTTGGCTTTGAAGAAATAAGAAGCCATACACTTTAATAATCAATCAGTTGGAGAATGGTTTTAGGTTCTCTGAAGAAAACTGAGCCTAATCAAGACACACACCTGAGAATATGCCTTCTCCACTATTCTTCAGAAATAGAGAAAAAAAATTACGATCAAGTTTAAGATTAGAAATTTTTCTAAGTAGGTGATACCAATCTCCCACTGAATTCATAAAAACAAAACATTAAGAAGCACCCATAGAATGGTGACATTTAAGCAATTTTATTTCCTGGTAAGACCTCCAAAATAAATTAATTGCAAAATATGTCCCTGGGGAGCTAAATGAGTTGACATCTACTTTTAGACATTTCAGTTGGAAGTCAATTAACTGTTGAACGGTATCTGCTAATATATATTTATATTGGCTTTAGTGACATTCCTGTTAAGGTATACAGACAGTAGTTAAATAGCAGGGCCAACTATTCTGTTAAGGGTCTTCCTAGACAGACTAAAAAAGCCATGTATTCTTTCGTTTCTCTCTAAAAGAAGAAAAATATAATTTAAAAATACATTGCGTATTTTCTAAAACAATAAATTTATAGTGTTAATATTCATAGGGTCAATCAAAATGAAGCTTCTCCTTTGGGCCTGCATTGTATGTGTTGCTTTTGCAAGGAAGGTAAGTAAATGGACTTCCAAAATTGTAACAATTGTATAACCATTTGCTAATTGTTTATAGGCATTTGTGCTTATGATAAAGTACTATAGTGTTTGTAATAAAGCAGCAGAGAGACATAGATGGACATGAGATTTGTAGTGTCAGACTTTTCAACGGAAAATTTAAAAATCAAAATAATAAAGTTGTAGTATCTGAAAATAGATAAACAGCAAGGAAAGGAGGTAAGTTCATAAATGTAGGAGGCTGGAGGAGGAAAAATTATAGAAAAGCAGGATCCCACGTAGATTATCTTAACAGAGTTTATCTCTTCAAATTATAGAATGCTGGATTGGGCTTCCTATGGCTGTGAAGTGCCATTGCTGGAGGTATTTATGTACAGACATTAGGGATACTTGATGGAATAGAAGTAAATGCACATCATACCTTTAGTGGACTGTAACGTAATATAGTGTAATGCAATGGCCTTTAGTGTAACATAAGTAGATGAAACTCTAATGTAAGACAAATCTGATGGCAAATTCTTAATCCTAGCCAGTGACTATGCTAAATATTATCTTTTTTTAAATGGAGAAAATAATAACACCTACACCATAACATTGTTTTAAAGATTTTATAAGGTAATTATATAAAGTGCTTAGCAGAGTACCTCAGGTATGGTAGAAACTCAACTGCTACTTGATACCATTTGCTATTGATGTTATTATCATCCTGTCCAAACTTTAAACTATTATTTTTGTTCCCTAAAATTAGATAAATGAAGCTCCAATTCTTAAAATAATAAGTGATGATTTTCCTGTACTTTTTATTTTTATTCTGTAGTTCATAATCTGTGGTCAATTCACAAACCATATTGAAGCTTCATTGGAGAACAAATGGATCTATGGTCCTTCTGGTACTGTGAAGAGGTGGCAAAGACCACTCTTTTTTTTGTTGTATGTTTGTGGTTTTTTTTTTTTTGAGACGGAGTCTCGCTCTGTAGCCAGGCTGGAGTGCAGTGGCGCGACCTGGGCTCACTGCAAGCTCCGCCTCTCGGGTTCACGCCATTCTCCTGCCTCACTCAGCCTACCCAGTAGCTGGGACTACAGGCGCCCGCCACCACGCCCGGCTAATTTTTTGTATCTTTAGTAGAGACGGGGTTTCACCGTGTTAGCCAGGATGGTTTCGATCTCCTGACCTCGTGATCCGCCCCCTCGGCCTCCCAAAGTGCTGGGATTACAGGCGTGAGCCATTGCGCCCGTCGCAAAGGCCACACTTTAACACACAGATGCACACACACACACACACACACACCAGACAAAACCTGGGAGGTAAAAAGTGAATAGCAAAATCAGATATATGAATGAGAGCTGAATGATCTTTCAGATGATAAAGATTTATGTACATGTTGAATATTACAAACCAAAATCCATCCAGCCAAAGTAAAACTCCCTGAGGAAATTGTTTAGGTCAAAACCATGTAATGATAATGATGACGATGATAAAAAAAAATTCATATTAGTTACTCAAATTTCAAAAAAATTAACCATAAGTATTATTAAGCTTTGCAAATTTTTCAGCAATATGGAAATGTAGGTGCAGATGTTTTCAAATACATAACCGCATTAAAATATATTTTTCTTTATTTTAGAGACGGTTCCCCTTCATTGGTGAGGTAAAACTTTTTTTTCTTTACACGCAAGTATATTTGTTTTTATCTTAAAATATATTTTACATTTTAAAACTCTCTGATTTCTTTACAGTGAAACTTAATGACTGCTATTGCTCTTAAAATAATAGTGCTATTAAACTCTTCCGATTTGATAGAAAATATTTATGGAATATGTTTGTGTTCAACATATTTAGCAAAAGGTCTTTAGTCTTTTTAATGAGCAAAAGCATTAAGTGCACTCCCTTTGCAGCTTAAGAAAATTTTTGCCATGCCAAGGTTTTCCCCTCATGCCTCTATTATACATTGTCAGTATGTCCTAAGTTCATTTGAACAAACTTAGTGATGAATCTGGAGATGCTCTGTCTGCATGAAGGGTTAGAGCAAGAGAAAGCATGAAGTAGTGGGCCAGCCATATATTCAGGTGTGTGTCTTCAAGCTAGGAACCACTAGCAGGAGGAGTGTGTCCCAAT
The DNA here is from genome assembly GCF_000001405.40 of Homo sapiens. NCBI lineage: Eukaryota > Metazoa > Chordata > Mammalia > Primates > Hominidae > Homo > Homo sapiens. The sequence continues at coordinate 70,156,545 of NC_000004.12, forward strand.
GAGTTAGATGATTTCTGTGTAGCAAATACCCATAAATTATCTCTATGAGACCAAAGCACATACTGATTAACTGATGTTAGATGTTTTTTTCAGTTCCTTGCTACTTGTGCCTCAATTTCTGGCAACAGAAGACTACTAAGAAAATTACACTTACACCTATCCACCAGTATGCCATAAATCAACATGACACTCTAGCAAAGAAAGCTCAAGAGACATAATCTGTGATGTGCACACTTTTGACCAACAATGATCAGACATATAACGAAGGAGTAGAAATCTTTTGGAAATAATGTTTTAAAATAGAAATATTATTAGGTATTATTTTGAATTTTTTTTTGCATCATTTTACTTATTTTTTTATTATACTTTAACTTTTAGGGTACATGTGCACAACGTGCAGGTTTGTTACATATGTATACATGTGCCATGTTGGTGTGCTGCACCCATTAACTCGTCTAATGAGTTAATATTTAAGTCCTCAGATTCTAGGGCTCTATGATCCACAATGCAAATAATTGATATTTGCCTCTATGAACACCTGGGGACATATATTACTTATGTATATATGTCATACCTCAGGGGGCTCTGGCAATATGACTCGTGAGAAAAATTTAACTCAGTAATTCAGGAAACTTACCTAAAATTGGAAAAAAATTAAATGTTAATTAAGAAGCTTGACTGGCTGGGGAATGTAGCATCCCAGACACAAGAAGAAAGAAACCTTGTCTGTTTTCCAGTATGTAGGATCCCCTAGCACAGAGATGGCACAGAGAAGGTACACATTTTATACTTTTAAAAATAAATCACAGAACTTCCATCAAGAAAAACCTTAAAATATCTCAAAGACCCTGAGGGACAATCTACATTTATTGAGAAACTTCTCAGTATTGTATATTATTATATATAATAATAATATTATATACAATAACATTAACATCTACATCCAGTCTGCTCACTGTCTTGTTTATTTATTTTTATTTATATATATTTTTTGAGACAGAGTCTCACTCTGTTGCCAGGCTGGAGTGCAGTGGCCTGATCTCAGCTCACTGCAACCTCTGCCTTCCAGGTTCAAGCAATTCTCCTGCTTCTGCCTCCCAAGTAGCTGGGACTACAGGCGCCCGCCACCACGCCCAGCCAATTTTTTTGTATTTTTAGCAGAGTTGGAGTTTCACCATGTTGGCCAGGACGGTCTCGATCTCTTGACCTCGTGATCCGCCCTCTTCGGCCTCCCAATCTGCTCACCCTCTTAATGAAAATTTGAGATGCACAGTGTTAAAGGAAGGGAAGCATTGATAAAGAGAGGTAGGAAGTTGAGAAAGATAAGTCTGGAATATGGGACACCTGGAAGAGGAATAATGAAGCAGAGGCTTCAGTGGACACTTTAGAGACCCAGAGAGTGCTGAGCGCAGTGGGAAAGACAATGGAGGGTGCAGAGAAGAAGGCCCGGAGCTACTAATCTCATAATCCTGTATCAATCCTAAAAGTGCGAGTGCTTTCCTTCTATCTTTGTCCTGGCCTAGGTTAGCATATTCTGTGGACTATAACACTCTTATTTGCTTAAACACAAAATATTTCCTCCTCAGTTGGAGTTTATTCAATTTTCTTAAGAGATTATTACTTCTTACTTCAAAAATATGGAAGTACACTAGACTTAAGAAAGATAAGACATTGGAATTCTTTCAAAATATCATTACTTATCATATATCATCACAGTTGTACCATAAGTAATATATAGACAGGACAAATACAATCAACTTCGACTTCTTTGTTTCTCCTTTAGGATGACAATGACGATGGTCACCCACTTCATCCATCTCTGAATATTCCTTATGGCATACGGAATTTACCACCTCCTCTTTATTATCGCCCAGTGAATACAGTCCCCAGTTACCCTGGGAATACTTACACTGACACAGGGTTACCTTCGTATCCCTGGATTCTAACTTCTCCTGGATTCCCCTATGTCTATCACATCCGTGGTTTTCCCTTAGCTACTCAGTTGAATGTTCCTCCTCTCCCTCCTAGGGGTTTCCCGTTTGTCCCTCCTTCAAGGTTTTTTTCAGCAGCTGCAGCACCCGCTGCCCCACCTATTGCAGCTGAGCCTGCTGCAGCTGCACCTCTTACAGCCACACCTGTAGCAGCTGAGCCTGCTGCAGGGGCCCCTGTTGCAGCTGAGCCTGCTGCAGAGGCACCTGTTGGAGCTGAGCCTGCTGCAGAGGCACCTGTTGCAGCTGAGCCTGCTGCAGAGGCACCTGTTGGAGTGGAGCCAGCTGCAGAGGAACCTTCACCAGCTGAGCCTGCTACAGCCAAGCCTGCTGCCCCAGAACCTCACCCTTCTCCCTCTCTTGAACAGGTAGGTTGTTTATATCTTACCACTATAATGTATGAGAAATGAGATTTGTAGAAGGGGAAAAAAAAAAACCACTCCCCAAGCAAATCTATATCAACTTAAATATTTTGAACAGCTTTATTCAGATACAATTGACATACCACAAACTACACATATTGAAAGTGTATACTTAGATATGTTTTGACATATGTATACACTCATGAAAAGAGTTACCAGGATGGGGAATGTGTCTACTACAGTCAAAAGTTTCCTCCTGTTCCTCTGTAATCCCACATTCCCCATCCTCCCATCCCTGGGCTGTTTTTTGTCACTACAAATTGGTTTGCATTTTCTAGAATTTTACGTAAGTGGAATAATATTGTATGTACTCTTGTGTCAGACATCATTCACTTTTAGAGATTTATCCATGAAGTTGTATTTACTAATAGTTTGGTTCTTTGCAGATTATTATTTTATTATACAGATACGCCGTAATTCATTTACCCATTCATCTGTTGAACAGATTTTAGCTTCCAAACTGGATGCATTTATTTACTTATTGCATGCTTTAATGGCTTAAACATCCAGTACAATGTCAAATAAAAGTGATTAGATGGACATCCCTGCTCAGTTCCTAATATTAGGGGAAAGCATTAAGTTTTTTAACATATCTTTACACACACACATGCACATGTATATGTACCTACATACCCTCCTCCTCCTGAGGCCATGTATACATTGTACCCACATATTATTATATCTATAACATACACAACGTGTACATAATGTGTATATGTAGTACACACATATATGTGTGTATGGACATACATGTTCATGAGCTTTATTCTGGAATGCTATTAGGTTAGTATGCTTTTACACTTTATTAAACAGGAACGGATAAATGTTTTTATCCAAGGCTAATTTTTCCTTTATTGAGATCAAATTATTCTGAGTGCTCAAACTTATGTCCAGTGAATTTTGTGGTTTTTCACTCTGGCTGGTGGGATCAAGAACTTTTTCCTGCCCTAGTACCAATTGTGAGTACCAATTGTTGTTCTATTCTGTCCTTTCAGGTAGTTCTCTACCTGACCTCAGGTCATATCTTCATATAATTAATCAATACTCATTGAAATGTGAGCATATCCTCTTTTTAAAAAAAAAATTCATCTTTTATTTTAGATACAGGGATTACATGGGGTACATATGCAGATTTGTTACATGGGAATATGGTGTGATGCTGAGGTTTAGAGAATGGATCCCTTCTCCCTGGTAGTGAGCACACTACCCAAGAGGTAGTTTTATAACCCAGCCCTAACCACCACCTTCTAGTAGGCCACAGTGTTCCTTGTTCCTATATTTATGTACATGTGTGCTCAATGCTTAGCTCCCATTTATAAGTGAGAACACAGATATCTAGATCTTTGTATCTACATCTTTGTGGCCTGTTTTCCCATCAGGTACTCTGCCTGTAAACGTCAGCTATCTTGACCTTCCTGGCTCCATCTACTTAACTCAGAGAATCTTCTGGGACTTTCTCTCTCTCTCTCTCTCTCTCTCTCTCTCTCTCTGTGTGTGTGTGTGTGTGTGTGTGTGTGTGTTTTCCCTTGCACCAAGCCATGGAAACTCACTCCAGGCAGTATGCTAGGACAATCATAGAGACCACCTACCTTGCTTCCTGTCTCTTAGTGATTACTATTTTACACAGCCTGATATTTAGATCTTGAAAAATTGTTCCTTCTCATTTTTCTTCTCATGTTTGCACATTATTTTTGTTTTGAGCAAGAGAGTAAATGCAGTTTCTATTATTCATCTTGAACTTTAGCTTTAGCGAAGTTTACTAAACTTTTAGAAAAACAATTGTTTTCAGACAAAAAAAAAAATGTAAGAAGCAGCTAGTCCCTAAATTTTAGTAGATATGACCCAAGGAATTAGGCTATTTTACCAAAGGGAAACCATGATTCTGAACTACATAGAAGATACTCTGAACCCTGGCAAGAGGCTAAAAACAAATGGAAGTTTAAATCCACCAATGAATTATTTATGCAGCACATTGCCACCACTTGGAAAGCTCTAGTAGTTGTTACCTAGAAGGAGATAAGAACTCTTTTTCTTTTAAGATATTCACCAAGGGGTTACATTCAATGGTGTTTGCAGCTTCTCTAGAGAGGTATGATGAGCCAGGCTTGTTCTCCAATGCTTCCAATGCTTCACACATTAAATATGTTCATTCAGTAGATTTGACACAAGCACTTTCCATCTGCTGGGGTATTATGAACACTGTATATATATATATATATATATATACACACATACATATATATACACGTATACATATATATATATATATATATATATATACCTGTAGCTCATGGTTCACATGACAGTAGAAGGAAATGATAGAAAGTGAAGATAAAAAGAAATAGAACCTGATAAGAAGGGACCTTGAAAACACTGCTCAATACCTTGGACTTCATCCTGTAGCCAAAGCAATTTATTAGGGACCTTCACTGAGAGGAGTGATTCAACCAGTTCTCTGTTTCAGAAAGCTAAATCTAGTAGCAGTATAGAATATTTTAAACATGTTAAGAAGAGATCAGCAAAACACAACTTCTCAGAGAAGAAAGGTTATTTAGAAAAGATAGGCCCAATACTATGAAATAAAGTACATTTGATTGTTTATGAAAAGATCTTTTTTTTAATGTTTTCTAGGCAAATCAGTGAAATTCTCTAGAAGAGTACCATGGGTTCATTTCTGTAAGTCATATGTGATAATATAATTTAGAAATTATAGATAAAGAGGTTAAATCTCATAATCTGAAGCTACCTTGGAATGTATTATATTTTTTACTACATGAAAATGAGAAAGTGGAGCTTAGAGAAGCACTGGTAGTTTGTGCCTCAGAACCTTTCAAACTATTAACTCATGTCTTGCGTAAGGAACTCAGGCTACTTTTGAACAAATAGCGAGTTCCTCCTTAAATTGATCCAAATTGATTATGACTTGAAGATTTTAAATTAACAGTAGTTAATATAGGTAAAAACCTTTAACGTGGGAAAAGAGGGTTGGACTATACATAGAAAGAGGCATTGTTTAAGTTCTTACAGATTATTCTGTATGCTATCCCTTCAGCCACCATCCTACCCCATATTAAGAACTACTGTTTTAGAAAACAAACAATTTAGACCTGAAGTCTCCCTGTCCCTACATTGTACCACCCAAAGGCACAAACAAACAGCTCAACTGGACTCACTGTGTCTTAGTCATCTGATCAGGGGATAAGCAAGAAACTTGGCCATCTTAATTTCAGGTTCTTCTCCTTCATCCCTTCTCAAAGATGTTCCAATTTTAATGTTTACCAGACAGGTAAATGACAAGGCTTTGACTGTCAGCCAAATCAAAGTTATTTCTGAGGTGACATCACTAGCTAAAGTAGAATTGAAAAGCAAATGTGATGGTATTTATTATTGTTGGTGATACCTCTTTACAGCAGCCATTGCCAAAGAAACTAAAAGATATCCATTTTTAGTTAAACCTTGACTATTGCTATATTCTTTGGTTTTCATTTATTTTACTTTTATGTTAAATGAACAATTGGCTAGTGAATTAGTTCAAGATATTAGATACACATAATAGTTTCATATATTCTGTAGCATTTGTATTTAGTATTTTGCCAAATAGCATGAATTTGTAGATAACCATTCATTATGGTCTTTTTGAAATAACATTAAAATCATAAATCAAGAAAAATAATTTTGCTTTAAGTGTGAGTCATTTGGTCATTTTATTATACTGAACCAATGTTATTTTCTTCTTTCAGATACTGATGCAGAAATAAGTGAAATCTACAAAAGTTTTCTTTCTTTTCCAAAGACTATTTCATTCTGTTGTATTCAGAGTATTCATCTCACTACATTGATTTGTTTGTGGTAGTTTTTCCTTGGACTTAATTTATATTGAAAAAACATTGATAATTAAATAAATAAAATAGATAATTTAGACCAATGGTGATAAGGTCTGGATGAAAACTACGCTATGGAGGACTGAAATGGCAATCATTCAGCCTAGCCTGGAGTCTGATTATACAGCTACTATAGGATGATGTTAGTATTGGTTTTGAGTGCAATAGGTTTTTTCCTAAACAAACATATTTTGTAGTCAATGAACTTTTTGTCACAAAACAGTAAAACATCTGTGTTTAACCTATGGTAAACAACATGTTAATGAACTATGCTATCCATGACTTAATGGACAGTTCAAATGTGACATCTACAGTTTTTCATTTCTCTTTTATGCCAGCACACAATCAATTCATCACCAATTGTCATTTGATTTACTTCAAAAAATATACCCCCAAATCCTAATACTTCTAACCTTCTCCACTGCATCTAGCCAACTCTAGCTATTGTCATCCCTAACAGAAATGGAGGAATAGCCTCTTTTTTTTTTTTTTTTTTTGAGACGAAGTCTCACACTGTTGCACGGCTGTAGTGCAATGGTGCCAACTCAGCTCACTGCAACTTCCACCTCCCGGGTTCAAGTGATTCTCCTGCCTCAGCCTCCTGAGTAGCCGGGATTACAGGTGTGTGCCACCACGCCTGGCTAATTTTTTGTAATTTAGTACAGACAGGGGTTCCCTATGTTGGCCAGGATGGTCTTGATCTCCTGACCTCATGATCTGTCCGCCTCGGCCTCCCAAAGTGCTGGGAATACAGGCGTGAGCCACCGTGCCCTGCCAGAATAGCCTATTAACCAGTCTACCTGCTTCCACTTTTCCTCCACCCTGATCACATACACACATGCATTATCCACTGAGCAGTCACAATCAGATGTTAAACCAAACATTATTCAGATAAGATCTCTGAAAAGCCTCTGATACTTTCTCTTTTAAAATGGAATATATTCTAAACACCTCTCCAAGGACACAAGACTTACCTTGTCTAACTAATGACTTTTCTAACTTCATTCCCTATCATTCTCCATCTTGCCCCATGCTCCTCATGCAGCAGCTTTTTTTTTTTTTTCCTTTTTCAAATATGTTGGTTTTGATCTTATCCAAGAACCTTTGCCCTGATGTATGAATGACTAACTGCTTTTCTACTTCGGGGGTCTCATATAGAAATCCTGCTTCAGAATACTCTTCCCTGAGCACTCTATCTAAATAAATCCCTCTTCTGCAACCCAGTGCTTTTTGTTCTATTACTGACTTCTTTTCCTTGTAGAAGTTACTATTACTGCTTTTTACCTTTTTATTTATTTGTGTATTGTCTTTGTTGTTGCCCTCATCTTATCTCCACAAAAATATATGCTCCATAAAAACAGGCATTTCTGTGTCTTATTCAGCACTTTATCAGGGCCTATAACAATGCCTGGGACATATTCAGTGACCAGTGAATATTTTTGGAAGGAAAGAAAAGAAGAAAGAATGAAGTAACAAACAAAGAATGAAGGAAGAAAAAATTTTTACAAACATTCAACATATTTTTATTTTGAAATAATTTTGTATTTTTCCCTATATCCTACATTGGATCAGAATATTACTGTTATGTATAGCCATGAGGACATGGTCTCAAAAAATGAGAAACTTTCTTAGACAGTAAAATTGTTAACTTGAGATGTTTGCTTCCATCTTCTAGAGCCAAGTAGGATCTAACTTTAATTTGACTTAGCCAATAATCTGAAACTATTATAGTATCTGTCTTTCACAGATACATGCAATATTCACTTCTAAATATTTAATGATAAATTTGTAATCATACATGATAGTCAATTTTAATGATTATGTTGTCAAAATTCAGGCTTTTTGTGTGAATTGAAGACTTAAAGAAGAATTTGTAAATATGACTGTATAAGAAACAACAGAAAGATGAAGATGAACCGAAATAGAAATATCAAGAGGCTACAAAGTCTTAGCAAATTATAATTGCTAATGGTACATTATGTGGTGTTTAGTATCACATTTAGAATGTAGTCATTTGTTAAGTTTTTCATGGGGTAAAAGAAAGAATTTATTCCAAGAAAATTTTGGAATTTTAAAAATAAACATGACATCTTATCATGAGAAACATTTACAGTTTTTGCTTTTACTACAAGATACTGTGAAATGTTCTGCTCTGTCAGTTGTGAAAGTATGAAATTTAAGTCTATCACTACAATAATATTTTGTTTTTAGTGTTCATTTTTTTCCTCCTGACTACATTGAGATGAGTTAGATTGAGTGAAAGGTAAACACTAACATTTGAATTGAGGTAATTTCCACTGTGGAAAACAAACTGTTGTTAGTAAACAGGCATCAGCTTTGAGACACAGAAAAGTCATCCAAACCAGAAGATTGGGAACTTCCTCAATTACTTTGTCTTCCATTTATTGCATTCAATTAGTCAAAAATGTTGTTAATTATACATTTTAAAGACTATTTTTGGTAAGGTCTATGACACATTCAAAATACTACATACAAGTTTGTATTATCATAAATAATCCAAAAGAAAACATACATGTAACCACCACCATCTGGAAATTTCACACTAAATTATAAAACATTTCCATCACTGCATGTATTGTTTAATGTCGCTTTATGAATCCACCTTCTTCCTTATCTGTAGAGTTAAAAACTACTTAGTGGATTAGGGTAATTCATTCTACTTTTAAAAATGATTTTTCCACCTCTAATGTATTCTATAAAATAATATTGTTCACTTTTGCCTATTTTTGAGCTTTTTATAGAAAAATGCTACTGCGAAATTATTTTGAGTCATATCTTTTGATCGATATTAAGATACATTTGCAGAGTTTTGTATGTGTGTTTATATCCATCTTACATAATTCTTTACTGTATAGCGTTCCCTTTAGCCACTGGAAAATGATATAATGTCATTGCTTACAGAAGGTGACTGATTCTTATTCAGTGCTACTTTCTACAGACAGGTAACTATTCGCATTTACGATTAAGAAATGTTCACACCTTCACACTGGTATCAACTGCAACAACCACTATACTTCTCCAGTGATTGCCAGATGGCCCACTATACATCCTTTCTTCTATTTCTTTCTTTTGTGGCCAGAAAGTCAGGACCTCAAAGAGGTATAAGTTTGTGTGTATAATTCCCTGGCTTTTTTCTAAAATTTTAGTATGCATTTATGTGGCACTTAATATATAAAAGAGTTTTATGAGTTTTAAAAATGTATATAAACAAGACATATAATAAATGGTATGTCATTTCACAATTTACTATTTTTACTCAACATTTATATTTCTGAGACTTTTCACATTTTTGAATGTATTCATAGTTTCACTTTAATTGATGTTTGCCATGAAAGATCAAATATATCACATTTTATTTGACTAAAAAGTAAACTATATTTCCTACATTATGCTATAGAACTTATAGACTAATTTAAGTTAATTATAGGCCTTATCTCAGACCTTTGCAAGTAGCCTGAATAAAACTTTTCATTATTTATATTATCACATGCATATATGTGTGTATGTATATATGTGTGCATGTGCATGCATAGTAAAAATCTTAACCCAAAACTGAAATAAAAAATTATAAGAGAAAATACTATTTTCCACCAATATCACAATGGATAATCTTTTTTAAATGACTACATATGTCGATAAGTTACAAAATCCATATATGAGTATGACACCAATAAGAACATTTTCTCTAACCATTTTGAATACGAATAACCATGGATTCTAATAGCAAACATTATTAAAATATTATTGAAATAACTAACTGAAGTAAGTCACTTTTTTTCTTGTTTTTAGTGGGGAGATGTTTGATGCAACTGTGATTCATTCAGTGAAGAGGTAGCACCATAACATTCTTACATTTAAGTATGTTTTAATGCTTTATGTTTTTTAATTCCACATGTGTGTATCCCAATTCTTAACTCTCAAAAATTATTTTATGAAAATTGGTGTAATAATTATGGTCACTATCAAAAAATTTAAGGTAATATTAACAGTATCTTCATTAACTTTAAAATTTTTAATATAAAGTAAGAAAATAGCGTCCTCCATTTCTTATTAAGCTGTATCTAGAGAAAATACAATAAGTAAATTCCTGTAACTTAAGGGCTGGAATTTAAATCAGAGTGTGTAAAAGGGCAACATGAATGCTAAATCCTACCTTCATGTTTTGATGCTTTTCCTTGATTGAAATGTTAATTTACTTATTTTTATTATATAACCAGATAATGGACCAATGGTACATGCAGTGTAGAAATACACCAGTGATATTTTAAAGTACCAAACTTCTCCACTTTTGCTGTGGCAATCCAGTGAGAAGACATCTTCTGTCATGTAATCTTTGTACAGATCTGCACAAGGAAATATATTCCTCTACAAGAATTATTTAGCCTAAAATGAATCTATGAAGTTATTATAAAATACAATAAGAAGTATAAAACAATACAGACATCCTTTCCAAAGCAAGTGCATGGATATCCTACATTTTAGTTACAGGGATAATTAGTGACTTTCCTCATTTAAAAAAGAAATTTCTATTCCAAGGATGTTTCTGCAATTATACCATTATTATATATTACCTAGTGCCATGAAACATTCTGAGAGGTATCAGAGGAGTTGAGAGATTCTTCAGTAGGGATAGGAGATACTGTTTCATGCAGCCAAAAAACACATGAAAAAATGCTCACCATCACTGGCCATCAGAGAAATGCAAATCAAAACCACAATGAGATACTATCTCGCACCAGTTAGAATGGCAATCATTAAAAAGTCAGGAAACAACAGGTGCTGGAGAGGATGTGGAGAAATAGGAACACTACTACACTGTTGGTGGGACTGTAAACTAGTTCAAACATTGTGGAAGTCAGTGTGGCGATTCCTCAGGGATCTAGAACTAGAAATACCATTTGACCCAGCCATCTCATTACTGGGTATATACCCAAAAGACTATAAATCATGCTGCTATAAAGACACATGCACACGTATGTTTATTGCGGCATTATTCACAATAGCAAAGACTTGGAACCAACCCAAATGTCCAACAATGATAGACTGGATTAAGAAAATGTGGCACGTATACACCATGGAATACTAATGCAGCCATAAAAAATGATGAGTTCATGTCCTTTGTAGGGACATGGATGAAATTGGAAATCATCATTCTCAGTAAACTATCGCAAGAACAAAAAACCAAACACCGCATATTCTCACTCATAGGTGGGAATTGAACAATGAGAACACACAGACACAGGAACGGGAACATCACACTCTGGGGACTGTTGTGGGGTGGGGGGAGGGGGGAGGGATAGCATCAGGAGATATACCTAGTACTAGATGACGAGTTAGTGGGTACAGCGCACCAGCATGGCACATGTATACATATGTAACTAACCTGCACAATGTGCACATGTACCCTAAAACCTAAAGTATAATAATAATAAAAAAAGAAAAAATAAATAAATAAAATTTAGTGTTAATACTGTTAAAAAAAAAGAATTTCTTCATCCACAGTCTTCATCACTTACCAATTTCTGGAAAAGTCAGGGTGGGAGTTTTTATCCTGCTTACCCACTGCCTATAGAACATATAAAGGGATCTGAGTAAAGCAAGGAAGGTTATATGAAAAACTTAGCACGTCTTCATGTAAAAAAGAACTGGTAGCAAATCCTGGTGAGCATTGAAAGAATATATTCAAAACATTCTTCCAGAACTGAAATCAGCAAGGCAGGAGTCAGAATGCCATTCTCATCATCAACACAGGCATTTTGTTTCTCATTTGCCTATTTTATCCTTAGAACTTAAGTGACCTTGATTTAAGTGATGATCATTTTGAACACCTACCTTCAGAAGAAAATTCACTGAATCCTCTGGCATACAACAGATCTTCATTTTTTAATCATCTTTTTAATAAATACAAGGTAACTTAAAATTTACCTGTGAATGTGATGGATCACTCTGGAATAATTTTCTGATAAATACAGTATTAAATTCAGACAAAATAATTGTGGTAGGCAATAGAATTTTGTGGATACAAAATACCAGATGCCGCAGTCAGATCAAGTGGGCCCATACCCCAGGATCAACACTTAGTAGCAAAGGTCATCCAAGGAAATTGCTGACTTTCCATATGCCTTCATTTTCTCATCTGTAAAGTGGAGATAACACTAGTATAGACCAATAGAATTTTAAGTATCATATGAAATTAAGTAAAACAGTAAGCATGTGATAAATATAATTATTATTGTTCCAAGATTTAAAAAAAATCAGCAGTTTCTCTTCTAATAAAACTCTTTATTACATAAATAAAACCATAAAAAAGATAATTAAGAATGAAAGAATAGTCATTTTTATCCTAGCTCTTTAATCTAACACATAAATAAAAATGAAATTCCAGATTCAGCATGCTTTCAGATACATATTAGCATCAACTTTCCCTTCTACCGATCAGCAGAAATAAACTCTCAAAAGCAAATATTAATTTTCTACTGTTTTCTAGGCATTCTTATCTGAACTAACACTTATATAATTTTTACAAGAGTCATTAGTATTGTCCATCTCATTTTATTTATGAGATGCAAAGGGCTAATTTGCCTGAAATCACGTTGTTAGCAGGTGACAGAAACTGCTAAATGCTTGCAGTAGCTGATGTCGTTGAGGTACCCAAATTTTCTCTTTGTGTTACTAGATTATGGAGTAATAAGTGAGATAATATATTTGCAACAAATAAACAAGTAAATGTCTAGTTCATGAAAGTGACCTGGTATTATAAAATTGCATATCAGCATTATGCTTTCCAGGGGTAACACGCTTATTTTTCTTAGTATCTCATTTTAAGAATTCTGTGTACATGCATTTGTCAAATGTACCATTATTCAGACATAAATCAATAATCACTGTATTATTTGTATAGATTCCTCATGCTATGGTAATAGATAGTTCTCAAAATATTGTGTCATATATGATATAAGATTATTTCTTCTTCACATCACTTCATATTCTAATGCAGGTATAATGTATGAATTTCATGTGCTACCTCTTGAACACATCACCTCCAAAGTTCCATATCAGAGTAAGAGAGAGATAGGGGAAAATACCAATTCTTATTGAATTGCTGTATTCAATGGCAATTGAATGGCACACACAACTTATCACAGCCCATTGGCCAGAACTAGACATATGCCTTCACACTACCTGCCAGGAAGTCTGGGAAATACAAAGGAGAAAGTGTAGCACTTACTCTCTCTACAATAGTATTGTGTCTATTAGTAATAGTGTGGGTGTGTGGGGAGGAGGGTGGAGATAATTTGGAGGGCAATCAAATCAAATTAATGAAACTTTTACTTTAAATTTTGAGTCATTATATATCGTATATATTCAAATTTTTGAATCCTGAAACATCTCCCTACAAAATACTGACTTGTATACTTCTAACAAATCAAAATCTTACTCAATACTCCTTACTCAGAAGTTTGGTCCTACTATGATAGCATCTGTGGATTACATCATGTACACTAACAGAAATGAATAACAAATGACTTTGGGATGTTAACTGCTTTGCTTTTACTAACAAATCTCTCTTGCAAGCATATAATTTATTGCTACCTTTTATTTCATTTTTCTAAGACTCACCTATAACAGTCAAGGTTATTTTTCCTTTGACTTGGCTAACTGTTAAGTCTCTGTTTTTACCAAATGTGTGTTACCAATGGTATCACACCCCTTACCACTCATCAAAAAATAACTAATTTATCCTGCAAAATAAAAGACTCAAAATCAAAAATCATAGACTTAAGTAATATATATAAAGGAATCAGACCTCACCGTGCTATTCCTTGAGCTCTGCTCCAAAGATATTCTTTCAGCAAAGAGCTTTTTCATTTCCCCTGTGCCAAGAGCTTTTCTACATACTGGGAACTTAAGCACAGACAATAGCAAGGAGCCTACTCCCACTGAAATTACATGAAGATGGCATTAAGCAGAAAATAAGTAAATTTAAAAATTCAAAATTAAGATAAAACAGGTGCTTAAAAAATACTCCTAAAACATAGTGCTATGAAAAAGTTTGGGGGAACCACGTGCAGTGGTTCATGCCTATAATCCCAGCTCTTTGGAAGGCCAAGGTGGGAGGGTCCCTTGAGGCCAGGAGTTCAAGACTAGCCTGGGCAAAATAGTGAGACTCTGTCTCTATAAAAATTAAAAAAAAAATAGCAAGGCATGGTAGCACATGCCTGTAGACATAGCTACTAGGGAGACAGAGGCGGGAGGATGGCTTGAGTCCAGGAGTTTGAGGTTGTAGTGAGCTATGATCATTCTACTGCACTCAGCCTGGACAACAGAGCAAGACCTAGTCTCTAAAATAAATACATAAATAAAATTTAAAAGAAAATAGTTCAAGGGGATTTCAACATACTTTAACACAAAATTTCAGTGTCAGCTAATAATATATAGCAAGTCCTCACTTAATGTCTTGATTATATTCTTGGAAACTGACTTTGAGCAAGAGGACGTATAACAAAACCAATTTTACCATAGGC